>NC_000008.11:74052265-74677265 GCF_000001405.40 Homo sapiens
AAGTAGAAGTGTGACATAACTTCCTCCGTCACAGTTTCAGTTAGGGTGCCAGGCAACCCTGTGTGCACACAGATACTTGGAAGAAGGGCTGTAACCTTTAGCTTCCCCCAGTTTAGCCCGTTGGCCTTGTCTAGGCTGGTCTGTTTCTGACTCTTCTTTTCCTCATCTAATATAGACCTACTTTTCTTTTATTGGAAGTAGGAAGAGGAAAAATAGACAAAGGAAGAGAAAAATACTAGATTAAGGCTCAGATATTGTAGGCATGAGACCTGGAAACTGGAGACTCCTTTTGGGACAGAGTTGTAGCAGCAAGCCCAACTATAGAAGAAGGGAACTGGGGCCTGTTGGTGGCATGGTGACCAGAGATTTTGGTGTTGGTAAGCTGGTGGCAGGAGCTCCACATGCTTCTAGAAATGCACCTAGGAAGTAAGGTATATGTGAGTGATGGGAACTTGATTCAGGGGATGATGCTTAATTCCAGCACATCAATTGCATACATTAGAAGGACTACAAATTCAGATCTAAGGGGACCAGATAGAGTAGGATGGATACTAGCTGGATAGTAAGGAGGGGTATGATTGTGGTGAATAGAAGAACACACGCAGAGTTTACATTTACCATGTGGGAATATTGAACCAATGCTGTCAGATCTTCTGATTTTTGAAAAGAAGGGGTAAATTAGATTTTTATGTGAAAATTTAATCAGAAAATGTTGGCAATTGATTTTAAAAGTTTAACAGCACCATGTGGGACATTATTGTACCTGCCAAGCAACCCTTGCACATCCCACGGCCCCTGAAACTCCACATGTCAAAAATGGAACTCCATCTGTAGTCCCTATTTCAGCAAGTGGTGCCACAGACTGCCAGGAACCCAAGCTAGGAAGGTGGGCATGAGCCCTGACTCCTCCTCTACTCCACTCCTTACTTTTGATACATGACTTCGCCATGTGGATTTAGCCTCCTGAAATCTCTGTCTCTTATATTTGTCCCCTTTTTTTAATTCCTACTCTCAATGTCTTTTAGATTTTCACAATTTCTTTGCTGATCTAACCCATATCTCAGTCACTTCTCACCCATTTCTAATCCTTTAGTGACCTGTCTAAAATAAAAATTGAAGCAAGTCATTGCATTGAAGCCCTGCCTTCTAAATTCCCATCTTCCCCTACTCCCTGTAGAATAAAATCAGTGTGATCTAGCATGTTTAGCTCCATATACTGACTTCTGCCTGCAACTTCAGCCTCATTCCTTGCAGTGCCTTCCTCCTTGTCTGTGCTTCAGATACTGAATCATCCACAGCTCCTCTAGGGGTCATGCTATTTCATTACTCTCTATCTTTACTCTCATTGCTCTTCTTACCTAGAATGAATACCCTTTCCTTTCTGTATTAGGATGTGTTCAGTTGTAAGTAACACAAACTCCAACTCAAATGGATTTAAGTAATGCTATGATTTGAATGTGTCTGCCAAATTTCATGTGTTGGAAACTTAATCTCAGAATTCATAGTTTGATTGGAGGTAAGCCTTTTGGGAGGAGTATAGAATTAAATAAGGATGTCAGGGTAAGACCCCCATGGTGAGACTGGTGGCTTTATAAGAGGAAGAGAAATCTGATTTGACTTGCATGGACTTTCCCTCTTGCCATGTGATGTCTTCCGCCATTTTATAATGCAGCAAGAAGGCCCTCACCAGATGCTGGTGCTGTGCTTTTGGACTTCAGAATTGTGACTTTGGACTCTCCAGAATTGTTAGCTAAATAAACTTCTTATTTATTTATTTATTTAGACAGGGTCTTGTTCTGTCATCCAGGCTAGAGTACAGTGCTGTGAACAGGGCTCTCTGCAGCCTCAACATTCTGGGCTCAAGTGATTCTCCCATCTCAGGCTCCTGAGTAGCTGGGCCACAGGTGTGTGTCACCATGCCCAACTATTTACAAGATTTTTTGTAGAAATGGGGTCTCACCACATTGGTCAGGTTAGTCTCAAACTCCTGGGCTCAAGCAGTCCTCCCACCTTAAGCCTTCCAAAGTACTGAGATTACAGGCATGAGCAACCGTGCTTGGCCAACTTCTTTTTAAATAAATTACCCAGTCAGTAGTGCTCAGTTATAGTAGCAGAGAATGGACTAAGGAGGCTTATTATCTTATGCAAGTGGTAGGGCAGGCTTCAGGGTTGGTCTAATTCAGTGACTCAGTGATGTCACCTGGAACCGAGGTTCCTCATTTTCTTTTCTTTTCTTTTTTTTTCTTTTCTTTCTTTTCCTTCCTTCCTTCCTTCCTTCCTTCCTTCCTTCCTTCCTTTCTTCCCTCCCTCCCCCCTCCCTCCTTTCTTTCTTTCTTTCTTGTTTCCTTTTCCTTCTTTCTTTCTTTCTTTCTTTCTTTCTTTCTTTCTTTCTTTCTTTCTTTCTTTCTTTTTATTTGAGATGGGGTTTCACTCTGTCACCTAGGCTGGAGTGCAATGACGTGATCATGGCTCACCACAGCCTCAACCTCCTGGGCTCAAGTAATCCTCCTACCTCAGCCTCCTGAGTAGCTAGGACCACAGGCATGTGCCGCCATGCCCAGTTAATTTTTTTAAAAATTGTTTTCTATATTGCCCAGGCTGGTCTCTAAACCTGGGACTATAAAAAAATCATGCACCACTCTATTTATAAAAAATTTTTGATGCAGGGTCTCATTCTGTTGCCTAGGCTGGAGTGCAGTGGCCTGATCATGACCTACTGCAGCCTTGACCTTCCCAGGCTCAGGTGATCCTCCCACCTCAGACTCCTGAGTAGCTGGCACTACAGGCCAGCACCACCATGCCTGGCTAATTTTTCTACTTTGTCTAGAGATAGAGTTTTGCCATGTTTCCCAGGTTGGTCTCAAACTCCTGGGCTCAAGCAATCTTCTCGCCTTAGCCTCCCAAAGTGCTGGGATTACAAGTGTGAGCCACCATACTCGGCCATCATGTATCATTCTTAAGGGCACAGATACTATGGCTGGCTGAATTTTTATGTCCTTTTTATACATAGATGGAAAAGCCTGTATGCTAATTATTTATTTATTTATTTATTTTTTGAGACCGGGTCTCCCTCTGTCCCTCTGCATTTGAAGCTCACTAGTGCTAGTTAAAAATTTCATGACCTTGGGCAAGTTATTTAAGCTTTTTTCCTTGGTCCCTATCTGTAAGATTGTTATGATATTCAAAGTGCCAGTCATAAGGTTTTTGTGAAGTTTAAATCAATTGCTGTATGTAGAGCACCCAGGACATTATGTGACACAAACACGAGACACACTATGCATAGTAGACAGAATGGTCCCTCAAAGATACCCACATCCTAAGCCTAGAGTCTGTGAATATGTTATGCTACACAGCAAAAGGGACTTTGCAGTTATAATCAAGGTCATAGGTCTTAAGACAGGGAAGATTACCCTAGATCATCCAGGTGGCACAATCTAATCACATGATCCCTTAAGAGCAGAAGACTTTTGCTGGCTGGCAGCAAAAGTGATGGAGCAGAAAGAGAAGTCAGATTCCAGGCATGAGAAGCATTTGCGTCAGCACTGCCGGCCCTAAGATGTAGGAGGCCATGTGGCCATCTGCAAGGACTGGCCCCTTTTGGCTCTCTGAGCAGCATGATGGTGGTTGGCAAGAATAAGTGCTTTACAAAAAGCAGCAAAAAGGAAGCCAAGAAGGAAGTGGTTGATAACATTTTCTAAGAAGACTGGTACAATGTGAAAGTACCAGCTATGTTCAATGTAAGAAATATTGGTAGAACACTAGTCCCAGGGATACAAGGAACAAAAACTGCATCTGTTGGCCTCAAGGGTTGTGATATTGAGGTAAGCCTTGCTGAGCTGGAGAATGATGAAGCTGCATTTAGAAAATTCAAACTAATTACTGAGAATGTTCAGGACAAAAACCACCTGCCCAGCTTTCATGGCATGAATCTTATCCATGACAAAATGTGTTCCATGGTAGTTCATGACTGAAGCTCATGTTGATGTTCAGGCTACCTGTGGTTATTTGCTTCATTTGTTTTGTGTTCAGCCAGCAATCGGTTTGCATTTTGCTTATGCTCAGCACCAACAGGTCTGACAAATCCGGAAGAAGATGATGGAAATCATGATCCCAGAGGTGCAGACAGATGTCTTAAAAGAGACAATCAATAAATTGATTTTAGACAGCACTAGAAAGACATAGAAAGCCTTGCCAGTCTAGTTACCCTGTCCATGAGGTCTTCATTAGAAAAGTAAACATGCTAAAAAAGCCCAAGTTTGAATCGAGAAAACTCAGGGAGCTTCACGGTGAAGGGAGCAGTTCTGGAAAAGCTACTGGGGATGAGACAGGTGGGAAGGTTGAACGAGCAGATAGATATGAGCCACCAGTTCAAGAACCTGTTTAATATTCAGACTTTTAACGGTGACAAAAGTCTTGCTTGTTGTGTGTGAGGAGGAGAACTGGAGAGAGTCCCCTAGGAGCTAAAGGTAACACTGGCTGGCAGTCAGTGAGGAAACAGGGGCCTGAATAAGTTTGAAAGTGGATTTTCCCCCTAAGCCTTCCAGAGAAGAGTCCAGGCAGGTGGACAACTTGATTTTGTCTTGTAAGACCCTGAGCGTGGAACTAGTTGAGCTCACTGGATTTCTGACCCCACAGAACTTCAGGGTAATAAGTCTGTGTTGTTTTAAGCTGCTAGTTTTGTGGTAACTTGTTATGGCAGCGACAGACAACTAAGTTATTATATAAGCATTAGCTTTATATGGTAGCATCATCATCACTTCCATTTGCCCCAAGCACAGACTCCTAGCTAACAAAAATGGCAGGGATCAAAAGGAGAGAGTTTGCATGCAGAAAAGCTGTCTTGGAAAACACATGATGTAGTTTCAGCTTCTTGAAGATTAAATCACACTCTCCACACAGACAGTGATTTCACGTAGCGCACCTTTCCCCTTGCAACACTAAGGAATTGAACATGCGTATCTCCTCATCAGTTCCCATTTTCTAAGGCTATGTTGGGAAGTGCTCCTACCTTTGATGGCCTCAAAAGAAGCCTGCAGGCTTTGAAAACTTTGGGGATTTTACTGTTGATTACTCTGGGGATTATGATACCGTAACACAAATGGCAAACATACAGGGATTACAAAGTTTAGAAAATATCATGATGTTCTTATAAATGTTACCTTAACTTGTATTGGATCATCCTCAGAAGGTAACTGGAAGGTCATTTAAATTTGATTCTTTTCTCACTTTTAGAAAAAGAATATGCTGACTCCCTTATTCTAAGACAGCTCTCAGAGGCTCTTCAAACACAGCCATGTCTCATGTAGGTGACTCACATTTCTGAGGAACTCTGGAATAGGCCCAATTTCACTGTCCCCTGCCACACAGAAATCATGATTGTTGGGGCATATCTTCACACTCCCACTTAGGTTTCTCTCATCCTGCTAAGGCTTCCTTTAGGTCATTGATATGTATCAGTTTTAATTTGAGTGGTCTGAACTCACTAAAATGGCGACTTGGTAGCCAGGCTCACACCTGCAATTTTACTCTAACAGCTTAATTTCCTTACCTTACGTTTTATTCTCTGTTAAAGTAATCCAGGGGATGAGGTGTTAGCATAAGTTATGCTTCAGTATAAAAATGCGGAATAGAAGGGATAGAAAAGGGCAGTGAACATCTGTGGAGTAGAAAAGGGTTCCAGCTAGAGGTGAAAGCATGCATTCACTTTCTGGGATCCAGCCTGCCGTGATTACCTTCTTAGGCCTTCAATACTTCGTGAGCCTAAGGGCAGCTAGTAGTCCTGTTTGAAGAGGATACTTCTCCAGGTCTAGGCTTGAACAAATATGCCTGGGAGACTCCTATGACTCTAGCATATTAGATAGATGCTCCAAGAAACACTAGGACAGACTTTCTTTTGATTTCTTGTAAGGGTGAAAAAAAAAAACTAAAATATTACAACACAGATTATGCTGAACACATTCCCATTATCTTCCAGAGTGGTCTATTAAAATGCATTTCCATTTTATTTTCTTCATGATAGTTTTAATTATATTAAGCTGATCCAGAGGAAACTTCTGGATTATAACTTTAATTTCTACCTTAAACCTAAACTTTCTGCTACTCATGAACTTTAGCTTTTGAAAATATCATCCACTGCAAAACCTTTATGGAGAAAAATTTAAGTTTACTAGAGAATGTATTAGTCAGGGTTCTCCAGAGAAACAGAAGCAAAAGGATACTTACATATCTACACCTATCTATCTATCTAGAAAGTTTTTCTTTTTTTTTTTTTTTGGATGGAGTCTTGCTTTGTCACCCAAGCTGGAAGGCAGTGGCGCAATCTCGGCTCACTGCAACCTCCACCTCCTGGTTTCTAGCGATTCTCCTGCCTCAGCCTCCAGAGTAGCTGGGATTAAAGGCATGTGCCATGACGCTGGGCTAATTCTTGTATTTTAAGTAGAGATGGGGTTTCATCATGTTGGCCAGGCTGGTCTTGAACTCCTGACCTCAGGAGATCCACCCGCCTCAGCTTCCCAAAGTCCTGGGATTACAGGCATGAGCTACTGTGCCCGGCTGAAAGAGATTTATTATAAGATATTGGCTCATGCAATTATACGGAATGAGAAGTCCCACAGTTTGCTGTCTGCAAGCTGGAGACCTAGGAAAAGCCAGTGACGTAGTTCAAGGCCTGAGAACCAGGAGTGCCAAGGGCAGGAATTGATGTTTCAGCTCAAGCAGTCAAGCAGAGAGAGGATAATCCAAACTTCCTCCACCTTCTTGTTCTATTTAGGCCTTCCACGGATTGAATGATGTCCACCCACATTGGGGAAGGCCATCATCTTTACTCAGTCCACCAATTCGAGTACTAACCTCTTCTGGAAACACCCTCATAGACACACCCAGCAATAGTGTTTAATCAGATATCTGAGCATACTGTGGCCCAGGCAAATTGGTACATAAAATTAACTATCACAAAGGACACGAAAGAACAGCTGAAGAAATGAAGAAATCTAACATATTTATGGAAGCAAATGCTTGATAGAAAGATGTGAATTCTCCATAAATTAAATTATGAATTTAATGCAGTTCTAATAAAAATCCCAACATTATTGTGTGGAACTTAACAAACAGATTCTAAGAACTTCTAGCCAAGACATTCTAAAAAAGAAGCAGGAGGTGGGGATTTCTCTATCAGATATAAAGACATTTTTAAAAAGTTGTATAAATAAAACTGTACTACTGACACAGAATAGATAATTAGATCTGGGAACAGATTATATTTATAGGGACTTTCCATATACCCGTTGGAAAAGGGTAAATTCAATAAATGGCATTGCCAAAATTCACCTTCCTTATGGAAAAAAAATAAAATGAAATGTCTAATTCACATTTTTGAGTAGTTAAATTTCCAAAAAAGTTAAATTTCAAATGGATTACAGGTCTAAATGTGAAAAGCAAAACTTCAAAACTATTATAAGAAAATCTACTTAAAACTATTAGGAGAACAGCTTTATGATCTCAGGGCAAAATATTAGGCAAACAAGACACAAACAACAAAAGTATGAAATAAAAAAAGAGATAAATTTTGTTACATCCAAAACTTCAAACTTTGCTTGGGCGCAGTGGCTCAGGCCTGTAATCCCAGCACTTTGGGAGGCTGAGGTAGGTGGTAGCACTTGAGCTCAGGAATTTGAGACCAGCCTGGGCAACGTGGTGAAACCTTGTCTCTACTAAAAATACAAAAATTAGCTGTGCGTGGTGGTGTGCACGAGTGGTCCCAGCTACTCAGGGGGCTGAGGTGAGAGCCCAGGGGGCTGAGGTGAGCCCAGGAGGCAGAGGTTGCAGTGAGCCAGGATCATGCCACTGCACTCTACCCTGGGAGGGAGAGCCAGACCTTGTTTCAAACAACAACAACGACGACGACGACGACGACGACAACGAAAAACTTCCAACTCTTATTGTCAAAAGAAAAAAATACCATTAACAAAGATAAAAGTTAAGTGTCTGTCTGAGAGGTGTTTTCAGTTATAACAAACAATTGATATCCAGAAAATGTTTTCTTAAAATTTTATAAATCAATTAGCAAAGTTAAAAAAATCTAATGGGATAGGCAATAGGCCATTCTTAGCCTTCAGGTCTTGGCTTAAAATTCACTACCTATCGGAACCCTGACTTTCAGTCGGGGTAATTATATCACAATACTTTTCACTCTTAAATCATTTTTCCTTGTTGAACACCTAGACAGTGAACTCCTAGAGAGGAGGAAACAAATCTGAGGTGTTTTTTCTCTCCACTTTTGAGTCTCAGCTTCTTGCACATAATAGGTGTTCGATAAATATATGTCGAAAGACTGATGGAGTAAATGAATAAACCTGAGTCCCTCCTTGACCCTTGCGTACTGCACAGGCATAGCCCTCTCTTTGCTGTGCAAATCTAGAGGGTGGATGTTGGAACTCACAACCAAATTCATTTCAGGTAGTAAGCTGAGGGGTAGTCTGGTCACTCCTTGCCCTCAAGTTTTCTCCTGTATCCTAGGAGATTATGTTTCCTCAGGAGAAGTAAACTGATCTATTTATTTAACACTTGGGGTAATTCCAGGCCCACGTGGTCCTTCCAAACCTCTTTCTGGTAATCCAGTTTTCCGGTTTTGCCGTAGCAGGTTCTGAGCTTTGTTATTTGCTATCAAAAATACCATCCCTATTCAACAATGACAAAATGTTGAGCATTTCTATACCTTCGTGTCCTGGAGAATGGAACCTCTGTTTGTGTTCACAGGTATAATGCTATGTAATTTTTCTACTGCTTATAGGATGAAGGCCAAATTCCTTGGCATGCCAAATCAAGCCCTTTGAGGATCTGGCCTGCTCCCTTCTCTAGGCTCCTGTGCCACCTGATCGCTGTTATAGACTGAATGTTTGTGTCCCTTCCCATTTTAAAATGTTGAAACCATAACCTCCAATGTGATGGTTTTAGGAGGTGGGGCCTTTGGGAGGTAATTAGGTCTTGAAGGCAGAGCCCTCATATGAATGGGATTAATGCCGTTATAAGAAGAGACTTGTAGAGCTTGTTTCCTCTCTCTCTGCTCCCCAGCACACTGGAACAAAACAAGATGACTGTCTGCTTTGCAGAAAGAGGGCTGTCACCAGACACCAGATGTTCACTTTGATCTTTGACTTCTCAGTCTCTAGAACTGAGAGAAACATGTTTCTTAACAGAAATGAATTTTCGGGGGATGGAGGAAGAAATAAGGAGATGGTTAAAGGGTACAAAGTTTCAGTTAGACAGCAGGAATAAGTGTGTGAGATCTGTTGCACAGCAGGGTGACTGTGGTTAATTATAATGTATATTTCAAAGTTGCTAAGAGAGTAAATTTTTAATGTCTCACCACAAAAAGTGCTAAGTGGAATTTTTTTCAAAAAAAGAGGTTATAGAATAATGGGCAGCACAAGTCTGTGTTTTGTTATTCAGGTATTCAGGTAAAACCTTAGTTGTGCATTTTCAACTTTTCTTATATTGTCAAATTGCTCTCCAAAATGGTTGCCCCAATTTATACCACACCAGCAAACCACAAAAGCTCTCATGTTCTACATCTTTGCTAACATTTAATATTGACAGAGCAATTCCTAGGGGAAGGGTAGAGGGAGGGAGAGGATTTTCCTATATGTACTTTGTTATTTATTCTTTAAACTTTTGGATTGAAGTACAGTGCACACACAAAAAAAGCGCTCCAATCAGACATGTACTTTTTGGTAAATTATTGCAAAATGAGCATGCCCATGTAACCACTACTCAAGCTAAGAACTGATACTTTTTGCCAATTTTATGGGTAACAAATGGTATCTCATTTTGCTTTTAATTTGTTTCCCTGATTTATAGCAAGGCTGAACATCCTATTTGACATTCAGATTTACTCTTTTGTAAATTAGTAACAGCAGGTGACATCTCTCAGATGTACTGGTGGCCAGGTACTCTTTTAGTATCTTTTTTTTCCTGCTAATTTTTATTTTTAGTTCTGGGGTACATGTGCAGGATGTGCAGGTTTATTACACAGGTAAATGTGTGCCATGGTGGTTTGCTGCACTTATGAACCCATTCACCTACGTATTAAGCCCAGCATGCATTAGCTATTTTTCCTAATGCTCTCCCTCCCCGCACCCCAACCCCGGACAGGCCCCAGTGTATGTTGTTCCCCTCCCTGTGTCCACGTGTTCTCAATGTTCAGCTCCCACTTATAAGTGAGAACATGCGGTCTTTGGTTTTTTGTTCCTGCATTAGTTTGCTGAGGATAATGGCTTCCAGCTTCATCCATGTCCCTGCAAAGGACATGATCTCATTCCTTTTTATGGCTGCATAGTATTCCATGGTGTATATGTACCACATTTTCTTTATCCAGTCTGTTGTTGATGGGCGTTTGGGTTGATTCCATGTCTTTTAGTATCTTTAGTTGTATCAACTCAATCTGTATCAATTCAATCCTCACAGTGGTCCTATGTGGTATGTTGCTAATATCCTTAGTTTACAGATGAGTAAAATGAGTTAGTCGCATGACTAGTCACTGGCCATAGTCATATGGTTAGTCAGTGTTGAAGCTAGAATTTGAATTTGGACAGTCTGGCTCAGATCTTGTGCTCTTAGTCATTATGCTATTAATGTACAACTTCCTGCATTAGTTATCTATAACAGCATAATACATTACCACTAAGCTTAGCAGCTCAATGCAGCAAAAATTTAACTTATAACTTCTGAGTATCAGAAATCTTGGAGTGTCTCAGCTGTGTCATTCTGTATCAAGATCTCTCATAAAAATAAAGTCAAGATGTCAGCTGGGTCATCTGAAGGCTTGACTGGGGCATGGAATCTGCTTCCAAGATGGCTGACTCATATGGCTATTGGTTGAAGGTCTCAGCTCCTTGTAACATGGACCAACCCATAGGGCTGCTTGAGTGTCCTCATGACATAGTGGTTAGCTTACTCCAGTGTAAGTAATTCAAGAGTGAGCAAGGAGGAAGCCATGATCCCTTATATGACTTATTAGAAGTCACACATATTATCCTATTTCCATCTTATTCTACTTGTTCAAATTGTTACTAAATCCAGATCATACTCAAGGAGAGGAGAATTAGCTCTGCTTTTTGAAGGGAATATAGACAGAATTTGTTGACATTTTAAAAACAATCACCTATATATTGATGATCCCTTTGTGTTTAAAAAAAATTTGTCCTGTGGTATTTTTTATATATTCTGGACAATCATTTTTGTTGGATATTTGAATTACAAATATTTTCTCCTAGTCTGTGGCAGTCCTGCTGAGATTGTGGTTGGAATTGCAATAAATTTACATCTGTTCACCTAGAAGGAAACTAATACCCTTACAATATTAAGTTTTTCTATACATGATTATAATATATCTATTTATTTAGATCTATGATGCACTTTATAAATTTTTATGATTTTCTTCATAAAGATCCTGTACATCTTTTGTAAAATTTGTTCCTATTCTTAAAATTTATATTTTCCCACCTTTTTTGCTATAGTGTAAGAACGTAACAAATACTTGAACATTAAGTTTATGACCAGCCACTTTTGCTGTGCTCTTATTAAATTTTTGTCTTGTCAAATTTTGGATTGTTTATACAGTCAATTAGATTGACTGTAAATATTGGCAGTTTAGTTTCATCCTCTCCAATCCTTGTGACTTTTTTTCCCCTGTCATACTCTGTTGGTTGGTACTGCTAACATAATAATCCATACATTACAGCTTAGGGAAAATAAGTATTTACTAAGAGAGATTCTTGCACAGGTGCATAAGAAGCCATTAAAATAATTTATAGTAGCCTTTGTTTCTAGCCAAGAAAAGGCAAAGAAACAAACAAAAACCAAACAACCAAAAAACCAATATAAAACAAAAACCAAAACAAGAAACAAAAAGCTGATAATGATGACAATGTCCATTAACAAGAGAATGAATGACTAAATTATGATATAGTCATTCAATGAAAAATTATACAGCAGTGAAAATGAATAAATAAACCTATATATGTAATATAGATTGGATATTTGTCCCCTCCAAATCTCATGTTAAAATGTGATCCCCAGTGTTGGAAGTAGGGCCTAGTGGGAGGTGTTCTAGTCATGGGAGGCGGATTCCTCATAAATGGCTTGGTGTCATCCTCATCCTTAAGAAAGTATTCACTCTATTAGATCACAAGAGAGCTGATTGTTTATTTTTAAAAATTGTTTATTTATTTTTTCACCAGCCAACTTTAAGATTCAGAGAGCTGGTATTTTAAAAGCGCATGGCACCCCCTCCCTACTTTTGCTCCCTCTCTGGCCATGTCACATGTGAGCTCCCCTTTTCCTTCTACCAGTATTGGAAGCTCCCTGAAGCCTTCACCAGAAGCAGATGGTGGTGCCAGGCTTCCTATACAGCCTGCAGAACTGGGAGCCCAATAAACCTCTTTTCTCTATAAATTACCCAGCCTCTGATATTCCTTTATAGCAATACAAATGGACTGATATAATGTATCAACATGGTTAAGTCTCAAAAATGCAAAAAGTGAGAAAAATGTAAATCACAGAAGAAGACACACAGTGTAATAACACTAATAATATGTTTAAAATATGAAGTAATATTGTACATTGTACACTCTACATAAGCTGTACATTAGTGTGAAGGATAAGAACTCATTAGGGGTAGAGGTTTGGTGAAGAAAATGTTACTGGGGGTGTAAACCAAAAACAAAATTCTAAGCCCCCAACTGACTGAATGGACCCCCTGTGGTCCAAGCGAAACCTGAAAAACTGAATTTCCAACTGTGATGCCCAGCCATGACTTCAACTCTTTAGACAAAGCTTAACTCTTAACCAGTTGCTCATCAGAAAATCCTTGAATCCACCCATGATCTGTAAGATCCCACTTCTAGATGTCTCAACTTTCTGGGCCAAACCAATGTAATGATTTATATCTTTGCCTGTAAATTCTGTCTCCTGAAAATGTATGAAACCAAGCTATAACCTGATTACTGCAGGCAGACATTCTCAGGACCTTTTGAGACTGTTTCCCAGGTTGCGGTCACTCATACTGACTCAGAATAAACCTCTTTAAATATTTTATAGAGTTTGGTTCTTTTCATCAACAGGCTTCAGCTATATTTGCATTGTATTTCTTGTAGGTGTGTACATGAATTTTGGTTGTATTATTCTTATACCTTATTCTAAGACATCACATGAGGAAAAGAAATAAAAGAGTTTCACAAGTTGTAAAGTATTATGCAAACATGAGTAGTTGTTGAAGTACAAAGACTTATCCTGTGGGCTTTGTAGTGAGGTTATTTGAGTTCAAATTCTGGTGCTCCCCCACTTATGATATAAACTTGACCTGGCTCTGTAACTTCTCCATGCCTTGGTTTCCTCATCTATAAATGAAAATTACTAACATTACTTATCCATTAGGACAACTGAGATGATAAAGACAGAGTGTATATAAATCACTTAACCCAGTTAGCATTGAATTACAGTAGCTATTAAGACAATCTTCACAACTGAGACAGAAACACATTTCTGAGGCATTTAAATTAAGAGGGAACATTCTGCCATACTCTGGGAATGGAGGAATGCTCTTGGAGTTGAATGCAAGCCCCTGAATTATATTGGTGAGTACAAAGGTGAAATTGTTAACAAGTTATACATGGCATACTTTGGACATGCAGGACAATTCAAAACTATCTGGACATTCTATGTCTTTATTTGCTAAATCTGGCAACCTTGTATGTGAGGGAAGGGTACCATCTTAGTCTGGGTTGCTATAACACAATAGCTTAGACTGGATAATTTATAAATAATAGACATTTATTTCTCATAGTTCTGGAGGCTGGGAAGTCCAAGACCAATGCACCAGCAGATTCAGTTTCTGGTGAGGACTCACTCTCGGTTTCATAGATGGCACCTCTTGCTGTGTCCTCATATGGCAGAAGGGGTAGTGGTAGAAGAGACCAGCAGAATCCCTCCAGTCTTTTTATAAGGACACTAATCCCATTCATAAGGATGGAGTCCTCATGACCTACTCACCTCCTGAAGACCCCACATATTAATAGTTTTCACTGAAGATTAAGTTTCAACATGAATTTTGGAGGGACACAAACACTCAAATCATAGCTGGCGCCCCAAGCAGAGGACTCACATGTGCAAAGATGTGGAGACATGACGGATAAAGGTGTCTTTGGGGATTATCAAGGAATTCAGTACGGTGGTAGGATAACGTGGGTGTGAGGGAAGCAGGTATGCATATGTATTTTGTGGGGGATGGGTGTGGAGAAAAGAAGTATAAAATAAAGCTGAAAAAATAGGTAGAGTCTAGGCTTTTAAAGACTTATATTGAGGATTTGTGCTTTAACCTGTCAGCTTTGATGAGACATTGACAGACTGCAGCAGGGAAGAAATAGGAGCAGATTTGTGTTTTTAAAGATTTCCCTGGAGGCAGGGTGGACCCAAGGCAAGAGACTGGAGGCAGGTGGACCAGCAGCTAGTTAAGCGAGGATGAAGGTGTCAGTCTAAACAGAGGGAGATTCTCCAAAGATATATCCAAATATTTATCCAAAGATTTATTTGGGAGTGCGCAGGGGATTTGCAAATGCAGCTAAAGAGGTTCAGGCAGGGGTAAGCTTTTAAGGCAAAAGAGAGAAGTACAAGTAAATTGTTTTGAAACAAAGAGAACAGTGGCTACAGGGGCTCATCCTAGGAGTTGACAGTAGTTCATTAGTGGAGACAGTGTGTCAGGCAAGTGTTCTTGTGCATCCGGCTAGCCGTCCTTGTGACTCATGTAGCAAGCTGCAGTTTGGAAAGTCCTTGGCAAAAGTTTTGGTTACAGGCATATGTGCATAAAGCCCTTCAGAGAGTCTTTGTAATAAGTCTTATCATAGGTATGTGTGCATGACAGCCCTCCCTTCTTAACTTCCCGGCTTTATTTACTGTATGTGTATATGTATGTATGTACGTATTTATTTTTTGAGACAGAGTCTTGCTCTGTCACTCAGGCTGGAGTGCAGTGGTGCAATTACACCTCACTGTAGCCTCAACCTCCTGGGCTCAAGTGATACTTCCATCAGCCTCCCAAGTAGCTGGGACTGCAGGTGTGCACCACCATGTGTAATTTTTTATTTTTTGTAAAGATGGGGTCTCGCTACGTTGCCCACACTGGTCTCGAGGCTTCAAGTGATCCTCTTGTATTGGAAAGTGCTGGGATTACAGACGTGAGCCACTCCGCCTTCCATGTGTTTTTTTTGTTGTTGTTGTTAGAGTTTGACACAGTGACTCCATTTTGATCCTGACAACTTTCACAAAAGCAGAAGTGGGACTAGAGAGGACCACCCCAATTTAACTCATGCTCAGTAGCAGAATTGTCAGAAGTTGACAATCATTTGGATATGGCAATGGTGAGGGAGATGGAGGCGTTGAGGTGTATTCTGAGGTTAATGCTGAGTTTTGAAAAAAAAAATATTTGCAACCAACATCACAATCAAGATATAAAACATTTCCAGACCGGGCGCAGTGACTTACGCCTATAATCCAGCACTTTGGGAAGCTGAGGCAGACTGATCACCTGAGGTCAGGAGTTTGAGGACAGCCTGGTCAATGTGGTAAAACCACGACTCTATTAAAAATACAAAAATTAGCCAGGCATGGTGGCACATGTCTGTAATCCCAGCTACTAGGGAGGCTGAGGCAGGAGAATTGCTTGAACCCAGGAGGTGAAGGTTGCAGTGAGCCAAGATCGTGCCATTGCACTCCACCCTGGGTGACAAGAGTGAAACTCTGTCTCAAAAAAAAAAAAAAAAAAAAAAAAAAAAATATATATATATAACATTTCCTTCATTTCCCAAAGATTTTCTTGCTCTCTTTCCAGTGAGCATCTGCCAATCTGGGTCCAAGAATCCAGCAGTCTGTCTTCTGTCTCTGTATATCAGATTTATTTTCCTTTTCTAGATTTCATATGAATGGAGTCATATAGAAAGCACTCTTTCACTCAGCATAATCCTTTGAGATTCATTCATGTTGTATGTATTGGGAGTTTGTTTCTTTTTATTGCTGAGAATTGTTATCTGTTATAAAGATACACTATTCATTTACCTTTTGACAGACATTTGGATAGTCTTTGGTTTTAGCTCTTATGAATAAAGCTGCTATGAATACTCATGTACATATCTTTGTGTGAACAAATAATTTCTGAGTAAATACCTAGGAGTAGAGCTACTGGGTCATATGGTTAATATATATTTAACTCTGGTAAATTTTCAAAAAGATTTCCAAATTAGTTGTACTTTACATTCTCACCAGCAGTGTATGCTTACTCTACATTCTCTCTAATACTTGATATTGTCAGGGTTTGGTTTTGGTCATTAGTAGGTATGCAGTGGATGGCATTGTGGTTTCAATTTGCAATGATGTTGAGAATTTTTTCATATCCTTATTGGTCATTCATATGCAATATCTTCTCTTATGAAGGATCTGTTAGAATCTTTTGCCTTTAAAAAATTGTTTTTCTTTTCTTATTACTGAGTTTTAATAATTCTTTTTGAGACAGTCTCACTCTGTCACCCAGGCTGGAGTGCAGTGGCGCAATCTCAGCTCACGCATCCTCCGCCTCCGGGTTCCAGCAATTCTCATGCCTCAGCCTCCCGAGTAGCTGGGAATACAGGCACACACCACCATGCCTGGCTAATTTTTGCATTTTTAGTAGAGACAGGGTTTCACCACGTTGGTCTCAAACTCCTGACCTCAAGTGATCTGCCTGCCTTGGCCTCCCAAAGTGCTGGGATTACAGGTGTGAGCCATTGCGCCTGGCCAGAGTTTTAATAATCTTTAGATATTATGGATACAAGTCCTTTGTCAGATAAATATATTGTGAATATTTTCTCCCTGTGATTTATCTCTTTTTTAAACAATGTCCCCTGAAAACCATAAGTTTTAGATTTTCCTGAAGTTTAATCTATTTTTAAAAAATGGTTTGTGTCTTTTGCCTTTCCCAAGGTCATGAAGATGTTCTCCAGTGTTTTCTTCTAGCAGTTTTATCCATTTAGGTTTGGGTCTGGGATTTGTTTTGAATCAAAGGTGTGAAGTGGACATTTTGTGGCTAGCATAGGTCAGAAGTGTGCCCTTCATGCACATATCCTCAGGAGACTGGGGAAAGGAAGCCTCGTTCCTGTGATGGGCAGTGATATTCACACACGTGACCAGGAAGAAATATGTGTTGTTTCCATAGCATCATTTGCATGTTCAGTTCCCCATCTACCATCCACCTAACACTTTTAAACTTCATTAATCAGCAGCCAATCAATTTATTTATTTATTTATTTATTTATTTTTATTTGTTTGTTTTTTGAGACAGAGTATTACTCAGTTGTCCAGGCTGGAGTGCAATGGTGCCATCTTGGCTCACTGCAAACTCCGCCTCCTGGATTCAAGCGATTCTCCCCTCTCAGCCTCCTGAGTAGCTGGGATTACAGGAACCCACCATCATGCTCAGGTAATTTTTGTATTTTTGTAGAGACTGGGTTTCACCATGTTGGCCAGGCTGGTCTTGAACTCCTGACCTCAGGTGATCCTCCTGCCTTGGCCTCCCAAAGTGCTGGGATTATAGGCATAAGCCACTGTGCCCGGCCCATTTATTTGTTAGAAAATGAATCAGTAATTTCAATTAGGAGCTGTGAAATAATGAGTTTTAATTAATTCAGTTATTCTTCTACACTTCTTAGTTGGCATTCTTCTGTAAAGTAGGGCTGGCTGGCTCTCCTGAATATATTTCATATTAGAAAGATAAGATGAATGCTTAAATCTTTCCCTTTGCCAATTTTCTTTCTTTTTTTTTTTGAGACGCGGTGTCACTCTGTTGCCCAGGCTAGAGTGCAGTGGCGCGATCTCGGCTCACTGCAAGCTCCGCCTCCCAGGTTCAGGCCATTCTCCTGCCTCAGCCTCCTGAGTAGCTGGGACTACAGGCGCCTGCAACCACGCCCGGCTAACTTTTTGTAATATTAGGAGAGATGGGGTTTCACCACATTAGCCAGGACGGTCTCAATCTCCTGACCTCGTGATCCGCCCGCCTCGGCCTCCCGAAGTGCTAGGATTACAGGCGTGAGCCACCGCGCCCGGCCTCCCTTTGCCAATTTTCAAAACAAGAATTTGGTTTAATAGCTTCTTTAGATGGTGACAAATGAGTCTCCCCTACTCCAGCTTTATCTTTTTTCCATATTGTAGACTTTTGGGTTTTTATATATCCAGTGTATGCCATTTAACTATGATCATTCTTCTTTTTGATGCTTATGTTACCACAATTATGTCAGTAAGTTCCCCTTCAACTGACTCCTGTGTCCCTTTGTTATGAGTCCATTCATCTTTGGAAATTTCCTTGTTTTTGAGCGTTACAGAAATACCCCAGATTCACCTCGTGTTCTTACCATCCTGCCTCTGGAATCAGTTCTCCAATGAGCCTTGCTTTTTTAAAAAAAAATTAATTATTATTTTTATTTCCATAGGGAATGGCACTAGAGACCAAAATCAGGACACAAGGGGTTTTTATTTTCTTGACATTTTATGGATACATTTTTTAAAAAATTAAAAACATTTTATATGGCATGATTTTGTTTTTTTAAGCAGAAATGTTCTGGGTACCTTGTGCACCATATTGCTAGAAATGATAATTTCCTTACTGAGTATCCAGTGTCAAGCATTTTACTACATAATTAAAGCATTTAATTCTCACACTAATGAAATTTGCTAGGGCTCTTATTCTCATCCCCATTTTAAAGATGAGAAAAATGAAACTGAGAGACTAGTAACTTTCCTCGGTCACACAGCTAGCAAGCATAGGGCAGGTGTCAGAGCCAGGCAGCTGGACTCCAGAACGTGGGCTTATTAGCACCATACTATGATGCTATTCAGTTGCTCAGAAGCATTCCTTATAGGAGACGTGGCAGGAAGTACCTTAAGCAGGATCAATTGTCTTACAAGGACTTTTTTTTTTTTTTTAGAAGCAAACCTTTTGAAATATGAAGAAACAGGGTTAGAAGAAACAGAAAAATGTTTTTTTTGTAGAATCAGAAAATAGTTCCAAATAGTTCTTCTTCTTTCAGTCTTTTATATTGCCAGCAGAGTTAACTCTTTAATGTAGGGCACTGCAACCAGTTCTCCTCTGGCCACCCTCAAAGTTGAACCCATCTGACTCCAGAATGCCTTTTGTAATAAAAAAAAATTGATAATATACATGAGATTACATGTAACATCAATATTAGTTATTAAATATAGTAATATCACAAATACTGTGAACCACTTCTCCACCCAAGACTAGAATATTTCCAAAATTTTCTATCTACCAGTGTATATTTTCCCTATCCAAGTCCACTGCCTCTCACCTCCAGGCCTACCTAGAGGCTTGCCATCCTATTGCTTTTTAAGCAAAAATATGGTTTTAGCACTAATATTTGTCTAAGAACTATATTGCTCACCTTTGCTTGTTTTGAGAATTATGTAAACAATATGTAGTTATCTGTTTCTTGCCTTTCCTTCCTCAACATTATGTTACTAATATTGATTCACATTGTGTGTAGTGGTGGTTCATTTTCTCTGCAATATCGTGTTGCATTGTGTGGATATACCACAATTTATTTATTTATGCATTTACCTGTTGATGTCCGTTTGAGTTGTTTCTAGTTTTTTGTTATTGCAAACATTGCTAATGGTCTTGTATATGTCTCCTCTATGCCAAGTACAATGCCAAGCACAAACATTTTTGGAGATAAATAGGAATGGGATTACTGAGCTGGAGTATATGTGGATGTTCAATTTTGCAAGATAACACTAAATAATTTTCCAAAGTGGTTGTACCAGTTTTTACTCTACCATCCATTGATCTATATAATTTTTAATAGATATAGAAATGCATATAAATTTTAAATTTATTAAAATTTATTTTGAATTAAAGCTGTGAAGTGGACATTTTGTGGCTAAATGTCCACAAATTTTAAATTTTACCAAACTAATGGGTATAAAATTGTTTATCTTGCAAGCCTGTTTGCATTTCTGTAAGTCCTAATGAAATTAAAAATTTTCCATATTTTATGGGCCATATCTGTTTTCTGTTCTGTGAAAGGCTTGCTCTTTGCAATTTATTTGTTCTTTTTCCACTTCTAACTGATGCATTATAATCTAACATATGGTTAAAATATAATTATTAGTCCTCTGTTGTTGGACATTTAGTTTTTTCCCAATATTTTGCTATTATAAGAAAAGCTGACCTGATAATGTTTTGTGTACCTTCAGGATTTCTTTCTTTCAAATAAATCTTAAAAGTGGAGTAGGCTAAGGAGGCAGATATGCTCATTTTGGAAAATATTTTGATAATACACTGAAAAATTACCTCCTGAAATAATGCCAATCTACCTGATGAGGTTTTTCTCTTAACCTATGAAACATATAAGCAGTTTGTTTTATGGCCTTTGACAAAGTTGGGGTAAAAGAGGAAAAGCCTGAAAGCATAGGGAGGTCCTGGAAAAAGCTGGGAGGGGAGGAGCCACGCTCGGCACAGCTCTTCTGAGAAAGGCCGGGAGCCTGCAGGAGTTCAGAGGTGAGCATGCGGGTGCCTCAGTCAGGGTCCAACCAGGGGAGCAGAACTGCTAGCAGATATATATACACATATAAGGATTTGGGTTTTTGCAACTCAAGAAGTGGGTTAAGTGGTCTCTGTAAGGCTGTTATCCCTGTGTCTGTGTGAGCCTGGAGCTTGAAGTCCATGATGCAGGTAGTCAGGCATAAAAGACAGACGGAAATTAGAGGAGACCGAGGGCAGGTAGGACTCTGCAAGCATGAGCTAAACCCACACAAACAGACTGAAATCCGTGTCACGTCTTGTTGCCTCTGACCTTGATAGTGTGGCCATTCTGTCTGTGGAAGCCTGGGTCCTTTATCGAGAACCTAATCCCATACACCTGGCTCAGGAGAAGAAGCTGAAGGAGGGAAGGGGAAGGCAGAGCAGTTGCAGGTTCTGCTGTGGCTTCCTGCCATCAGGTGAGTCAGTAGATCAACAGATGTATGTGAGGGAAAGAAAGAATTTACAGCCATAGGCATCCAACAGCGTGAAAGGTGCTTTCTCACAGATGATCTCATTCAGTCCACACAATAGCCTGTGAAGTTAGAAGTCTAAGCATTTTTAATGCACAGGTGAGTAAACTGAAATTCCAGAGCACAGCCATGTAGCAGGGAGGGATGGAGATGGGACTGCATTTTTTTTCATTTCTATAATCAGACACTCAAGTGTAGGTTTACAGTTCTAATCCATGCAGTTTCCCACAACCTGTGGCTGCTCAAGTTGGCCCTTAATTGATTAGGGGTAAAAAAAGAGATTGATGAATTTATTTATTTATTTATTTATTTATTTATTTATTTATTTTGAGACGGAGTCTTGCTCTGTCACCCAGGCTGAAGTACGGTGGCGCAATCTCAGCTCACTGCAACTTCTGCCTCCTGGGTTCAAGCAATTCTCCTGCCTCAGCCTCCTGCCTGGCTGAGGCAGGATGCCACCACGCCTGGCTAATATTTGTATTTTTAGTAGAGATGGGGTTTTGCCATGTTGGCCAGGCTGGTCTTGAACCTCTGAGCTCAAGTGATCTGCCTGCCTCAGCCTCTCAAAGTGCTGGGATTACAGGTGAGTCACAGCGCCTGACCTGATGAATTTATTGTAATTTAAATATGACCATAGTTTTATTTTTGGTTTTGTTTGTTTTTGAGACAGAGTCTTGCCCTGTTGCCCAGGCTGCAGTGCAGTGGCGCAATCTCAGCTCACTGCAACCTCTGCTTCCCAGGTTCAAGTGATTCTCCTGCCTCAGCCTCCTGAATAGCTAGGATTACAGTCTCCTACCACCATGTTCAGCTAATGTTTTTGTAGTTTTAGTAGAGACAGGATTTCATCATGTTGGCCAGGCTGGTCTCGAACTCCTGACCTCAAGTAATCCACCTGCCTCAGCTTCCCAAAGTGTTGGGATTACAGGCGTGAGCCACTGTGCCCAGCATGACCATAGTTTTAAAAAGAGAAATCTAGACTTTTTTAACACTGAAATTTGAATTTTTAATTATTTTGTGTCATAAATATTATTTTTCTTTTGATTCTTTTTCTTTCTTTTTTAAAATTTTATTTTTTCAAAAAACCAGCTTTTAATTTTGTTGATGTTTTATATTGTTTTCATTTCAATTTTATTTATTTATGCTCTGATGTTTATTATTTCTTTTCTTCTACTAATTTTGGGTCTGGTTTGCTCTTGCTTTTCTACTTGCTTAAGATGCATTGTTAAGTTAATTACATGATGTTTTTCTTCGTTTTTGATGTAGATGCTTATAGCTATAAACTTCCCTCTTATTACTGCCTTCTCTGTATCCCATAGGTTTTGGTATGTTGTGTTTCTATTATCATTTGTTTCAAGAAAATTTTCAGTTTCCTTAATTTCTTCATTGACCCACTAGTCATTCAGGAGCATATTTTCTAATTTCCATGTGTTTGTATAGTTTCCCAAATTCCTCTTGTTATTGATTTCTAGTTTTATTCCATTGTAGCCAGAGAAGACACTGGATATTATTTCAATTTTTTTGAATGTTTTAAGACTTGTTTTGTGACCTAACACATGATCTATCCTTGAGAATGATCCATATGCTGAGGAAAAAAAAGTGTATTCTGGAGCTGTTGGATGAAATGTTCTGTAAATACCTACTAGTTCCATTTATTCTATAGCATAGATTAAGTCTAATGTTTCTGTGTTGATTTTCTGTCTGGAAGATGTGTCCGATGCTGAAAGAGGGGCGTTGAAGTCTACAGCTATTATTATATTGGGGTCTATCTCTCCCTTTAGCTCTAATATTTGCTTTATACGTCTAGATGCTTCAGTGTTGAGTGCATATATACTTAACAATTATTATATCCTCTGGCTGAATTGACCCCTTTATTATTATATAGAGAATCTAGACTTCTATTGTGGCTTTAAAAAATTATTTGTATTTTTTATTTTCTGAGACAGAGTCTTGCTCTAATGACCAGGCTGGAGTGCAGTGGCACAATCATAGCTCACTGCAGCCTCGACCTTCTGGGCTGAAGCGATCTTCCTGCCTCAGCTTCTTGAGTAGTTAGGACTACAGGCATGCCCTACTACAGTTAGTTTTTAAATATTTTTTTTGTTGAGACAAGGTCTTGCTATATTGTCCAGGCTATTCTCAAACTCCTGGCTTCAAGCGATCCTCCTGCCTTGGCTTCCCAAAGTGTTGGGATTATAGGCATGAACCACTGTGCCTGGCTTATTGTGGCTTATTTTGGTGACACCAGCAACTTAATGGAAATGTATCGATATAGTTTACCTATTTTAGAAGATAAAGTGAGACTTTTAAAATATATTGTATTTATCTTTAATTTCTTTTGATTAAATAATTAGTAATTCCTATTAGTGAAAATGAGAATGTTTGGCTTATAATTTTCCTTCTTGGGAAATGATTGTGGGAATGCTGAAAATCATGTTTTAAATATAAAGTCAGTCCTAGTTTCTTCAACAAGTAAAGGGTATGAAAAGAGATGAGAACTGTTGCAAATTGGATTCTCTGGAAGCAGATGCTGACACACGGTTTGGGTGCAGGATGATGGTAAGGAGCAGTGCCTATAAAGGGAAGGTGCTAGACGGAGAAGACCTGTTGCGACGCAGTCCTGGCAAAACCTTGGCAAACCCAGAGTGGCTCTGTGAGCAAATATTGTTTATCAGAGTCGTTCTGTGTCAGGCCAATAGCTGGACCTTTTTACCCCTCCTTTCTCGGTCGCTGAATGTGAGTCGCTTGGAGAAGGGTGTGACCTCAGCTCTCAGCAGCTGATGCTGACCTTGAAGGAGCTGAGAGCTGGAGGCTGTCTGCTGACCCCACATCTCGCAGTTGGGATGTAGGTTCTTCTTGAAGGGTATCTCGGTGATGCCCCTCCATGTCTACCCCAGGAACCATTATAGATTAAGAAAGACTTAAGGGACATCCATCAAATGCCAAGGATTCCTGATTCCAACAAACAACCAAGACACTTTTTTTTTTTTTGAGATGAAATTTCACTCTTATTACCCAGGCTGGAGTGCAATGGTGCAATCTTGGCTCACTGCGACCTCCGCCTCCCGGGTTCAGGTGATTCTCCTGCCTCAGCCTCCCTAGTAGCTGGGATTACAGGCTTGCACCATCATACCCGGCTAATATTTTGTATTTTTAGTAGAGACGGGGTTTCACCACGTTGGCCAGGCTAGTCTTGAACCCTTGATCTCAGGTGATCCACCTGCCTTGGCCTCTCAAAGTGCTGGGGTTACAGGCGTAAGTCACTGCGCCCACCCCGAGATACTTTTGAGGTAATTGTGGGAATATAGATACAGACTGGGTATCCAATGATAGTAGGGGATTAGTGTTAATTTTTTCTTGGGGGCTGAGAAAACATGCTGTTTTTATTCACATAACACTTCTGACACTACATGTGTGGGTTTTTTCCCTCCACACCAAGCAATTCTCCAAATCTCTGGACCCCAGCTGGGTGTACTACAACTTAACCTAATTCTGAGACTATCTACCTGAAGTTGGCATCAGATCCCATAAGTTAAAGGGCTTGGTTCCTCAAGACTGCCCCTACTTCAGATGTTAATCGCATGTCTGGGGCTCTTGCAGTTCTGAATGACCAGCTTTAAATTGGGGGTTCCCATGATGAGTTTGATAATTTGCTACAATGACTCATAGAATTGAGGGAAACACTTTACTTACGTTTAGTGGTTTATTATAAAGGACACACCTCTAGAAAATCTAGAGAGAAGAGATGCATAGGGCAACATATGGGGCCAGAGAGTGGTTCGTGGCTCTTCTCTTCTCTCTCTGGGCACACCACCCTCCCAGCATCTTGATGTATTCACCAACCTGGAAGCTCATCAAATCTCATTGTTCGAGAGTTTTTATAGCACTTACTCTGAGTCTG
This sequence comes from Homo sapiens, assembly GCF_000001405.40. Taxonomy (NCBI): domain Eukaryota; kingdom Metazoa; phylum Chordata; class Mammalia; order Primates; family Hominidae; genus Homo; species Homo sapiens. The sequence goes on from NC_000008.11 coordinate 74,077,251, forward strand.
CCCCTTTCCAGATACTTCATTAGCATAAACTCAGGTGTGATCTAAACAGGCGCTTTATGAATAACAAAAGACACTCCTGTCGCTCAGGAAATTCCAAGGGTTTTAGGAGTTTTGTGCCAGGAACCAGGAATGAAGACCAGATAGCCTTATTTACACTACAGGTGTGATGATGGAATCATGGTTATGTAAGATACCGTCCTTTGTGAGTGATATATCCTGAAGAATATGGTGGTAGAATAAGGTGCCTAGGGATTTGCTCCAGTAATGTGACAGCAATGAAAATGGAGGACTGATAGATAAAACAAGAATGCTAAATTGTTGATAGCTGTGAAAACTAGAGAAGGGCTCAAAGAGATTCTCTTTAGTATTCTATTTATGTGTGTATTTGGAAATTCAAAACATAATGAAAAGATAAATATAGAAAAATACGTGAAATAAATATAAATTATAATGAATATTATGATATATAAATATGTAAAAATTAAATATATAAAAAGTGTTAAAACATAATAAAACATTAAAAAAATACCAAAGGTCATTTAAGATAATACCTCATTGGTAAAAGAGGTAACATGGGCCAGGTGTGGTGGCTTATGTCTGTAATCCCAGCACTTTGGGAGGCTGAGGTGGGAGGACTGCTTGAAGCTGGGAGTTCAAGACCAGCCTGGGAAACGAAGCGAGACCTTGTCTTTACAAAAATTAAAAAAATTAGCTGAGTGTGGTGGCACATGCCTGTAGCCTCAGCTACTTAGGAGGCTGAGATGGAGGGATTGCTTGAGCCGAGGAATTTGAGGCTGCGATGAGCAGGGATTGTGCGACTGCACTCCAACCCGAGTGACAGAGCAAGACCCTGTCTCAATAAAAAAAAAAAAAAAAGAATTATCATAATAAATAGTGGGTATCTATTATTGAGTGTCTTTCATATGCTAGAATTCAACAAGTAAATCCAGAGTAAACTCAATTTTGAGTATTATGAAGATCTGCCCTGGAGATAAAGCATCCTTCAGTGTCAGCTGATAGCTTTCAGTGGAGTGTGAGGATTTTCCTGTGGAGTGTGGCCAAATGAATACCTGGGAAAGGAGATACAGGAAGATCAGGAAGATTGTAAGACAGGACAGAAAGCAAACTACTGAGAGCATTTTTGAGAGCATCCAGACACAGTGTCAGGTCCTTTACATACATTGTCTAAATTCTCACAATCACCACCCCATGTTATTATTTAGATTTTCTAGGATTCACAGTATGCAGATTGGGATATTAAGACTCATATTTGGGAACTCATCCAAGTGTTGGTTGGGATTCTAAGTTAGGTTGTGTTGGGTTCTGAGGCTTTTGCACTGGGTCACTGGAGTTCAAAGCTGGCCACTTCTCAGGCTGCCAGGGAATCTGGCAGCACCCCTGGGGCAGCATATTCTGTGTCTCCTGGAAATGCAAGCTGCACTGGTCCTCCCATGGCTGCTGGGCAGACCCACAGAGCTTCACAGGCCTGGGATGGCCCTTTCTGCTGATGACACTCTTGCCTAACTTCCTGGAACTAGAAAAATTAGAAAAGAAAAAAATTAAAAAAATTAGAGAACAATACTATTCTGAATTTTAACAATACTATTCTGAATTTTAATTAGAAGCTCTGAGCGTTTCCTCTTCCTAAGGGCTTTCTCTCTCTCTCTCTTTTTTTGTTCACTTATCTGCTCATTTGTAGTGGCTAATTTGATGTGTTAACTTGACTGTGCTAAGGGATGCTCAGATAGCTGGTAAAGCGTTATTTCTGGGTGTGTCTGTGAAGATGTTTCTCAAAAACATTAGCATTTGAATCAGTAGACTGAGTAAAGATCAGCCCTCACCAAAGTGGCTGGGCATCATCCAATCTGTTGAAGGCCCAGCTAGAACAGAAAGGCGGAGGAAAGGTGAATTTGCTCTCTGCTTGAGCTGGGACATCTATCTTCTGCCCTTGGGCAACAGCACTCCTGGTTCTGATGCCCTCACACTCAGGCTGGAATTACTCCATCAGCTTTCCTGGGCCTTCAGCTTGCAGATGCAGATTGTGAGACTTCTCAGCCTCCATAATCTCATGGACCAAAATTTCATAATAAATCTCTTTTTATATGTCTCTCTAAGTATCTTACTAGGTCTATTTCTCTGGAGAACCTGACTAATACACCATCTTCAGGTAATGCCCTTTGTAATTTATTGTCTGCCAGTATGTTGGGAGTATACTGGTCTCCATTAAAAGCTGTCTAACAACTTTGGAAGAGGATTACAAGGGAGCTTTATCAATAGATGGCTGTGGTGTTCGCTTTGGCAGCATGTGTATTAAGATTGCACCAATACAGAGAAGATTAGGATGGCCCCAGTGCCAGGATGACACACAAATTTGTGAAGTGTTTAATTTAAAAAATAAAAACAAAAAAGAGATAGTTTTTATGGTAGATAGTGGATTTTATGAAAGAGAGTGGATTTTTTTTTTCGAAACAGGGTGTCGCTATGTCACCCAGACTGGAATCTTGGCTCACTGCAGCTTTGACCTCCTGGGCTCAAGAGATCCACCCGCTTTGGCTTCTAAAATTGCTGGGATTACAGGTGTGAACCACTGCACTCAGCCTTAGCTGTGGATTCTTAAAGACAGAGACTTAAAAAATGTGTGTGTGTGTGTATGTGCATGCAGATGTGTGCAGGGAAGGGGGAAGAACTGATCCTTTTCTACATCCAGGCTGTGGGATACTCCAATGAGGACAGAATAAAAGGAAAAAGTAAGGGAGGGCCAGTTTCTTCCTCAAGTTCACATCTAATATCATTTGCAATGAAAAGAGCGAAGGAGTGGTGGCATTGAACCTGAGCTGAAGGGAAAGCGTACATTGCAGATGATGTTGGAAGTGTTGTTCAGGACCCCTTTATGTGAAAACAAGACCCCTGGAAGGCAGCTGAGGCTTCCCAAGCAGCAGTGCCCACTGTGGGTCTGCCTGGGGTGGTAAATGGGGCTTGGAATCAAAATGCAAGAAAATCCTAGCATAATGGCCTTTGGGTTGAGCCTGATTGACTTTGGTATATTCCCAAGCCCTGAGTACCTCATCGGAAGTTCTTTCTGCTGCTCATGGCCGTGGTTGAGGAATCCTGGGAAAAGATCCTCAGTAGTTAATTGACACTGAAAGTGCTTTCAGATGGTTTTGCTTTATGGCTGAGTGTGGAGGTGCCAGGAATCAGGCTTTGAGCTGCACAGCAATTCCATGGCCAAGTGCATGCCCTGAGAGGCAAAAAATTGTAGAAGAATTTGGAATTGAAGTTAAGTGTAGGTTTTCAAGCTGTGCGTATGAAACACTGTCCATATGATACACTCTACCTTCTCCACTGTCAGTTTGTCACAGGAATGTTTATTCCTCCCACACTGTTACTGATTCCCTGCTTCCCAACCTTTCTCCAAAAAGCTCCCTATGTGCTTTTTCTGGCCTGGTGAGAGAGGTAAACGGGGTAGAATTGCAAAGGATGGAATTTCCCAGCAGGCGGTACAGAGGCCCCACCTTGCTGATGTGGTTTCACCTTCTCCAGGGACCATCAGCTCTTTGTTGACTCCTGGGAATAAAAGCTCGATTTCCTTTAAGGCTCTTTAGTTCCCAGCCCTGCCTGGCGATGGCTGACTCTTGTGCAGAAGAGAGACTGAATCAGTTTAAAGCCTACTGATGATTTCCTAGGCCCTTTCTTGTCTTTTGGACTGTCTTGTGCCTTCTTTCTTTCTTTCTCTCTCTTTCTTTCTTTCTTTCTTTCTTTCTTTCTTTCTTTCTTTCTTTCTTTCTTTCTTTCTTTCTTTTTCTTTCTTTCTTTCTTACTTTCTTTCTTCTCTTTCTCTCTTTCTTTCTTTCTTTCTTTCTTTCTTTCTTTCTTTCCTTCCTTCCTTCCTTCCTTCTTTCTTTCTTTCTTTCTTTCCTTCTTTCTTTCTTTTCCCTTCCTTCCTTCCTTCTTTCCTTCCTTCCTTCCTTTCTCTCTTTCTCTCTTTCTTTCCCTCTCTCCCTTTCTTTCTCCTTCTTTTTTTTTGAGACAGGTTCTTGATTTGTTGCCCAGGCTTAAGTGCAGTGGTGTGATCATAGCTTGCTGCAGCCTTGACCTCCCTTGCTCAAGTGATCCTCCTACCTCAGCTTCTCAAGTTGCTAGGACTACAGGTGCATGCCACTGTGCCTGGCTAATTTAAAATTTTTTTTTTTTTGGAGAGAAGTTCTTCCTGTGTTGCCCAACTGGTCTTGAGCTCCTGGGCTCAAGCTATCCATCTGCCTTGGCCTCTCAAAATGATGAGACTACAGGTGTGAGCCATCATGCCTAGCTAATTTTGAAATTTTTAGTAGGGATGAGGTCTTGCTATGCTGTCCAGTCTGGTCTCGAGCTCCTGGGCTCAAACAATTTTCCCACCTCGGCTGGTGTTTCTTTTTTTTTCTTTTTAGACAGAGTCTCACTCTGTCACCCAGGCTGGAGTGCAGTGGCATGATCTCGGCTCACTACAACCTCTGCCTCCTGGGTTCAAGAGATTCTCTTGCCTCAGCCTCCTGAGTAGCTGGGGCTACAGGTGTGCACCACCATCCCCAGCTAATTTTTGTATTTTTAGTAGAGATGGGGTTTCACCATGCTGGCCAGGCTGGTTTCAAACTCCTGACCTCATGATCCTAAAGTGCTGCGATTACAGGCGTGAGCCACCGTGCCTAGCCCTTGGCTGGTGTTTCTTGTATTGGTTATCATTTTGGCTTCAGGGAGATTGAGCACAATCTTAGAGCTTTACTCTTCCCTGGCCATTCCAGCAGATTGGCTTCAGCTTCCTGCTCCCTGCTTTCAATTATAGAATATTTCCCTTAATCTACAGTCCTATTTTTTGTGCTCCTCCTTATCCAGTTGTCCACAATGCTGCTATATGCCAGGCTTGTGCTAGGATCTGGGAACAGAGATGAATAAAACATGGTCCCTCAGTCTTCAGCAGCTCATAAAGAACTGGGAAAAACAGAGTTGCAAGGAACTCACAGTGAGTGACTCTTTCTTTATCTTCTTTCTGGATTTTGGTTTTCATGCAATTGCACCATTTTTCTTCTGGTTGAGCATGTTCCTAGATTGGACTTAGATTGTATAGGTTATCAATAAATACTGGCCATCCTCATGACTGTGGTCATGTCCACGTAAAGGCTTTCAAATGCTTCCAACTCATGGAGCCCTTGCCTACCAGTGCAATGTGTGCAGGTAACAGAAACTTAAGAAAAATTTTGAAGTTATTTAAACACTTTTCTGATTTTATTTTAGTTTTTATTATTGTATTGTTATTTAAAAAAACCCCAAACACCTGCAGGGGCGGAAAGATTTCCTTTTCTCACCCATCGTAGGTTCATAGCTGAGGCTCCTATAACAAAATAAGATTAACAAGCAAAAGGCATACACATTTATTTGATATAAGTTTTATATGAAGGGGAGACTTCTTAAGGAAATGAAGATTCAAGTAAACAGGTGCACTTGTGTATTGCTATGCTTAGGTTTGATGGAGCATGGACCGTCATGGCGAAATATGACTGGAGGGCAGAAGGATGTGACTGAATGATAATAAGCTAGGGGGAAACTTAGCAAGGCCTGTTTGTTCAGGTTCCTCTCTGTGTCCCTGTGTCTTCAGAGGTAAGGATGTTCCTTTCACCCCAGGTATAGGAAGGGTACTTTTCAAATGAGGGATTTGTGATCTGCTTCAGGGGAGAAGGCTGAGGGAAAGGTGAGAGAGGACTTCCTGCTTCTGTTGTTTTCTCAAATGCCAAGGTGTCATATTTTGGGGTAGTGTGTCCTGAACCCATTTTCCCCGTCCCCCTGCTGGATTAATTTGAAGTAAGTTCCAGGTATTATACAGATGTTTATATGTATCTATATATGTAAATATATATCTATAAATACACATATCATAAATGCAAATATGTGTAAATATTCCAGCATATATCTCTGAAAGTTAAGGACTCTTTATTTTTTAATTTTTATTTTTTTGAGACGTAGTCTTGTTCTGTTGCCCAGGCTGGAGTGCAGTGGCATGGTCTCAGCTCACTGCAACCTCCACCTCCCCAGTTCAAGCAATTCTCATGCCTCAGCCTCCCAAGTAGCTGAGATTACAGGCGCCCGCCACCACACCTGGCTAATTTTTTGTATTTTTAGTAGAGATGGGGTTTCACCATGTTGGCCAGGTTGGTCTCGAACTCCTGACCTTGTGATCCACCTGCCTTGGCCTCCCAGAGTGCTGAGATTACAGGCATAAGCCATGACTCTTTAAAAAGTAACTGTAATATGATGACCACACCTAAAAAATTATTGGCAATTCCTTAATATTATCAGATATCCAGTCACATTTCACTGATTTTATTATAAGCTTTTACTTTTATAGTTGGTTTGTCTGAATCAGGATTTTTGATAGGTGCCTATGTTGTGATTGGTTGGGATACCACTTAAATCTTTTCTTTCTTTTTTTTGAGACAAGGTCTTGCTGTGTCACCCAGGGTGAAGTGCAGTGGCAAAAATCACTGCTCACTGCAGCCTTGACCTCTCGGGCTGGAGTGATCCTCCTGCCTTAGCCTCCTGAGTAGCTGGGACCACAGGCATGTGCCCCCATGCCTGGCTAATTTTTTTTTTTAGAGATGGGGTCTCACTATGTTGTCGAGGCTTGTCTAGAATTCCTGGGCTCAAATGATCCTTCCACCTTGGCCTCCCAAAGTGCTGAGATTACAGGCGTGAGCCACTGTGTCCAGCCAAAACTTTTCTAATCTACAGGTTTCCCCTCATGCTCTTTTTTTTTTTTTGTTTCGTTGCAATTTATTTGTTGAAGAAACTGGATGTTTTCTCCAGTAGAGTTTCCCATAGTCTGGATTTTGCTGATTGCTTCCTCGTGATGTTTAACCTGTTCCTCTGTTCTCTGTATTGCTATCAAAATGATAGTTAGATGTAAACATTTAGCTTGAGTTTAGGGCAGAAATATCTCATAGGTGGTAGTGTGTGTACTTCTATCTGGAGACACAAAATGCTGAGTTCTCTCTCCTTCTATGATGTGAGCAGTCCTGATGCACGGATTAACTCAGTCCCTTAGCTCATTAGAGGTTGCTCAGTGGTAATACTCCAGTTCTATCTTTGCTTCCTACGCCTTAGCCAGAATACTGGTCTGGAAGAGAAACTTCTCTTATAAGCATTTGTAACTCTGAAGTGCAGTTTGTACAGGAAAGTCAGAATTAATGCTGGCTTCTTTCCCTTTATTAATAGTTTTTAAGGAATTTAAACACTGAAGACTTCAGAGATTGTACCCCTTCTTCCCCAACTAGTTTTCTCCTCTTTCCTCTGGCCGCATCTGTAATCCGGAATCTTGGTCTGTCTTTCAATCTCTCTCTCTCTTTTTTCTTTTTTTGAGATAGAGTCTCGCTCTGTTGCCCAGGCTGGAGTACAGTGGCACAATCTCGGCTCACTGCAACTTCTGCCTCCCAGATTCAAGCGATTCTCCTGCCTCAGCCTCCCGAGTAGCTGGGATTACAGGCGCCTGCCACCACGCCCGGCTAATTTTTTGTATTTTTAGTAGAGATGGGGTTTCACCATGTTGGCCAGGCTGGTCTCAAACTCCTGACCTCAAGTGATCCGCCTGCCTTGACCTCCCAAAGTGCTGGGATTACAGGCGTGAGCCACCGCACCCAGCCCTCTCTTTCTCTTAAATTCAACTTTGTAGAGCTTTGGAGAAAGAATTGCAGACTCATTCACACTAAAGTACAAATGACAAATAACAGGTTACGGTGTGATTACTCCAGATAGACTTTCTGTTTAACTTCCATCAACATGTTAAATGAGAGAAATGAAGCTTCTTGGATAAGAATAACATTTGTATGCAGCTACTATTATATGCCAGCTGCGGCAGTAAATGATTTATGTGTGTTGTCTCACAAAATGCCTACAACAACCCTGTGAGTAAGATAGTCTATGTTATTCCCATTTTACAGATGTGGAAACAAAGCTCAGGTTGTTTCAATAACTTGCCAACTAAAAGGTGACAGAGCTGAAACTAAAACCTATGATTGTCTGGTTTCAAAGCCAGACATCTTATTCTGGAATCACAGAGGAATCACATCCTTTTCTGCCTTCTTGGTATAGTTTCAGACATCTTGAACAAGGAGAAAAGGCTTTAGGGGAGAGGATGGCTTCCCAAGGTTGAAATCTTCCACTAGACAGACCCAAGTTACTCATTGTGTCAGTGTGTACAGAAGAGCCTGCCAATCACCCACGAAACCAAAGATTTGTCACCGGAGTGTCATTGTTGAAAATAGTTCTCTGCCACTGCAGCAATAGTGATGCCTTTGCCGCAGCCAGCTCCTTTCTGCTTTTCCAACTCTGCCTTCCTCTTGTTCACTTGTTCCAGTCACACTGGCCTTTTTCCTGTTCCTCAAGCATGCCAAGACTCCTTTCTATTTCAGAGATTTGCATCTACTGTTCTTCTCCTGGATCTTTTTTTAAATTTAATTTTTTCCAACTTCATTGCGGTATAATTGACAAATAAAATTGTGAAAGTTTGAGAGGTACAATGTGTTGATTTGATATACATATACATTGTGAAATCATTACCACAATCAAGTTAGTTAGCATATCTGTCACCTCACCCTAGTTACCATTTGTGTGTGTGTGTGTAGCAAGAACATTTAGGGTCTACTGTCAGCAAATTTCAAATACATAATACAGTATTGTTAACTAGAGTCACCCTGCGGTAAATTAGATCCCTAGGACATATTCATCTTATAACTGAAAGTTTGTACCCTCTGACCAAGATCTCCCCAACCACCCCCCTCCCAGCCCCTGGCAACCAATATTCTATCCTCTGTTTTCTATGGGTTCAACTTTTTTAGATCCCACATATAAGTGAAATCTTTCCTGGATCTTTCCATGACCAGCTTCTTGACATTCAGGTCTTAGCATAAATGTCACTCAATCGGAGTCATTCCCCTGATCTTTCTACCTAACATAGCCACTCCTTACCCAATCCTTGACTTCTTTTCCAGCTCTTAATACCATCTTCTGTCTTTCTCTACAAACTATAGGGAGAACATGTACCAGTTTTGCTCACTGCGAGGATTCTGGTGCCTGGCAAGAGGTGGGCACTCCGGAAGCCTTTGCTGAATGAATGAATTAGCTCAGGCATTCTTTGCTCATTGAAGACTACATGGAGGCCTGTCTCACTATCTCAAATCCATCACTGCTGGTTCCAATTAATCACGAGAATTTCCATGGCTGTTATAACAGGCTTTTCCTTCTGTAAAAGTCAGGGGTTCCTGCCTTTTGCATTTATAAACCAAAGCTTGACAAAAATGGTCGGATATAATTCTGGTTATGTATTAGGATGAGGTCCAAGATAATTCATATTCTAACTGATGCTGTTTGCTTGAGCTTGGTCTGAATGTTAATCCTCCCCTACCCTACGTTCCCAAATTTATGTTGAAACCTAATCACCAATGTGATGCTTTTAAGACGTGGGGCCCTTGGGAGGCACAGCCCTGCCGAATGGGATTAGTGCCCTTATAAAAGAGGTGCCAGTGAGCTTCCTTGCTCCTTCCCCATGTGAGAACACAGCAAGAAGGGGCCATCTATCAACAAAGAAGTGCAGCCCTCGCTAGACGTTGAATCTGCAGGCACCTTGAACTTGGAATTTCCAGTGTTTAGGCCTGTGAGAAATAAATTTCTGTTGTTTACAAGCCACCCACATTGGGGCTTTTTGTTGCAGCAGCCCATATGGACTAAGTCAGGGCATCTTTCAAATTCTCCCTTCTTGTGTGAATATTGAATACCTCTGGGTGAAAGAAGATCATGACAGAATGGAAAGCCTTGCGGATACTCTTCTGAAGTTGGGTGGCAATAGCTCCTGAAATCCTACAAAACTGGATCTGAAGCTTAGGGGTTTGCATTAGAGTTAACCAGTGACTTGAGAAACAGTTTATAGGGCAGTACAAAACATGGTCCTAAAATTACCTGTATCGGAATCATCTGGGGAGTGCATGAGACTTATTTAAAATGCAGATTAATAAACTGCAGTCAGACCTCCTGTGTCGACATCTTGGGAGATGGAGCCTGCCGTTCTATATTTTGACAAGTGCCCAGTTGTATTTTATTGTAGGTTCCCCAAAGTTTAAGAACCAGTGTCATTAAGAAAGGAAATTGTATTTTATTACAACCTACTAATCCTGAGAAGCCTCAGAAAAGCCACCAAAACAAAGCCGTCAGCACTCAGGCTCCAATCAGCTTTGGAATCCCGGGGTCCCACCTGAGAGATGGCATCAGTCTTGGTGTGGTCTACACTTGGAGAGTGTTACAAACCTCTGGGTGGCCAAGGTTCACTGTTTTGCCGTAAAGGGCCTCAAACATGTCACCACTTTGCTTGGGGAGTTTTTGTTTCTGGACTGCCTATCTTCTATTTCACAGAGGTGTGAAAAGTGAGACTTCCTAACAAGTCTAATGAAAGACATCGCCAAGCTTTCTAGTGGCAAGAACTTCCTTTGTTCTTTTAGATGTTGTCCTTATTTTTTGTCTGAGGAAAGGCATAGTTTGTCCTCACCTTGCTATAAACATTGCTTAATATTCAAATTATTAGTTGGGCTCAACCATCTCTCTTCTGTGTCTGTTCTTGTCTTTATGGGTCTTCCTCTGAAAGCTTTTCCTTTCACCTTTAATTTCTCTTTTTTCTTCTTTTTCTTGTCTGAATCCTTCCTATCCTTCAAGGACAAATTCAAGTTTGTCTTTATCCACTAACCACCCATCTACCTGAGGCTTTTTTGCTGGCTTGAATTCCCAAAGCATTGTACCCGTACTGTTTAGTACTTCACTGAGAGAAGAATAGAATAGAATAGAATAGAATAGAATAGAATAGAATAGAATAGAATAGAATAGAATAGAATAGAAAAGAATAGAAAAGGAAAGTGTTGCTTAACCACATCTTACTATTCCCCTGCTCTCAGGACTCATGAATGTTTTGTGTGCAGCCATCATTCAAGAGAAAACCCCATGACACTTTGCCAGCACACTGGACACTTCTTGCAGGGGCCAGCAGAGGGCAGTGGAGCACCCATGGTTCTTACTCCTTTTTCCACCTCTTTGTCTATGTCCAGGAAAACACAAGGAGCCATTTGTTGGTGCCCTGAGCCAAGTCAAAGCAGTTGCTAAGTCTTCTGAGATGTTTTATGTCCCTTTCTTACCTTTCCGCTCTGCTCCCTCCTTTGCACCACATACCCCCAAGCATCCACCCTTCTGGGGCTCAGTCTCATCTCTTCCCTCCCCTCAACCTCTAAGCTAAAACCGCAGACTGTGACCCTTTCCTACTGGGAACCCTCCTGAGTATTTATTTATTTATTTATTGAGAGAGTCTCACTCTGTCGTTCAGGCTGGAGTGCAGTGGCACGATCTCGGCTCACTGCAACCTCTGCCTCCTGGGTTCAAGCGATTCTTGTGCCTCAGCCTCCCAAGTAGCTGGGATTACAGGCACCTACCACTACACCTGGTTAATTTTTGTATTTTTAGTAGACATGGGGTTTCACAGTGTTGGCCAGGCTAGTCTCCAACTCCTGGCCTCAAGTGATCAGCCTGCCTCGGTCTCCCTAAGTGCTGGGATTACAGGTGTGAACCACTGTGCCTGACCTCTCCTGCCTATTTTAAATGTAAGCTTTGCAGGAGTTAATTTAACAATTGTATCCATGTAAGTTACTTCTTCTCTCTTGGCATGGATTGATCTTGCTGGTGGGGAATTCCAGCCTGTGGCCTGGTGAGAGGGGGAGATGGGGTGAGAAGGGTGCAGAGGAAAGAACTGCTGGGAACAATCCCCTGACTTCCTAGCAGGATAGGGTTAGTCCTAGGCTGAAGAGAGCAAACCTCTCATATACCTCAGGGGCGAAGCTTCCTTCCTGGAATGATCAGTGATGAAATAGCTGGTGGTTGTGACTTATCAAAAGGGCCATGCCCTGTGAGAACTGTTTATCTTTCGATGGATTTTTTCAGTGTGCTATTTACTCACACATGTTTTATTCCAAATCCTCAAAACAAGACTGGCTACATAATTTGTGGGAGGCCAGGGCAAGAGGAAAATGCAGGTCCTTTTATCCAAAAATTATGAAGGATTTCAATTTGGTCACCGAGAGCATTAAACCTGGCACAGGGCCCCTCTGAGCATGGAACACATCCATGTATCTGGCCCTGCCCCCAAACATGCATAGGACGAGCTCTTCTGTGTCCTAGACTTGGTATGAAACTTTCCCATATCTGACTCCTTCACTGCCCTCGGGAACCAGGGTCTAGAGAATGAGAAAGATACACAGGGAAAGTGGATGAGATTTTATTTGACAGATGTGTAAAGGACAATGTTTGAGGCTCTGGAGATTCCAAAGTTAACAAAACAAAGTCCCTGCCCTCATGGAGTTTGCACTCTAGTTGTAGAAGACAACGACAGATGAACAGGCGAGTGCCTGCAGATAGTAGGTCGGATAGTGATAAGCATGATGGATAAATGGGGGGTGGGGGGGATAGGAATGCCATCGTAAGGAGTGCTGTTATGATTTCAGGAAAGGTGGTCAAGAAGGGCCTCACGAATCATGTGCTGTTTGAGCAAAGACCTTGAGGGAGTGTGTCATGTAGGCATCTGAGGATAAGCATCCAAGCAAAGGCCCCGTGGCTTCCTAAGTTTGAGAAAGAGTGGGGAGGACAGGATGGTTGGTGTGGAAGATTGGGGCCTGGGAGGATGGAGAGAGGTGGAAAGGGGAGGCCAGGTCTTATAAAGTAATGATTTTGCATTTTGGATGAGATGGAAGCTTTGGAGGTTTTAGAGCAGGGGAGGTTTGTGGTCTGACTTACGTTTTAAAGGACTCCCTCTATGCTCCATCAAGAAGAGATTGTGGAGGCATAGAGTGAAAGCAGGTTGACCAGTAAGGAGACCCCTGCAATCATCTAGGTGGCTTTGGACTAAGGCATTCTTAGCTGAGGTGATGAAAAGTGGTCAGATTCTAGGAAAACCATAAACTCCCAGGTGGTAAGGGGTCATGTTGGTCTTGTTTACCACTGTGATTCTATTGCCACACACAAGATCTGGCATATACAGGTGCTTAGTGAATATGTATTTAATGAACCAGGGAGCAAATACAAATAGATAGGATTAGGATAATAAGATAATTAGGACAAATAGGTAAGATTAAGTTCTTATAATAGAGCTATAAGAAATAACATTAAAAGAATGGAAGCAGAATACCTTGACAATGTTTTATAGTTTCTATTCTCACTTTGCTTCTATTAAATCTGTTGAAATGTTAAAGATCAGTTGATATGAAATAAATTACATGTCTCAACCCTACATAGCATGTGAGCCTGAATATGCTTAAATGGACAGTCTGTATTTTTAGTATGTGGTCAATAGGTGGTGCTGTATCTTGTTAGGGCTCCGTCCCCAACTTGGCAATGTGAGAGGAGGCTTACTGATGTAGATCAAAATGTTAAATGCAGTCTTAGCTGGAGTGTATTCTGGGTCTACTGAAAATAAGATTAGTTTCTCCAGCAATTTGGTAGGACTCTCTTGGAATTATATATATGAAACTAACATTTGAAAATGTCAATTCTCCCTTACATGGAACATTTAGATATTATTTAAATGATAGAAAATGCATCTCAATATTAGAAACAGAGCTGTGCCCGCATGCTGCAGATGCCCTCAATGCCTGATGACATTTTACTTTATTTCATTCTCCATGTGATTCTGGTATATATGTGTATCGTCAATATATGTCTATTTTGGCTGCTATTTGTAAAAAGACCACATAAGGCATCATTAGATTTATTTCCTTTATTGAATGTGTAGGTGGGTGGATGTACAGAAAGGAGTGGCATGGGGAGAGGGGTATACGAGGAGAAAGTGAGGCTACAGTAATATTTAGGAGACTGTGAGGTTGTGTGGGACATTCTATGAACACTTTTTGGATAGCATATTTCCTCCAGCTGTGGGCTGTCTCCACCAGCTGGGCCATCTTTCTCCACCCAGAAAGCTCTCGAAGTGGCACCACCTCTTGCAAGATTGCATCTCTTGGAACCCTGCAGCTGGCTGGTTCTTTCTTGTCCAGTGCCCAACTTTCTGCTGTTAGAATTCGTTCTTACAGATTAAATCCTGCCATTGTTAGGCCTGAAGAAGTGGAAGATCAAAGATTCTGGGCTGGCTTTCCTATGAGTCAGGCAGAGTAAACCTCACCCTACAAGATGACTTGTGTCCCCCCTCAGGAGTCCCTGGGTGGACTTGAGAGCTGTAGGCGTCTGAGGATGAAATTGTATTCTTTCATGGTGTTAATGATATGGCTCTCCTGAAATGGAAGGCCTTGAGAACTGCTTCTGCTAGCGGACCTGTAAAATGGACACAGGCCAATTGTTGTTTCAGATGGTTTCTCTCTAAGCGATATTTCTGCCTTTTCTTTTCTGGGACTTGATGCCTGAAACTGTCCTTCAACCAGTACTGGCTTCCCTCCTCGCTGTGATCTGAGACCTCTGTCCAAGGGGCAAACGCTCTAACTGACCAGCCAGTATGTCCCCATTTCTTTGACATGGTCCTTCCTTCAAACCCTTCGACTTGCCCTTCCTCCCTCAAGCCTTCCTTGAAGTCCTTCCATCCACTTACTATTTGTTGATTCGGCAAATGCATGGTGTGTAGCTCCTGGATCTCAGGCATCATGCTGGGTGCTGGGGAAACAGCAGGACACGCTTTCTGTCCTCAACCTTTCCTTAGAATAAGCCCCCTTCCTTTTGACTCATTTAAAGCCTGATTTTCCTTCTATGATACTGCTTTGCTTTGGGCCTTGCCTAAAAGCTCCCTATAGTCTAGGGCTAGAAAGTGGGGCTTTCTGTCTTCTTACCTGGCTATAATTCATATATTGGCCTTTTGTCATCTCATGGGTGACAAGCTGGCTCAAAGAACTTTTGGGCATTATTTTTGCATTCAAGGAAGATGGTGGGGGAAGCACCAACTAAGTCTGTTCATTTTATCAGAGAAGCATAAGTTTTTCTGGAGGCTCCCAGCAGAGTTCCAGTATCCCCACATTGCCCCCTTTAGCTAAAAGGAAAACAGGGAAAATGAGTACATGGCTTTAGGGAGAAAGGGTTTGGGAATGGCTCCTTAAGTCAGTCATCCAAGAACATTGGCCCCCGAGGGACACTCAATCCAGCCAGATTATGCTCTTCTATACAAGTTGCCATAACCTATCAACATCTGGGTCACTCCATCACATCCACTGACTCCTGGGCTGCCATTTCTCTCCTGAATTCATCTCCTGTTATCATCTGGCTGACTTTAACTTCAGCACTGACAACACTTGGACACAGAGTTTCTTGACCTCCTCCATCCCTCTCTTCCACTCCTCCTAGGCAACCCATTAAATAGCTAACACTGAACTCACTGTTTCACCCAAACTTTCACCTCCTCTTGCTTTCCCATGACTGGCTCATGAAAGTTCATCTCACTTGTCATTGTCACTGAGATCATTGAATTCATCCCGTGCCACTCTGTCTTCTTCACATCTGGTATCTGAAGGTCCCTGAATCCTGTTCATCTTATCTCTGGAATAGTTCTTGCCGCCTCCTCTCTCTGTATTGCCACAGCTCCACTTTAAGTCCTGATTTTCTCTCCCTGTTTCAATCCATCCTCTGAACTGCCACAATTATGTAATTATACCATGTAATTTGATTTGATTGTTTTTCTTTGGTTAAAAGTCTTTCATGGTTTCTTATTGTTTTAGTATAAAATAAAAGCATGGCATTCAAAAGCTTTCCTGCCCAGCCCATCACTGTAGCCTACTCTCCTCCTTGCTCTCTACCTTGTCATTCTGGATTTTCAGTTCCCAAACAGGTCTCAGGGCTTTGCTGTGTCTGGACGCTGTTTCTTTCCTTCTCATTCAGTGAACTCCTTCTGCAAGCCGAGCTCAAATACAACCTCTGCAACGTTGCTTTCCTCAATCTCTTAGGCAAAATGAATCACACTGCCTTCCTTTCTACTGTTGCACTGTTCATGTCATATTTGTGACATTGTTTTCTACATGCATGATGATCTCCTTTAGGAGGGGACCAGTCTCTGATTCAGCTTTACATCTTTAATAGCTACTGCAGTGCCTGGCACATAGCAGATGTTCAACAGAGGTTTGTTGAACAAATATTTTTGAACTATTGTGGATTGCGATGGGGGAAATTTTCTGAATGTTGTGCATTTGGTACATTCTTAACATGTGGTAAATATGAATCCTAAAAGTTTAGTGAAGAAAACTTCAGAGAACAAATGTTTACCACAGTGTAGAGTTCTTCAGTTTCCAGGATCGGAGGTGGTGTGTGTGTGGTTGATGTTTTTAGAGTGAGGCAATGGCTCAGCCCCGTGGGAGCAGATTGCATGAGACAAGCACCCAGAATGGGGGAGATAATGCCAGCCAATCTGTCAGATTTCATCATCTGCTGGTCCTGGGCTGGTAAGATTCTTTATATATGCCTCTCTCATGCTTACATCTTGTGTGGAGCTGCCTTCAAATTTCACCCTCTGCAGGTTGCTTATACAACTCAACATCTAAAAATAATAATTTAAGATAGCATATTATTTATTTTGAATTTCATAAATGAATCTTGGTGTATTTTTTGTTGTTGTTAAGCACAGATTCTAATTATTTCTGCTCTATGTTGAAATCTATAGGCATGGAGAAGAGGCAAATCTCTTTCATAGGCTACTTCTTAGTCAAGCAATAAATAATATTTTTTCTTTTAATTTTATACTGCTAAAATTATAATTATATAATTATGAAAACACAGTTTGGGGAGTAGTCCATTTATGACTCAAGTATATCGCCGGTCCTTTCTTATTGTGCACCAAAAGAAAGGACCAGCAATTTACTTTTTGAATCTGGGAAACCTAATTGTGGGTGGGGTGTGGGTGTTGGCAAATAAAATGTGTGGGTTGGCAAGTTGTTTGAATATACTTGCATGACTGTGGGTGAGGTAGTGGGTGTGTGTATGTGTGTGTGTGTGTGTGTCTGTGTGTGTAGCTCAGCAATTACAACAAAACCTCATAAGTTTTGAAAAAAGGTGGGACATAATGAACTCATGAGTAGATACCTATCATAATTACACATGCATCCTGTCTTTCTGTGCTAGTATTGTTGAAGATAGCTCTCCTTTAACAAATTGATGATATTTGAAACCCTTTATGTTCTAAGTAGTTTAAATATCTTCCTTGGACATTATTCATGTTATTAATTTTCTTTGCAATGCCTTCTTTTCAAATGTGCTACAAAGGTAACCTTCAATCAAGGTTGAATTACTGTTATTTTTAGAGTAGCAGCATCTGAAATGATGAGGTTTGATTGCAAATGTCTTTTTTCCTAGCCATAGGAGTAATAATGATAGTTCTTTCCATCAGGTTGAAACAAAGCATATGATCATCCGTGTGAGTATAATGTCTTAGGTGCTTTCCTAGAAATATATTTTATAGTCTGGTTTAACTAGGGAAAAAAGCAATTGGTAATTGCTAATGAGTTAGAAGTTACTGTTCAGGAATTTTAAGGCAGATTTTCCATTTTTGGGGTAAAAAAGGAACGATTCTGATGGGTTTAAGTATATCATCTCTTATGCATTCACATATGGCTTTGTGTGAAAAAGAAAGAGACAGTTCTAAATGGGTAACTTGGCAGGAATGCTGGTGATAGGAGATGATTTTACAGAGTTGATAGAAAGAGCAGGTTTGGCCTTGAATGCAGAAATCTGGCCTCTGTGGGCTGAATACAGAGAAAGGACAGTGAATTTCCCAATATTATTGTTCCAAAGGTGTGGCAGCAATATCAAAGCCAAAAATCCATTGTTGGAGCCACAAATCTCAAATTAAAGAATGTTGCAAGCATCCCTTTCATGTAATGAACTGGGTCCAGGTTTCATCTGAGTGATAGCTTAATTGCTGGTCAATGACCTTTTATTTTTTTCTTCTGCTTAAGAGATTAAGCTTTATTCAGGGCACAGCTGAAGAGAGAACAAAGAGTCAGTAAATTAGCAGCATAATCTGTTGAGTCATGAGAACATAAAGCCTTTTCCTACACGCACAGAAGCATTTCAGCTTGGATGACACAGATCTGTCCTTTAAGGGCCATAGGGATTGTTGCTTCTTCCTCCATCCCTCCCTATAGGTTTAATGCCAGCCACGGTGCCCCTTTCCCATTTTTATTGTTGAAGTTTTCTATCCTTCCTGTGGGGAAAAACATTTCTCTTCTTACTTCCATGAAACTGCTCGTGAAGGTCACCATGGCTTCAGCCTTGCTACATCCAAAGCTTGGTTCTCAGTCTTCATCCCATCTCACCTTGCAGCAGCAGCCGACACAGTCGCTCACTCTCTCTTCCAGCAAACATTTTCTTCTCTTGACTTCCAAGACTCTGCACTTTCCCTCCTACCTCTTCTGCTGCTGGATACATCTTCCCAGATGCTTGCTGCTTCCTTCTCTTTTCATTGACACATCCAGGGCTCAGACCTTAGATCGCTCCTTTTTCTCTGCCTTCCACATGCTCTTGGAAATCTCATTTGGTCTCATGGCTGTCTGTGCCGCAAACTCCCACACGAGCACCTCCAGCCCACACCTGTCCCTGAATTCCAGACTCACAGAGCCAACCATCTATTCCATGTCTCTGCATTTCCACCTTCACGTGTCTGAAACTGAACTCTAGATCTTTCTTCCAAGTTGGCTTTCCTTGCCTTCTTTCACATCTCAGTTAAGGACAGCTTCATGTGTTTAAGTGCCCGAGCCAATTGCCTTGGAAGCATCCCTGACTCCTCTCTTTTGCTCACATTCCACATCTAACCTTTCAAAAAACCCTAATATCTGGAATCTCGTTACCACTTCTTACTATCTCCACTGCAACCACTTTGGTCTGATCCACAAACATCCCTTGCATGGATTCTTGCAGTTGCCTTTTAGCTGGTCTTCAAGCTTCCATCCTTGTCCTCCAAGGTTGATTCTCCCCATTACTCTCAAAGTAGACCAAGGCCCTCATTAAGACCAATGAGGCTCTGCATGATCTGTCCCTTCCCCCAACCATTCCCTCTCTGACTCCTCTTCCTGTCACTCATCCATTTCAGACACCATGGCCTCTTTGCTGTACCTTTAACTTTCTAGATGTGTTTCTATTTTAGGGCCTTTGCACCTGTGGTTCTCTCTGCCTGGAATGTTCTTTCCCAGACATGTGCATCATGAACTCCCTCACTTAAAATCTCTGATGTCATTTTCTTGCTGAGGTCACCTTGACAACCCTAAGTACCATTGCAACCCTCTCCCTCCAGCCCTGCTGACTCTCCTGCTCTATTATTTTTCTATAACAATTATCATCTAGTAAGATATTATATAATATGCTTATTTTTATGCTTTTGACAATTGTCAGCCATTTCCCACTAGAATGTAATCTTCATGGGGGCGGGGACTCTGTCTGTTTTGTACCCCAG
The DNA here is from genome assembly GCF_000001405.40 of Homo sapiens. Lineage (NCBI taxonomy): Eukaryota > Metazoa > Chordata > Mammalia > Primates > Hominidae > Homo > Homo sapiens. The sequence goes on from NC_000008.11 coordinate 74,096,722, forward strand.
CACCTATGATGGTATATGACACATAGCAGGTCCTCAGTGGATGTTTGTTGAATGAATGAAAGAAAGCTATAGATGCTAGGATGGCTGGCTTGCTCCCAGGGTGATGTGAATACTTCTCTCTCAAGCCTTTGATCGGGGGAGACCTCACTTCCTAAAGTGTTTGTTGGGGAGCAGGAGCAAGAATGAAGTTTCCCTGGGGGTAGTTTCTGGGAGAGAGAAAAAGAGAGCAGACCTTTCCTGCTGTTGCAGGGATGACTTGGGTGGTTCCTACTTGAGTGACGGAGGTGGGTGGTCAGGGAGCCTGGACTGGCTTGATGTATTTTGTATTCTGATATTTTTGCTTAACATTATATCATGAGCATTTCCTAATTTTAAAAATAATTTTCATGGTGATTGTTTTAATGACAGCATACTTAAAATACAGTGTTAATGACCCAGCCTTGAAAGTAGATATGTGGATGCATGGAGATGATCATGGGTTGCTTTTGAGAATCTGAGGGTAATGTAGTTAAGAGCACAGGTTACCGTTAGGCTGTCTGGGTACAAATCCTGACTCTGGCCCTTTCCGCCTGTGTGCTCTTAGACAATTCACTTTCCTGTGCCTTACTTTCCTCCTCTGTAAAATTGGAATAGCAACAGTACCTGTATCTGTAACAGTAGTAGTGTTATTTTGGAGAATAGAAGAGTTGATATTTATAAAGTACTTGGGGCCAGGCACATTGGCTCATGGCTGTAATCCCAGCACTTTGGGAGGTTGAGGTGGGTGGATCACTTGAGGTCAGGAGTTACCAGCCTGGCCAACATGGTGAAACCCCGTCTCTCCTAAAAAATGCAAAAATTAGCTGGGTGTGGTGATGTGTGACTGTAGTCCCAGCTACTCAGGAGGGTGAGGCAGGAGAATCGCTTGAACCCGGCAGGCGGAGGTTGCAGTGAGCTATCGTGCCACTGCACTCCAGCCTGGGCCACAGAGCAAGACTCTGTCTCAAATAAATAAATAAATAAATAAGTAAATAAATAAGTAAATAGATAAATAAATAAACAATGTACTTGGACCCCAGTTACTCAAAGTGTGGTCTTCAGACCAGCATCATCAACAATACCTAGGGGCTTGTTATAGTAGAAATGCAGACTCTCAGACCTGGCACCAGCCCTGCTGAATCAGAAGCTGCCTTTTGACACTATCCCTAGGTACTTTCTATGGCCAGCAGAGAAATTGACTTAAGCAGTGCCTGGAACACAACAAGTACTACATAATGTTGGTTAAATTTTAGAGCAGGTATGGTTTTTCACCAGTCAGACCTCTAAGGCTTATTTCTTGTTTGTGTCAGGTAAGCTTTTCCAATAAATAGCTGGGGGACTGTCTCAGGCCAATTACTGTGTACCTCTGGGCTTCAGCTTACTTGTCTGTGATGTGAGAGTCAGAAATGAGTAATTTCAGAAGTATCTTGCCAGCTCTAGCCCTTCGGTATTCAATACTGCCTCTCAATTCACACTTTACTGAGCAGGGAGTTAAAGAAGACCCAGGATTTCTTTTGGAAACTGTATAAAAAAGTAAGGCCTTAGAAAAATGTTTACAAATGTCCCTTATGGTGCAAGCTAATCATGCCAGAATTGTCCGAATTAAAAAAAATCTCACAGGTTCATCTTATTCTGTCTTTTTATATTCTTTTTGGAGACAGAGTCTTACTCTGTCACCCAAGCTAGGGTACAGTGGCATGATCTTGGCTCAGTGCAACCTCCGCCTCCTGGGCTCAAGCGATTCTCATGCGCCAGCCTCCTAAGAAGTTGGGATTACAGGCACCCACCACCACGCCCAGCTAATATTTTGTATTTTTAGTAGAGACTGCCATGTTGGCCAGGCTGATCTCAAGCTCCTGACCTCAAGTGATCCACCCACCTTGGCCTCCCAAAGTGCTGGGATTACAAGTGTGAGCCACCACACCCAGACCATCTTATTCTGTCTTAGTATTTATTTGATGATACTAAGAACTTGCAGAATTCTGTTGCTCTTGACAGCAGCTGGTCTATTATTAGCCCTTTTAGAATAAAAAACAATGACCCTTACAAATTATCTAACTTTTGGTGACATAATTGCTTCATAGCCCATGATTCAGACAGAGTTAGCAATTCTAAGAGATTAATTTTCTAAAATGTAGCCAGTAATCACACCCTAACAGTCTGAAAGGGGTCCTAGAAAATAGTCCTTACTTTATAGAACAGGAAAATGAAAAGGAGGATGCCTCTCCTGAAAACATTTTTATAACCACTATCAAGATTTTCAACATGTTTCTATGACTGGCAGAATACAGGTCCAATTCCTTGGCCTGGTTGGTATTCTTGACCCATTTTTATTTGGCTCTAAATAATCTTTTATGGACTGAATTTTGTCTGTGTTCTTTCCACAAATTTACGTGTTGAAGCCCTACTTCCTGATATAACTATTGGGAAATACAAGTAAAATTCTAAGCCCCTCAACTGAGTAAACAGACCTTCTCTTGGCCATGGCAACCCCAGAATAACCTTGAAAACGGTCCTCAGCCATGATGGTATGGGAGGTTGGACACATCTTGTTATATCCGCTCCCTCACTAACAGCCATTAGGCCTTCTTCCCTACAGGCTAAACAGAAACTAGCCCTCTCAAAAGACTCTGCTGCTGATATCAACCAACCACCTTATGCTGCCCCTCCCTTTTGCAGTTTTGGTGCAACAACAGACCAGCATTTCTTCCTGATGAGAGACAATTGACCATGGAGTGGTTCTGGCCAGTCTATGGAGAATGTGCAGCAAAGGTTTTCCTGTCATCTGCTTCATCTTTTGATGTCAGAGGGCCTAAAACTCCACCCTGGGATTATGCTAACACTGCCATTTTTTGTACACAGGACCCATGAAGAGGCATGAAGCTCAATTGCACATGTGCATGTTTTTCCTTTTGTAAATATTAATGACTCCTCCTATAATCTGTTGAATATGTACACTTAACCACTCAACTTACCATACGTTTCTGTTCCCTTTTCCCCTCCCTTGAAGTATCTGTTTTTGGCTTCTGACCAGAGACTACACTTCCCAGCCTCTGGGAATGGCCACCCTGCAGGCTGAAACTCTTCATGAGAAATAAAGCTCTTCTTTCTAAATTTATGAAACTTGTCATTCTTAAATTGATATGATATTTGGAGATAGAGCCTTTAAGAAGGGAATTAATGTGAAACGAGGTCATGAGAATGAGGCCCTAATCTGATAGGAGTGGTGTATTAGTCTGTTTTCATGCTGCTGATAAAGACATACCCAAGGCTGTTTATAGAAAAAGAAAACGGACTCACAATTTCATGTGACTGGGGAGGCCTCACAATCATGGCAGAAGGCAAACGGCACGTCTTACATGGTGGCAGACAAGAGAGAATAACAGAACTTGTGCAGGGAAACTCCCCCTTATAAAACCATCAGATCTCACAAGACTTATTCACTATCACGAGAACAGCATAGGAAAGACCCACCCCATGATTCAACCACCTCCCACCAGGCCCATCCCATGACACGTGGGAAATGTGGGAGTTACGATTCAAGATGAGATTTGGGCGGGGACACAGCCTAACCATAACAACTGGTATCGTTATAAGAAGAAGAGGTACTAGAACTCACTCTCTTTCTCTCTGCATAAACAGAGACGAGGCTACATGAGGATACAGAGAAAAGGCATTGTCTGTAAGTTAGCAAGAGAGGCCTCACCAGAAACCAACCTTGATGCCACTTTGATCTTGGACTCCAGGCTTTAGAACTGTGAGAAAATAACTGTCTGTATTTTAAGCCACCTGGCCTGTGGTATTTTATTATGGGTGTCCAAGCAGTTGAATGCATCCTCTTTCCAATTTTTTTTTCTTATGTTCCCACAAGGTGCTTGTCTCCTTCTATATGCCCAGGAGGTGCCCACTTCCTTATCTTTCTCCTGAGTCTTCTTAGGATGGCTTTCCTCTCCACTGCTGCTGTAAGAATCAGTTGGTTTTCATGGCTCTGTTCAAATGACATCTCTTCTGGGAAGCCTTCTGAAGTGGGTTGCCTAAGTTCTCTCCCAAATTCATGGTGACCCGGAAACTTAGAATGTGACCTTATTTGGAAATAGGGCCTAAGGACCAATAACATATATTTATAAGAAGAGGAGATGACCCAGAGATGCAGAAAAGATGGCCATGTGAAGACAGTGGCAGAGATTGGACTGATGCTGCCACAAACCAAGGAATGCTGGAAGCTGGAACAGGCAAGAGTTATCTTCTAGAGCCGTCAGAAGGGGTGTGGCCCTGTTGACACTAATTTTGGACTTTTGGCCTCCAAAACTGTGAGAGAATAAATTCCTGTTGTTTTATGCCACCAAGTTTGTCGTAACTTGTTAAAGCAGCCATAGAAAGCTAATAGGCCTTCTCTGATCCTCCCAGGGGAAAGTTCCCAGGGGACATTTTGCCTCTTCCCGAGACTTTCCACCTTCTATTATAGCTTATTTAATTGCATCCCATTGGTTCACCAAGACTGTGACCACTGGAGGGGAGAATCTTTGAGCCAACAAAGTACTCATCATAGAACCTTGGATATTGCAAAGTTTGTAGTCCTCAAAAATGTCTTCAATAAATGAACAGAAGTGCTGCGCTGTCAGATTTCCTAAGGGAAATAATAGCTTTTTCCCAGGACAAAAATTCTGCAACCGTGACATGTGCACATCTACTTCTGGATTAATTTACATAGGAGCATGTAGTGGGGAATGAGAATTTCCTATACAATTGTGTTAGTGATTGTTTATTGAAACTTTATGAGAGAAACATTATTGTGTAGTAGAAAGGGCACAAGACTGGGCATTTAAACCTCTGCAATTGGGTTGGAGTCCAGGTCTTTCTGATTATTGGCTGTGATACCTTAGGTAAGCCACTCTCGGGCTCAGTATCAATATGAGCAAAATGAGAACAAAATGGTGAGTGCTGCCTACCCCACGGGCATGTTAGGAAACTTGCATGAGGTAAGTTATAAGAGAGGGCTCTGGAAGCTACAAAGTCTCCAAGCTTCTGAGCTGGTTTGAGAGTTATCTAGAGTGCCTTGTGGGGTCACAGTCATAGTCACAGAGCTGTGGGAGTTAGACCTGTAAGGGAGTTTAGGGATCATATAATGAAGATCCCAATATTACCTGAGGAAACTGAGGCCAAAAGAAATTGTGACTCACTTATCTACTGTGAATCCAGTGGCCCCACAGTGGGAGCATGGGTCCCCCTTCACTAAGCTGAGATGCCATAGCAAGCAGGCAACTAGCAATGTTTCTTTCTTTGCAGAAACTAATCACAGTGAGCTCACCTGATGGAACAGACAGAACAAGTGCAGGACAATTCCCAGAAACACAATAAGAATGTTATACATAATGTCAAACTCATTTCATCAGATGATTCTTTGAAGTTCATTTTGAAGAATGTCATAAACATTTTAGCAATCCTAGTATGATAAAGGTATAACTTATGATGGCATTTATTCAAGGATTAGGTTGTAGAATAACATTATGCCCTAGATATTTGACAGACAGGAGTGTGAATTTTTAAGTCAAATAGATGAGGTGGAGATACCCAGGGAAGATACTGGCAAATCAGCAGCTCTCAATGGAAGAGTAAACGTCCATGATGTGATGTAAGTGTCCATGATATGATGCAGAGATTGACAGCCTAGTTCCTAGACCTGAAACTGTTAAAATGCTGATTCTGGTATTCCCAGTCACTTGCTGAAGAAGAAGAGGTTAAAAACCAGTTATAATGCACTGTAGATGTGAGTGATCGGTTAACTTTAAAATGTCCCTTACTGTGAGCAAGATCACATAGTTGGATGCATGAAAGAGTGCTCTATTTGTTAAGGAAATAAGAAATACAAATGAGAAACCTGGATGCTAACATTCTCAGATGGGAGCTCATTTTATTTTCTAGTAAAGAAAAACATTTTGTGGAGAGGTTCTGTGATTGTGACAAGGAATATGTCTCAAATTAAGGTTATGCTGTGCTAGATACATGAAGAACTATATCTTTAAATGACTTAATGGGACATTTTCGAGCAACTCAGCACTTGGCAGATTTCATTTTGACAAGCAGGAGCAGGTGGGTGGCTCAGGCTTCTCAACCTTGAAGAGATGACCCCAAATGACTTTGTGTTTTCCTGATAGCTGCAAGATAAAATAAGGGTTAATTAACTGTCTAGGGGAAGTTACATCCATTGCTCTGGTGAAGGGGAGAGGATTGTGTGACAGATGAATAGAAAGAACCAGTGTCAGGAAAGCACACAGTGACATATGTGCTGGGAAGCATGCTGGCCAGTCATCCCTGGGGTCCGGTCCGGTGGTAATGGTTTCTGTTCAGCACGAAGGAATTAAACACAACAGTCAACGGTGCTCGCACAAGAGTGCATACTTCTGCAATTCTTGAGTGAGAGATTTTTCTGTTTTTCTACCCTTGGGCGAGGAACCGACCCTGCAGAGGCAATACACCTCCAGGCAGGCTTATGCCTTTTCTGAACTTTGAGAGGCTTTAAATGCTTTGAAAATAAGTAACTTTTCTGAAATTGCTTCAAATCGGGACCCTTTTGACACTCTTTTTCACTTTTTCTACTGCTTCTATTTTCTCCATTAGTGCCTCTCCCTCTTCTGCTTCCTCTAATCTCTGTCCCTGCCAGTCTGGGTCAAGTTTCTGGCACCTGACTTGTTTGCCAGGAAAAAGACAACTGCGGGTGAAGGAGAAAACCCTTTCCTGCATGCTCGGCTGCCTTCGGATCCAACGCTCCTAGCTGGGAGATGGGAAGCTGTGGGCTGCGCAGTGGGTCTTTATGGTCTTGGAAAGGGGACACCCCACCTTGTGCTCATCTTTGTAGAATCTGGGCAAGTTTGGGGGTCCTCATAAAGATTTTGAAATTTTTGAAGTCTATTCTCTGCCTGTTTTTCTAAAAAATTCTTCAGTAGGTGAATAATTTACTTAACATTGTGTACTTGGGAGAATATGATGATGGGGACAGAGCATGCTGCATTGCATGGCTTCTTAGGAAGAAAACACTATGGGCTGCCCTGCAGAAATGCAGGCAGAAGCTGTCATCAGTGAATGTTGGGAGGATCCATAATGTTGGATTGGAATAGAACTAGAGTGAGGTATTTGATTTTTGTTTTGTTTGTTTGGTATAAAAATTCTATCAGATTCTCTTATGTTCATATTTCTCCCTGTATTTATAAAAGAACAGTTTTGCAAACCAGAAAAAAGATATACACAGTTGGCCCTCCATATCTTTGGGTTCTGCATCTGTGGATAGAACCAATTGCAGATTGAAAATATTCAGAAAAAACTGCGATATGTGTAAGTCTTTGGGAGTTCTTGCTGTATAAATAATTACTGTGAAGTTTCCATTTCATATATGTAGACAGACTCTTGGAAATATCTAAGATAGTAACAATGGGAAGTGGTGATATATTGAAAGAAGAAAGAGAACAGCACAAATTGAATCAGAATCTTAGTTTTTTAAAGCAAATGTGGATGTGAACATATATTACTGTGTAGTCGTCTCTGAATGTCTAAGGGAGACTGGTTCCAGGGCCCCCGAGGATACCAAAACCTGCGAATGCTCAAGTCCCTTGATCTAAAAATGGTGTAGTATTTGCATATAATCTATTCACATTCTCCTGTATACTTTAAATTGTCTCTAGATTGCTTATAATATCTAATACAATGTAAATGCTATGTAAGTAGTTGTCACACTGCATGGTTTAGAGAATAACAATAAGAAAAAAAAGTTATTTATACAGCATGGACTCCCAAAAGACTTACACATATAATAGTCAGATCATGATTTAAAAATCGCTACGTCAGGTCTTTCAATCTTTAATTCCATATTTATTTTGCTTTTCTCACTCTCTCCACATACATTAATATACTTATATGTAATATATACAATATTTTTCTAAATCTTGATCATTTGATTGAGTTGGTGTTTGCCAGCCTTCTCCACTGTAAAATTGTTTTTCTCTTTGCAAATAGTAAAAAATTTGTGAGGAGACGCTTTACAATTATGTAAACATCCTATTTGTCATCAAATTTTCCTGTACTTGTTAGCATCCACTGATAATTTCCCAACTCCATCATGCCAAGAAATAAATGTGGAAGGAATGATTAAGTTAGAAAATCAAAAATCTATTTTTATAAAAAGAATCTGCAACATTCCTTTACTATTCTGGAATGTATTTTATAGGTGGTATAATCTATCTACAAATAACTTCAACTGTAATATAAAGGAGAAACAAAAGGTTGATAATGTATAATAAAAATAATGTGTATTTCAGTATGTAAATTCTTTGGCACTTCTGTACAAGAGGATACATTGGGAGTCAGGTGTGTGCCCCTATGTGAGAAATCATGGTGCGGGGACAGCTACATGTGCAGAGGTGGCCTGCTGATGTCTCAGAATCAGCCAGTGGTATTGTGTTGGTAATGTGATTTTTGAAACCAATGAACAACTTTTGGTAAAATTTGAAACAAAGTGTGCAAAATATTCCTTCAATTACCCCATATTCACAATCCCACCGAATTTGGTATACATTAAAATAGTGCAAAAATTATTTGAGTTTAAATCTAAGATGTCTATAAAATTTAGATAACTATAGTTTTTTTATCTACATGGATGCTGGGCGGGACATTTGACAAATTGTATGGGATGTGGATAATTCTTTGGAGTGTGGCACCAATCTGCTCATTTCAGGATATCTGATACCTCTGGTTTGAACCCACTAGAAGTCTTTTGCATACTCTAATCATCCAGACAATAAAATAACTCCCACAAATGTCCAAAATGTCCTCTGGAGGTGGTAATACTGGTTGAGAAGCAATATTCTGAGCTCTCTCATAAGCTCAGATTCCTGACCACTGGTGCCCCTCCCCTTTGCCAACAACAACAAGAACACAAAAAGCACATATGTTGGTTTTTCCTTGGTGTTCCTAATATTCTAGTCCTTCACCTGTTTGCTTTAGCCCTCTCTATTGCGTCTTGTAGGTCTTGGGCATGAGAGACTTTTTAATTTCCACGGATGCATAATATGTTGATTTGAGGTTTAAGAGAACAGTGGCAAATGGCCTGATCCACCATATTTACCCCTTCATGGGGATGAATACGAAGATTAATATCTCCTTCAGTTAAGACTAGGAAGACAAGGGACATTTTCAAGGACTCAAACCAAGGCTCTAATTCTTCCATATACTTCTCCCCCAACATTTGGAGATGTCTTTAACGTTCCATCAAAGGTTTTGCTCCTTGGTGTCCCTGAATTTAGATCAAAATCTGGAGCAGAAATGTGATCAGATAACAGGAAAGTCTGGTTTTGAAAGGCTATCTTGCCACATTGAAATAAGAAGTATTATAAACAAGTGCTTGAGTGACCAGCAATGCAATTGTGGAGAATCAGCCTATTACTTGATCTTCTAAGTCATTAAGAATGTTTTGACCAAGAAGAGCCTGGCCTACTTGATTTAAATCTGTTTTAAACAATAATAATGTGAACAAGTCAAAGGAATTTTAAGGAAGGATAATTGTATTTGAGCTGAGAGGTTTCTGTTGACTGAGTTTGGACAGACATATTATTAATAACTAAAACATGTGGTATTTTTGTTTGTCATCATTGGAGTATTCCTGGAGTCAATTTCCCCTCTGGTTCTCCATTTTTCTCTCTGTTTTGCTTCCTCAGGCCTCCCATAATTTTGCTTTCTTTAATGCTTTCATGTTCCAACTTTTTAGGCATGATGAATCTGACTTCTAACTGAACTGAGCAAATGATTTCATTACAGTCATGCTTTAAAATCACATTTACAAATTCTCATAGGTCAGCAGCAGAGATACTGGAAACTGGGAGTGCCTACCAAGCACAGATGGGCTACATTAATTTTGTGGCTTTCTCTTTGTTCTTTCAGACTGTTTCATGAGGCCTTCTCCCATCTAGAATCTTTCTCAGGAGTATTCTGGATGCTTTGACCTGGATCAGTTACTGCTTTGGTTTGTGGCAACATGAAAACTGGCACAACAGGACAAAAATGAGTTGATTATTTCAGCTGAACTTCCTGGGAGTTTCATTCACAATAAAGGAGAGGCAGAACAAGTAGAAAACTGGAACATGCAGCTCCTCATTATGCCTTTGTTGTACCATCCATGCAGTGAATGTTTACCAAATTCACTTTATGCCTCATAGCAGGAGGCCACAAGGAGAGTGACTGAGTTCCCATGGCTACCACAGGAGGCCGCCAGGTGGGACAAAGAATTCAGGGTGAGGAAGTAGATGGCCTGGGTCCCCATTTCTGTTGTTACCTCCTAGCAGTTAGCATGTCTGAACCTCAGACTCCTTATAAAAACCCCAGTTTTGTCTACAGCTCAGTATGATTGTGAGAATCAAGTGAAACAAGAAAACTCCAAGGATGAGTTAAAGAAAAAAACCCCACAAGCATTTACAACAGCACAAAGCAGCTTTTTTGAGACCACATAGATGGGAATTAAGTTTCAGGAGTCTGGGGTACAAGCCTGAAAGTACATCCACTCTGTGCCTCCCAGGGAAGCTGAGAGGGCTGCATGTTCCGGAGCAAACCCTTTGAATGAGGGCGGAGTGGGCAAGAGAACAAGTGAGCCATCCTATTGTTTCTTCAACCTCAAAATGTCAAAATTGAACTCATCACTTCTTGACCTTGGCTTTAGGCCACCACTTCCCCTTCATGGCGCTCTCTGGCCCTAATACCCTGGCCTTTTGAAGTTAATAGCACGGAAGGCAACCGTGTCCACCCACAGTGTGATTCTTGGCTGCACTGTGAGGACCAGACACTGGGCCAGAGTGGATGTGGCTCTGATGTCTTATGATTCCCCCCATTGTATGCTCAGAATCTTGTTTAGTAAGGCTGCCAAGAACGGAGACTACCTAGAGAAGGTTTTCACTTAAATAATTCAGCGTGGCATTGAACAAAGTCAAATGGCAAATGATAAAATTGGAGAGAAAGAACTAGACTTAGGATTCAATCATCCAGGCTCTACTCTGGACTCTCTACTTATTTTTTGTTTGGCTTTGGAAAAGTTACTTCACCTGTTTGCACCTCAGTTTCCTCATTTGAAAAAGGGGGTTAAGAATCACTGCCGCTATGAAGTTACAGGGCTGCTATGAGAGTCGGATGGAAGGATGTATTTGGTGTGTCATCAACTGACGAGCTCCCTATGGTACAAAGAACACAAAGTAGATTTGGGGTGATTCGTTGTTAAAGGCAATCAGAAAGAAACTAGAATTTATTGAGGTTTGTTATGAACCTGACTTCATGTTTCATATATAATCACATTCACTTTTCACAAGAATCCTGTGAAGTGGGTATTATCATCCTCCTTTTTCTCAGAGAGGTTAAGTAACTTACCCAAGATTACACGCTGCCAACTGACCTGGCTGGAATTCAAATCCAGGTCAGGCTGATTCCAAAACTCTTGTTCTTGGTATGACATCTGCTGTCTCAATAGAAGAACAAATCATATATATTTGTGTATATAATTTATATACATATATATATTCTTTTTTTTTGAGATGGGGGTCTTACTCTGTCACCCAGGCTAGAGTGCAGTTGTGTGATCTCAGCTCACTGCAGTCTCTGCCTCCCAAGTAGCTAGGACTACAGGCCACCAACACACGGCTAATTCTTTTTTTTTTTTTTGTATTTTTGTAGTGATGGGGTTTCGCTGTGTAGCCCAGGCTGATCTCGAACTCCTGAGCTCAAACGATCCATCTACTGTGGCCTGCCAAAGTGCTGGAATTACAGGTGTGAGCCACCGCATCCGGCCTAAAACAAATATATACTTTGACTCTAGGCAGTACATTAGTGATTTCTCTACCTGTATGTAGAGATAAAACAAAAAAGCAGATTCGAAAATTCAATACTTATATCTTAATCCAAACAACACTTCTGTATTTGAGAAAGGAAAGTCCAGGCTAAATGGATGTCTCAGAGAGATTCAAAGCTGAAGGTTTTGCAGACACCACACCTAAGTGGGTGTTTAATCCAGAAGCGTTAGGAGAAGAATGCCAATTGACAGGACTGCCATGAGATTCCATAGGGACAGTAAACATCCATTGTGATAGCCTGAAGCCAAAACACATGCCATCAGCAGGCAGCTGAATCCACAAATCCAGCTGCATCTGGCTGCTGGGAAGCATTTCACATCATCTTTGCCGGCAAGAGCTCAAACTCACTAGATTTAAATGAAAACTACTGATAGGAAATGCAGAGAACTCATGAAGGAATGTGTTCGGTAGAAACTTAAGTGCAAAGCTCTAAATGTTTTGTTTCTAGGGATCGATGAGAAGGCTTAAGGATCTAAAATCTGGGCATTTTAGATCTGCTTAGTACAGGAATAATTTGCGGCCTCAGGTTTAGAGTCATGTTTGAAAAACTGGCCCCTGGATTGCAGGAAAACAAAAAACAATATAGCCATTTGGTATGACTTGTTATAAAACTTAGCTGGTGGTTTTTAAAAATAGTTCCAAACCAAATTAGCTCTGGGCACCTGCTGGAGCTTAGTATGTTTTCAGATAGACTTGTTTGCTGTCAGCCAAAAAAAAAAAAAAAAAAATCCAACCCAACAAAACCTTCCACCCACATGGTTTGTTATAAAACCTGACATTACTAATGCTTTTCCAAGCCACTTTTCTTAGATCAAATCATTCAAATAAAAAAACATGGCATCTGACATCTTGAAAGAATGGGGCAAATTATTTGCTGTTAGATAACAGTTTCAGAAAGTCATGGGAAGAAGAAAGGTAGGAAATGTTAGAAAATACAATGTATTAATCACTGTGTGAAAGCTTTTCTAATTCTTCATGTGACTTCATTCCAACACGGATATTATAATATGGCCGGAATGTTGGGATTTATGGTTCTATAGGATAGGCCCCTTAAACCATCTGTTATTGCAATGTTTACCCAAGATGTGCGTGGATATAGCTGTTTCAAGTGATTTGGACATTTTGTTTATGTGACAGAAAAGATATAATTGATATTTAAATGAATAATGGCAACAATGACAGCAACCAAAGTGGCAAAAATCATTTTCTGGAGATTTTATTTTTTAGGCAATATTGAAAGCTGTCCATTGCTCACAGAGTATGTTAAGACTTGGATCAACATTAACAAATGAAAACCTCATTTCTGCAGTGCTCTGAGGGTTATTTAGGTTTCACAGATCTTATTTAAATTCTGATCTGTAGCAGTTCTCTGACTGCAGTTGGGAAAGAATCCTGTTTAATTATACATATGTTTTATATAGTAAAATGGCTTCAAAAAGCCTCTCTTACCATCACTAGTCTACATATCATTGAATAAAATACTACTGACTCACTAGTGATTCACCCTGCCTTCCTGAATAACTTTGAATAATTTAACTTCCTAACCACTGCAGGTTCTTGAAATCAAATTGGTATCTTAGAAGTCCGGATAGGAGTAATTATAATAATAATGGCAAGGATATTGATGACTACTATTTTTATTGTTACTACTACTTACTAAATGCCTGGTACTAAAATAGACACTTTATATGCATTTTTGATATACCTGATAACAGTCCCATAAAAGTTATTATTAGCCCATTTTATAAATGGGGAAACAGGATCTTAGAGTTTGCACAGCTTAAAAAAATGGAAATATTGGAATCTGAATCCAAAACAGCCTGACTCAAAACAATGTTCTTTCCATTATGCAAGGGAAAAAAAAAAAGGTTGAGTATCAGAGAGAAGGTAATAGGAGACATTTTCTCCAGGGAGTGACCCATAAGATGGCAAATGTGCTTTGCTCCCCATTAGAGGGTTCTGGAACCCCAGACATAAATATGATATAGAAACACTCTAATTAGCTCTAAATGAGGAGATGCGGGTCAAAACTTGCAGAAATTCTCTAGGCACTCTTCTTAACAGGTGTGGTTTAAATTAACCCAGACAAGCACAGTAAGAAAAGCTGCCTTATTTGTTGCTGAAAGGCCTGGTCAGATACAATCATTAAAGTGTGTGAGTTCTCTATTGAGTAATCCACTTTTGCTATGGAAATCTTAAAATAAACTCTTCTTTATGAATGTGAAGGCTCACTAATTCTCCTTTCACTAAACCTCAAACCCTGTAATTTTTACTAAGTATCCGAGAGTCTCACAAATGCTAATACCAGAGCATTTTAGTCTATCACAAAGATTTTGTTTTAAATTACCGTTGAAAAAAAATCAGATTCAGCATTTCCTATAAGTAATTGAAATGAAACTGGATTTCCCAAATAAAGGAAAGTATTTTAGTGGAGTTAATCCTTGATTTGTCTTATTGACAGCAATTTTTACTTAAGCTTTTGGCATTATTTTTCTGCACTGTTTTTTAAGGTTTAAGATGGGATTAAAGCATACATGGCATTGCTATTTATGTATTTAATTGTTTATCTCAGAGTATTTAGATCTCGGTTTAGCAACCTAAACCAATTATTTATTGGTCTTGTACTTTTTTTTTTTTTTTTTAAATAGAAAGGGCTCAAGCTTTGTATGAGTCCTTGTACACTTCAGGTGACCAAATCAGAACACCTGAAAAATTTGGTCGGCTTCATTTGCCACCACTTATTTACACAGCTGAGTCATGTATTAAGAATTTGAAAGCATCTCCCATTACTGCTTGTGTAGACTAAGTTAGTCCTCAATGAATTGGACCAGGGTTGAAAATAATCCTATTGTGATCCGTCTGAGGTTATGTAGGCTTGGCTAAAAATACCCTGCTACATCCTTACAGAAAATTAAAAAACGGTAAAGATGATGTAAGTAAACAACTGAATAGCAATGCATTTATCTCATGATAAATGTAATCAGAAGACCTCTACTAGCTGAAGTCTTTCTTTAACATCTCCAAGCTAATATGGACTTTCTCTTTTAAATTTTGCTGCCTAAAGTACTTAGGTCATATCTTTTTGTTATGCAAGGCCGTCTGCTAGAATATACCATTTCTTTGTGCATATTACAAAAAGGAACCCTGCTGATTGGACCAATTACAAAAAAGTACCCCTTGCTCTGGGTCTGGGTTAAGGTAGCTCTGTGCCAGCTCTGTGCAGACTGGATTTCAGCCCTGCTTGTTTTTCCTTGTGTGTGGTGACCTGTTCTTATGCTACTTATAGTTTGTCCTGTCTCACAGATATTTGTATTTTATCACTTACTAATTTATTCACTTGAATGTTTAATGAGCACTCATTACATACCAGGTATTCATTAAGCTCTGGAGAATCCAATGATTTATAAATAAGACCTGGACTCTGCCCTCAAGGAACTCATGTTTTAGTCAGGGTGAAGGATACTGTCAATCAGTATCCCAGCAGCAAACAGATGGCACAGTCATAGGATAAGTTAAAGAGAATGTAATAAAGGGGATTATTCACAGGACAGGGTGTAGGGAACTTACAAGGGATAGTGTAGGATCTAGGGGCTAGCAAGGCATGGTTAAAATGGTGGAGTGGGGGAAGCAGTTACTGGAACCCAGAGAGAGAGAGTGCTGGCTGGAGAGGGTCCCTGGCCAGAGCTAAACTTAGGAGGAGGGTTACAGCAGGGACTGGGGGGACTCTGCAATGAGAGAGGTGGGTGGAGGGAATAAACACCCCATTCTCACTCTACTGTCCTCTCATCTCCTCATTATTTAATGGTGTTCTTCATTGGCTGAACCTGAGCAGAAGTCAGGAGACTAGGATGCTGATTGATATATTCTTTAGAGTTCAGCCTTTGGGGTGCAGAGAACAGATGTTAAGGAGGGTAGAGGAGGGTGGAGAGTGGGTCTAGAGGAGAAAACAGAAGATATCCAGCATGGTCCATTCCTCTTGCCTCTCTCTATCCACTTCTGTCCTTTACATAGCTAAAAGGTTGTGTTCCAATACAGGAAACATACAAAATCCCATCAGTTTCCACATCACTGACATTGATATCATCAATCTGGTCATACTCCCAGCTGAAAACTAAAATGTCAACAATCACCAGTGTCCTTCATATAAAGTAATGCGGGTGTGAGGGACAACTTATTAATATAAAATATAGCTGCTACCTTGTCTACCTCGACAGCTCGTCACAGGGCTTAACTGGTAATGATAGTTGTCTTTGTCCTGCCGCTGTTTCCCTCGTTCTGTGTTCACATCCTGTCTGGTGCTATGGACTGAATGTTTGTGTCCCCCCTCAAATTCACATGTTGAAACTCTACCCCAAATGCTATGGTATTCAGTGGGATCTTTGGGAAATTATTAAAATTAGATGAGTCATGAGGGTGGACCTTCCTCAGTGGGATTAGTGCCTTTATGAGCAATGAGAGAGCTTACTTCAGCTCCCTGCTTTCTGCCACCTGACGATACAATGAGAAATTGGAAGTCTATCTGAAAGAGGGTCCTCACCTGATCTCAGACTTCCAGCCTCCAAAACTATGAGAAATAAATGTCCATTGTTTATAAGACACCCAGTTTATAGTATTCTGTTATAGCAGCTGAGTTAAGAGTGCTTTACCTGGTGAGGTGACCCAAACCTTCATTCCTATGGGATCTGAGTCCTTGGATTCCATTTTGTGTTGCTGTAGTTTTCCATTGACCATGAGTTACTGTGCACATCTACTAAGAGGTGCCCTAGTGAATTCCTGTGTTTCAAACATAGTCCTTCATGCTTCCATTATGCAGCAGCAATCTAGTTTCCTCCTGGTAATTCAGATCAATCACCCTGGCCAGTAGAATGACCTTTTTCCTCTGTCTGTTAATTCATAGCCATGAGAACTTCAAAAAGGCAAGAGGGCAGCCTCAGGATTCATCAGAATAGTGACTGTGTTTCCTGGTAGAAGCATGCTTCCTTTGGGCATGAAGACCTCTAAACCCACTGAGCTCAAAGTCACGTTGAGAGTAAACAACATTTCTTTGAATTGTGGGAACAAGATGAGAAAATTCACTAGATATAATAGTGAGAGGGAGTACTTCTACCTTCTTGCTCTGGTTTCTGGACCCATGCATTCTAGCTCTGGGGGAGACAGGACCACATAGTGGAAACTGGCTTAAGACATGTACTGCACCCTGTAGGATAGCACCCTAATCTCCAGTGTGCAATCCCCCAACTGGTACAGCAGCTGATATTTCAGGAGGCCATTCTAGCTTTACATCAAGCTAGGAGAAGATCAATGAATGACATGGATACAAGCTCATTGCCATTCTTCTTTTGACTTAAAATATTTCCCCTGAGGCTGGGCATGGTGGCTCATGCCTGTAATCCCAGCACTTTGGGAGGCCGAGATGGGCAGATCACAAGGTCAAGAGATCAAGACCATCCTGGCCAACATGGTGAAACCCTGTCTCTACTAAAAATACAAAAATCAGCTGGGCGTGGTGGCACACGCCTGTAGTCCCAGCTACTAGGGAGGCTGAGGCAGGAGAATTGCTTGAATCCGGGGGGCGGAGGTTGCAGTGAGCCGAGATCGCACCATTGCACTCCAGCCTGGCAACAGAACGAGACTCTGCCTCAAAAAAGAAAAAAAAAATTTTCCCCTGGATGGAGAACTTGTGTAGGACACCAATGGCAAAAGTAAAGCTTTCTGCAACTCCAATTAAGGAAAGCACTTCAGGCAGAGGAGACAAGTCTGTCCCCCAGAAAATAAATCAAATATGTGAGGACAAATTGACACACTTTCTATCATGGAAGAAGTCCACTGTAACTTATCTGCCTCCAGGTACCTGGGCCCCTGAGAAATTGTGTCATGTCAGGGGTTCAGTGTTGGCCTCTACTGTTGGCAGGTTGGGCACTCAGCAGGTGTGGTAGCTAGGTGCATCCTTCATCCCCGCTACCATGGCCCCCTTTTACATGGCCCATGGAGCAAACACTGGGGAGGCTGAGGAAAGAGGCTAAGGAGACAGAATCGGTCATTTTACCCACCTGATTGTGGAGAGCCTCCCCAAAAGCCATCTTTCTAATGAATATTTTTATACCTGGTCCATTCGAAGAATTCATCCACAAATCTCTTCCCCACTCACTCTTGTCATCAATTTTCCAATTTTGTTCTCATCAAGTCCATGACCATCCAGCCAACACTGTTAGTCTCTGCCCATGAGTTAGTGTAGATCAACCATTTTGCCTTTCTCATGAGGTGGACAACCAGATGTACCTCCCAAAGTTCTGCCTGGGGGAGGATTTACATTAACCACTATCTTTCAGGGATGGCCTGGAAGACATACCATGCAGATCCATCTGTTACCAAACCCAGGCATTTTCCTCCTCCCTTAGCTGGCCACAGGGAGCTCCCTAGGACAGCACACGTAGATTGAGGGAGAGAGAGCAAAACACTGGAGCAGGCACTGTGAAAATTCGAGCTTCCTGCTTGTGCCTTCCCAGCATGCTCTGGCGCCTCTCTATTATGCTGTTCATAACTTACAGTGCACAATATTGTGAGTTGGTGGATCAGATACTTTATACTTTTAATACATTATACTGCAACCTGTAGGCTAGCATCTTTTAATACTTTAGTATTATTCCTGAAAATATCAAGGTAATGACCACCTTTTATGATCAAAACCCAGTTCATGATAAGCAGCTCAGGTTACTTGATGCCTCATGTCTGGCATTCAGTCCCTACCTACCAGGACTTGGAAACAAGCCAGAAACTGCATTTCAAATGGAGAATCATTGTTGGCATAAGAGTGCATGGCTTGCTGAAGTCTCATTTGCAGTGCCAATGGAAGATAACTCCTGAAAATTCTCTTACAGAAGAAGAGATCATTGAGTCAGGTTTTGAAGGATGAGAAATACATAACTGGGTGGACAAGCCATGGAACAGCATGTGCAAAAATTTAAAAAAAGTAAAATCAGCCGGGCGCAGTGGCTCACTCCTGTGATCCCAGTACTTTGGGAGGCCGAGGTGGGTGGATCACGAGGTCAGGAGATTGAGACCATCCTGGCCAACATGGTGAAACGCCGTCTTTACTAAAAATACAAAAATTAGCTGGGTATGGTGGTGTATGCCTGTAATCCCAGCTACTCAGGAGGCTGAGGCAGGAGAATCGCTTGAACCAGGTAGTTGCAGGTTGCAGTGAGCTGAGATCGTGTCACTGCACTCCAGCCTGGTGACAGAGCGAGACTCCGTCTAAAAAAAAAAAAAGTAAAATAGCGGCTGGGCACGGTGGCTCACGCCTGTAATCCTAGCACTTTGGGAGGCCAAGGCGGGCAGATCACCTGAGATCAGGAGTTTGAGACCAGCCTGGCCAACATGGTGAAACCCTGCCACTACTAAAAATCCAAAAACTAGCTGGGCGTGATGGCTCACGCCTGTAGTCCCAGCTACTCTGGAGGCTGAGGCAGAAGAATGGCTTTAACCCGGGAGGCAGAGGTCACAGTGAGCCGAGATTGCACCACTGCACTCCAGCCTAGGCGACAAGAGAGAGACTCTATCTCAAAAAAAAGGACCCCTGGGGTCCTAATCAGGGGGGCCTCAAACCTTGTAGAGGAAGTTACTGAATTCCTAGGCAGAGGAATAAGGTAAGACAGAGGAATTGTCTTATCTCTTTAAATAAAGAGACTCATGTTTGTATTCCTTCTGGTGCCTTCACAGCCTCTTACAATAGCAGATTATATGCATTTTTTGTTTTAGAATTTTAATTGGAAATGTTATATATTGTGTTGTTTATCATGTAGGTTCACAGCATTTTTCTACTAGGCTGCTAAATTACTTTTTTTTTTTTTTTAAATCAGGCATCCTCCTCAATAAATTTCACATGTGACTTGTTTAGATCCTCATCTCTCTTTCTCCATCTCTCTGGTACAGCATAGAGTCCATGTAAGGAGATTGCATGGGGGCACCTAAATGAAAATTGGCTGCTATTTGAGTCTCATTATTCAAATTTCTAATCTATTTGGGTTCTTTGCCAAGTAACTTCCTAAGAAAAAAGATTTCACCTCCTCACTTCTGTAAGATACTAATGCAAATATATCCCATTTGTTAACTTTTTTGTATTCCCTTTGTGGTACATGTAAAAGTATCTTGCCTAAACTATATAAAATATTCTACAGATAATGAGCGTTGTGTTTTTGTAAGTGAATGGCGTCTTTTTTTTTTTTCTTTGAGACTGAGTCTTACTCTGTCACCCAGGCTGGAGTGCAGTGGCACGATCTTGGCTCAGTGCAACCTCTGCCTCCCGGGTTCAAGCGATTCTTCTGCCTCAGCCTCCTGAGTAGCTAGGACTACAGGCGTGCGCCTCCATGCCTGGCTAATTTTTGTATTTTTACTAGAGACTGGGTTTCACCAAGTTGTCCAGGCTAGTCTCGAACTCCTGACCTCGTGATCCGCCCACCTCAGCCTCCCAAAGTGCTGGGATTACAGGCATGAACCACCACGCCCTGTCGCATGGAGCATTTAAAACATGAATGAATCATTGCTAAATTTTTTTTTTGTTTGAGAAATAGTCTCACTCTGTAGCCCAGGCTGGAGTGCAGTGGCATGATCTCACTCACTGCTACCTCCGCCTCCTGGGTCCCGGTTCAAGCAATTCTCCTGCCTCAGCCTCCTGCGTAGCTGGGATTACAGGCATGCACCACCATGCCCAGCTAATTTTTGTATTTTTAGTAGAGACTCGGTTTCACCATGTTGGCCAGGTTGGTCTTGAACTCCTGACCTCGTGATCCACCCGTCTCGGCCTCCCAAAGTGCTGGGATTACAGGCGTGAGCCACCGCACCCGGTCAATTGCTAAAATTTTTATAGTTTAATCAATATACATAATCTTGAAGAATGGTCAAAGTGATAGTACCAGATATCCATATCTTGGAAATACGTTGAGAAATGTATTACCTTACTTAGAGAAATACCATCAGTTCTGAAACATTGCTCCCATATTTAGAAATTAAAACTTTTGTTGTTCTGTGACAGGAGCAGGGCATACCACCAACAAAATGTGCCATCTGGGCCAGGATCCCGGGAGAGAAGGGACTGGAGAACAAATGGCAGATCAAAAGTTAGGATCAGAAACTCATGCAGTGTTTACAGCAGGTCTGAGCATGGCGTGCCTTTGATTTCAAAGACTACTCCATGCCTGGATAAGTTTTGTGGACTGGAGAACACAAAAGTAACTGGCCCTAGGGGCACACAGAGGAACACTGGGTTACCAGCAGAGAAGGTAAAGATGATTAAGTTTGCAAAGGAAGTGTGAAGGAGATATTGACCAGTAAAACAGGATTTGAGCTTCTTTCAGCAAGCATTCTGAGAAAATGCAGATGCTGTTTAACCATTGAGCAGGGCTTCAAATTCTGTGGGATTGGGATTGAGTTCCTTGAGGGTTAAAGTTGGTTATATTGTCTGTCAATAAGAGAGAAGCAGAGATTGAATTATTTTGCCAATCAACCATATTGTATCCCTTTACCCTCTAGAGAATCACATAGTTCTAAAATGCAAAGATGTTCAGCTCTGTTAAGGTTGTCCAAACTTTAGTACTATTCCTGAAAAAATCAGTATAATGATGATTTTTGTGTGTGTGTGACAAAGATTCACTCTGCTGCCCTTCCTTCCTTCCTTCCTTCCTTCCTTCCTTCCTTCCTTCCTTCCTTCCTTCCTTCCCTCTCTCCCTCCCTCCCTCCCTCCTTCCTTCCTTCCTTCCTTCCCTCCTTCCTTCTTCCCTCTCTCCCCACCTCCCTCCCTCCAGTGGCGCAATCTTGGCTCACTGCAACCTCCACCTCCTGGGTTCAAGTGATTCTCCTGCCTCAGTCTCCTGAGTAGCTGGGACTACAGGCACGTGCCACCATGCCCGGCTAATTTTGTATTTTTAGTAGAGATGGGGTTTCACTGTGTTGGCCAGGCTGGTCTTGAACTCCTGACCTCAGGTGATCTGCCCGCTTCAGCCCCCCCAAAGTGCTGGGAGTACAGGCGTGAGCCACCGCGCCTGGCCATAACCACCCTTTTACGTTCCAAACAAGATGTTAGTTTAGAAGTAAAAAAATTTCACCATGAACATAAATCAGAATTTCCTCCTCTCCTCTCCTTTCCCTCCTCCTTCTCCTTCTCCTTCTTCTTCTTCTTTTTTCCTTTCTTTCATCTCCCTTTCTTTTTTCTTTTCTTTTTTTTTTTTTTTGAGACAGGGTCTCCCTCTGTCACCCAGGCTGGAGTGCAGTGGTGCAGTCTTGGCTCACTGCAACCTCCACCTTCCAGACTCAAGTGACCCCCCCCCCACCTCAGCACCCCCGCCCCCGCCACAATCCCCAGTAGGTGGAGCCATGGGCGCCTATATTTTTTGTAGAGACGGGGTTTCACCATTATGCCCAGGCTGGTCTCAAACTCCTGGACTCAAGAGAACCACCTGCCACGGCCTCCCAAAGTGTTGGGATTACAGGTGTGAGCCACTGCGCCTGACCTAAATCAGAATTTCTGTTTTCAAAACTAAAACAGATAATGATCAAATGTGCATTATGGGGGACAATGGTCAAACATGTATCGCCTTCTTCAGTCATCATCTATAAATATTTAGTAAGCCTAAAATTACAAATAGCTTTAATAGGTGCTATGCAAAGACATGGCCACAGAGTCAGTCCATCTATCTAGTGTCTTATAAAACCACCAGCCTTGACATAAATACTTAGTTACAGGATAGGAAGGGAAAGAAAATAAGAATAATCTCCAGTCAAAGGTGGCTATCCTTAATACCCTTGTCAAAGACAACAACAGAATTCATCACTGTCATTTATGCCATTGCACTGCTTTTATTTTTATTTTACTAAATAGAATGGCAGTTTTTGTTACTGTATCAATGATCTCTTTACTTTTAACTTTAAATTGTTTTCCAAGGATATGCTTGGAGCTCTATAGAACTGCATATAGCTATAACTAAATAAACAACTTAATTTTACATTAAGGTGTTTAAAAGTCAACTTTTAAGCTTTCAGGATGGAAAGCAAGGTTAAATTACAGGGTGAAAATTGGGAGAACTTTGGGCAAGAATGAGCAAAAGGAATGTGATTGTTATTTGTAGCTTCCATATACTGAAAATAAACATTTTTTGAAGTTTTTTTTTTTTTAAACTTCTTGAACAACTCCAGTGTCTCTAAGGGTTTATGGGATAAACAGTTAGAATGTTCCTGATGTGTTGTTTGTGGCAGGATTTGCTAAAGATTGCTTCATTGCACTTCTATCCAACAATGACAATGTAAACTGGAATACACACCGTTACAGCCCAGATCTCCAGGAAAGTAAATCTTTCTTTGTTGCTTGAATTAAAGGAAATGTTTTTGAGCTCACTTCAGCTTTCCAGCAATTTCTGAATTTCTTTTTCTTTTTTTTTTTTTGACACAGTGTCTTACTCTGTCACCTGGGCTGGAGTGTAGTGGCACCATCTCGGCTCACTGCAACCTCCGCTTCCTGGGTTCAAACAATTTTTGTGCCTCAGCCTCCCAAGTAGCTGGGATTACAAGTGCCTGCCACCATGCCTGGCTAATTTCTTGTATTTTTAGTAGAGAGAGGGTTTCACCATGTTGGCCAGGCTGGTCTCAAACTCCTGACCTCAGGTGATCCACCTGCCTTGGCCTCCCATAGTGCTGGGATTACAGGCATGAGCCATCCTGCCCGGCCTGCTTTCCAGCAATTTAGATGCCAAATATTTAATATCGGAGTCAGTGGGTAATTAAGAAATCAAAATTTAAATCTCCCAAGATTTCTGATTGATTTTTCACAGGAAAAGAATAATACATTTATCTTTGAGGCAAATTCAACCAAAGTCTCTGGAGCTTGTCAATACTTAAAATTATATTTATAGATTGCAAAAAGATTTATTTTAGATCATTTGCCTCCTGGAGTTTATGAAATAATGGATGTGTTCCTGAACTGGGAAAAGATCCTTCAGACCCATGAATGTTTAAGCTGACTCCGGATGTGCATGTAGGTACTAATACTGGTGAAATTTTTCTCTTCCTTTTGTCCCATTTTTACGGAGCAATAAATGCAACTTTTAAAGAGTTTATAGTTGAATGCTCTGTGTGCACATTGAGAGTAGATTGCTGTCAATTATTTACTATTGGACTTTACCAGAGACCTAGAGAAGTAAAAAAATGTAAAACAATTTAAAACTTTTTATGAGACTTTATTTACCTTTTATGTTTACATTAATCATGTATGTATAGTGTATGATCCGTATTCTCAGAATTAACTTCAAAAAAAGAAAAAAGAAATTATTCTGTGGGATCCTGTCTCCAGAGGAATTAGAAACCTTTCTGGGTATGTTATTATCCCCTATTTTATTTTATTTTCCCTGAAAATTTATCTCCCTGCTGTAAAGAAATCAATTTCTTATAACATGAAAGATTTGCTCTCTTAAACATAGCAAATATAGCAAGTAAATAATAAACTGATGTTTCTTTATTTTCATTGCAGCAATCAGCAATGTCTTGTACATATTGATTGATTAACTGATACAATTCCAGAAATTCTTTTTTTTTTTTTTTTTTGAGACGGTCTTGCTCTGTCACCCAGGCTGGAGTGCAGTGGTGCAGTGGCACAATCACGGCTTAGTATAGCTTCACTCTCAAGCTCAAGCCATCTTCCCACTTCATCCTCCTGAGTAGCTGAGACTACAGACATGTGCCACTATACCTGGCTAATTAACAAAAAACATTTTTTTGTTGTGTTTGAGATGGGGTCTCACATTGTTGCCCAGGCTGGTCTGGAACTTCTAGGCTGAAGCAATCCTCCTGCCTTGGCCTCCCAAAGTGCTGGGATTATAGGCGTGACCCACTGGCTAGAAATTCTTAAAACCAATAAATTGATGATTAACCCATTAATATTAATTAATGATTAGTTGAAAACTTCTGGAATTGCATAATTTAAATAAACTATAGTTCAGCCTAAGATGGGCCATAATTTAGCCATGGAAAATGATGTTCTAGGGGACTCTTAAGGATATGGGGAAAAGAAACATGCCCTATTACTAAGTGAAAATTTTAGATGACTGTATGACACTTTATATTCTTAATTTTGTAAAAACAAATGGATGCATTTGTATCTTAGAAAGAATAAGATAATATAAAGAATTGTCCCAGCTTGTCAAAAATATTTTCTCTGGCTTTCAAATTTTCTTTTTTCTTTCTTTCCTTCCTTCCCTTCCCTTCCCTTCCTTCCTTCCTTCTTCCTTCCTTTCTTCTTTTTTTTTTTTTTTGAGACAGGTTCTCTCTCTGTCACCCAGGCTGGAGTGCAGTGCCATGATCATAGCCCACTACAACCTTGAACTCTTGGCTCAAGCAGTCTTCCCGCCTCAGCTTCCTAAATGAGACTACAGACATCTGCCACCACGTCTGTCTATTTTTTTACTTTTTTGTGAAGATGGGGACTCACCATGTTAACCATTCTGGTCTCAAACTTCTGGCCTCAAGCGATCATCCTGCCTTGGCCTCTCAAAGTGCTGGGATTACAGGTGTAATGCACCGTGCCTGGCCTAAATTTTGTATAATGTATCAGTTTTCCCCACCTTTTCTCTTAGAAATTTTTTTATTCCTTTTCTCTTTTTTGTAGAGATGGGGTCTTGCTATCTTGCCCAGGCTGGTCTCTAACTCCTGAGCTCAAGTGATCTGCCTGCTTTGGCCTCCCAAAGTGCTGGGATTACAGGTGTGAGCCACTGCACCTAGCCAGATTTTTTTTTTTTAAATTATAGAAGGATTTTGTACACAAAAGTAGAGGAAAGACTATAATGAATCCCCATCATGTATTCATCATCTAGCTTCAACAATTACCAATATTTTACCAATTTTTAAAAAAACTTTTCTAATTTTTTTGTAGTATTTTAAAATAAATTCCTGACAGTATGTCTTTTCATACAAAAACATCTTCCTTGCTTATATTTCCTTTTCTAAAAAAATAACATTATCACTGGATATAAAATTCTGCATTCACAGTTTTTTCTTTTAGTTCTTTAAGGATGGCTCTGCACTGTCTTCTAGCTTGCATCATTTCTGATGAGAAGTCTGCTACAATTTTTACCTTTGTTCCTCTAATTATAATTTCTTTTTTCTCTGGCTACATTCAAGGTTTTTCTCTTACTCCTTTGGTGTCAGCAGTTGATGGTGACTTATTGAGATGTGGGTGCATGTGTGTTTGTCGATGTGTGGACTTAGGTGTGGGTCCCCCCAGAAGCGGCCTATCTGTAGGGGGCTCTCCTCACCTGTAGGGGGCTCTCTGTGGTCTCCTGCCAAGCCTCTAATCTTTCTTATGAGCTCTTAGTAGAGGCCCATGGAGAAGCGCTTGGGAGTGAGTGCAAAATTCCCTTGTGTTTTGGGGCTGAGCTATTCCAAAATGCTACACTAGCCCACATATGGCCTTTAAAAATTCATTAAAGGTTTAGCTGGTTTGTTTTCTCATCTGTTTGCGTGGTGGTCCCCTCTATCTCCTCTGCTTGGCCGGACGTGAGGCAGTTAATGGATACTGCCTTTCCTTGGAGGGACCTGCCCCTCTTTAGCATTTGGTTAACTTGGTTGTTTTGTGTTCTCAGCTTGCTGACACACTTATGAAAGTTATTATTTTGTAGATTTAATGCATTTCTCTTAGTGTTAGGATAGGAGTGATGCTCTCTGCCCCTTTCTATATCTTAAGCAGGGTGGAAATCTGCTTATACAGTCATGCGCTGCATAACATTTCTATCAACAATGGATCGCATATACGATGGTGGTCCCATAAGATTATCTAAACATAGAAAAGGTGCCATATTTTTACTGAACTTTTTCTATGTTTAGACATGTTTAGATACACAAATACCATTGTGTTACAATTGCCTACAGTATTCAGTCCAGTAACATGCTGTACAGGTTTGTAGCCTAGGTTTGAGGTAGGCTGTACCATCTAGGTTTGTGTAAGTACACTCTATGATGTTGGCACAAGGAAAAATAGAGCTTAACAATGCATTTCTCAGAAAGTATCCCCATCGTTAAGTGACGCATGACCATATTTCTAATCAGTACTCTGGATTTCTGCCCTCAGTTTTTTTTATCTCAGTAAATAGCACCACTATCCATCCAGTCTCTTAAGCCAGATGGCCAAGAGTTTCCTTGATTTCTTTCTTTTATCTAAACCTCTCCCCCTACCCCTCCCCCATTCATTCTCCAGTCATATTAACTCTACTTTCAAAACATATCCAAAATGTGTCTATTTTCTTGCTCTCATTGCTACTACCTCCCTATCCATTATCATGTTATACCTGGGCTACTGCCGTGGCCTCCTAACTGGTTTCTCCCTTCATTCTTGCTTTACCCCATATTGCCCAGCAGCCAGAGTCAGCTCCAAGATATGTTAAGTTCAATTATGTTAGCTCTCTCTAGCTTAAAATCTTCTTTTTTTTGAGACAGAGTCTCACTCTGTCATCCAAGCTGGAGTGCAGTAGTGTGATCTCGGCTCACTGCAACTTCCGCCTCCTGGGTTCAAGCGATTCTCCAACCTCAGCCTCCTCAGTAGCTGGGACTACAGGCATGTGCCACCACACCTGGCTAATTTTTGTATTTTTAGTAGAGATGGGGTTTCATCATGTTGGCCAAGCTGGTCTTGAACTCCTGACCTCAGGTGATCCACCTGCCTCAGCCTCCCAAAGAGCTGAGATTACAGGCGAAAGCCACCGGGCCCAGCCATCTGCTTAAAATCCTCTTATAATATCCTAACCCACTGAGAACAAAACCCAAACTCCTTACTTTCATGTACAAAACTCCACATGATCTGGTGTGTGCCTACCTTATTGAACTCATCTGCCACTCTTCTCCCTCCCTGCTGTACTCGGACCTCTTTTCAGTTCCTGAAACACATCAAGCTCATTTCTGCCCAGGGACTTTGTGTGAACGACTAGCCTTCTGTTTAGAATATTCTTCCCTCTGATTCGAATGTCCAGCTTTCTTTTTAAAAATTCTAATATTGGCTGAAGTGATCTGCCCCTGCCTCAGATTGTTTTTGGCTATTTTATTAAAAACGCCACCTAGTCTCTTGTTTTTCTGTCATCCTGTATTCAATCTTTACATAGTACTTTTCATGTTTGTTTATTTATTGGTTTTTCTGTGTATTGTCAGCAGTGCTGCCTTAAACCTGGCAGGAGGGGCCCTTACCCCGGGCCCTTTGTTTTGAGGATTACACTCCGACCCATTCCACACATCCAGGGATCCACCAGAGTAAAAGGACATGCCTTCCTGGAGCCTGCACTACCTTCTCCCAAGTTATAGACCATCGTAGGGGAAACTGATACTCCAGAATTCCCTGTGCATATTATCCCAAGCTAGCTTCTAGGACCTGTATGGAGCTCATTTCTAGGTCCATCTTCCAAGGGTAGACTGTGCTGTCAGCGTGTATATTCCAAGGCCTGAGGGACAGCCAGCCAAGAGGTGTTTGCAGGAAATGTCAATAGGACTTAGACACACAATCTGGGGAATCCACACATGTGTGCTCAAGGCCGCTTGTGATGTGGCCAGAACTGGGGGGTGAAAGAAAAAGGGGGGTATCAACTAAGGGCTGGATTTCTACAATTGAGGAATCAAAGAATTCTGAATTTGAACCAAGCCTGCTTAGTTGTTATGAAGGAGTGTCTATCAAAGTAGGAGGCTAGAAAATATTTCATCTAACAATTTGTCAATTGTTATCATTGGTTTGAATTATGACTTTTAGTCATTTAGACATAAAGAATGCTGGCTTGAATTTATATTTTTGCCCTGAGTTCTGTAAATGTAAGGGATAGAAGTGAATGTCTATATCCCACTGGATTCCACGAGAGCTGGGTCTTGTCTGTCTAGCTCACTGCTACCTCCCCCAAGCCTAGAAGGGTGCCTGCACATTTCAGGTGTGCAATAGATATTTGTTGAATGAAAAATGAAACTTCCTTCCATGTTTCTTCTCTTTTGAAAAGAGTTTTATTTCTTGAACTTTCTTTTGTTGGAGATTAATATTGTTACTTTTGCTTTACTTATGTTAACATTTGCCATGTCTGTCATTTTCTATCTCTTTATTTTCAGTCCTGAGACATGTTATTTTAGGCCCCTTTATTATGAACAGCATTTGACTAGATTAAAAAAAAAGTCTCTGTCTTTTAATAGACCATTTTACCCTTTCCCATTTACTGTGATTACTTATACATTGGACTTATTCTGGCACTCTTAATTTTTTTTTTTTTTTCAGATGGAGTCTTGCTTTGTCGCCCAGGCTGGAGTGCAGTGGCTGTGATCTCGGCTCACTGCAAGATCCGCCCCCTGGGTTCACGCCATTCTCCTGCCTCAGCCCCCCTAGCAGCTGGGACTACAGGCGCCCGCCACCGCACCCGGCTAATTTTTTGTATTTTTTAGTAGAGACGGGGTTTCACTGTTGTTAGCCAGGATGGTCTCGATCTCCTGACCTCGTGATCCCTCCGCCTTGGCTCCCAAAGTCCTGGGATTACAGGCGTGAGCCACCGTGCCCGGCCAGTTTTTATTTCTCTTTTATTTCTCTCCTCTCCCCTGACCTCCACCCTTGAACCCCATTCCTGATTTTGGGTGAAGATTGCTTTTTCAAGGTTCTATTCTCCTACCCCCATTGGTTTAGAAGTGAACTATTTTCTGTTTTCTGTAATTTGCTTTAAATTTTTATCACTTATAGATAAACATATTTTTGTATCAACATGTAGAATTAATGTTTTCATTCTTCCTCTAGCCCATACTGGGGGAAGAACTAGAACTAGAGCCCATTTTTACTTCTTCCTACTGTTTTAAGCCTTCCTGCCACAACCCCACCCTCCTGTGTGTTCCCTGCCACCATCTTCCACGTCAAGATCATTTGGAATTGTCACTACTTTTGTTTGTTTATAATCAGCACTTATTTAGACTTAGTAATAATTTTTAGCTCCTTACCACCATTTTGAATATGTTACTCTTTTCCCTTGTACTAGGTTTTCAAATCTATTTGTTTTAGGTCAGAGCTGATTTTATTATGTTTTTTCCAGAGAGTAAAGCATGGGTGGAAACTTCCTAAATTTTTGCGTGTCTGAATGTCTTTTTTAATTTTTTTATTTTTTTTTGCGATGGAGTCTCACTCTGTCACTTAGGCTGGAGTGCAGTGGTGCGATCTCGGCTCGCTGCAACCTCTGCCTTTCGGCTTCAAACAATTCTCCTGCCTTAGCCTCCTGAGTAGCTGGGATTACAGGTGCCTGCCACCACACCCTGCTAATTTTTGTAGTTTTAGTAGAGACAGCGTTTTGCCATAAAAAAAAAAAAATCAAAATCCTCAGTTTGTTCCATGAACTTTGGTTCTGTGGATGTGAGTTTATCTATATAATGAGCATAGTGCTTTCTTCCAGAGGATTACTTTTCCTTAAATATTTGCTGGGTTTGGTTGCATGCCCCTCTGGAATCTGAGCTCCTAAGTTATCCGGCCTCTGCTCTATCTGATTACCTGGCCTCGCTCCAGGATTCCACACAGGGGTGTGCCTGTGGCTTCCTGGGCAATGGAGGCTTCTGCTTCCTTCCGGATGGCAGTGAGCCCCGTCCTGATGACCAGGACTGACATGTTCGTGGATATGCACTACTCCTGTCTCGGAGCAGAAGCCTCTGCTGAATGTACGTGGCACCAGAAGGAGAGGAACAAAGGGTTCAAAGTTCCTGGATTCCTCTACTTCCACCAACCACCCTTCTGATTGACCCTGGATCCTCTTTTGCTCCTTTCATTTATTGCCTCTCAGCTTGGAGCCTAAAGACACTTTTATCCTCTTTATCAGTTCTCTTTTATGTCTGTTTTGGCTATTATTTCTTCCTTCACTATAAATTCATCTACCTTTATTTTTTTTAATACTTAAAAATAATCTTGTTTTTAAAATTGACACAAAATAATTGTATATATTCATGGGGTACATAGTGTCTTTAATTTTTTTAGGAATTTCTATAATTTCTGATCCACTGAGAGCATCAAGTCTTTTTTAAGTGCTGTTTCATTTCCTTCCTTCCTTCCTCTCTTTCTTTCTTTCATCTCTCTCTCATTCTTTCTCTCTCTCCTCTCCCCTCCCCTCCCCTCCCCCTCCCTCCCTCCCTTCCATCCTTCCTTCCTTCCTTCCTTCCTTCCTTCCTTCCTTCCTTCCTTCCTTCCTTCCTTCTTTGCTTCCTCCCTTGTTTTGATGGAGTCTCACTCTGTCGGCCAGGCTGGAGTGCCGTAGCACGATCTCGGCTCACTGCAACCTCTGCCTCCTAGGTTCAAGCGATTCTCCTGCCTCAGCCTCCTGAATAGCTGGGGTTGTAGGCACCTGCCACCACACCCCACTAATTTTTGTGTTTTTAGTAGAGACAGGGTTTTGCCATGTTGGCTAGGCTGGTCTTGAACTCCTGACCTCAAGTGATCTGCCCACCTTGGCCTCCCAAAGTGCTGAGATTACAGGCATGAGCCACCACGCCCAGCCAAGTGCTGTTTTCAATTACATTTCTTTTCTTGTTATTTATGGGAATTTGAGATGGCGGAGAGGTTTTAGCATGTTCTTAGTTTACAATCTTCATCCAATCTCCTTGTGATCTGTTATAAAACATGTTAGCCCAAATTAAAGGAAGCATATCAGTTTATCTGTCAAGTAATATTTATTCCTATCATAGAATTCTAGTAGAAATGTATACTGTGAATATGTTAATATATATTAATATTCATTAAATTCTTGCTTATTAACACCTTTAGTTTGGCCCTCTCAAAATCCTGAGATATACCAGTTCTAAGATGGGAAAACAGAGGCTTAGAGAGGTAAAATAATTTACCCAAAGTCCAACAGATAACACGAAACAGAGCCAGGATTCGTACCTATGTCTTGCCATGACAACAGCTACCTTCCATTAAAAGACATAAGGTAACAATAATGAACAATGTCTTCACTGTAAGAAATCAACAAAATACACTTAGCACTCACTAAAGTGGATGCTGTTAGAAGTCATGAAATCAGTAATTACTGATTATCATGAATAATTTGTCAACAAATCACTGAGCTGACTGTATTTTTCAATTCCATTTTGTTGCCTTGTCAATAAGATTTATTCTTGGAGCAATTTGTGAACTGTTGGTGCTTTTTCAGTGGGCAGCACACATAAATGGCATGTACATATTGGTAAACATCTCCGCAGTGTTGGCAAGTTGGAGGTTCTATTTTGAATTGATTTTTCTCATAGCTTTCAGCTGAGGTTTATTTTCATATAAGCGGTAATTACAGAAAACGAGAGCCTCTAAGGGTAAATGTTGCTATGCTAGTTAAAGAGCATTTACATGTATTATATGGCATGCTATAATTATTTGTTTGAGTTATTTCACAGAAATTTTTCCCAGCAATTGTGATATATGGGACTCAAGGTCAATAAAGGCAGAGAGTGTAGATGATTTCAGCTTGTGTAAAATCTATGTTGTTTTGATCAAGAAGCATTTTTGGAAAATCTAATATAAACACTTGGAAAATTGAAAGACGGATACAGAAATAAAAATCCTTTGTATTTAAATTGAGAAGTTTTAAATACATCAGTGCCAGAGGACTTGAAAATAAAAATGCCAGAGTGCAATGGGGTTGGTCAGAGAAGGCAGGCAGCATGGGTTTTCTGCAGTTGTGGTGTCGAATACTAGTACTGTGCTTTACAGGTTGAAAAACCTTCTCTACTCTTCAGTTTCTTTGATGTAGAGTGAAGTAATACACTACCTTCCTCACAAGGTTGTGACATAATAGATGCAAATTGCTTAGGATTCATTTTTACTGATCACTACTTGAGGCAAGTTCTTTACACCAAATCTAGACACTTTATCACATTTTCTTCTAGTTTCTGCTCCACCCCACCAGGGTTCAGCGTAGGTGTCCAATGCCAGACAGCAGATTAGAGAAGATCCTGCAGAGCCAGCTGAGGGACCTGGAGTCAGTAGTTGCCTCCTTTGGGGGCCTTGGTCCAGACGATAGGAGAATCATTCATGCAGATGATTTTGTCTCTAACATTCTAAGTTCCAAAGTTGTGAACATGTGTCATATTCATGACTGTTCATCATCTTTTGGATTACCTTTATGTATTTAGGAAAAGTCTTCATATGATGAATTTTTCCTCCCCAGTATAGATGTAGACTCAAATTCCAGGATCTTATGCAGCTAGGATGCAAGTATGGGACCCAGACTCTGCCAATCATATGCATGTTTGTAGGGCTGCAATTCAGATGTCAAGAACATGAGAAAGCATGCTGGGAAGTGAGCTTCCGTTTTTGGCCATGCCTCCACTGCTCAGTGGGGTGGGGATTTCCTCATTTGGCCAGTTCTGTGGTTTGAAATTTAGTTTTATATTTAGAAGGTAAGACATGTGTCTGGCTCTCTGGTCTTCTGGGCAACTTATGTGCTACCATATATATATAAAATTTTATTTTTTTGAGACAGGCTCTTGCTCTGTTGCCCAGGCTGAAGTGCAGTGGTATGATCTCAGCTCACTGCCACCTCCACCTTCTCGGCTCAAGCAATCCTCCCATCTCAGCCTCCTCAGTAGCTGGGATTACTAACATGCACCACCACACCTGGCTAATTTTTGTATTTTTTGTAGAGTCAGGGTTTCGCCATGTTGCCCAGGCTGGTCTTGAACTACTGGGTTCAAGTGATGCTCCTGCCTCGATCTTCCAAAGTGCTGAGATTACAGGAATGAGCAACCGTGCCTGGCCCAGTATGTTTTAAATCAACTAATTTTCCAGTTCATCAGTCAGAGTTAGCTTCTGCTGCTTACAACTGAGATCTACTCTTGATAGATAAATAATCTAGTGTGTTGGGCTCTCTGGTATGGCTCATCTTTAAATAACATCCTATTTCTTCAAATAAATTAAGGGAGACTTTAAGGTTGAATTCATTCACCTGTTCAATCAGCAAACATTATTGGCTGTCTTCAGTGTGTAAAATACTGCGTTAGGTACTGAGCGTTCAATGAAAACTATTCTTAGTCTCCAGGGACTCCAAATCTTGTAGGTTAGATAAATATTAGCATATAAACCAAATGTGCTATGTCTGAGGACTCAATCAGATGTGACCTCTGAATGTGATTATAATTGACAAAATGCTGGGAGTCACTCCCAGGAGATAAGTTATATTATAATAACCTAATATGTTAAAAGAACTTCCTTTAAAGTAGGAAGGGAAGTAAGAAAAGCTCATATTCATTGACTGCCTTACTTACATTTTTTGTTCTAACTTGCTTTGGAGACTAATATGGATGCTTGGATAAGTTCCATTTCAAGCTTGTGGACCATTTCAGACTGGGGAGATGGAGAGAGTTGGGAGAATATTGACACTCATTTAGTATTACTCTTGATGATGACTTTACTGAAGGATAAAAGAGGTACAGAAAACTTAAATGTAGGTTTCACCATCATACTGAGTGTCAGGCCTGTGTGCTAGGAGTTTTCCAAATGCTATCTCAATCAGTTTTTCTTTTTCCTTTCCTCCCTCCCAGTGCACGTGTAGTTCTCTTTAAATCACAAATGGAAGAGATGCAGCTCAAACTAGCAAGAGCAAAACAGGGAATGTTTTGGTTTATGTAACTAAAGGAGTTGGGAGTAGCTTCTTGCACAACCAGATCTAGGTTCTCAAATGATGTCATTGGCAATTTGTATTTTTCCATCTCTTGGCACTGTTTTCCTCTCTGTTGGTTTTATTTTCTCATTGCTGCCTCCTTATGGAGGCTGGTGAGATCTCTGGGGTCATGTTCTACCAGAGTAGTCACGCTAATAGCAGAGGAAGTTCTTTCCAAGAGCGGCAACAAAAGCCTCAGGTTTGGGCCTGAATCTGTTAGGATGGTTTTGGCCACAAGTAATTCAGATGTTGGATTAAAGGGCCTTACTTTTCTTATATAGCAAGAAACTCAGAGGTAGGGGCAGTTCCAGAGTTAGTTAACTCAGGAGACCAAGGATGTTAGAGCATTTGGTTAGGTTCTCTATGAATTTCTTGATCTTCCCCTTATAGTTTCATACTATCAGACTATAGCACCCAGCATAACATCTTCACATGACAATGCCCAAAGGCAGGAAGGAATAAGTCCCTGCTTTGTGTTTTCTCTTGAGAGTGTGGAAAAACTCTCCGGAAGTCACTGAACAGACCTCTCCTATGTCTCCTGGGTCAGAGTTACATCACATGCTCACTCTTTGCCAATCCTTTCCAAGGGGAATACAATTACAAGTATATTTCATTTTACTGCACTTTGCATATGGTGAACTTTTTAAAATTTTTTTATTTTAAGGAGGAGAGAGTTTAATAGGCAAGATAGAAAGGGGAAGAAAGAAGGAAGAAGCTGTCCTGTACAGCGACAGAGGGAGAGGGGCTCCAAAGCCGAGAGAGGTAACCAACTCCACCTGCCATGGATACCAGCCAGGTATATGAAGAGGCTGGAGGAGGCAGTGTTTGATTTGCATAGAGCTCAGGGAATTGGTTTGACCAGGCATGTCATTTATGTAACCTTTGAAAAAAATGGCCCTCCCACCCTAGCGTTTTAAAGATATGCAAATTCAGGGTACCATGATGTTCTACACACATGGGGATATGTGGGGGCCGCCATGTCAGCAGAAACGTGGGGCAAGGGCAAGAAGGCCGCAGGAATTGCCATGTTGGGTGGACCCAGTTTCTAATGGCCTGGCTCTAAGTGGAGCTTTACAAGAAACTTTACTGGAGATGCTTTAAAAAATGAAAACTTCCCAAGGACCCCTTTTCCTCTCTATCTGCCTAAAATAATTTTTTTTTTTGAGATGGAGTTTCATTCTTCTTTTTTTTTTTTTTTGCCCAGGCTGGAGTGCAATGGCACGATCTTGGCTCACTGCAACCTCTGCCTGTTCAAGTGATTCTCCTGCCTCAGCCTTCCAAGTAGCTGGAATCACAGGCGCCCACCATCATGCCCAGCTAATTTTGTGTTTTTAGTAGAGATGGGGTTTCACCATGTTGGCCAGACTGGTCTTGAACTCCTGACCTTAGGTGATCCACCTGCCTCGACCTTCCAAAGTGCTGGGAATACTGCGCCCAGCCAAAAGATGGTGAACTTTTTACAAATTGTGTCTTCAATTCTGTGAAGGCTGAGAGAGATGAGGAAAATGCAGAAGAAAACTTGGAAGCTAGAAGAGGTTGGTTCATGAGGTTTGAGAAAAGAAGCCATGTCTATAACATAAAAGTGCAAGATGAAGCAGCAAGTGCTGATGTAGAAGCTGCAGCAAGTTAGCAAGTTAGCTAGAACATCTGGCAAAGATCATTGATGGAGGTGGCTACACTAAATAAATTTCTAATGTAGACAAAACACCCTTATATTGGAAGAAGGTGCCATATAGGACTTCATAGCTAGAGAAGAAAAGTCAATGCCTGGCTTCAAAGCTTCAAAGGACAGGCTGACTCTCTTGTTAGGGGCAAATGCAGCGTTTACTTTAAGTTGAAGCCAGTGCTCATTTCCCATTCAGAAAATCATATTGCACTTAAGAATTATGCTAAATCTACTCTGCCTGTGCCCTAGAAATGGAAGAGCAAAGCCTGGATGACAGCTCATCTGTTTACAGCATGGTTTACTGAATATTTTAAGCCCACTGTTAAGACCTAAAGAAAAGATTTCTTTGAAAATAGTACTGCTCATTGACAATGCACCTGGTCACCCAAAATCTTATGGAGATGTAGAAGGAGATTAATGCTATTTTCATGCTTGTTAACACAACATCCATTCTACAGCCCATGGATCAAGGAGTAATTTTCTCTTTGAAGTCTTATTATTTAAGAACTACATTTCATAAAGCTACAGCTGCCATAAATAGTGATTCCTTGGATGGATCTGGGCAAAGTAAATTGAAAAACTTCTGGAAAGGATTCACCATTCTAGGCACTATTAAGAAGATTTGTGATTCATGAGAGGAGGTCAAAATATCAACATTAACAGGAGTTTGAAAGAAGTTGATGCCAACCCTCATGGATGACTTTGAGGGGTTCAAGACTTCATTGGAGAAAGTAACTGCAGATGTGCTGAAAATAGCAAGAGAACTAGAATTAGAAGTGAAGGCTGACAGATTTTATGACTAAGGCTTCAAAGGCAAATGCAACAAAAAACAAAAATAGACAAATGGGACTTAATTAAACTAAAAAGCTTTTGCATAGCAAAAGAAATAATCAACAGAGTGAACAGACAACCAACAGAATGGGAGAAAATATTTGCAAACTAAGCATCTGACAAAGGACTGATATCCAGAATCTATAAGGAACTCAAACAACACAATAAAAAAATCCTCAAGGCCAGCTGCAGTGGCTCATGCCTGTAATCCCAGCACTTTGGGAGGCCAAGGCGGGCAGATCACGAGGTCAGGAGTTTGAGACCAGCCTGGCCAATATGGTGAAACCCTGTCTCTACTAAAAATACAAAAATTAGCCAGGCATGGTGGTGCACGCCTGTAGTCCCAGCTACTTGGGAGGTTGAGGCAGGAGAATTGCTTGAACCTGGGAGGCAGAGGTTGCAGTGAGTTGAGATCACACCACTGCACTCCTGCCTGGTGACAGAGCAAGACTCTATCTGAAAAAAAACCAAAACAAACAAACAAAAAAACCCATGTATAACCCCACTAAAAAGTAGTCAAAGGAGATGAACAGACATTTTTCAAAAGAAGACATACAAATGGCCAAAAAACATGAAAAATGCTCAATATCACTAATCACCAGAGAATGCAAATTATAACTGCAATGAATAGCATCTTACAACAGTTAGGATAGCAATTATTAAAAAGTAAAAAACAAAACAAAACAAAAAAGCCAAAACAACAACAACAAACAACAGATGTCGGCTAGGAAGCAGAGAAAAGGGAACACTTATACACTGTTGATGGGAATGTTAAATTGGTACAACCTTTATGGGTAACAGTATGGAGATTTATCAAAGAACTAAAAATAGAACTACTACATTCTATCCAGCAATCCCACTACTGCAAAAAGAAATAATTATATCAAAAAGATACCTGCACTCATATGTTTATCATAGCATTATTCACAATAGCAGAGATATGGAATTGACCTAAGTATCCATTAATGGATGATTATATATGGCATCTATCTATCTATCTATCATCTATCTATCTATCTATCTATCTATCTATCTATCTATATCATATATCTATCATGGAATAATACTTAGCCATAAAAAAGAGTGAAATCATGTCTTTTGCAGCAACATGGATGGAACTGGAGGCCATTATCTTAAGTGAAAGAACTCAAGAGAAGAAAGTCATATACTGTATAATCTCACATAAGTGGGTGCTAAATCATGGGTACACATGAACAGAGTGTGGAATAATAGACCCTAGAGAAGTGGAAGGGTGGGAGTGAGGAAGGGAGTGAGGGATGAGAAATTACTTAATGGGTACAGTGTACACTATTCAGGTGATGGATACACTGAAAGCCCAGACTTCAGCACTATGCAATGTATCCATGTAACAAAACTGCCTTTCTACCCACTAAGTTAATTTTTTTAAAAAAGAAGTAGAGCCTGAAGATGTGACTTAATTGCTGCAATTTCTTGATAAAATTTTAATGCATGAAGAGTTACTTCTTAAGAATGAACAAAGAAAGTGGTTTCTTGAGATGAAATTTATTCCTGGTGAAGAGGGTGTGAACACTGTTGAAATGACAACAAAGTGTTTGGAATATTCCGTAAGCTTAATTGGTAAAGTAGCAGTAGAACTTGGGGGAAGACTGACTACAATTTTTAAAGAGATTCTAAGGTGGGTAAAATACTATCAAGCAGAAACACATGCTACAGAGAAATCTTTTATGAAAGAAAGAATCAATTGTGCAGTAATCTTCAATGTTGTCTTATTTTACAAAATTGCTACAGCCACCCCAACCTTGATCAACCACCACCTTGATTACTTAGCAGCCATCAACACTGAGGCAAGACCTTTCACCAGTAAAAAAAGATTACCACTCACTGATAGCTCAAATAATCATTACGATTTTTTAGCAATAAAGTAATTTTAAATCAAGGTTTGTACGTTTTTTAGACATAATGCTATTGTACACAGTATACTACAGTTTAGTGTAAATATAACTGTTATATGCACTGGAAACATTTAAAAATTGTGTGACTTGCTTAATTGTGGCATTAGCTTTATTGTAGTGGTCTGAAATTGAACTTATGATATCTCTGCGGTATTCCCATACCTCGATAATTTTAAGCTTATTAACATTTATCTCTTGTGTCCATGGATGTTGCTTAAGAACTAAAGAAAATCAGAGTTCAGTTAGCAAAGAAGAAGGGGTGAACTGGAACGTGGTTTGTAGGTAAGTACCCAGCCATATCCCAGTGTCTCACTGGATTAACTCGGTTATGTATTCATTCCTGAACCTATCACGATGACCACTCGTACTCACATGCCTCCCTGTGGAGCTGTGGAAATGGTGGTCATTGTGTTAGGTAGAGGTATTATGTCAGTTCTGCCCAAGTCACATAAACTGAGAGCAGAAGAGATTGGATCTCTTGTTATTCTATGTCTCCTAGGCTAACTGTCATACCCAGAAGAAGCATAGTTTTGTTTTGTTAGATCCTTGACCCAATTTTTAGTTTTAAAAAAGGGGGATCCTGTTTCTGTCATTTAATCTTACTCCAAGATTTTGGGTAGCTCATAAACATTTTAGCGTCCCCATAGAAAGTGCGTTAGGTGGTCAAGAATAAAGGAAAGCGTATGTTAAATAGGATCCCTCATTACAGAAGACATGTTATAAGCTGCTCAACAAAACGCTGTTATTATGGACCATCTGCATGAAAATGGAAATATCTGTTAGAGTCACTTATTTTAATGATACTTGGTGTTGTGAAATTTCACTGTTATTCTGCTTCTTTGCTTTGATATATCTTTCGCGAAGTTTCCTTTTAATAATCCTCTATAGGCTGGGTGCGTTGGCTCATACCTGTGTATTAGTCCGTTCTCAAATAGCTATAAAGAAATACCTGAGGCTGGGTAATTTATAAAGAAAAGAGGTTTAATTGGCTCATGGTTCCGCAGGCTGTACAGGAAGCAAAGAGTCTTCTGTTCACCTTCTGGGGAGGCTTCAAGAAACTGTGAATCACGGCAGAAGGTGAAGGGGAAGCAGGAACATCTTGACTGTCATAAATGGCTGGAGCAGGAGCAAGTGGGGTGCGGCAGGGTTGTGGGGAGGTGCTACACACTTTTATACAACCAGATCGTATAAGAACTCTAACAGGAGAACAGCACCAAAAGGGTGGTATTAAACCATCCACGAAGTATCCACCCCCTGTTCAAATCACCTCCCACCACACCCCACCTCCAATATTGGGGATTACAGTTGAACATGACATTCGAGTGGGGACACAGATCCAAACCATATCAACCTACAATCCCAGCAGTTTGGGAGGCTGAGGTGGTAGGATCGCTTGAGGCCAGGAGTTCGAGACCAGCCTGGGCAATATAGTGACACTTCATCTTTACAAAAATAAAGAGGCCGAGTGTGGTGGCTCATGACTATAATCCCAGCATTTTAGGAGGCTGAGGTGGGTGGAACACCTGAGGTCAGGAGTTTGAGACCAGCCTGGCCAACATGATGAAACCCCGTCTCTACTAAAAATACAAAAATTAGCAGGGCATGGTGGCACATGCCTGTAATCCCAGCTACTCAGGAGGCTGAGGAAGGAGAATTGCTTTAACCTGGGAGGTGGAGGTTGCAGTGATCCAAGTTTGTGCTACTGCACTCCAGCCTATGTGACGGGAGTGAGACTCCATCTCAAAAAAAAAAAAGAAAAAAGAAAGAAAGAGAGAGGGGGGGAGGGGGGGGAGCAAGGAAGGAAGGAAAGAGAGATAGAAAGAAAGAAAGGAAGGAAGGAAGGAGGGAAGGAAGGAAGGAAAGAAAAGAAAGAAAAGAAAGAAAAGAAAGAAAGGAAAGAAAGGAAATAAATTAGGCGTGGTGGTGCATGCCTGTGGTCCCAGCTGCTCGGGAGGCTGAGGTGGGAGGATTGCCTGAACCTAGGAGGTTGCCACTTCAGTGAGTCATGATTCTGCCACTGCACTCCAGCATGGGTGACAGAGCGAGACCCTGTCTCAAAACCAAACCAAACAGCAACAACAAAAGAATCCTCTATATAAATGTAGGTGACCTTAGGGCTTTA
Source organism: Homo sapiens (assembly GCF_000001405.40). Classification (NCBI taxonomy): domain Eukaryota; kingdom Metazoa; phylum Chordata; class Mammalia; order Primates; family Hominidae; genus Homo; species Homo sapiens. Next base: position 74,137,833 of record NC_000008.11, read on the forward strand.
GTGAAGAGATGATACCTTGGAATTGGGCACAGACATAAATACCTGTGGGATGAGTTTTATAAACTCCATTTTGATTGAGTGGTTAAACAACATTTCCATCATGACATTCTCTTCAAAATGCATAAGAGCTCTTGTTCTCTACTGATTTAAGACCTTATATTCAGGACTGTTAATAATTGGCTTCCCCTTTGCTTTCAGTCATAATGCTGCACTCTCCCACCTAAGCTTCCCACTCCATCAGGCAGGTCCCTTCTCTGGCCTGGGCACCTCCTAACCTCCTGACTTGGGTTGTGTGTGCTCTGACCCCCGAAATGTCCTTCATCTGATTGTCCGAATTCTTTGCATCCCTAAAGGCCAGGCTCTTTTTCCTGTATTCTGCCAGCTGATGTAGTTTGCCCTGCTGTCTGAACTCTTAATTCATGATTTCTCCATTTAAAGCAATTTAGCATATAAAAACAGTCCATGGTGCTTTGTTCATTAGTTGTTTCCATGTGCACATCCTGTCTTGTCTCCTTAGTAACATCTCTTGGAGATATAACAGGTATCTCCTGCTCAGATATTTCTCTTTGCACCAAATGGCCACTGGAGACCTGAACTTGGATGTCTTAGAGGCATCACAACTCCAGCGTGTCTGAGGAGGTACCTGTTACCTACCTCTCCTTCCTACTCCAACCTACTCCTGTTCCTGTAATCAATTTCTACAAATAAACTCCTATGCAGTTGCCCAAGCTAGACTCCTCAGAGGCACTCTTGATTATGCCTTCCCTTTCTTTCAGAAATGCACTCATCTAGTCACCAAGTTCTGTCAATTCTGTTCCTAAACATACCTGGGAATCCTCTTCTCCATTCCCGGCACCACTGACCTCATGAAAGCCTTTGTCATACTTCACTAGGACTATTGCAATGACCTTTCAACAGATCACCCTTGCTCCAGGTTCACGTCTTTCAATCCATCATCTTTACTGTTGCTCAGAGATCATAGGTTATGCCACTCCTTTACTTGAGAACCTTCAGTCATTTCTACTTGTTTGCCAGAAAAAAACAATTCAGACCTCTTAACATAGCTTAGAAAGTCGTCAATGATCCAGTTACAGCTACCTGCAGTGCTTTCCAGCCTGGTGTTTTATATTTCCTGACAACAAGTCCTTGACTCCAGGCAAATTGAGTTCCTGGTGGTCACATGAACATCTATGTTCATTCCGTTCAGCAGACATGGATTCTGCATCTGGAATTCCCAGGTGCTATGCTAAGTGCCCAATAGAACCTTAATTATACCTTTATGTGTTTCTTTCCTCCATTGGACTGTGAGTTTTTGTTTATTTGTTTTTTTATTTTGTTTTGTTTTTTGAGACAGAGTCTCGCTCTGTCTCCAGGCTGGAGTGCAGTGGCGCAATCTTAGCTCACTGCAACCTCCACCTCCAGGGTTCAAGTGATTTTTCTCTCAATGCCTAGTACAAACTAGGGACTCAATAAATGATAGATGAATGATGTCATGATGATGTAAACTTGGTGTGACACAGGACTACCTATCATAACTTCAAATCTCTCACAGATGACGTGTAGTATTAGACCCACACAGGCATTCAAAACATACTTGCCATTTGATGGATAGTTTGTCAGTGCTCAAGCTGAGGATTCTGCCGTGTCTACCAATTTTTAGCAAAAAGTAACCTTAGGATCCGTCCATGTCTTTAGCTTTATGGAATGCATTGTTGACTAGGTTTTTGGCACTGATACATGGGTTTGCATATCCGTTGGTCCCTTGATGGGTAGAATTCTGAGTATGCTGAGGCAGATGTTTGCTGATACCTTCTGGTGGTATAGTGTGAAGTCCCCTTAAATTTATCCTATAATAGATCACCCAAATAATAGGTTATTCAAAGGAATAAGAAAGATACACATAACTTAGAACATAATTAAGAGATGAAACCTTACCATGAACTCTCTTTTGGATTATCCACTAATATATTTTAAAGTCCACACTTTGGGTGGAGGTAGAATGTAAGTATATTAAGTGTAAATATGTGAGGCAGACTCAGTAAAAGGTTTCCAGGGAAAGTCTAAGTGGCGAGTTCTATTTTTCTAGTGATGATTAACATACAGCAAGGCACGTCATCAGACAGATCACATCTATCCATGAACAAAGCTGTTACATCGAACGCTGGTATAGAAGAGCACCAGTGAAAATATTGTGTATGAGTCAATCTTAGCCCTGTAAGTCCTAAAGCTTTTAAATGGGGTTGGTTGGCAATTTTAACAATAGAAAACAGTCATTTATCTTAATGGTTCAGATATCAATTGCTCTTCTACTTTGTAATAAAATGACTTTTGGGGTAGGAGTAAGTTCAGTCCATCTCTAAATTCCTCACATGGTGCCAGCAAGAGCAGCTGAGATTCTATTTGCTATTAAGCTGCCAGACTGCTCTAGTCTTTCTTCCCTGTCTCTTCGCTAACAGCTCTCTTGTCCACTGTCCCCTCTTGCTGCTGGTAATTTTTGTCATCTTTACTACTTCTAACATCTAATGCCATATCTTCTGCCTGCCACTTCTGCAGCGTGCCATTCCTTTCCTTCTGTGTCCCACTTTTTATTTTAATTTTGTGGTCTTTCTTTTTTCCAATTCTGTTGATCATGGAGCTTAGCCTTTTCAGCTGTCATTAGCCAATGCCACCTCTTTTTCCTGTTTCTATAAGTGCGAATGGTCTGGCTGCCTATTAGCTGGAACAGCAATATTGCCCATGCTCTTCTGATGTATGGAGATGTGATGTAGGGAGCAGCAAGGTGCTAGAGCATAAAATGATGAGGCTCCTCACTCATAGACAGAGGGTTTGCATATTCTCTCCCCATTCTGTTAGAGCATTTTTGGCCAGGCACAGTGGCTCCATGTGTTTAATCCCAGGACTTCGGGAGGCCAAGGAGGGAGGATTGCCTGAGGCCAGGAGTTCGAGACCAGCCTGGCCAACATAGCAATACCCCATCTCCACAAAAACAAAACAAAACAAAACAAAACAAAACAAAACAAAAAAACACAACAAAATGAGCCAGGTGCAGTGGTGCGTACCTGTAATCCCAGCTACTTCAGAGCCTGAGATGGGAGGATTGCTTGAGCTCAGGAGTTCGAGGCTGAAGTAAGCTATGATCACACCTCTGCATTCTAGCTTGGGTGACAGAGTGACACCTCGTCTCAATTTAAAAACAAAACAGAATGAAAAGAAATAGAACATTTTATTCAAAGAAAAGTCATTGCATGAATGGCCTAGTGTGGGAGACAAAAAAAAAAAAAGATTGTAATCTCCAATCTCCCTATCTCTTCTATACTAGAGTATAAGCTTTTTAAGAGTGGGAACCATGCCATATTAATGTCTGCTGTCATTATACATATACATTTTACATTATATACACAACATATATACACAGTATTCATTGCATAGCACCTGGAACTGATTAAGTGTTCAAAGTATGCTTCTCGAATGAATAAAAGAATGACTCAAATAATCAGAGGTGTGGCAAAGGTGTTAGGGCAGTGGTTTTTAGTAGAATAACAAAACGCTCATTTAGAAGACATTGATGCCTAGGTGCCCAAACCAGGACAAGTACCATTAGTTGATTCTAAGATGCAATTTCCCCCTACATTTTATTTTTTATTTTAGAGACAGGATCTCACTCTGTCACCCAGGCTGGAGTGCAGTAGCATGATCTTGGCTCACTGCAACCTCTGCCTCCGGGGTTCAAGTGATGCTTCTTACACTCAATGTGTTAAGAAAGGTATTGTCTCATAATTTGATTGAAAACATTTTTCTTTTTTAGTTGCACAGAAAATGCACTTCAGAGGGCCAATGACATCTTAGATTTGATGAAATACAGTAAATCAGAATCTCTAGAGGATGTAGCCCAGAGCAAAAGTATGGTTTAAAGTGTCTGAAGTGAGTCTGATGCACACTGCAAGTTAGAAGCCTCTATATTAGGGGGACTTTGATGAGGGAGAAATTAACAAGGGACCACTTTTTTGTCTACCTCTAAATCCTCAGCACAGCACCTGGTCCATTGTAGATAACCAGTCCTCATCTGCTGAACCAGATGGAATTATTTAGGGCCTTAGAGAAGCCATCAAAATTGAGATGATCTAGTAACTGTCCTGAAAGACATGTAGGAATTTTTCAGGTGAGAAGAAAAAGTCTAAGAGAACAGCATGTACAAAAGCAGAGAAGTATGACAGCCTAGACTACCTGGGGAAGAGCAAGTGGTGGCTGTCATTGGAGCGAGAGGCAAGCGGGGCGGGGAGTCTGGGAAGATGGTGTTTTATAATTTAACCCAGTCCCTATTGGGGTTAATTTGAGAGGAGATCAATGAGGAGCAAGGGAATCAGAGCAAATTTAAATGCTGATCTCCACTCTATTGAAGTTCTGCACAGCCCAAGGATTTCTTTAACCATCTCCTAGCTTTCATTTTGTTGGGGTTTTATTTTTATACCAGGTGCCGTGGCCTTAATGCTACTGCTTGCTGGCCCAGGAATCCCACCAGGCTTCTACCTTTTCTCTTTTTGACCTCACTGTCACCCAAAATATCTCTAGTGCCTCACTGATTTATCGCTTTAGTTCTGCTTCAGAGTGGCACACCTCCAGGGGGCACCATCCACACTGTAATATCTGAATAGTGCCCACTCTACACAGCTCTGCAGCACGGAGGCCACTGGGGCTGGGTGTTGGCAAGACTATGGGCTTTGGAGCAAAGCTGTGACTTTAAATTCTGACTCTTGCCACTTACAAGCTGTATAAAAGGAACAAATGGCCTGCTGCTGTGCCGGTTTACCGTTCTGCAAAATGGGGATAATAGTACCTCTTTCACTGCATTGTGAGGATTTAATGGTTTAAAGTGGAAAAGCTTCTGAAATAGTATTTGGCATATAATAAGCACTCCAAACCCTTAGCTAATATTATTCACTTGGTGCTTTCTATAACATATGCAATTTCCTACTTTCCGAGAGTTGCTTGGTATTTGCTGTCTAGTTATTACTCTTCATTTGGCTACAAAGAGGAAGAATAGTGGTGGAAATGTGCTAGTAATCTAGTAGTCATGCTTGTTTCAGGTGTAATTTTGTTCCTGAATTCCAAAATCACCCATAGCTTCAGTAATAGTTCTCTGCTTTACTATGTTCTATTTGGCAGAATGTGATGGAATTCACAGGAGGAAGCAAATTAATTTGCTGGAGTCAGTTTCATGTTACTTAGCAGTCTTTGGAACATTTCCACTTAGAGATTATTAAAATGATCTACCTAGAGTCAACCTGGAATGTTGGTGGGAATACAAGCACCATGCCTTTCCCTCCTTGAGATTTGGACTCGACATCTCTGATCCATATTGTGGGTTATCTTTTATTTTTACTTGGTTTAACTTCAGGCTTTTTGCCTTGTTACACCAAGCCCAGGTTTCATGTGGCTTCCTTACTCACCGCATAATCAGCAGCATTAATTTGAAGAAGGAATTAGCTAAATGTTGGGGACTTCCTGTGTCATATGAAACTTTCAGAACCAACCTGAAACAAACCCAGTTAGGTCTCCCCAGAACACATTTGATTGGCAGTTTGTTGCAAAAAGGGATGGCTCAGGTTTTTAAGTGAATGTTAATTACAGAACGATGTCATGGGGAGCCCACTGAATGTCTTTAACCCATTTTTAAAAAGCAGGTCAAATTCGGCATCTGGAGGATAACTTGTAATTTGGTCGAAAATAATTGAACAAGTTTAACATGAAATTCAATAAAGGGGTCAGGGCTATTCTAGGTTTAAAATTCTGAGACAAATTTGTTCAGACAAGAAAGGCTCTTGTCTGTTGTCCATTATCACCAAGTCCAAGAGAGTACCTGCGTTTTTGTTTCTGCCTTGTAAAAAGAAGATTCTGCTGAATCACTCTTGGTATTTATTTAGAAAGACATAAAAAAAAAAGCCAGTGGTCTCTCTACCGTAACAGGTGAGGTTTGTTGAACTATGGTAGAAGGAATGTAGAATATAGAAAGGTTTCAAGCTCATACCTTCTAGGAAGAAGAAAAACGAGAGTGATTTATGTCACATGCATTCCCCAGCAGCAGACCCTGAGAGAAGATTCACATGTAAGTGACCTATTAAAGATAGTAGCCAGGGAGACCAGTGAGATAGTGGGGCAAGCGGCACAGGGAAGGAGAGCCAGAGCACAGTGGGTAGCTTCATCCTGACCCCACCAAAGAACTCAGGGGTACAGATTGTGCAAGGGAGCAGAGGCTTTTATATTCCTGCCCCCATTAGCCAATGATTAAGAACCATGGGGAGAGTGGGGAGGGCTTTGGGGACAAATTCTCAGACACTCCCAGTTTGCACAGATGAAGGCAAGCAGGCTCCAGTGTTGATTCTCAGGTGTTGGCTGTTGAAGATGAACGCCATGGACATTTCAGAAAATATTTATGTAGAAAAAGAAAGAAAATAAGTAGCGATAATGCTATAACACAACCCAGAGGAAACCATTGTTTACATTGTGGTGTGAGTCCTTCTCACCTTTTAGTCAATGCATATATATGGAAAGATGAAAGCCGTGGACGTGCACAAAATGGTAAAAAAGGACCCAAGGGGACATGGGGAGAGCACTGACCTTGTCCACTACAGAGAGGAAGAGACAGACCAGGAGCAGGAAGGCAGAGGCCAGGGCTCCTTTAATTCCCCCCTGCCTCCCCACTGCCTGAGGCCAAGCTTTAATGGAAGGAGAGGGAAAGGGTGCCTCTAGGAGTATCTGGATGTGAGGGAACCATACAGCATGGGTGTACGCCAAGCTTTTATTGAGGGTAGTCTGGCACTGTTAGGGTGGGGAGAGTTATCAGGTAGAGACGGAGCTGGGGTTCAGTCTCCTTCGTCTCCTTGCAGCAGCAAAGATGTGCAGGGATTCCCTCACGCAGGTGGACTGCACTGGGTTAGATGCCGACTGGGAGTCAGTGGATCCCAGGTGTACATCTTTGCGCCAGTGAGCACCAAGGTGAAACAAACACAAGTCAATCAGCCAGGGAGGGCTGCAAGGTCATAAGGTTGGGGGCATGGCAACGCAGGTGAAGTGGGTCTTTGGTGGAAGGTGTCAGTGGAGCATAAAAAGATGAGCTGGAGCTGTCAGTCCCATTTTCCTCCCTGGGTTCCTTTCTCTTCTGGAGAATGAGAAGGGCCAGGGTAGAGCTTGGAGGAGGGGAGTCAAGAATTGAGAGCTTTGGCCTAGTTCTAGACTTTAAATTCAAGGGTGAGAGATAAAGGGACCTCGGAAATCACTGGAGGAGGAAGGGAGGCAGCCCGGGGGTCCTGACAAAAGCCTCACCTGGGCCCCGAGCAAAAGCACATCTAGCTGTAGGCCCCCTTCTTCTGCCTGCCTTGGGAAGCCGGCAGGGAGAGATGGGCACAGGAGGGTGAGGGACGAGACAGGCAAGACTGTGGATAAGGTGAGATGCAGGTGAGTCTCAATGTCTCCCAGGCCCATTTTTGCAAAGCCTTCCTCCTTTAGTGACCTTGGACGCCTTCATCATAATGCTGTGGCCCCTTTCCCAGGCTGGCTTCACCTAATGTAGAACTGTTTCATCCTGTCCGAGCCTATCAAACATCTCATTTCCTCAGCGCTCTGGTATCAGCTGGCCGGCTTTCTAATTAACATCAAGGCGTTAATACCTTCCTCTCATGCTCACAGTATAATGTGCTTCCTTTTCCAAGGTTATTTGCAAGGGAGAAGGGTACAATCCTTTCGTCTTTGAAAAATAATTTTATCATTTTCTTTCTTATGAAAACACCTCATTTCAGAAAATATTTATGTAGAAAAAGAAAGGAAAAAGATGGCAATAATTCCATAACACAGCCCAGAGGAAGCCATTGTTTACATTGTGGTGTGAGTCCTTCTTACCTTTCAGTCAACGCATATATATGGAAAACATGTACATGTATATGCTAAGTTTATTTGCATTTTAGCAGAGAATTCTTGAGGAGATGGCCAAAGTTCTCAGCCAAAGAAATGAATATGTCCCAGTGAGATTTGCGTTGTCCCCTCTGCTTACATGGACTCTGTAGTGAGCAGGGGCAGGAGTGAGTCCAGTGAACAGCCCGAGATACCTACCCTTTGTTCAACTGGCCTGGGGCTGGTGAGGTGGCAGGCTTGCAGACTCGGACAGCAGGCATTCAAATATAAAGACTTAGGAAAAGCAGGTGGGAGTCATGTTTGGAGCAATCCCAGATGGAGTTCCCAGTGGGTTTTTTTGTCTGGACAGGAATCTGAGTCAATTTTGGTCACTGGCAGCTGGGACACACTCAGCTTTTTTGGTTTATATATTAAGGTGCACCAAGTCTTAAAGATTTGGAAACTTGTAGGGCAATACTTGATTCTTTTGTAGACGTCAAAATTCACCGTGTTCCAGGAACAGCCAAGTTATGTGTCACGGGCTGGTTTTCCAGGAAGCAGGCTCTGGGATGAAGTTTCGTGAGCAGAGAGTTTATTGGGAAGTGCCCTGGAGAATAGCACCTGTGGAGGAAAACAGGCTTGGGCAGAAGGAGAAAATGAGTTGCAATGCGTGCCTGCCAGCTTCCGCTGATCTCACCAGGGCTTTGACATTGGAATGGCCCATCAGAGTCGCCCTGTGTTGGGCCCAGATGGCCTGGCCTTTATTCTCTTTTCCTGCTTCATTGGTCACTGGATGTGGGCTGCCCGGAAGGGTGTGACTTGGGGAGGCAGCTCTCTGCAGCTGAGGCAAACCCTGAAGGAGCTCACAGCTGTTTGGGAAGAGTCGCGAAGGAGAAACAAGACACATTCATGACACGCGTTCATCCCTGCGCCACAGTAGGTGGGCATGAGACAGTCTGGCATGCTGAGGAGAGTGGTGAACTTGGGGGGTGGGATGCAGGCTGTGGTCTAAATCATTGACATCTAATTTATGAAAATACCGTGCTGGCCAAGCAAAACACATTTTGGATTAGCCTCTGTATGTGGCCTCCTATTTAGATCCTCTGTGCTCTAGGGAGAAGGCAGTGTCTCAGCTCCAGCCGTGGCTTACTCGCTGTAAGACCTGGGCCAGATGATGTAATCTCTGCATGTCTCAGTGGCTCATCAAAAAAAAGGAAGGGAATCATAGTTATATCTGCTGTGAAGAGCTGCTATGCAAATTAAATGAAGTAATCCATGGAAAGCACTAAGCACAGCACCAAACACATTGTTAGTACTCAGTCAATGTGATATGCTCTTAGAGTAATTATGACATTGGTTTTGTTTTTTCTTTTTTTTTTTTTGAGAAAGAGTCTTGCTTTGTCACCCAGCCTGGAGTGCAGTGGTGCAATCTTGAGTCACTGTGACCTCCGCCTCCCAGGTTTAAGCAATTCTCCTGCCTCAGCCTCGTGAGTAGCTGGTACTACAGGCATGTGCCACCATGCCTGGCTAATATTTATATTATTTTTAGTAGAGACAAGGTTTCACCATGTTGGCCAGGTTGGTCTCAAACTCTTGCCCTCAAGTGATGTGCTTGCCTTGGCCTCCCAAAGTGCTGAGATTACAGGCGTGAGCGCCTGGCCGACATTGGCTTGTACCTTCGGATTACCAGAAGTTCTTGGTATTTATGATTCTCAAAGTTGATCTTCTGGGCTATCTCTCCTGGCTTCATAACCTGTTCCCATTGCCTACTGGATTTTTCTATCTGGTTCTGACTAACTCAAGGTCAATTACCACCCTGCCACCCAACCCCTTATGAGCTATATCTCCTTCCTGATCTGTTTCTCCACACTTACTGCCTCCCAGATCAGACACTCTCCATGTATTTCAGAGTCACCCAAACTGGAATCTTTAGAGGTGTCTTTTCTACCTCCTTCCTCTGCCTTTCTTTCCAGATTCCGTTACTCACCAAGGCTGCCCTGTTGATTCCATCTTTTAAAGAGTTTCTTACCTTTTCCTCTTTCCCTTGCCTTACTTCACCTCTCATCCCTGTGTCTACTTTTGATGAACTGCATTTCATTCTCCAGATGGCTGCTAAGGAGATTTTTTTTCCAAACCACAACCATGATCATGTTATTCCTCAGCTTACATCCTTCCTACCTCATTGCTTCCAGCAGAAGTGCTAAGCTCCTCAGACTGTTTTGTGATCTGGGCTCTACCTACCTTTCAAGGTTCATCTTTTATCACTCCCCACAGGAGCCCTTGCTACCGCGCCGATCTGCCTGCAGTTCCATGAATGTGCCGTGTTCTATAATTCTGTGCTTTCCCATGCACAGTTGCTTCTGTCTGGCAGGCTTACCTCCCCACTTGCCCATCTTCCTGGAGAATTCTTATTTATCCATGAACTCTTAGTTCATACATCATCTCCTCTGGGATGTCTCCCTGACCTAGTTCAGACTTTGGCATTCTCTTTTTTACAAATCTCCGTCATTCATTTATTTGAAACTTATTTTTTCAACAAACACTTACTGAGTTCTCATGATATGTCAAGCAATCTGATCAATGCAGCTATTGAGTTATTTGTCATATGTCTAACTGCAAATCTCTGAGCCACAAGGACAGTGGCTTTCTTAATTTTGTATTCCTAGTATCTAGCATAGTGCCTGGCATGTAGTAGGTAGTCAAAAATACTGTCTGTATAAATGAAGATAAAGTGCCTGTTGCCTAAATAGTAATCTGGACAGATGATCTGACCAAACACTTTTTTAATATTAATGAATGCATTTATGTAGAATCTTATAAAATTAATTAATTTTTAATTATTCTCCTGGCTATGCGAAAAACAATAAAAGGACACAGAATTGAACAAGTTTCCAAAACTGGTTACTCTGATTAGGGGGTTACTTTCTTTGGGCTTAGTTGGAGGTCCCCTTGAACCTTGGTTTTCTGGGGGTTTATGAGAGTTAGGCCCTTTCCTCATTAGTGTCCTATTCCTTTGAAGGACTAAAATCCATCCTGGTCTGGAAGCAGGAGACCTGGTAGTAGAGATGCTGATCTCACATATAGCTTCCCAGGAATCCACAATTATTTTGCACCATTTTATTGTAGGCCAATTCTACAAGAAGAAAACATTTTCCTTCTTCTCATTTCGCCTTTCATTCCTTCTGTCTTTGAATTTTCTTTTTTATGTGCAGGCAATTATAAGATCTACCTTCATCCTAGGCTTGCTGTGGCACACATAAACTGGTAGCCTTTTGAGGGAGGCACATAGTGGCTGGAGAGGAGCTTTGTTAACATTTAGTAGCTCTCCAGCCCAGCCTCAGTACACAGAGAGATCATCGTGGGTCCTGCCTACAGTCACTTAGGAGTGCTTTATTTCAACTTCTCAGTGGTGATAGTTCCAGACTGAGGCACTTGGGAGTGGTTTATTTGAACTGTGAGCTCTTGTACTTCTGGAATTGGAAGTGTGGCATGAGGCCATCACGTTGGGTAGTGGGTGGTATGCAAGTGCCTGGAAAAGTATCTGTCTTCCTTGACTTCCAGCTGGTCTTTTTCCCCCTGTAAAAGGACTATCAGTGTGGAAAGATACAGAGCCTAAAAGTTGCTATTAATGTAGCGTAACTAATTAGTGATTTAAGGAACTTTGAAAGAACAAGGAGTTCCATAACAAGATGACGTTTACATTAAAAATGATCCCCAGCTGGGGAAATGTACTAGACATGCAGTTTATATAAGGAAAGAACATCCCTCTCTCCCTGATATAGTCCCTGCTGCTTTTAGAAAATAGTTAAGCTTTCTTTGATGGACAGATGATGGATTTATGTCCTATCCAGAATGCTGTAATCAAGAATCCAAGGCTCTCCTTGTTCTGGCTGAAAATGGATAGCTGTATTGTGTGGTGATCTAGTCTTGTTCACAGACGGTGATCACTATCAAGTCGTTTCAGACTAAGATCTATTGTCTTTGTCTCTGAGTTTAAAATTTGAAAATTTCATTTATAAGCCATACCAAGTTTTTACAAATTTAAATAGTTAAATAAAATCTCTTCTGGGTGCAAATATTTCTTCTACAAAACTGTTATATCTTTTTATTCAAGGGGAGGCAAATTTACATATACTCCTTATGTTACCCTTTATGTTTAAGATCAAAGGGCATATGCCTTTCATTTTTGTTTTAAAATATATGTTTGAATGATACATGCATCATAGTATGAAATATTTAACATACAAAATCACATACAATTATTAAGCCTTCCAGAAAATTAAACTACCCAGTCTTTCTATGCTTACTTGGGGTTATTTCCTTGTTATCAGTTTATTCCTCCAGAATTATTCAATGCATATCAGAAATAGAAAATATATATAATATGTTTTTAACATGAAAAATAAGGCCTGCTTTTCCCCTTCACTTAATAATATCTCTTGGAGATGATGGTGGTAAACATCATTGCTGCTCACCCATATTTCCACTTCTCCTCTTGCCTAATTCAGTAGGAAAGCACTTCTAACCCATTGCAGTTAGGTGGCCATATGAGTTCTTTGAATGAATGAAATGTACCCAGAAGTGACACGTGGCACTTCTAGGTAGAAGAATTTAAGAGTAGGTGCATAATTTTCTTTTTCCCTCATAGATGCACCTGCACTATGGTTATGAATTTCTGGAGGATGAATCCAGGTTCCTGAGTGAGGATAACATGGTGCAGGGCATCCTCCTATTCCACAATAGAAAAATAGTTTTGTTGGCTTAAGCTACTAAAGTATTCAGATTGTTTGTTATTGCAGTATAACCTAAGCTATTCTGGGTAATATAGAGATTGTTCTATATTAGTATGTATACAGCTACCTCATTCTTTTAAAAATATAAATAGAAATCTATTGTTTGGTTGTAATATGGTTTATTTGGCTAGCTGCCTATTGATGGATATTTAGTTTTTTCCTAATATTTTGCCTTTACAAACAATGCTGCAGTAAATACCTTTGTAAATTATATTGTTAGAGCTGGATCCTTTTTGATCCTTCTTCTTTGAATGAGATGAGATCTTCTTGGATCCACTATTTGCTGGAATGTGTGTATGTGAGTGTGTGTGTGTGTGTGTGTGTATGTATGTATGTATTTGGAAAGAGGTTGTGGTCAGGTCATGTTTAGGCTGCCAAGAATTCTTTCTTTCACAGTAACATTTCTTATGAGATGGAATAGTATGTAGTATTACTTCCATGAGATGGAAGTAACATAATCCTTACTTCCTTTCAGCCAAAAAGAATGAGCGACTGTATCTACCCTGCCTCATGGGCACACTGCTTCCTACAAATATGGCATGATTATTAGTTTATCATTTAGCTTTGCCTTCCTTGCTTCTCCTTGGTGCTATTCTGATCATCAGAGCTTATTCTAAATCAGGAATTATTGGTTTTTCCCACTAGTATATATCGCCTACTTTGCAGTCTGTGCTTTGCCACTTTTGCTGAGATTTGCCACACAGGCATTCTCTTGCAGCATCTTCCTGCACCCTCTTTGACACTCACTGCCTTTGGCTGCTCCTCCTCATATTTTGTATGTTGGGGCTCACATATGTCTTCTAGTTTCATCAAAGATGTGGTTTTATTTGTGTTTTCTTTTATCTTTGTTTTGGGGTGGTTTCTAAGAGAAGAAGGGGGTAGTGCCAGCTTTATTATGTCATTTTAAAATCAGAAATTTCCTCTAACTTAAAAAATTCTCAGTTGTCACTCATTATTTTTAAACCTATGCTAAGTCCAGGAAAGCTAATGTAACTTGATTCGGGAGTTACTAGTCTATGAAATGTGCAATTTTTGCAAAATATGAAATTTGCAATTTTTGCAGTTAAAAAATCCTAGAAGATCAGCAATTTCATGTGGCCCAAATGAATATGCTAAGAGTCTGTTCATCGTGGAAAACACTTAGTGCATTTTCTGCTAAATACGAAGGCATGGGAACTTCTTCTGACAGTTGCTGTTGACCACAGCCCTCTCTGTCTCGCCTTGGTACTATGCCATGAGGGGCCCAGGCACACTGATGCATGACATTCTGACTGGCATTATGGCCTCATATTTGAAAGTCTAGACCTGGCTCTCTTTGGCATGAAGCACAGAGTAGGGTAAAAATTCTGTTTTTTTTTTAAATGCTAAGCAACTAAATTGATACTATAGTTTGTATTTTCTTTATTTCAAGACCAACCATAACATATTGTATAGAGAGCATGTAAATTATTTGCTTCCAAACGGCAGCATTCCCTACATGAGAATGTAATCCTTACTAGAAATAGTTAAATAACAAACCCTAGAATACTGCGTTTGAGTCTGGGAGTGACAGGTAGACTTTTCATGGTGTTATCCAAGAAATAATAATACAGTAGATGACTTCTATGTGATTGTTTGATTTTTTTTGGCTAGCATTCTATCATTCTGGTTCTCATTCTAAGAGCCAGAGTGTGTTGTTTCATTGTCCCTGTGTTTGTTATATCGGGGGTGTAGCAATTGTGATCCATGTTCCACTGGCCTCACTGTTCCTGAAAAGGCAACTGCTTCTTACTGCAAGTACCTGCAGCTCTCTGTGGATGGCTACAGGAACATACTTGGCCCATGCACAGGGCAGGCAAGTAGTGCTGGAGAGTTAACACTCCTAGGAGCAGTCCTGGATCAGGGATAGATGGGAACTGGTGGATAAATAGCCCAGCTTTCCTGAGCCACAGCTGGGAACACCCAGTTCTATGAAGTTTCCCAGAGTTCCCCAGTGGGATTGAGCCCCACTTGTTCACAGTGATAGTCAGCTCACTGACACACTTATTTTAGTTTCCTTTCTTTCTCTGTCTAGTATGAGGGGTGTCCCAATCTCTTGGCTTCCCTGAGCCACATTGCAAGAAGAATTGTCTTGGGCCACACATAAAATACACTAATGTTAATGATAGCTGATGAACTAAAAAAAGAAAAAAATCACAAAAAAATCTAATAATGTTTTAAGACAGTTTACAAATTTGCATTGGGCCACATTCAAAGCTGTTCCGGGCTGCAGGTTGGATAAGCTCAGTCTAGTTTCTTCCTCCCTTATGAGGCTTTCTGGGATCACTTCCCAAATAAGGTTCTTCTACCCAATCCATGTATCAGGCTATCCTTCCAGGAGACCGTAATGTAAGGCAGCTGGTATCAGGAGAGGTCCTAGTGGGCAGATCCTTAGGATCAGATCCTAATGTTGGGTCATCCTCTGGCTGGCCAGTGGGCAACAAGGGCTTCATTGCTGGGGTTCATGTGGCACTTGTGGAGTCCTGATAAGATAAGTAAGCGACAACCAGGGAGAAGCCCCAGGTGGTGGAGAAAAATTATTGTGAAAAATGGCTAACTATAAACAACCTGGCTGCACAACATTCTGTTCCCACATACCTCTTTCCACATGTAGCCCCTCCAGCATAGCCATATAAAACTTCCCTCCAGCCCCTGTCTCTTTGCAGATAGCATCTTCTCTGCTGTGCTGCCCATTGCATTCTTGCAATGTATCTTTGTACTTTCTCTAATAAATCTGCCTTTCTTTACCTACAACTGTCTTGGTAAATTCTTTTACCACTTGTGTCACCAGCCCTAGCCAGTCACACCTGCAACAGTACTGATAGCCCTTGGTGTCTTATAGCTCAAACGTATTAAAACTGTTACCTGGGGTGGATTGGGTAGAGTGCAGAGAGAAGGGGAGGCATAGGCTTATCTAATAGTTCTAGTGCTTGAAAGATGTGGTCCATGGTGATTAATGGGCTGTAGAACAGTTGGCTGGTGTTAATGGCCGTAGAAACCCTGAAGGAAGAAAATGACATGCCGAGACTAGCCAACTATCAACTCAGGGCACAGCGTAAAAACTAGAAGGCCTTTAAGGCAGCAGTTTTGGTGTGTCCTGATGTCCTGAAGCAAGAGGGCAGGCTGTGCTGAAAATCAGGCAAAAGTTTTGGTTGTAAGTGTGATAAAGTAACAAAGGAGGCTGAACCAACAATCCTAGAAAGTCTCCTGTGCTAAAATAAAGGCCCTGGTAAGGAAAGGGTCAATCACTAAGATATGGGATGAGGGTATTTGGATATAAGCCCCAAGGTCCCCCTAACTGCTCTGGGCTTGCAGAAATGGAAAAGAGCAGCCTCCTATTGATCAATGTATTCATTTCCTAGAGCTGCTGTCACAAGTTATCACAAAGTGCATGGCTTAAAACAACAGAAATGTATTCTTTCATAGTTCTGGAAGCAAGAAGTCTGAAATTAAGGTGTTGGCAGTGTTGGTTCCTTCTTGGAGGCTCTGAGGGAGAATATGTTCCTTGCCTCTCTCTCTCCCAGCTTCTGGTGCCAGTACCCCTTGGCATCCCTTGGCTTGTAGGTGCCTCACTCCATTCTTTGCTTCTGTCTTCACATGGCGTTTTCCCCTGTGTCCATGTGTCTTCTACACTTCTTCTAAGGACACTAGTCCTATCGGATTAAGGCTCACTCTAGTCCAGTATGACCTCATTTAAGTTGATCACCTCTACAAAAACCTTATTTCCAAAAAAGGTCACATTCACAGATATTGGTAGTTAGGGCTTTATACTTTCGAGGGGATACGATTCAACCTACACCATCTGGAGACCATGTAAATGGAGGCTCCACAATATGGTATTCATCTTTCTCAAGATCTGCCCCCTGTCATTTTTTCTAAACCAATGACTAGGATCATGTTCCAGCATGGCCCAAGGGGGGACACTTTCCCTATCATGAAAAGAAAAGGATTATTCATCAAAAGAACTACAGGATAGGGCTCATATAACCAGCAAGAACAGGAAGAGTAATACTGGAAATTGATCTTGAGAATTTGGATCAAGGAAGGCAGAATATAAAAATAATAGGATAGTGTTTGATATGGGGCAGAATTTTATATATTGGCAAGGACACTCAGAGCCATTCCTCATATGCTGATGGGATGGCCCCTTGAAGCTTGGAAACAACAGTGGCATCCAGTGAATGAGGTAGACATGCTAGAATTGCCTTGGCAGATTTTAAAGAAAGGGGTCAAAGGCTTAGAAAGCTGGTTCTGTTAGAATCAGAACTGTGATGTGGACATAGACCTTGATAATTAAAGAATAAAACAATCTGGTTAGAATTGATCACAGACATTTCTCTTTATTTCACTAAAACTTTCTTCAATTCATTATTGCAAAGAGTTAGAATCAATGTCCAATACAAATTATAATTAAAGCTGTACGTATTTAAAACTCTACTTATCGAAGTAGAGCAACTACCTTCTGCCCTGTCTGCTCTTATTGGTGGAGTCTATGTCATAACACTGAAATTCTCTAACTGTTTCTAGAAGGCTTGGAGTCAGGAGTTTTGCAAAGTTCTTTAGCTGCCTTATCACCTGAAGTTTAAGAAGTTCTCTCTTAGCTACTACCTTGGGATCCAGAGAGATATATCCACTTGTGTACCACGGATTCTCAGGGGAGACTCTTTGGCAGAAGCTGCCTGGTAAATCAAGTGGTCAGCTCCTTGGGCTTACAGCCATGAATTTCATTTTCCATGTACACAAGTTTCCCTGCATTTTCTAATGCCTTTTATCTTCCTCCTAAACCTTGAGTTGAAAGCAGCTGCTTAGCTTTCACCACATATGCAGATGCATTTATTAAAAACTTAGTTATATTCTGATCTCTATTAAATATTGGATTTGTAACTCACTGCAGAATTCTGCAGGAATAAATGAACTGAAATTATATTCTTCCTTTCAACGGTGACATGGAATCTTCAGTTACAGTATGTGAGGTGGGTAGTTGTGGAAGCAAAAACAAGCTCCTACTGTGAGAGCAAGAAAGATGCTGCCTGTATTACAACTGAGCCACCTGGCCTGGGAAATACAGTGACAACTTAATTGAACAATTGGTTCTGCAACTGGTGGACTTTTACATTTTCTGAACAAGACCATCAATTACCATAAAAACAGAACATAGCATGTTTCTTGCAGTTGAAGCAATACATAACAATTAAGGGATGGAATCTATTGTGTATAGAACCCCCCCCCCCCAAAAAAGATGAAACCCAAATTCTGACTGAGTCTGTGGAAATTCAGTTCATTTTCTTACCAGAATCCTTCTTGTGAAAACTGATCAGAGCTTACCTTGCTGCTTTTCTGTGCCACTTACGGAATTTGAGGTGATGACTTTGGCCCTGACATCCTCTTGCCAAATTCTCCCTTGTTCTACTTGCCACACCTATTTTTGGCTAGCCTCTGAGATATCCCACCTGGAGGCTGCTAACCAAAGCTACAGGCAAGATGTTGCCTACAGATCTGGCATGATGTGGAGGTGGATGAGCAGATTATGCAGCAGGCAATGCATGGAGAGACTGACAACAACAGCAAATTCCAAGTGTTTCTAAGTCATCATCTGGGCTCAACTAGCATGTAGCACATAATTCACCAATCACCTACAATTTATATTAGATGCACATAGTTTAGATTAAAAAGAAGCAGGCTGAGTGAGATGGCCAAATAGGAACAGCTCCAGTCTGCAGCTCTTAGCGAGATCAATGCAGAAGGCAGGTGATTTCTGCATTTCCTACTGAGGTACCTGGCTGATCTCATTGGGACTGGTTAGACAGTGGGTGCAGCCCATGGAGGGCAAGCTGAAGCAGGGTGGGGCATCACCTCATCCAGGAAGTGCAAGGGGTCAAGGAACTTCCTCCCCTAGCCAAGGGAAGCTGTGAGGGACTGTGCCGTGAGGAACAGTGCACTCCAGCCCAGATACTACGTTTTCTCACAGTCTTCACAACCCATAGACCAGGAGATTCCTTCAGGTGCCTACACCACCAGGGCCCTGGGTTTCAAGCACAAAACTGGTGGCTGTTTGGACAGACACTGAGCTAGCTGCAGGAGTTTTTTTTTCATACCCTAGTGGCTCTTGGAATGCCAGTGAGACAGAACCATTCACTCCCCTGGAAAGGGGGCTGAAGCCAGGGAGTCAAGTGGTCTAGCTCAGCAGATCCCATCCCCACAGAACCCAGCAAGCTAAGATCCACTGGCTTGCCATTCTCGCTGCCAGCACAGCAGCCTGAGCTTGATCTAGGACTATCGAGCTTGGTAGTGGGAGGAGCGTCCACCACAACTGAGGCTTGAATAGACTGTTTTCCCCTCACAGTGTAAACAAAGCTGCATGGAAGTTTGAACTGGGTGGAGCCCACCACAGCTTGGCAAAGCTGCTGAAGCCAAACTGCCTCTCTAGATTCCTCCTCTCTGGGCAGGGCATCTCCGAAAGAAAGGCAGCAGCCCTAGTCAGGGGCTTATAGATAAAACTCCCATTTCCCTGGGACAGAACACCTGGGGGAAAGGGCGGCTGTGGTCGCAGCTTCAGCAGACTTAAATATTCCCGCCTGCTGGCTCTGAAGAGAGCAGTGAATCTCCCAGCACAGGGCTTGAGCTCTGCTAAAGGACAGACTGCCCCCTCAAGTGGGTCCCTGACCCCCATTCCTCCTAACGGGGAGACATTTCCAAGCAGGGATCGACAGACACTTCACACAGGAGAGCTCTGGCTGTCATCTGGTGAGTGGCTATCTGGGACAAAGCTTTCAGAGGAAGGAACAGGCATCAATCTTTGCTGTTCTGCAGCCTCCACTGGTGATACCCAGGCAAACAGGGTCTGGAGTGGACCTCCAGCAAACTCCAGCAGACCTGCAGCACAGGGGCCTGACTGTTAGAAGGAAAACTAACAAAAAGAAACAAATAGCATCAACATTAACAAAAAGGACATCCACACAAAAACCCCATCTGAAGGTCACCAACATCAAAGACCAAAAGTAGATAAATCCATGAAGATGAGGAAAAACTAGCGCAAAAAGGCTGAATATTCCAAAAACCAGAATGGCTCTTCTCCTCCAAAGGATCACAACTCTTTGCCAGCAGGGGAACAAAACTAGACGGAGAACGAGTTTGATGAATTGACAGAAGTAGCCTTCAGAATGTGGGTAATAACAAACTCTTCTGAGCTAAAGGAGTAGGTTCTAACCCAATGCAAGGAAGCTAAGAAACTTGAAAAAAGGTTAGAGGAATTGCTAACTAGAATAACCAGTTTAGAGAAGAACATAAATGACCTGGTGGAGCTGAAAAACACAGCATGAGAACTAGGTGAAGCATACACAGTATCAATAGCTGAATCGATCAAGCAGAAGAAAGGATATCCAAGATTGAAGATCAACTTAATGAAATAAAGTGTGAAGACAAGATTAGAGAAAAAACAATGAAAAGGAACAAACAGAGCCTCCAAGAAATATGGGGCTATGTGAAAAGGCCAAACCTACATTTGACTGGTGTACGTGAAAGTGATGGGGAGAATGGAACCAAGCTGGAAAACACTCTTCAGGATATTATCCAGGAGAACTTCCCCAACCTAGCAAGGCAGACCAACATTCAAATTCAGGAAATACAGAGAACACCACAAAGATACTCCTCGAGAAGAACACCTCCAAGACACATAATCATCAGATTCACCAAGGTTGAAATGAAGGAAAAATGTTAAGGGCAGCCAGAGAGAAAGGCCAGGTTACCCAAAAGGGAAGCCCATCAGACTAACAGCAGGTCTCTCTGCAGAAACCCTCTCAGCCAGAAGAGGGTGGGGGCCAATATTTGACACTCTTAAAGGAACAAATTTTCAACCCAGAATTTCGTATCCAGCCAAACTAAGCTTCATAAGTGAAGGAGAAATAAAATCCTTTACACACAAGCAAATGCTGAGAGATTTTGTCACCACTAGGCCTGCCTTACAAGAGCTCCTGAAGGAAGCACTAAATATGGAAAGGAAAACCCAGTACCAGCCACTGCAAAAACATACCAAAATATAAAGACCAATGAAACTATGAATAAACTGCATCAACTAATCTGCACAATAACCAGCTGGCATCATGCCAGGATCAAATTTACACATAACAATATTAACCTTAAATGTAAATAAGCTAAATGCCCCAATTAAAAGACACAGACTGGCAAACTGGATAGAGTCAAGACCCACAGGTGTGCTGTATTCAGGAGACCCATCTCACAAGCAAAGACACAGATAGGCTCAAAATAGAGGGATGGAGGAATATTTACCAAGCAAATGGAAAACAAGAGCAGGAGTTGTAATCCTAGTCTCTGATAAAACAGACTTTAAACCAACAAAGATCAAAAAAGGCAAACAAGAGCATTACATAATGGTAAAGGGATCAATGCAACAAGAAGAGCTAACTATCCTAAATATATATGCACTCAATACAGGAGCACCCAGATTCATAAAGCAATTTCTTAGAGACCTACAAAGAGACTTAAACTCCCACACAATAATAGTGGGAGACTTTAACACCTCACTGTCAATATTAGACAGATCAGTGAGACAGAAAATTAATAAGGATATTCAGGAGTTGAACTCAGCTCTGGACCAAGTGGACCTAATAGACATCTACAGAACCCTCCACGCCAAATCAACAGAATATACATTATTCTCAGCACCACATAGCACTTATTATAAAATTGACCACATAATTGGAAGTAAAACACTCCTCAGCAAAGGCAAAAGAACAGAAATCATAACAAACAGTCTCTCAGACTACAGTGTGATCAAATTAGAACTCAGGGTTAAGAAACTCACTCAAAACCACACAACTACATGGAAACTGAACAACCGGCTCCTGAATGACTATTGGGTAAATAAAGAAATTAAGGCAGAAATAAATAAGTTCTTTGAAACTAATGAGAACAAAAACACAGCATACCAGAATTTCTGGGACACAGCTAAAGCAGTGTTAAGAGGCAAATTTATAGCACTAAATGCCCACATCAGATAGTGGGAAAGATCTAAAATTGACACGTAACATCACAATTAAAAGAACTAGAGAAGCAAGAGCAAACAAATTCAAAAGCTAGCAGAAGACAAGAAATAACTAAGATCAAAGCAGAACTGAAGGAGATAGAGACATGAAAAACCCGTCTAAAAATCAGTGAACCCAAGAGCTGGTTTTTTGAAAAGATTGACAAAATAGATAGACTGCTAGCCAGACTAATAAGAAAAGAGAGAAGAATTAAATAGACACAATAAAATATGATAAATGGAATATCACCACTGATTCCACAGAAATACAAACTACCATCAGAGAATACTATAAACACCTCTACGCAAATAAACTAAAAAACCTAGAAGAAATGGATAAATTCCTGGACACATACACCCTCCCAAGACTAAACCAGGAAGAAGTTGAATCCCTGAATAGACCAATAACAAGTTCTGAAATTGAGGCAGTAATTAATAGCCTACCAACCAAAAAAAAAAAAAAAACCCAGGACCAGACGGATTCACAGCCAAATTCTACCAGAGGTGTAAAGAGGAGCTGGTGCCATTCCTTCTGAAATTATTCCAAACAATAAAAAAAGAAGGACTCCTCCCTAACTCATTTTAGGAGGCTAGCATCATCCTGATACCAAAACCTGGCAGATACACAACAAAAAAAGGAAATTTCACACCAATATCCCTGATGAACATCTATGCAAAAATCTTCAATAAAATACTGGCAAACCAATCCAGCAGTACATCAAAAAGCTTATCCACCACAATCAAGTCTGTTTCGTCACTGGGATGCAAGGCTGATTCAACATACGCAAATCAAAAAACATAACCCATCACATAAACAGAACCAATGACAAAAAACACATGATTATCTCAACTGATGCAGAAGAGGACCTTGATAAAATTCAACACCCTTCATGCTAAAAACACTCAATAAACTAGGTATTGATGGAACATATCTCAAAATAATAAGAGCTATTTATGACAAACCCTTAGCCAATATCATACTGAATGGGAAAAGGCTAGAAGCATTCCATTTGAAAACTGACACAAGGCAAGAATGCCCTCTCTCACCACTCCTATTCAACATAGTATTGGAAGTTCTGGCCAGGGCAATTAGGCAAAAGAAAGAAATAAAGTGTATTCAAATAGGAAGAGAGAAAGTCAAATTGTCTCTGTTTGCAGATGACAAGATTGTATATTTAGAAAACCCCAACATCTCAGCCCAAAATCTCCTTAAGCTGATAAGCAACTTCAGCAAAGTCTCAGGATACAAAATCAATGAGCAAAAATTACAAGCATTCCTATACACCAATAATAGACAGAGAGCCAAATCATGAGTGAACTCCCATTCACAATTGCTTCAAAGAGAATAAAATACCTAGGAATCCAACTTACAAGGGATGTGAAGGACCTCTTCAAGGAGAACTACAAACCACCGCCCAAGAAAATAAGAGAGGACACAAACAAATGGAAAAACATTCCATGCTCATGGATAGGAAGAATCAATATCGTGAAATGGCCATACTGCCCAAATAGATTCAATGCTATCTCCATCAAGCTACCACTGACTTTCTTCACAGAATTAGAAAAAATTACTTTACATCTCATATGGAACCAAAAAAGAGCCTGGATAGCCAAGACAATCCTAAGCAGAAAGAACAAAGCTGGAGGCATCACGCTGCCTGACTTCAAACTATACTACAAGGCTACAGTAACCAAAACAGCATGGTACTGGTACCAAAACAGATACATAGACCAATGGAGCAGAACAGAGGTCTCAGAAATAACACCACACATCTACAACCATCTGATCTTTGACAAAGCTGACAAAAACAAGCAGTAGGGAAAGGACTCCCTATTTAATAAATGGTGCTGGGAAAACTGGCTAGCCGTATGTATAAAGCTGAAACTTCCCTACACCTTATACAAAAATTAATTCAAGATGGATTAAAGACTTAAATGTTAGACCTAAAAACCATAAAAACCCTACAGGAAAACCTAGGCAACACCATTCAGGAAATAGGCATGGACAAAGACTTCATGACTAAAACAGCAAAAGGAATTGCAACAAAAGTCAAAATTGACAAATGGGATTAATTAAACTAAAGAGCTTCTGCACAGCAAAAGAAACGATCATCAGAGGAAACAGGCAACTTACAGAATGGGAGAAAATTTTTGCAGTCTATTCATCTGACAAAGGGCTAATATCCAGAATCTACAAGGAACTTAAACAAATTTACAGGAAAAACACAAACAAACCCATCAAAAAGTGGGCAAAGGATATGAACAGACACTTCTCAAAAGAAGACATTTATGTGGCCAACAAACATAAGAAAAATAGCTCATCATCACTGGGCATTAGAGAAATGCAAATCAAAACCACAATGAGATACCATCTCATGCCAGTTAAAATGGCGATCATTAAAAAGTCAGGAAGCAACAGATGCTGGAGAGGATGTGGAGAAATAGGAATGCTTTTACACTGTTGGTGGGAGTGTAAATTAGTTCAACCATTGTGGAAGACAGTGTGGTGATTCTTCAAGGATTTAGAACCAGAAATACCATTTGACCCAGCAATCCCATTACTGAGTATATACCCAAAGGATTATAAATCATTCTACTATAAAGACACATGCACATGTATGTTTATTGCAGCACTATTCACAATAGCAATGGCTTGGAACCAGCCCAAATGTCCATCAATGATAGACTGGATAAAGAAAATGTGGCACATATACACCATAGAATACTATGCAGCCATAAAAAAGGATGAGTTCATGTCCTTTGCAGTGACATGGATGAAGCTGGAAACCATCATTCTCAGCAAACTAACACAGGAACAAAAAACCACACACTGCATGTTCTTATTCATAAGTGGGAGTTCAACAATGAGAACACATGGACGCTGGGAGGGGAACTCACACACTGGGTTCTGTCAGGTGGTGGGGGGCTGCGGGAGGGATAGGGTTAGGAGAAATACTTAATGTAGATGATGGGTTGTTGGGTGCAGCAAACCACCATGGCACATGTCTACCTATGCAACAAACTTGCATGTTCTGCACATGTATCCTAGAACTTAAAGTATATGAAAAAAAAAAAAAAGCAGGCTGAATGCATAGCTAATCTCAAAAAGTGCTCTGTTATGGACAGAGCCACATTAGGCTGTTAGGAGACACCAAATATTTTGCTCTTTGTTATCATCGATGACTACATGAAATCTTACCTGTTGCTATATTTGTATGTACCATTACATTCAAACACAAATAATGACAGCCAACATCCTACTGAATGTTTAGTAGACACTTGGCACTTTCTAATGCTTTACAAGTATTAATTGATTTAATTCTATGCTCTATATCAAACCTGTGAATTAGATACTGTTATTATCTTCATTTCACAGATGAGAAATTGAGTTAGAGTGGTAAAATAATAAGACTGAAGCCTAGCAATCACAAAGTGGAGAGCCGGGATTTGAACAAAAGCAGCCAGCTCCGGAGCTCACGTACTTCATCATTTCTACGTCCTGGTTGATAGCAATCCCTTTTACTCACTATTTTGCCTGAAATGATTTGCTCATACTGTTATGGCACTGAGCTCAAGACAGCAAGATGGTGGGTGCACCCACCCCACTCCACGTGTGTTAGTGTCATTCTTTCCCACTGCTTACATTGCACTGTTAAGGCTGGCTCTCTGCTTACCATTAGGAGCCAAAGTGAGAGGGTAGGACGGTTCAGTATGACTCCAATCCCATTAATGGAAAAACAACACCAATTGTGTGCTCAATGAGAGTCAGTAGGATTAACTTTATCTTTGTACAGATTTACTAATTCCCAAATTGAACATTCAAATGAGGACTCTTCAGCTCATTTCCTTCCATTTAATGGGAAGAGGCAGGAATCATAAAGGGTGCGATGTGAGACAAGACAGCCACGTGACACAAATGGCAATTTCTATTTGAGAGAAGTTCTGCCCCATTGGCTTAGATGGAGAAAATAATGGTATGAAGGGGCAAATAAAATTTCTGGTATTAGAGTTTTAAGGGATTATAATTTATTATAAACTCCTCTGTTTTTCCTGCCTAAGTTCAAAACTGAAGGATGGAAGCAAGAGAAAGGTTAATGCTAAGAGCCACCCTTGCTTTAGACAGGCATTTTCACCAGACGTGGAACAGGAGGGCGATAGCTGGCTTCCTTGCATGGACACACCCCTCATCTCCTAGGAAAGTGCCCGGAACATACCTCTCTGCAGCCAGGCTGGCTGTCAGAGAAACCAACCAGGGGCTGAGAGGAGCATGCCCAGATCATTTTTCCGAGCTCGTCCGTCAGACAATTCACTTCTTCAGGGGATGGGAAGGGGACTGAGGAGTGGGACAAGTGACCAGCTGTGTTAGTCTAGTTGATATTCTTCTCTCTAGAAACATAAGGAGATGAGGAGTGGGAACACATGGCAACCTTCACTAACTCCAGGTTGTTTTGTATTGTATATGGTAACTGCAGTAGAACAGTAGGAATCTGATTACCATCATAATGAGACTATAACACTGCTAAATTAAGTTTAGCCTAAAGCCACTTCCTTACATATTTTAAGTTTGAAGAGGTTTCTCCATACATAGTGAACTGTAACCCAATGTGCAAACAGAAGTGCAAGCAACCTACTCTTGTAACAAGAGCTAATCACAGCAGACAAGTTTAGACCAATCACAGGCAGTAGACTGTTCAAGCCGTGTTCAAATAAGGTAAACTCCAAGCTGTAGCCAGTCTGGCTGTTTCTGCACCTTACTTCTGTTTTCTGTATGTCATTTTCCTTTTTCTGACCATAAATGTGATCCAACCACGAGATAGCCCCCAGGTCGCTCTGGCCCTATTCTGGTTCTGGGTGTTGCTCTATTTACAAATTGTTTTTTGCTCAATTAAACTTTGTCTAAAGTTTTCCTTTTACCAACACAGAAATACACAAGACAGAAACACACATTGGGAGGCTAACAGGGCAGAGAGGCTTTTTGATGTCCAGTGTGGGCTGGTAAGTAGGGGAGGAGTAGAGGCCCTAAGGAGATCCTGCAGGGACCCTCTGAGCATTCCATGGAAAGTTATGGCAATAGACAGGAAGAAGGTGCAATGGTCCAAAACTATTGCTTTGCTACAAGAAAATATTACATTTGTTCTTCCTTTCCAATTATTGGAAACTGTAGAGGTACAAGTAGAAGATTTTAAAATAAGACAACCAATTATACAGTGGAAGACGAGACATTAAAAAATAAGCTGGATGCAGTGGCTCATGCCTGTAATCCCAGCACTTTGGAAGGTGGAGGCAGGAGGATCACTTGAAGCCAGGAGTTTGAGATCAGCCTGGCCAATAAAGGGGGACCCTGTCTTTACGTAAAATATATTATGCAAGCATGATGGTGTGTGTCTATAGTCCTGGCTAGTAGGAGACTGAGGTGGGAGGATCACTTGAGCCTGGGAGGTTGAGGCTGCAGTGAGCCATGATACACACTACTGCATTCCAGTCTGGGTGACAGAGCAAGATCCTGAAGAAGATGCCCCAAGAAGATGCATTAATTCTTCTGCCTTGTGCATGAGGTAGAGGACAGACATGAATGGGAAACCTGGGGAATTTGGGACTTCCTGTGAAAATTTGAGAATTCCTGTGGCTTTTCTAATTGTTATTACTAAACTTTTATAATGTTTATTTTCCAAAACCCTTGGTAAGGTTATTGGTGGATATTTTAGCTATTCTTAAGGTGATTCAGAGGAGGTAGTGGTGAGAATCAACATATCCCATGATACCAGTTATCTGGAGAATGCAGGTAAACTGAAATTGACACAGTTCTTTATGAAATAAACAGAGATTTATGTATTCATTTGTCTTTGACACAGAGAAGAACTTAGAATGCTTCTGGTGAGTGCCACATTAACGGTCCTGTCACAGCCTTAATCTCTCTGTGCTTTGGATTCCTGTTTAAGAAATGTCCTGGTATTTTTTTATATAAAAATGTAAGAGTGAGTCTCTACAAGCACCTGATGTTGCTTAGAAGAAGGAAAATACTTTTACTTGAGGCTTCTATAAGTAACACGAGAAGACTTTGTAAATTCTAAATACAAATGTAAAAGCATTTGGCTTTAAACATTTCATTGGCATGACTTTTCTTTTTATGTGTCATAGCTTGCTTATTACCGTAGATGTGACATCTTACCTAGGCCCTGCTTTTAGGCTCCACGTAAGGATAGTCACAATTGTCCTCCTCCTCCACATTTTTCTCTTGAATAATGTCTTCACTCTCCCAAAATATACATGACAACACGTGGCTAGCAACTCCTCAGTGAGCTACAGGAGCCCCATTCTAGCCTTATTCCTTTACATGGCCAAAGCTTTCTTGGAGGATGATTACCTATAGTTTAATATATTGCCTTTTACTTGAGTTTATGGGCACAGAAACGCATGATACACCAGCCTTCCCTTCTCCTCGCTGTTTTCCTTTTAGGGGAGTTAGCAGAATATTGCATGTTGCCAGAAGAGACCTCCCATGGTGCAGTCTCCTTGTTCACAGCACGGAAGCTGCCAGAATAGGAAACAGAGTGGGAAGACGGAGCAGTGGAGCGAGGGTGGCCCAGGACACGCGAGGGGCCCGCCATAGCCATCCAGCCTGGTCCTGAGACCTGAGTAAGTGGTGCTCCAGAAAAGAAACTGGGCATTTTAGTTACCTGTTAGCCCTTTCATTTGTGCAGGTGATGTGTTCTTAGTCCCATTTTGATTAATAATTAACATTCGCTCAGTTTACAAAACACTTTTCCTTGTGTTATTTTATTGGGCCTTCTCAACAACCTGGAATATATTTATCATCTTTTTACCGGATAGGGGAAGAGAACTGAGGTTCAAAGAAATTAATCCAAAGCCATGAAAGCCAGTAGGTGGGAAAAACAGAACTTGAATTTAGGTTTTCTGGTTCCAAATTCTATGTTTTTTCTATGAAAAACACCCTCTCCCTTACCCTGATGATTTCAAGTAAACTAAAATTTTAAGCCATGTTCAATTTCTAAGAAGAGATAAAAAATATTTTTTGAGCACACACTATGTGCCAGGCATTGCATTGTGTGGTTTTCCTACTTTATATCCTCGAGTCCCCACACAAACTCTATGAGTTATGCACCGTCATCCCCATTTTACAGATGAGGAGGTAAGTACCTTGACCGAAGTCACATGGCTTGTAAGTGGCAGAATTGGGATTTGGATGCCAGTCTTGTGCTCTGATGCTCTGCTCTTAATTACGGCATTATGTTGCCTCCCTAAGAGCTGGTTTAATCTCGATGACATTGAGAGTCGTCTTTGAAGCCAGTAAGTGAGAAATTGGAGGGAGAAGTCCCATAGGTGCCTGGAAAACACAGTAATGGATCCTTAAAGAACTCATGGCAGGCAGGGCTCTCTTGCTCACAGGCAACCTGATATGCTGATGCAGGAAAGTATGTGGTGTGTTGTCCTGGGGTGAAGCCCAGGGGCTTGGAAAGACTTCCAGCTTTTACCGTTTGTCCTTTTAAAGGCAATTAGAAGACAGAAAGGCTGCTTAGGAAACTATAAGCTCATGAGCTGATTTTAAAACATCCAAGGACAAGCTACCATGTCTGAAAGTAATTCAACACCTTTGGTTAGCGAATTCTTCTTGTAGTGGTAATGCTAGGGACAATGACACTTAGTGGTTTTTTTGTTTATTTTAGCATGTAAAAATTTAAGGTGCCATCTTGGATTATACCTTGAGTATGTGTGATTTTGAAAAAGTGAAGTTGCATCTTTTGCTCCAGATCTAGTCTCATTATTATAGCAACAAAGAACTCCAGCAGTAAGATATTTTCTTGCAGTCTCTTAGTAATGACACTTGCTTTGGGAAAGTTCTAGGGAGCCATAATTACAATGCACCTGCGGAAGAAAACATGATTTACTGTTTTGTTCACTAACTTGAAAATCTTGAGAAAGTGCGAATTTCCCATGAGTTGGCTCAGTCTGGCCTCTGCTTTTGTGGATTCCTGACATTGGTATGTTGTAACACACCTGTTTGATCAAAATTGGTGTTGCAGTTATGTTTTGGAGGGTAAAAGAAGGTAGGAGAAGCATTTTGCTTTAGCAAATTGTGAAATACAAATTCCTGTATGGAAGGTGAGTACATGATTATTGTGCAAGTCGGGATGCTTTTGGAAGTGAAAGAGGGCACTTTGCCTCATTATACCAGACAATACCCTAGATCACAACTGTCCCAGAGAAATGGGACATATGCTCACCCTGCTTTCCTGAGTCTTAGTTTGCAAGGAAGGGGTTTCTCTAAACCCAATGCCAGGTGTTGTCAATTATGTACACCCATCACCCTCCTTTCTTCTAGGATGAGCCATAGAGGTATCTAGGGATTATCTTGATATAGAAATGTCATGCACTGTTTTACTACTCTGATATCCTCTCCAGGCCATCCTGTCTTGGGCAGTTTACTTCCTTGCCTAAGAAATACCAATCACTCTGCCCCTCTTGCCTAAGAAGCAAGATGTGATGGATAGCAGGCTGCACTGGCTCCGCTAAGTCAGAAATCATGGGTTTGAACCTTGGTGCTGCTTCTTTCCCTCCGTGCAAACTTAGAGAATTTACTTTCTTTTCTTTGAAACGCAGTTCTCCATTCTGTGGAATGGGGTTGATGATTAATACCTATCCAGTCTATCTTTGTGGTTCATTGTAAGGGTCAGGGAGCAGAAGCGTGTGATAAACAGTAGAGCACTATCCAAATGTTGGCTCTTAATGAAGCACTGCTTTCACTGTTAACTAGCAGAGGAACACTGGGCAAGTTATGTCACCTTTCTAAGCCTTCCTTTTCCTTATCCATAGGAAGAGGAGCATATATCTGCTTCTCCAAGGGGCTGATTAAATATATAGAGCACCTGCTCTACACAAATGTGAATTAGCTTCTTTTTAAATTGGGCTTTTCCTGGAATTTTGTAACTGTTTCGTTATTTGGAATTTTGTTTGCTTTTCTCAACATGGTTGTCAGGGATTGATCTCTTGCTGTCTTAAATGTCCTCACTTCAGACAAAAGAACACCGGTAAGCGCCACTTGAGTGGCACCCAGGCAGGAGTGAAGATGCTGACTGGTGCCGAAGCTGGGAGGATTCAGGGGACAGGCTCAGGAGTGACAGACTGCAAGCCTGCCAAGAAACAGCACAGGGAGCTCCTTCCCTCACGCTGCTAAAAATACTGCTGGGAAAGTAATTTCTCTGGTCCTATTTTAGAAATCAGAGACAGATCCACCATATTCATGTTTGGATCCTGGTCAGCCTTCTGGTTTGAGTTTTAAATTTCAAGATATTTTTTTTTTGGTGGGGGGTAGGGCAGTTAAAACAGTCTGCAGAGTTTGAGAAGCAAAATTTGAAAACACTGTTAAGGAAGATATGTTTTGGGCATTATGTAATTACTAGCAATTATTATTATTATTTTGAGACAGAGTCTTGCTCTGTTGTCCAGGCTGGAGTGCAATGATGCCATCACACAACTCACTGTAGCCTCAACCTCCCAGGCTCAAGTGATCCTCCCACCTTGGCCTCCCCAGTAGTTGGGACTACAGGTACATACTACCTTGCCCAGTTAACTTTTTTATTTTTTGTAGTGATGGTGTCTCACTATGTTGCCTAGGCTGGTCTCAAGCTCCTGGGTTCAAGTGATCTTCCTTCCTCAGTTTCCCAAAGTGCCAGGATTACAGGTGTGAACCACCAGGCCTGGCCGCAATTTTTGAAAAGGCTTTATTAAAGACAATCAAAATGTCATGTGACAAAATCCTTCCAGCTGTTTATTTGCCCATGTCATTGATTTTATACACACACACACACACACACACACACACATAAATATTTACTTAAGGTAGATTTATATAAAGATATTTTCCTCTTTCTTTCCCATTCCTTAACTTTCTTTCCCTCTTTTTTTCCATCTTTCTCTTCTGAAAACTTCCTTCTGTCCATTTTTTTTCACTCCCTCTTTCTTTTCTTTCTCAGTGACAGTTTCATGCTGAGACAGAGGCCCTCCCGGTGTGTGGAAGTTTGTCTGTCTCTGCTGGAGCCTGTCTGCTCTGGCCTTTCACTGTGTACTTTGTTCACCCTCTTTCACAAACATTTACTGAGCAGCTATTAGTACAAAACACTGTATCTGGCCCTTGGAGAGGAGTGGGGAAAATACAAAGATGAATAGCACATGGTGTTTACTCTTAAAGAATCCTACAAAGTAGTGGAAGAGACATAAGTTCAAGATCAAAACAACAAGGGAATGAATGTGTGGGCTGGGGGTGGGAGGAGGAGTGGTATTTGTGTGTGGAAGCAGGCCAGTTGCCTAAAAGTCAATTTCCCAAAATCATTTCACCAAATGACCAATATACTGAAAGACCAATTGACTGAAAATCAATTTGCAATTGGCCCAGAGCTGCCAGGTGTTGCTATAGAAAGAATTCACCTGAGTTTCAACAGGGACAACCTCAGTATTAAAAGAGGGACCACTTTTAAGTTCCGGCCCAGGGATATATCTATGGTTGAGAATCCTCTTCGATTTGGCCACGGAGGAGCATTTTGTATACACAGTCACTGTAAGCAGAAGCATAGTTTGCTTAAATAATAAAGATTATTATATTTTTTATTAAAAAAATTTTTTTTCTGAGATGATTTCACTCTTGTCACCCAGGCTGGAGTGCAATGGCATGATCTTGGCTCACTGCAACCTCCGCCTCCCAGGTTCAAGCGATTCTCCTGCCTCAACCTCCCAAGTAGCTGGAATTATAGGCACCCACCACCACACCTGGCTAATCTTATTCCTGATGTGTCAGTTGTGGTTCCAGCAGAAAATAGATGGCACGTGAAAACTTGGAAATGTGAGGATTGTCTAGAGAGGGGGCTTTTTTCAAGGCCCAGGTAGGATTCAGAAAACCAACAAGGGATAGCGCAGTCTCTGGAGGTAGCAAAAGCAGGAAGCCATTGCCTCTGGAATCTAGGCAGGGGGTGGCTCTACTGACAGGGCCATTGTACTGGAGGAGGGGTCCACAGGTGCCTTTCATTGGCCAAGCCCAGCTGTAAACTAAGGAAAATGATTTCCTGTCACAAGAAAGTAGATCTTGAGGACATTCACTATATCAGGTTATGATTAAATAACATGGCACCAAATTACCATTGTGTTTCCTCAAGGAAGAATATGGTTGTCATTTCAGACTTAAAAAATCAGCATCCTTCCAAATTTATCAATTAAGGACTGAAATGTGTAACAGGGTTCCCAAGAAAATTCTTTTTAGCAAGAGGAATTGTCAGTAATTCACTGTGCAGGTGGATACAATAAACAATTTTGGAGTAGATCTTTGTTCAGAAAAGTCATTTGCATGACACTCCCTCGTGTGCATAATGTAAGGTTTTTGTTTGTTTGTTTGTTTGTTTTTTATTTGAGACAGAGTCTTGCTCTGTCATCCAGGCTGGACTGCAGTGGCACGATCTCGGCTCACTACAAGCTCCGCCTCCCGGGTTCACACCATTCTCCTGCCTCAGCCTCCCGAGTAGCTGGGACTACAGGTGCCCACCACCACACCCGGCTAATTTTTTGCATTTTTTTAGTAGAGACAGGGTTTCACCGTATTAGCCAGGATGGTCTCAATCTCCGGACCTTGTGATCTGCCCGCCTCAGCCTCCCAACGTGCTGGGATTACAGGCATGAGCCACCATGCCCGGCCAATGTAAGGTATTTTTAAAGGTATTCTTAAAGGGCGTAACAGAATCTTCTGTTTGGCTGA
Source organism: Homo sapiens (assembly GCF_000001405.40). NCBI lineage: Eukaryota > Metazoa > Chordata > Mammalia > Primates > Hominidae > Homo > Homo sapiens. The sequence continues at coordinate 74,171,326 of NC_000008.11, forward strand.
ACAAGGCAACTCTGCTCTTGGAGTATGGGGGATTAGGTACCCTGGACTTGTCACAAAGTCCAAAGGGTTTTGGGAGAAGGCTGGGGCATAACACGTGGCCAAGGTTAGAAGCCTACTGGCTTGATTCCGGCTCTGGAGAAAGGTACTTTAGCTGTGAGTCTGAAGCAAGAGAGCTGGCCTCCAGGGTTATATAGGGATCTGGCAAAGAGTAAAACACCGTGGTTGCTAGACTGTGCAGGACCAGTGTTCAACAGTGACACCATGTGGTGGGGATGAAGCTTGCTGCTAGTGGCAACTACGTTTCTCACTTTTCATCTGGACTCATTTCCTTTGGATTAAGTAAATTTGTGGGGTTCTTGGATACTCGAAGAAAGTGTCCTCAAGAGGGCGATCATAGAGTACTTGATGATGAAGACAGATGCAGCTTTGAGGAATTAATCAGAGTAATAAATGAGATGTTATTTGACACGTGCATTAAATTGGTGAAGTAGATCATATTTGCTGCAAAACATGAACAGAGGTTTGTTCATTGCTGACTAGATGTTCCAAGTGCCTTTTTAAGGCAGAGGCAGAAGCAGTGGTTGCAGTGGGAGGAAGAAGGAATAAAAATAATGTGTCTTAGAATTGCACTGCTTACACGTCCTCCGTATTCACAGCTTTCATCCCAACACCACCCCAGCTTCAACTTAGAGATACAGAGAAGAGATGAGGGCATAGGCAAATGCCCTCCTGGGGTAACTTGGGGCTATCAAAGTTTACCAAACCAATTTCGGACTTGTAAAGAAAAAGTTTCCAACCTTAAATGATGAGATTCAGAAAATATGATTAAGTATGAAGTTTATTCAAATGCAAAACTTGAGGATAGCCACCCAGGACACACCAACTCTAGACAAATGAGGTCAGCATTCCAAAGTGGAGGAGTTAAGGTTTTGCTTATGTCAGCAGAGACAAAGAAGTTCCAGCAAGATTACAACATTTTCCATTCAACAGTGTAAGCTGCTTGGATGATGGGTGCACCAAAATCTCCAAAATCACCACTAAAGAACTCATTCATATAACCAAACACAACCTGTTCTCCAAAAACCTGCTGAAACAAAATAAAAAAACCCTCAAAACCCATTTTCCCTACAAGATCAGTGTGTATGCCATAGCGATTTGATTGGTTACCAATTGCTACATTCCAAGGAAGATTACTTTATTCCTCCCTGAGGTGGGGCAGTGATCTGAGGGAGTCTTATCTTTGGTGTTGCTTGGTCTTCCTAAGTATTTACAGAGAAAAAAAGTAGAATTTGTAACTGCATGCCATGTGACTCAGGCTGCATAGCCACATTCCTCTCATGGCCAAGAACATTTTATGTTCCAACAGGTTTAAGTTTGAATAATTTTAATTCACAAAGTGAAAAGGAATTCCATGACATTTTACTAGACTTCCTTCTAATCTCAGTCTGGAACATCAACTTTAAACCTGGAAGGGAGATTTGAAGAAGGGTGTTTAGAGCTGTGTTTAAGAGAAAAGTATCACAAATGTAACTTGTTTATTGATCAGTATGAACTTGATGGGTAACAGTTTTCCTTCTTTCCAGTTGCTATGTTGGATCTCTGCTTCTCCCTAATAGCAGAATCGTAAAAGCCTCTTGGGCAGATTTGATAACTTCCCAGTCATTTCTAGTTATTTAAACCCAGGACAGCCTAATCCAGTTTAAAGCTCCAACTTATAGTCAATTTGAAACTTTGCTCACCCCAGCCAGGTTTGAGTTTAGGGAAGAGGTCTTGGTATACTGTTGGGGCTTATTTCCCCACAAATTTTAAGCTGGAGGAATTTGAGCAAACTTAAGAAGCAACAAAGTCTCTCTGATCTTCTCCTACCTTTCTGTCCTGAAACAGCCCATAAAACCTAGGAAAGATGTTCTGATCTTTCCCTGAAGCAGGTCATAAGACCCTCAGGTGAGAGGTGCCCTCCCTACACACAGAGGAAAGGAGCATCTTTATCTCTAAGGACCCAGGGACACACAGAGACAAATCTGAAAAAACAGGCCTTGCTAATTTATTTATTTAGCATTTATTTATTACCATTATTTATTGTATTGTATTACCATCATACACCCTTTTTGCCCTATCCTATTTCTTCACAAATATCCACTTTTCATCAAACCTACTATATAAAACATTCAGGTTTTTTCAGATCTCCATTACTTTATGGAGGCTCCCATGTCACATAAAACATAAATAAATGTGTATGCTTTTCTCTTGTTAGTCTGTCTTTTGTTATAGGGGCCTCCACCATGAGTCTAGGATGGGTGAGGAAAAAATATTTTTCCTCCCCTCCACTATCTTTTAATTCTTCTCCTGAATGCTGTAGTTTGGGGTTGGGTGGTCAGGGAGGGGCACTGTTCTGGTTCTAGGACCTCTTTCTTCCCTGCTGTCTTCTAGGCTCTAGCTATATCCATTGATTGGTGAGGAGGAAAAGAGTGATGACTCGATTTGCCTTTCACCAGTAGAAACTCTTCTTAGGAGGGAGGCAGTCCCAGTGTTACTCTGGCTCACTGAGTAAGTAAGCCAGTCTACCAAGAATGGCAGGGTTTTGAAGCAAAGAAAGTTTAATAATTGCAGGGCTGGCCAAGTGGGAGGATGGAAGTTAATTCTCAAATCTGTCTCCCATAGAGCTCAGGTTAGGGTTTTCATGGATAACTTGGTGGGTGGGGCCTAGAGGAATGGGTGCCTCTGATTGGTTGGGGATGAAGTCATAAGGGTGAGGGAAACGGTCATCATGTGCTGAGTTAGTCTCTGGGTGGGGCCATAGGACCTGCTGAGTCATGAGTCACAGGTCCAAGTAGAGTTAGTGAGTTGCCAGAATGCAAACGTCTGAAAAACATTGCAAAAGACCAATCTTAGTTTATAGAGTAGTGATGTCATTTGTAGAAGCTCTGGGGAAGTCATAAATCTTGTGACTTTTGGCTATGTGGCTCCTGAGCAGTAAGTGATGATAGAAAAGCAAGCTAGGGAACAATGGCTGGTTGTCATTGAAATATACATACATCTTAGCAAAATTCAGGACCCTCCCACAATGCTAATCTTATCCTTTTTTTTTTTTTTTTTTTTTTGTCTGAGATGAAGTCTCACTTTGTTGCCAGGCTGGAGTGCAGTGGTGTGATCTCGGCTCACTGCAACCTCCGCCTCCTGGGTTCAAGTGATTCTCCTGTCTCAGCCTCCCAAGTAGCTGGGAGTACAGGTGCATGCCACCACACCCAGCTAATTTTTGTATTTTTAGTAGAGACGGGGTTTCACCATGTTGGCCAAGATGGTCTCGATCTCTTGACCTTGTGATCCGCCTGCCTTGGCCTCCCAAAGTGCTGGGATTACAGGCGTGACCCATCATGCCTGGCCTATGGCCTTTCATTAGCCTCACAAAGGTCATTTCAGTCCCTGAGCAAGGAGGGGGTCAGTTTTAGTGAGGGACTATTATCAACCTTGCTTCACAGTTAAACTATAAATGAAATACCTCCCATCATTAGCTTGGCCTAGGCTCAGGAGTGAGTGAGGATAGCCAGCCTGTGAGGCTAGAAGCAGGATGGAGTCAGCCATGCTAGACTTCTTTTGCTATCATAATCCTTGCAAAAGCAGTTTCAATGGCTTCTTTCATGAGTGTGGTCTCTGTAAAGTTCAGTTTCATCTCAGCCCCTTCTAATGGCGAGGGTCCAGCTATGCCTCTCTTTGGTTTGTTGACAGTGGTTCACGTTCCTAAGCATCTTTCTGGATGGGTCATCTCCATTTGTGTCCTTTTGTGCATCTTGTTGGCTTCTGCTCCTTTTCTACGCTGTGCTCCTTCCTGTGGAGCCACAGGAACTGCTGAAGTTCCCTCCCACACCTTTGAAGGCTACAAGGATTTGGGATGAGGTGAAGGGCCGCCCTCGTATTCTTTCCGGGCTTATGAACTTCACTGTTATAACGTCTCCAACCCTCCCAGCTTCAGAAATCTCTAGATAAAAAGCAGGCTTTGTGCTCTATGTTGGGTGTGCCTGCAAATGCTAGAGATCTTATAGGAAGTGCTCCCCCAAATTTATCATGCTTTGCTTTGCTCTGATGGAAGCATGAGGTGGTTCTACTGACTTCTCAGCTCAGCTGATGTCCACCTAGAGAATGAAAAATCACTTTCCCCTTCTGGAAGGCACCCCATCTTTACAGATAATTTCCCTGGGTCCTCTTCCCTTGCCTTGGGATGGAGAGGGTTGGAAGTGGGGAGGAGAATCTTTCCTCAGGATTCAGAAATGTCAGGGCGTGTTTGAAGGTGTCTGTCTCATTGAGGAACTGAAGAAACTCATCAGAAATAAATCATCTGAAGGAGAAGAGATTCAAAGAGGCCCCAGGCCATTGGTCAAATGGTGCCCTAGGCACCAAAAAGAAACGAAGATTTTGAGTATAGCAGGGTTTCTCTCTTGTCCCTCCCCCAACCCCTAAAGGATTTGTGTCTCCATCTGTGGGTGGGGGTGGGGAGAGCTATTTGAATAAAAAAAGAAAGAAGAGCTGTTTTTACACAAACTCTCTTTGAAACGCTGGGAGTACAAAGCAGCATTGTTTTGAGAGGCATACAACAGAAAAACACAAAATGGGGAGAGAGAGGTCCTCTGCACCTGGGCACAGAGTGCAGTGATTTGAATGTCAGGGGCTTTGGCACTTTGGTGTTTCCTGCACATCAGTGGCGCACCAGTTCCAGTGACAGCTGCCAACACAGCTGATTTATTCTGTAGTGGCAAGAGGAAAAGGGAGGGGAGAGGAGGTGAGGTGAGGGGAGAGGAGAAGAAGGTCTTGCCAGTGGCAAGGAGTGGGGCTGAAAAATTTGGAAGCAGTGGGAAATGGTACCCTTGGCCTGGATACCAGCACCCTTTCTCTCAGGTTGGAGCCGAAGTAGCATCCAGTGTCAGCTATATTGATGTTCTGGCACGATACAATGGCTTAGGTTTACCCCGCCAGCATGGGTGCCTGGCCAGTGGGTCACCCACCAAGGGACCATCTCATGGCTGAATGGAGGCTCACACTCACACCTCACAGGCAGACAGCACCAGTGCTGCCAGGGCAGAGATGTGGGAAATGACCATGAGTTGTGCTTGACAACTCGAAGACCCAGAAATAATTGTAGGGAGGAGAAACTTTTCAGGAATCAGAGTGTAGTTGGGTTAAGGGGTCCCATTTACAGATAATGGTGGTCCCCTCAGCACATGATGAGAATGGGTATTTAGCTTATCTATATGTTCATATATCTATGTCAGAGGTATTTGAACCAGAGCAACTCCATCTCGAATAGGAGCTGGGCAAAATGAGGCTGAGACCTCCTGGGCTGCATTCACAATGGTTAAGGCATTCTAAGTCACAGGATGAGACAGGAGGTTGGCACAAGCTACAGGCCATAAAGACCTTACTGCTAAAACAGGTTGCAGTAAGGAAGCTGGCCAAAACCCATCAAAACCAAGATGGTGACCACAGTGACCTCTGGTCATCCTCACTGCAACACTCCCACCAGGGCCATGACAGTTTACAAATGCCATGGCAATGTCAGGAAGCTAACCTATATGGTCTAAAAAGGGAGACATAAATAGTCCACCCCTTGTTTAGCATAAAAATCAAGAAATAACCACAAAAATGGGCAATCAGCAGCCCTGGGGGCTGCTCTATGGAGTAGCCATTTTTCAATCCTTTACTTTCTTTCTTTTCTTTGAGATGGAGTCTTGCTCTGTTGCCCAGGCTGGAGTGCAGTGGTGTGATCTTGGCTCACAGCAACCTCTGCCTCCTGGGTTCAAGCGATTCTACTACCTTAGCCTCCTGAGTAGCTGCGACTACGGGCACATACAACCACGCCCGGCTAATTTTAGTATTTTCAGTAGAGATGGGGTTTCATCATGTTGGCCAGGCTGGTCTGGATCTCCTGATCTCATGATCCACCCGCCTCAGCCTCCCAAAGTGCTGGGATTACAGGTGTGAGCCACTGCACCCAGCCTCATTCCTTTACTTTCTTAGTAAACTTGCTTTCACTTTACTCTACGGACTTGTCTTGAGTTCTTTCTTGCACGAGATCAAAGAACCCTCTCTTGGGGTCTGGATCAGGACCCCTTTCTGGTAATATCTATGCTTAAAATTTACAGAAGAGGAGAGAGGATGAGATAGATGGCGAGAATTTCTGAAAGGAGACACCCTAGAGATTTGTACACATAAATAGTCCAATAGGCAATGGAGTCATATGGTGACAACTCTTGGTAGAAATTCAACTTCAACATCTAAACATTTTCTATGGTTGTAACAACTACTCCTGGATGAAATCATTGGCAACTTTTCTGTAACACATACTTTCTTAAGGCCTCAAGTCAACAGACAAACCCGTTTTTCACCCGGCTTTGTGCATTTGACTTGGTAAACTTTAACAATGAAAGCAGTGCAATAAAACCAGGATTCCTAGCTTTGTAATATCCTCTTAATTGCTATGGGGAATACCTGCAAGAACTTCATGTTCTCAGCTTGGAGTTTATTTTGGCTCACAGCGATCCAATCAGTAGTAAATACAAGAGATTTCCATTAAAAAAATACTGGAGAATTTTGTAAATGCCATTACGTAGTATCTGAGGAATTTGGGAGAAATGATATGGAGTCAGTAACGAGTAAGGAGGAGGAATCTGCTTCGTGACAGCAGTGACAAAAATGCTTATTTATTAGGAGATGGAGTCTCTGTTGCCCAGGCTGGAATGCAGTGGTGTAATTATAACTCACAGCAGCCTGAAATTCCTGGACTCAAGTGATCCTCCCACCTCAGCCTCCCGAGTAGCTAGGACTGCCATGCTTGGCTAATTAAAAAAACTTTAGAGATGGGGTCTCACTATATTGCCTGGGGTAGTCCTAAACTCCTGGCCTAGAACGATCCTCCTGCCTCAGCTTCCCAAAATGTTGGGATTATAGGTGTGAGCCACCATGCTGGGCTGAAAATGCAAATTTAAAGTAGCTTAAGGCTGGGCACAGTGGCTCACGCCTGTAATCCCAGCACTTTGGGAGGCTGAGGTGGGTGGATCACCTGAGGTCAGAAGTTAGAGACTGGCCAGGAGAACATGGCAAAACCCCATCTCTACTAAAAAAAAAAAAATACAAAGATTAGCTGGCCTGGTGGTGCACGCCTGTAGTCCTAGCTGCTTGGGAAGCTGAAGCAAGAGAATCGCTCGAACCTGGGAGGTGGAGATTGCAGTGAGTTGAGATCACGCTGTGTCCGGAATTGGTGGGTTCTTGGTCTCACTGACTTCAAGAATGAAGCCGCGAACCCTCGCGGTGAGTGTTACAGTTCTTAAAGGCAGTGTGTCCGGAGTTTGTTCCTTCTGATGTTTGGATGTGTTCGGAGTTTCTTCCTTCTGGTGGGCTTGTGGTCTCGCTGGCTTCAGGAGTGAAGCTGCAGACCTTCATAGTGAGTGTTACAGCTCTTAAGGCGGCGCGTCTGGCGTTGTTCCTTTCTCCCATCCGGAGTTGTTCATTCCTCCCGGTGGGTTCGTGGTCTTGCTAGCCTCAGAAGTTAAGCTGCAGACCTTCGCGGTGAGTGTTACAGCTCATAAAAGCAGAGCAAACCCAAGAAGTGAGCAACAGCAAGATTTACTGCAAAGAGCTAAAGAACAAAGCTCCCACAACATGGAAGGAAACCCAACCAGGTTGCCACTGCTGGCTTGGGCAGCCTGCTTTTATTCCTTTATCTGGCCCCATCCTCATCCTGCTGATTGGTCCATTTTACAGAGAGCTGATTGGTCCATTTTGACAGGGTGCTTATTGATGTGTTTACAATTCCTGAGCTAGACACAGAGTGCTAATTGGTGCATTTACAATTCTTTAGCTAGACATAAAAGTTCTCCAAGTCCTCACCAGATTAACTAGACACAGAGCACTGATTGGTGTGTTTACAAACCTTGAGCTAGACACAGGGTGCTGATTGGTGTGTTTACAATCCTTTAGCTAGACCTAAAGGTTCTCTAAGTCCCCACCAGATTAGCTAGATACAGAGTGCTGATTGGTGTGTTTACAAACCTTGAGCTAGACACAGAGTGCTGATTGATGTATTTACAATCCCTTAGCTAGATATAAAGTTTCTCCAAGTCACCACTAGACTCAGGAGCCCAGCCGGCTTCACCTAGTGGATCCCGCACAGGGGCCGGAGGCGGAGCTGCCTGCCAGTCCCGTGCCATGCGCCCGCACCCTTCATCCCTTGGGCGGCCGATGGGACCGGGCGCTGTGGAGCAGGGTGTGGCCCTCATCGGGGAGGCTCGGGCTGCACAGGAGCCCATGGTGGAGGGGAGGCTCAGGCATGGCGGGCTACAGGTCCCAAGCCCTGCCCTGCGGGGAGGCAGCTGAGGCCCGGTGAGAATTCGAGTGCAGTGCTGGCAAGCCGGCACTGCTGGGGGACCTGGCGTACCCTCCACAGCTGCTGGCCCGGGTGATAAGCCCCTCACTGCCCGGGGCCAGCGGCTCCGAGTGCGGGGCCCGCGGAGCCCACGCCCACCCAGAACTTGCAGTGGCCCGTGAGCGCTGTGCGCAGCCCTGGTTCCTGCCCGCGCCTCTCTCTCCACACCTCCCTGCAAGCAGAGGGAGTCGGCTCCGGCCTCAGCCAGCCCAGAGAGGGGCTCCCACAGTGCAGCGGCGGGCTGAAGGGCTCCTCAAGTGCAGCCAGAGTGGGCACCGAGGCCGAGGAGGCACTGAGAACGAGCGAGGGCTGTGAGGGCTGCCAGCACGCTGTCACCTCTCAATGCCACTGTGTTCCAGCCTGGGTGACAGAGTGAGACACTGTCTCAAAATAAATAAATAAATATAAAAAATAAAGTAGCTTAGAATTCTGAGAGGCAGGATGGTGACACTTAGACATATGCCAAAAACCTTCTTCATGTTTACAATTTCTTCAGCTATACTGAGAAAAACACAGTAGATTTTTTAAAATAAAGTTTAAATAGAAGTAAATGAAATACAAAGTACTGGTTTTGAATCATTCTGAGAAAAAACTTTGGATTTGTCCATTGGTATGTGCTTAAGAAGATGGCAGAGGGGGGAAAAACCCAGATTTAAAGATTAACTTCAAATCTGAAGTGCCTAATTTGGCATTACAAAAAAGTAAATTAAAAGTTTATTTGGGAGATAAAATTTGAATTAAGAAAGATATTTTATTTAAAAAGTACATTTTTCTATACCTTTCCCTGCTTAATGAGGGTCTTAGAAATACCTTAGACAAGCCCACACTGATGTTGTTCATGGTGTTCCTTCGAAGTCATTTATTTCTCTGGTTGTCTAAGTGCAGTGTCTGCTCCTCTCTCCTGTGGTTTGCTTCCTCTTGCCACACCAGCAACACCTTGGCTTTTGCTCTATCTCAGCTCTACTTTCTCTCCGCTGCAATTCATTGTTTTCCACGTTGAGACATGAATCTCCATCCTCAGGAACAATTCATGACACTCCTGTCAAGAGTCAAAATTACAACAAATTTTGTTAAATGATCAAATTGGCTTTTATTTCTGATTCATGAATGAGGGTGGCATCTCCTTGAAACATTTAGGAAAGGCGCCCCAAGTTGCTGAGCAGAGGAGTTTGGCTTTTTAGGCAGGAAAAGGCTGAAGAAAGCAGGAACAGGGAACAAAAAGTGGATCAGTTAGTATTAGGCTACTTAGGTTACTCACCCTGTAAGGGTTACAGCCGAGGGGACTTCCTTATCCTGCCAGCTAAAACTGGCCTGTGTGGGGAGTTGGCTATATCTTGCCCTCTTGATTTCTCAAAAGGTCAGATAAATAACTTCGAACTTGGAACTTTAGCATGAGTGACTCCATTTTGGTTTGGTCTGTTGGGGCCTACTGCTGGAGCTCAGTCCAAATCAAGGGACTTCTATAAATTTGTTTAACTCTCCTCTGCTTCTAAATCTAGAGTAGCTCCTTCTGTCCACTGAAGGCGATCCAAACTCCTTGATCAAAAATAAGGTCCCCTAAGGTCCCTTTAAGAATTTAAAGTCCCATAAGTTCCCCTTTCAACTCATCTCCCACTAGTCCCCTTCGCACATGCTAGCTCTGGCCCAACCCAACTATTATCAATGCTATGTTGGCTTGAAACATTACCTGATTGTTGACAGGTAGAAGAAAATCCCACTTCTGAATTCTTTTTTTTTTTTTTTTTTTTTTTTTTGTGCCAAAGTTTTGCTCTTGTTGCCCAGGCTGGAGGGCAATGGCACAATCTCAGCTCATTGCAACCTCCGCCTCCTGGGTTCAGGCGATTCTCCTGCCTCAGCCTCCCGAGTAGCTAGAATTACAACTAATTTTTGTATTTTTAGTAGAGATGGGGTTTCACCATGTTGGCCAGGCTGGTCTCAAACTCCTGACCTCGGATGATCCACCCGCCTTGTCCTCCCAAAGTGCTGGGATTACAGGCATGAGCAACTGTGCCTGGCACACTTCCGAATTCTTATAGCACTTTCCTCATGCCCCTCTGTTATGGCACCTACAACATTTTATGTTGTTTTTAAATTTACAAAAAATGGGTTTTATCTCTTCTAATAGACAGTATGCCAAGGGTGTCTATACCTGTGGCTGTCATCTTTGTATCCGTCTCATTCATGTCTTGTCCGGTGTTGCTTCTGAATACATATTTTATTTAAGTCAGTTAATTCTGCTAGGTTCAATCGGGAATATTTGATCAAGTTGAGTTCACTGCGTCAACTCTTTGATGGAATTAAACCTAGGCTTGGTCTTCAACTAATTTATTGTTCAGATCTTTTACAAATCAGGCCAAATGTGGGACCAGACTTGATAGCTCTTAGGACATCCTTGAAAGGACGGGACTCCCTCAGGTTTTACTTGTCTAAGCTCAAATTCAGAAAGTAGCCTCAATGACTCGAGTCAGTCTGTGCTCTCAGGTGAGCGCCCCTTTTGATTCAGCAAATCCTTTCTGATAGTAATGCCTTTTGCATGCATGACTACTGTGTTTGGAGTATTTCTTTTATGTGACTTTGCCACCCTGTTAGTCCAGGACTGGGACCAAAGAGGCAGGAGTGGGTACAGTAGCACATGTAGTATTGAAGTGGCCTCATTCATCTAGGGTAATACCCAAGGTTCGTTGTCTCATGTCAAGGAAATTAAGGACATGGGCACATGTGGAGTGAGGTTAAGAGCGGAGGTTTAATAGGCAGAAGAAAGAGAAAAGAGGATAGCTCTCCCTCCTGCAGAAAGAGAGGGACACCCCAGTGGGTCTTCTGTTTCTGTGGTGAAATGCACAGGGTTTTATTGATGAGCTTGAGTAGGCAGTGTCTGATTTACATAGGGCCCAAAGATTGTTTGGACCAGGTGTGACATTAACATAGTGCAGGAAGAAGCTGGCCATTTCACCCTAATCTTTCATTATGCAAATGGATTTTCTACTTGGCCAGCTCCATGTTGTCTGATCCTTACTGTACACATGGTTGACAAAGAAAAGGGAAGATGGATGCTCCATTTTGAACATGCCTAGCCCCCAGATAGCCTCTTCCTATTGACACAGCTACCAGCATTCCCCTGTGCAAGCTTTGGAAAGCTTGCTTATCTATGTTTGCAGCTCAATTTTACAGGCTGCTTTTGTTAGAAAAGAAATGATTTGGGGGCTGGTTTTCGTTAAAAGGGAAACCTTACTGAGGACTTCGTTACCCTCACTATCTGCCTAAATAATTTCTTTTGAACTTTTATTTCAGTATTATGGCCGATCAGATCTCTCAGATGAAAGTAAAAGGGATGGGAGACAAGCCCCAAACAGTGAGGCCTAAGTCACTCTTCAAGTGGGCAGGTGGGGTCACCCTCTGCTGTGACTGATGTGCAGGAAGCCTCTGGGTGGGTGCTGGGCTCAAAGCTCCTCTTGCAATTCTTTTAGATTGGTCACCATCTTAATCATTTCCAGGTTATGCTGGTTCAGTCAATGATCAGATATTTATTGAGCATGTACTTGAGGCAAGGCATCAAACTAGATATTGTAGAGAAACAAAAAGAAGTTTCAGTCACAGGCTCTGCCCTTTAGATATTTGTAATCTCTTTGGGAGAGATGTTTCAGGTTGAAATAGGCATGGGAAATGTCAATTATATAAAACAACATTGAGCATATAATATAATCATGAAGAACAGCCTTGCTACAAAATATTGGTAGTTCAGAGGATTAAATTAACACACACTAAGAGATGCCATGTACATTGATTTAAGCCACTTCTCTTCAAAATATGCCTCAATTCTCAGAAGTTTCTAAGCTTCTCTGAAGAACTCAGTGAAAAATCATACTGCAAGTCAAAATTTCTTTGATGCTAACTCATACTCTGATATTTTTAATCATCTAGCTTATTTAGGGGCTCTTTTCTAGGAATAAATGAAATTGTATATAATGAAATCTAAAGCATAAGAAATAGTGATCACTGGAAAACTTCTAAATTGTCTTATTTGGGTAAAAGTGTAAGACATAAAATACCAAAAATATTTTAGTGTCAAGATGAACAGACACCCAACACCCATTTCTCCATATTGCAAATTAAACCTGGAGCATTTACTTGCTTCGGGCCAGAAAAAGGTCCATGAATGAATATAAATAGATGCCTGAACCAAAAGATACTACTTACCTGGCAAGAATGTCCAAGGCACCCAGTTGAACACTGAGATTAGAAAGGTCCTTTGAATTTAAAATGACTGGTACTTAACAAAGGAATCATAAAATCTAAAAAAAAAAAAAAAAAGCTATCATTTATTTATTTATTTTAGACAACGTCTAGCTCTGTTGCCCAGGCTGGAGTGCAATGGTGCGATCTTGGCTCACTGCAACCTCCGCCTCCTGGGTTCAAGCAATTCTTCTGCCTCAGCCTCCTGAGTAGCTGGGATTACAAGCGTGCAACACCATGCTCGGCTAATTTTTGTATTTTTAGTAGAGATGGGGTTTCACCATGTTGGTCAGGCTGGTCTCGAATTCCTGACCTCTTGATCCACCCGCCTCGGCCTCCCAAAGTGTTGGGATTATAGGCAGGAGCCACCACGACTAGCCTTATTTATGTATCTTAATCAACAAAATGACTGGTACTTAACAAAGGAATCAGAAAATCTAAAAAAAAAAAAACTATAACTTATGTATCTTAATCAAACCAGGAAGCAGCCACAGCAGCCTGAGTTCTGAACTTCAAGGCCCAGGAGTGACTGCAAGTGACACCTTCTCATATCCCAAATCACTCTGTCTGCAATAATTATACTAATATTATCTACTTCATGGGAGCATTGAGAACTGAGAGGTGGTGGGACAGAGGAAGTGTTCTAATTATTAGTAAGTCCAATTCCTACATATTTAAAAGGGACCATAAATGTTTAACTATATGAAGGGAATTTGCAGATGTTTGTCTTTCAGTTGTGGAATCCCAGTTATGGGTGGTCTTTCACTCTGCTGTACATATTTGGTCCATTTCCCTCAGTGCAATTTGGAACAGAGAGCCTTCACTGAGTGCTGCTGTCTTTCTCCTGGAGATGGCTGTCCTGGCATCTGTCCTTCCAGTTCTCCTCGACCCCCTGCACCCCACCCCTAATACACACACACACGAACTTCACTTTCTTTGCCTCCCTCCCTGGCTCTTTTTTCTCCTTCCTCCTTTAGGCGAGTGATCAAGGAGAAAGGAATTCCCTAGTTTCTTGCCCTGAGCTTCTCCAAACCCCATCTGTGCTCTTGATCTGTCCCATCCTGGGATCTCCACCTACTATTACCCTTACCATGAGCCCTTCAAACAGCCAACCTGTCAACTCAGCTTCGCCTTGCCTCCCAACTACACTAAGCCTAGACTCCTTTGGGCGCATTTGAAAAATGCAGTATTTTAGTGGGCATTTTTATTTAAAAAAATAGGATGAGGTTTTAAAAAATTCTTTAATTTATAGAGTCTAGATTTTGATCCCAACTTATTCACAGGTTTTCTTGGTCAGCAGTTTCTGGGTACCTCTTCCTGGATCCCTTTCCTTTGTGCAACCCAGGTCAGAATGACTGCTATTCTTAGCTACCTGGCCTTTCATCCCCTGTGAATTCAGGATGACCCTGCTGCTGGGTCCAGGGTGTTTTAACTATTATTGATCTTGTTTATATATATATATAATATGTTTAGTTACTTAGTTTAACCCTCTGGTCTATGGCTCTCAAGAGCTCTATGAGCTCTTGTATTAAAAACAAAACAAACAACAACAATCCAACACATTTCTTGATCACCTATTTTGAGTCAGGCAATGTGCCATATGATATGGAGAATACAAAGAAAAGCAAGTGTCTGGGTGGAGTAGTTCAGAGCTTATGAGAAAGAGGGACAATACCCATATAATTGCAGTAGAATGGGGCCAAAACTTTGGTAGACATTGGAATTTTTTTGAGTACCCAACACCCAGGCCTCCTTTCTATTCTTGAGGAGCTGGCAGAGATTGCTGATTTGTGCTAGGCCGGGCTTTCTTTCACTTCGTACAAACTGTAGGAATATGTTCTTTCATATCTCCAGCAATAAACATACCAGGATGTGACCATGCTCAGCTAATTTCATGCTCTTTCCAAGGATTTTTATTTATTTATTTATTTTTTGAGACAGAGTTTCACTCTGTCACCCAGGCTGGAGTGCAGTGGTGCTGTCTCAGCTCACTGCAACCTCCGCCTCCTGGGTTTAAGCAATTCTCATGCCTTAGCCTCCTGAGTAGCTAAGATTACAGGCGTGTACCACCATGCCCGGCTAGTTTTTTATATTTTTAGTAGAGATGCGGTTTCGCCCTGTTGCCCAGGCTGGTCTCAAACTCCTGAGCTCAGGCAATCTGCCCACCTCGTCCTCCCAAAGTGTTAAGATTACAGGCACGAACCACCGCACCTGGCTCTGCCAAGGATTTTGAATCCAGACGGGGAGAAATAAAGATACAGGGACTACTATTGAGAAATGTTTTATTTATTTTTTAATTTTTCATTTTTTGAGATGGAGTCTCACTCTGTCACCAGGCTGGAGTGCAGTGGCACGATCTTGGCTCACTGCAGCCTCCGCCTCTCAGGTTCAAGTGATTCTCCTGCCTCAGCTTCCCAAGTAGTTGGGACTACAAGTGTGTGCCGCCACACCTAGCTAAATTTTGTATTTTTAGAGATGGGGTTTCATCATGTTGGCCAGGATAGTCTCGATCTCTTGACCTCACGATCTGTACGGCCTCAGCCTCCCAAAGTGCTGGGCTTACAGGCGTGAGCCACTGCGCCCAGCAGAGAAATGTTTTAAAGATTGTGGCCCCAGCACTGAGTCCAGAAACTACATTTGCTTTCTGTGCATTTACCAATGTACTCTGGACTTCCAGGCACTCCGTGTCTTCCAATATATTTATTTTCTTCTTAAATTATTCAGAGGTATGTGTGTGCGTTGTTTTTCTTGCTTGAAATCAAGAACTTTGATACAGAAATTAATAATGGGGAGTGCAATCCAGACAACAGATCCTTAGGGATGGGAAAAACTAAAATTGGGAGGGGGTCCATGAAATTTGCATTAGTATTGGTTATGGGATTCTGGCAACCATGACATGAAGTGGTGAACACTAATTCAATGACTGCCCATGGTCACTTGTAATGAAGCACTCATTGAAGGCAAGATGTCAGGGACCACTTTACTGCTGACACAGAATTGTATGAAGAAATGAAAGAGTAGTATGAGAAATTTTTAAGTTAATAATAGTATGAGAAATCATAGAGTAGTGGGTAAGGTGGATTCTTTTAATGGCACTAGAAAATCTGAAGAAAGAAAATGATAGGCCCAAATATATCAATTCAGCCTTTGGCTGTTTCCTAAGTCTTGGGGGAAGAGGACTTACTTTTGTCCCTGCAACTCCCTTGCTATGTGAAGCCAGTTCTTCTCAGGTCTTAGCCATCTGCCACCTTCACCCCCTCAACCTAACTTATCAGTAAAATAGCTGCCAGCTTTGAGTGGGGCTCAGGACAAGAAGATGCTCTCTGGCCGGTATAATCAGAAGCACAGACAACTAGAATGGTGAGCAGAGCTCATGGCTCAGCACAGCCAGCGCTGTATCTTAGACAAAATCATGCCATTGATTAGTTAAGAATTTCTATTACAACACCTGAGATTCTACCAACACCACAATATTTGTCTTTTGTGAACCAGCTGAGCATCTGCCAAGCAACGTCAATATTATTTTTTCATTAGTAAATGCGTCCTAAACCTCCCCCAAATCATTTACAAACACAGCTTTGAAACATAGGCTGTTTGTTCCTGACTGTGTGTGGGTGCATGCGTACACACACAAACATGCACGCAAATAGTTGCATGTGTAAACTCATTGAGCTTTGCTTTTTACTTTGTATAAATATCTTTTAACTCAAGTGCACATGTCTACTTAGCATAGTGTAAGATGCATTGTAAGCCTTTAACCAGTAATTTTATTATCAATAATTTGCTGAATGAAAACATAGGCACTAATAATCTCCGATTCCTCAGATTCAAAATGGAACATATTTTATTTTCCTCATGGATTGAATTTCTTCCTAACTTGATTTGACTCCAAACTTGTCAAGAGTTTATATCACAGAAAAAAGTATCCCATGGTGAAGAAAAATGAAAACATGTTTAAATTGTTGCGTCTCTCATAAACGTTATACTCTTTTGAAGGAATGCTTAACTAAAGGAAGATAACTGGCCACACTCACCTATGAAATGCCTTCTTTCTTGGGCTTATAGAGCTAAAATTTTATCTTTTTAAACTTTTTATTTTTTATTTTTAAAGATGAGGCATTGCTCTGTCTCCCAAACTGGAGTGCAGTGGCACTGTCATAGGTCATTGCAGCCTTGAACTCTTAGGCTAAAGCCATCCTACCACCTCAGCCTCCCAGGTAGCTGGGACTACAGATGCCACCATGCCCGGCTAATTTTCTTCTTCTTCTTCTTCTTCTTCTTTTTTTTTTTTTTTTTTGCAGAGATGGGGTTGCCCAGACCAGTCTCAAACTTCTGGTCTCACAAGATCCTCCCACCTTGGCCTCCTAAAATGCTAGGATTACAGGTGTGAGCCACCACAGCCAGCCTGAAATTTTATCTTTTGAAATTAGTATGGTGTATCATTTTTTAGAGGGCCCATTTCTACATAACAAGGGAAATGAAATACCTTTTACTGCTACAAAAATAGAATTAGGTACATGTGGTTTGATGAACAAATGTGTTTTTGGGTGCTTAATAATGTGTTTCTTTTTTTTTTTTTTTTGAGATGGAGTCTTGCTCTCTCACCCAGGCCGGAGTGCAGTGGTGCCATCTCGGCTCACTGCAAGCTCTGCCTCCCAGGTTCACGCCATTGTCCTGCCTCAGCCTCCCAAGGAGCTGGGACTACAGGCACCCGCCACCATGCCCAGCTAATTTTTTGTTTTTTTTTTTAGTAGAGACCGGGTTTCACCATGTTAGCCAGGATGGTCTCGATCTCCTGACCTCGTGATCCGCCCACCTTGGCCTCCCAAAGTGCACGTGTTTCATTTTTTAAGGCATATCTTCTACAGAGGTATAACTGATACTAATTTGTTTTCACTGGAAACCTCTTAAGGTCTACTTTCTGAATAAATTTCAGAAATGAAAGAAGCCATTTCATAGTGGAGTTGGGAGCTCTCATGGTAGGGTCTGTGTTATAACTGAAACTTTGAAGAGTTCATTTGTGTAGATATAACCTTTGTTGAAGTAGATGATCTATTTGATGTAGATGAGGAGTTGGCAAATTTTTTCTACAAAGGGCTAGATAATAAATATTTTAGGCTTTGCAGACACCTATGGTCTCTGTTCCTCTTCCTTCTCCTCCCTGTCCTCCTCCTCCCCATCCTCCTCCTCCTTTCTTTCCCTTTCCTTCTTCTCCCACTTCCCTCTCCCTCCCTGCATCCCCCCTTCTTTCTTCTTCTTTTTCCTCCTTCAGTCCATTAAAAAGGAACAAACCAATTCTTTGTATAGAAAAACAATCTGCAGACTGAATCTGGTCTACAGGGCATAGTTTGCTGACCCCTGAGGTAGATTATTATATTAGCCAGAGTAGGGTGACAACAATAACAACTCTAAAACTCTGAAGTCTCTGTGGCTTAATATGTTTATTATTTATTTTACACGTATGCAGTTCAGGTGGCCCTCCTTCATCTTACAGACCTACTAGATCCTTATCAGCTGTCCTCGAACTTCCTGCAGAACAGGGCTGGCACCAGGGTGAGGCAAGTGAGCTCTTTAGGGCACGGAATCCAAGGAGGTCCTGACTCAGGTTCAGCAGGGTCTGCCTCTGAAGGGGAAGAAAGAGCTGGGGGATCACAAGGCATTCTTTGAAAAATATTTTTTAGAATAGTCTTAGAATTACAGAAAAGTTGAGGAGACAGTACAGAGAATCCCCATAAATCTGCACCTAGGTTCCCCTATTATTAACATCTTATATAGGTTTGGTGCATTTATTACCATTAATGAATGAATATCGCTACATTAACATTAGCCAAAGTCTATACTTTTTCAGATTTCCTTAGTTTCTACAAGGTGTCCTTTTTTAAAAAAAAAAATTTCAGGGTCGCATCTGGGACACCACATAACATTTAGCTGCCTCGTTTCCTTAACCTCCTCTTGGCTGTGACAGTTTCTCAGAGTTTCCTCATGTTAGATGACCTTGACAGTTTTGAGGAGTACTGGTCAGGCATTTTGCAGGATCCCCTTCTCTTGGAACTTGTCTTGTGTTTTTCTTACAGTTCAGCCATTTTTGTGTGTTTTGGGGAGGAAGACCACAGAGGTGAGGTGCCATTTTCCTCACGTCATATCAAAGGTGCACATCATCAACATGATTTATTGCTGTTGATGTTGACCTTGATCCCTGAGCTGAAGTAGTATTCATTACCCTCTTCCCGTCTTCCCATACTGGACTCTTTGGAAAGAATAATTAAGCATAACTTGTACCTAGGTAGTAGGCAATAGCTACATAAGTTATTTGAAATTCTTTTGAATGGGAGGCCTGATTCTTGTTTCCCATTTATTTTCTTATTTTATTTTAAATTGATAAATAATAATGATATATATTTATGAAGTACAATGTGATGTTTCAATACATGGATACATTGTAAAATGATTAAATCTGGGTAATTAGCATATCCATTACCTCAACTATCATTTCTTTGTTGTGAGAACAATTAAAATCCTCTTTCAGCTATTTAGAAATATACAATACATTCTTATTAACTATAATCGTCTCCCTGTGCAACAGAACAGCAGAACTGATTCCTCCTATCTAACTGTAACTTTGTACCCGTTGATCAATGTCTTCCCTTTCCCTGTACACCTCTGCACTCACCGGACTCTGGTAACCACCATTCTACTCTCTACTTCTATAAGTATGACTTTTGTAGATTCCATGTATAAGCGAGACCATATGATATTTGTCCCTCTATACTGGGCTTATTTTACTCAATGTAATATCCTCTAGGTGCATTCATGTTGTCACAAATGACAAACTTGTCTGTGTATTTTAAGGCTGAATAGTATTTCATTGTGTATAGATATCACATTAAAAAATTCATCTGTTGATGGGCACTGAGTTTGTTTCCACTTCTTGGCCATTGTGAATAATGCTGCAGTGAACATGGGCATGCAGACATCTCTTTGGCACACTGACTTCAATTCCTTTGGGTATGTACCCCACAGTGGAATTGCTGAATCATATAGTGGTTCTACTTTTAATTTTTTGAGGAACATCCATACTGTTTTCCAAAATTGCTATACTAATTTATATTCCCACCAAAAGTGTTTAAGGGATCCCTTTTCTGCACAGCCTCTGCTACACTTATCTTTCAACTTTTTGATAATAGCCATTCTCACAAGTCTCACTATAGTTTTAATTTGCATTTATCTGATTATTACAAATCTTGAGCATTTTTTATATTATCTATGTCTTCTTTTGAGAAATGTCTCTTCAAGTCCTTTGCCCATTTTTAAATAGGGTTATTTATTTTCCTATTATGAAGGCAGTATGAATTCCTTATATATTTTGGACATTAGCCCCTTTATCTGATGTATGGTTTGAAAATATCCCATTTATTAATTTATTTATATTAGTATGGGCTCTTGGATATTTATTTTATACTTTGGATTATAATTCAGTACCTTATTTTGTGGTTGAGTTGTTTAGCTTTGGCCACTGGGACTCTTTTAGCTGGCTCCTATGCTTCTTTGACATAAGTAAGCCCTTCCTTACTTTTTGGCACAAGAGGATACTTCAAGTTCATATTTTCTGCTCCAGCTTTAGAATCAGCCATTTCTCCAAAGAGCCCTGGTTCCTTCTATTGGAGAATGGTATTAGAAACCCAGATTTGGGTGTTAGGCGTGCTCATTGCTACTGGGGTATTATTGGTTCTATCTGGGACATTTTTGGGACTTCAAAGTTTACCACACTTTGAAGCTATTTCTACACCAAACCCTCAAAAGCATCAACCTCATTTGAGAGACTGTTACAAATATATACTTTTTGGCCCCAGACCTACTGGATTAAGATCTACATTTTAACAAAATTTCCAGGTGATTTGCATGGACATTCAAATTTGAGAAGCACTGACTGGAACTTAGTCCCCCAATTACTAGGGAAGCTAGAAATGTGTGCTCAGAAAGAGGAAATAATGCGGAGGGCATACGATGTTGTCTCTGCCACATCTATGCCCTCGAGTATTTGCTGACAATTGCCGATTTGTTTAGATAACTTATGCTTAAAGCAACTGTTTTATTTTTGTTCCTGCTCTTTCATTATATTATTTTTTACATAAAATATTCATTCATTTATTCAAATAATTATTCATTGTATTAGTCTGTTTTCACACTGCTATCAAGGACTTGTCTGAGACTGGGTAATTTATAAAGGAAAGAGGTTTAATTGACTCACAGTTCCACATGAATGGGGAGGCCTCAGGAAACTTACAATCATGGGAGAAGGGGAAGCAGGCACCTTCTTCACAAAGTGGCCGGAGAGAGAGAAAGAAAGTGCATGAAGGGGGAAGAGCCCCACACTTATCAAACAACCAGATCTTGTGAGAAGTCACTCGTTATCATGAGAATAACATGGGGTAAACTGCCCCCATGATCCAATCATCTTCATTCCTTGTGGGGATTACAGATCCCTCCCTTGACATGTGGGGATTACAATTCAAGATGAGATTTGGTTGGGGACACAGAACCAAACCATATCATTTGTCAAGTCACTGCTGTGTTTCTGGCACCATTCTGAGTACTGGGGATGCAACAGGTGAACACAACGATAAACATTCCTACCTTCACAGAGTTTACAATTCATATGGGTGTGGGCACAGAAAAAATATGTGTATGTTAGATGTGATGACTGTTGTAAAAAAATAAGGCAGGTCAAGGGGTAGAGAGTAATGGAGGGGTTGGGGGTAGGTTGATGATTTAGGTAGGATGGCAAGCGAGGGCCTGTTTGATTAGGTCATCTAAGAATGGATCTGAATAAAGTGAACACGTGAAGCCTATCCTTATCTGGAAACATTCCAGGCAGAGGGGACACTATACCAATGGTTCTCTTCAAAGCCAAAGAAACACATTTTGATTAAAATTTTAAATCTCAGCTCCAAAGCCAGGTGTCCAAATATCCAGGTGTCAAAGCCTTTTGGATCCTGGACTGATATTTTGTTTTTCCCCCATCTAGATTTTTGACAAGATATAGATCCTGATATGTTATTGCAACCACTTTTGTCATCAACGTATGTTATGTAGTGGTGCTTACTTTATAGGATATAAAAGACTGTATTATAGTCATTCTCAAGATTTTTTTTATCTCAAGACCCTTTTACACCCTTAAAAATTATTGAGGGCCCCAAAGAACTTTTGTTTATGTGGGTTACATCTATAGATATTTAGTACATAGAAATTAAAACTAAGAAAATTTAAGCATTTATTTGTTAATTCATTAAAAAAGAAAGTTATTATATATTAATATAAACAGCACAGTTTTTATGGAAATAAGTCTATTTTTCAAAACAAAAACAAAATTTAGTGAAAAGAATGGCATTGTTGCATTTTGGCACATCTCTTTGATGCCTGCCTTAACAGAAGCCGGCTGGACTCCCATATCTGCTTCTGCACTCAATCTCTTGCATTGTCATGCAGCATCTGGAAAACTCTGATATACTTGTGAAAGCATGACAGCAAAAAGGGCAAGTAAGAGTTTAGTGTTATTACAAAAATAGTTTTGACCTCCAGGACTTGACCTCAGTCTTGACCTCAAGGGTCTTGGGTAGCTCCAGGGATCCCTGAAGCACAGTTTGAGAACCTGGCCCTGTGGATTCCAGCTTCATTGTGCCACCTCGGGGACGTTATTTAATCTTCTGTGTCTTAACTTCTTCCTCTTTAAAATGGGGAGAAAAACAGGGCTTAACTCCTAGGGTTCATGTGAGGATCAAAGGACAATTCGTGTGAGGCATTTAGAGCTGAACCTAGTACAGAGAAAACTCCACAGTCATCAGTATAATGTTTAAACAAGCACAGAAGTTGATTATGACAATTTCTGTCCATGATAGAGTATTGTTCACATACAGGATTTAATTTTATGCTACTTCCTTTGTCAAGAATGCAATATAATCTTTTTAAAACTTATAATCTTTTAAGAAGTCATTACATTTTTTTCATATTGGTAATCTCTTTGTGATCAGAACTGGGGAAAACATGTTCTTCCACTCCCCAAGTTGAAACATGCCCATGTATGACAGCTCTCCAAACATAGATCTCATTTTCTATTTACTGTTGCTGTTGGTCTGAATTCCTGAAAGTCCAAGACTTCAAGCACTGTAATAATTCCTTTGAGACCACTGACTTTTCAATGCTTTTTCATTTATAACTATTTTGCATAGTTGATCTAATTGCTATAAAAATGGTATGAATTAAAACCACCAAGCTGATTTTTTTTTTCATGGTCAAGTCGCAGTGATTTTCTCTTAACTCACGGTATATGGCCTTCACATTCTGTTTTATTGCACCGTGTGAGTTAAAATGAAAAAGCTTCACATTACTTAAGTAACAGATGTACAATACATGCAAAGTTGTGCAGTCTTGTGATAACTGTCTTAAATGTAAAAGAACTTCAAACAACAATAATGTGAGGTTAATCCAAGAAGCATTAACAGTCTCCTCCTTATCCACCCTGAAAAGGAAAGCATTTATGTAACTAATTAGTGTTCCATAGTAAATAATCCACTGACATTTATAAGAAGCATTCCTATTAGAGTCCGGAGTAAATATTATGTTGCATGTAAAACTATAAATAGGATGAATAGTGGTACCAGGCCCAGTTTTAAAATGCTATGGAAAATAAATGAGCACTGTCTGGGTAAAATGGGTGTTCTATGTCCTCTATATACTGGTGTCCAGCTGCCCAGCTCAGGTTTCCTATAGCTGCCGTGGAAACTCGATGATTCATCTCGGTTTCCAGTATGACTCTACAAGGTGGCTAAAAAAGTGAGTGAAGTTTCTCTTGTGGAAACAAAATGTAGAGGACAAAAGAAAACAAAATTTCTAACTGACTTAGAGATGTAGATTTCACCTAGCTTTAAGTGAATGGAGAAAACAGGGTTTTCTATATCATGGAATTTGGAGTTTCTGCCTGCAAAAGCTTAGACAATTTGAAGAAAGTTTTAATAAGGAAACCCTATGTTGCCCCAAATCATTTTATAACAAGTGATCTTTGCCTGCAAGATCTGAGTATTTGGTGGCTTTTTTTCAAAACTGCGTATCAGGTATAGAAAGAATAAAGCCCAGAGTAGAAAAGTAAACAAGAAAATGACATGTCTACATGGAGAAAATTTTGTGAGCCCACAGATTTGGGTGAAGCATAAACCAGGTGCTCAGTTTAAGGCCTAGTTAAGAGAGAGTGAAGAGAGGAGTAGAAAGGAGAACCAGTATTTTTAGGGCTCACCCCGGCATAGCCAAAGGAGCAGCTGCCTTCCCGGGATATGAGGAGCCCAGAGATTCTCACTTGCCCCATTCCTGAAATTCCCACCATGAGAGCCACACATTCTGGTTAAATCCCTTTCGGTGGAATGATCCCATTCCTGTGTGTGACTACGTATTCATTGACTTAGTCTTTCACTCCTTGATTAAACATCTATGAATAACGGATTGGGCTACAAATACAAAGATAAAACAGAAACATAAGAAAAAGCTATAGTTCCTGTCTCAGTGAGTTTATAGTCTGTTAGAGTAGAGAGAGGAAAATAAATGACATTTTAGTGTGACAGGTGCTTTGATGGGGATAAATTCCAATAAGTGCAAGACTACAAGAGATGGGGGCCCAACCCAGGTTGGAGTATGGTTGGAGTACATCCAGGTGATCTTCCTGGAGGGATGGAGGACAGGTAAGGGGGGGAAGAGAGGAACAGAGTCCAGAGCATGGGTCTCAGGGCTTCTCACAAACAGGGGAGGGTGGGGTAATCATGTCTATCCTCTAGTTCCATGAAAGCGGACCTTACCCAGAGTTTCCACTGCTGGATCTTACTGAGGATAGAGTGTGGTACACCCTGGATAGCAATATTTCTGCATATAGGTGATAAGTATTCATAGATCACCTGTTATGTGCTAGGGATACTGCAGTGAACATGACACGCCCTGATTCCTCCCCTCATGGAGCTGATGCCATTTTTTTTTTTTTTTTGAGACAGGGTCTTGATCTATTGTTTAGGCTGGAGTGCAGTGGCATGGTCATGGCTTACTGCAGCCTCCACCTCCCAGGCTCAAATGATCCTCCCACCTCAGCCTCCTGAGCAGATGGGACTACAGGCATGTGTCACCATGCCCAACTATTTAAAATTTTTTTTTATTTTTTGTAGAGATGTGGTCTCCCTATGTTGCCCTTGCTGATCTTGAACTGCTGGGCTCAGGCAGTACTCCCACCTTGGCCTCCCAAAGTGTTGGGATTATAGGCGTGAGCCATCACAACTGGCCGAGCTAACACTCTTGTTTAAAGAATGAATGGGTACTTATGAGGTACAATTAATTCAGGTAATGGTTACCCCAAACGCCCAGACTTCAACTACACCATATATCCAGGTAACAAAAATGCACTTATACCCCCTAAACATATAAAAAAATATTTAAAAGGAATGGATGGGGCACAGCATGGTGAATACAGTTAATAATAGAGTATTGCACATTTCAAAATTGCTAAAAGATTACATTTCGAATGTTCTCACCAAAAAATGTTTTAAGTATTTGAAGTGATGAATATGTTAACTATCTTGATTTAGTTGTATTCATAAATCATAACATCACCTTGTACCCCATAAATATATACAATTATAGATGGTCAATATTCAATTAGAAAATAAAATTTAAACGAGTGAATGGACATGGACATCCAGAAAGAGTTCAATTTCTTTTAGAGCTCCCTTACTAAAACTGCATAGGAAATATGAATTGGACATACAGTAATTAAAAGATAACCATGGTTACTTCTTGATACCTGGAGATGTTTATATTTTAATAATCTATTTCTGTATGTTTTAATTTTGCACACTTTGTTGCCTTAATAATTATAAAAAGAATAAAGATGCAAAAAAAAAGTGAGTATCTGCTTGTGTAATAAGTGATACTGCATTGATTTTTATAAAGATATTACAGACAGTCCTGTTTCTGTTTCATGAGAAAATGTGAGTTTTTCATCTGCTCCCTGACTTTTCTAATTGTTGGGTCAGAATCCATTTCCCCTCAGTTTTAAGGCTGAGAACATTTTAGGGCTTTCCGCTCCTTTAACACTTTTCCATTCCTAGAATGATTGACAGACACTATTGCTGGGCTAACTGCATTCTTTTTTAAAACATTCCCCCATCAAACACAGGACATCTGTAGGTCTTAGGATAATATTAGACCCATAATGTTAGATACTATATTTTGCTAATATGATATCTTCAATGTGAAGTATGCATCTGTCCATCCATCCATCCATTCATTCATTTATATTATGTGCTTTATGGGGTCTAAATAGTTTAATAAGAGATACCAACAAGTAAGCAGACCAGAGTCACCAATGTTGTAGTGCTCTGGGAGCATACTATAATAGCTATTTGGCTAAGATGGAATTAATTCAAACTTAGCAGAATGAAGAAAATGAAAATTTAAAATATTTATCATACATAATGGTTATATTTTAAAATTTCTATTTAAAACTAAAATCATTTGAAGATTTTTGACAAGACAAGATAGCTGATGGCCTAAATTATTAAATAGCCCTGCTGCAGATCATGTTACCTACATGGACCTGTGCTTTGAGGACGTGCTCCAGAATTGCACATTAGATAAGGCAAAATAGTACCCTAGGTGGTAGAAAACCAAGCAAAGAAACACAGTCTCTGAAATAGTTCCTTCTGATTCGGGTGAAACCCTTAGACTGGGGTGAAAAAAATCAGATGCTCAGCTTAAGACGTAATTAGGGAGGGAAGAGGTGCATGGCAATGTCTGCTAATCACACTCACACAGTTACAAGGGCTTCTGCTGCTCCTCGTGGATGGTAGTTTTTCATTGTGTGCCAAAGCCCTTCCCCATGAGCCGGTTGCTATGAAAATCCCCCAGAGGGAGGAGCTTCCTGTTCAGCTGTGCCTCTACCACCCTTAAGGAAATGGAAGGGAGGCTGCATCCACTATTAATGACATCAATTGATATTCCCATACTACCAATAGGCTTAGAAGAAAGAATATCAAGGTGACAGCAAAGTCATGATAAATGGTCCTTTGCTGGATGACCGGCTCCGAAACTTTCTTCTAGGTTAGCCCGGCATGGTGGTGTGCACCTGTATTCCCAGCTACTCAGGAGGCTGAGGTGGGAGGATCACTTGAGCCCAGGAAGTCAAGGCTGCAGTAAGCTGTGATTGAGCCACTGTACTCCAGCCTAGGCAACAGAGCAAGACCCTGTCACAAAAACAAAAACAAAAACTAAACAAAAGCTAAAACTTTTTTATAGGGTTAATACGCCCTTCGGGCTGAGGCCACCTGTGTCTGTTGTTGCTCTCACATGGAATCTTCCTGGGATGTGGAGAAGGCTGAATGTGGTCAGCTGCAGAGGCCCGGGGCAGGATGCCCTTGGGAATCCCTGTACCGTGGAGTCCATGTCTATAATTAACTCTTCGCATTAGGAGCAGATGGGACTGGGCAGGGCTGATACTCATACACCCAGTAAACCTTCTCTGAGCAGAGGACCAGCCTTTAATTCCCTGAAGCCACATTGGCACATAGCATCTCTCTGAGGTTGTTCAAGTTTCTGGCTATTGAGGAGTTCCATTCCTTTTGTGGTTCCTGTTGTCTAATTAAGTAGATGTACTTGGAGGTGGGTGGTCTTGGTGATGGGTTGGGCAGATACAGACTTGCAAGTAGGAATATTCAAGGTTATTCTCCACCTGGTGGTTATGATGAATGTCACACCCAACCAAGGCCAGGGAGGGGCATGATGGCTGAGACAGTGGCTGGGGAGGCCACTTAGTGTCCTGTTGTGAGCTTGACCCTGGCTCACCAGCTGTTCTGTTAACCACTGCTATGCTGCCATTCCAGGCCCCCTCTGGACTGCTCCAGCCAGAAGGGAGGTGAGGATGGGCGCATTTGCTGGAGATCCCTGACCCAGTCATCTCTTTCTTTGGGATGAATAATGGAGGACAGCACCTCTTGCCTCCAGAGGATTCTTGACAACAAAACCCAGATTTCTTGTCTACACACTGTGTCTCCTGCTGACTTCTCTGAGGTCCAACACACTGTATTCCCTGCTGATCCCTCTTCTCTTTGCTTAATTCATGCCAGCCCTGCTGGTCCCTGGGCTGATCCTAGAACACACAGGTGGAATCCTGCCTGTAGGCATTTGTGCCTGCTTTTCCCTCTGCCTGGGGTTGTTTTCATGCCTTGCCCATTCAAGGGCTTCTTGCAAGTATCTGCTCAACTGTTGCCTTATCAGAGACCACTCTATTTAAAATACTACCTTCCTGCCTCCCCTTCCTCCCCAGCTGAGTCTCTACCCCTTTCCTGGCTTTGTTTCTTTTCTTAGCACTTCCCACCAACTGACTTATGTTGTGTGTTTGATGTGACATGCTGAGTGTACGTCTCCCATCACCCAAATGCAAGCTCCTTGAGAGCAGCGACGTGGTATTTCCAATGCCTGGAACAGTACGTGGCACCTGATGAGTACAGTCAAAGGTATTTCGGAATGTTTGCTGAGTGGGTAAGGGCAATTTTCCTAAAAAAGTCCTCTTCCTCTAACCTTCACTGTCTCTGCTTGTTTACCTTTTATTCATTTTGTAATTCATGGCAATGAAGCTTCACCCTTGGCAGGACCATGTCCTCTTACACTCTTACAGTTCTTTTTAGTTCCTATTCGACTTCACCTTTCTGAAGCAATTTATGCTATGGAAACAGTATTGTGGGCTTTGGAGCCAGAAAGGTCTGGCCTTGAATTCTGTTTCACCCCTTAGTAGCTATGTGATTCTGGGCATGTTATTTCACCTTTCTTGGTTACCATTTCCATGTTAGTTACATCAGAATATTAATATCTCATTCATGAGATTTTCCCAGGAACATGAAGTAAGGGACATGTGTAAAACTCCGGGTACAAGACTGAGTACATAATCAGAGTTCAATAAATGTTAGCTCCGTTGCTTTCTTCCCTTTTCTATTCCACTTTATTGTGACTCCACTTTCTTCTCTATTATGTTACCTCTCTCGTCACTTCTTTGTGTCCCTTGCACACTTTTCTTTTTTCCTTCTCCCCACCTTCTGAACTATTATGTTTCCCCAAATCTGTCCTCAGCCTTGCTCTTTTTCTGCTAATGTGTGCTCCCTGGGTTAGCTCGTCCACACCTGTGACTCCAATTAGCATCTATCAATGATTCCAAAGACCGCAGGCCCATCCCAGGCCTCTCTCCTGGGCTTCCAGCTCATACTTCCTAGTGCTGACATCTCCATGCACATGTCCCATGGGCTTCTCCACTTCAGTGTGTCCCGACTCTACTCATTCACTTCCCTCCAACCTCTCCTCTGTCCTAGAGCATGGTCCCATCTTCCCAGTTGCTCATTGGAAATTTGAGTCAGTTTTTACTGTTCTCTCTCCTGTGTTTCATATCACAAAGCCCAATAATTTCTAATTGCCAAATATACTTTAAACATTTTCACCTTATTTGCTGCTTCCTTAATTCAATCTCTAATCTTTTCTCACCTATGTGACTGCCGTTGTTTTTAACTATGCTCCCCATTCAATGTGTTCTCTCTTAAATAACCTTCCTATGATTATATCACTTCCACTTAAAAAACAAGATAATTCAATGGTTGTCTGTTATCTTTGGGATTGAGTTAAAACTCTTTAGCCTAACAAACAAGACTTTTCATGAACTGACCCCATTCCCAGCTACACTTGCAGTTCCCCCAACATGCTGAGCTATTACAAGCCCCCCAACTTTGCCCAAGCTGTTCCTGTTGCGTGGAACACCCTCCTCTTCCCCTTGTCTATTTGGCAATCTCTGCTTAAGCCTTGCAGTACTCAGTTGCATCACCTCCTCTTTGAATCTTTGCTGCACTTTCTAAGCTGGGGCAAGTGCCTGCCTTGGAAGTCCTTCCCCATCCCTTGTATTCCCATTATATGACTTACCTCACTCCACTGTAACCTACTGATTTTCCTGTTTCATGTGCAGTCCCACAGGGTGGAATGTCACGGAGCCACTCACCTCTGATTCCCCAGCATTTAGCACATCTGGCCCTCAATAGATAATGGTTGGCTGAATGAAGAGTGGGGTTAGTGTTTGTTTTAGTAGAACAAACTGATAATGGCCTAGATCACCCTGTAGGGCATTGAAGCTGTTGATAAATTCAGCTTTGCCTCCTTCCACCATTGTTCCCCATCATATATTGCATGTGAATTCATTGGAGACTTGCCTTCAGCTTCTTTTTTTTTCTTTTTAGAAAGAGTTCAGTTTTCCTCCTCCATCAAATCTGAAGGAGTACATTGGACTAGTTCATCTGTAGGCTCCCTTCCCACTCTGATATACCATGATGACTTCTAGTGAGAATAGAAACTAACAGCCCCAAAGGCATGTCCCAGCCCTGTCATCAAACAGCTGAAGGACCTTGCACAAGTCACTTAGCCTTCTTGAGCTTCGACTTCCTCTTTATAAAATGGAAGGAATATTCTTCTAAATGTTTGTGGGGATTAACTTAAAGTATGTGAAAGCATCAAATGCAAGGCAATATTTTCAGGGTGTTATACCCCATATTTCTACACTTTATGCATCTTGAAATAAAGAGGGACAAATATCACATAGCACTCTGGTCATGATATTTTGGATCAGGAGAGGCCATATCAAGAACTTTGGGTGAAGTTGTGAGGAAATAATGCAGTCTTCAAATAACTCAGAGCATTCAGAACATACTAGAAGACTGTCTTAGAGAAGTGGTCTAAGAACCTCTCTTCTGAAACCTAGATGAGCTGAAATGGAATCCCCTGGGGTGAAGCTATGAAGACTGGGGTGATGTCCACCTTGCTGGATCTCTCAGCTCTATCCAGGGTGGTGCCCTGGAATGTTCTGCTGAAGTGTTCCTCTGAGACCACTGACAATCATGGATAAAGATGTCACTGCTGTGATTTAGAAATCCAGGAAATCCTTGAAGAATATTTCAAATGCAGAGCCCCAGAAGCTAGCTGGCATCATGACTACAAAAAGTCCTGGTCAGGAGACCACAGCCAGGGATGGAGGCCATCTGTAGATAGACCAGTTCATTCGATAAGACTTAGTGAGCAACTGGTATGAGTCAGGTCCACTGTCAAGCTCTGGGAAGGCAAAGATGAATAAGAAATGGTTTGTGGCTATAGTAGAAGTTACAGAAGGGGTTTGGTATCATCAGGGTCTGGAGGAAAGGGTTGTCACAAGGAGATGTGGCCCTTCCCACAATGACTGACTACCAGAGTGCCTCAGGGACACAGGGACCAAGGGTATGGGAGGAAGCCCAGCCTGGTCCCCACTTGTGCAGCCCCCTCCCAATAACTGCATGAGTGACAGGTCCCTGTTCTCCCATCTCTATACCATGGTGGTCAGGGGACCTCCCAAAGGTTCAGATGCAGAACCGCAGGTGTGGTTTGGGTTGTGAGCAGACAGGCAGAGCTATCGCTCACACACATGGTTCTATTTGGTAGGCACAAAAAGCCCTCCCACTTAGAAATAACTTCCCCAGAGGCCTGTACTGCCTGACCTTTCACTAATGCAGATTCATTGTTTCAAACTATCAATGAATGACCATTAAAAATAGGAATAATTCTACAAATACTAATGATACTTAGTACCTACTGATATTTCCTTTATGATAGTCTCTAAGTGCTTTACAGCTATTAAGTCATTTAATTCCCACAACAGCCTGAGGCAGGTATTATCATTATCCCCATTTTACACATGAGGAAATGGAAATGCTATGAAGGAACTTTTCCAAAGCAGGTCACACAAGGAAGTAGTAGAGGCGAGATTTGAATCCAGGCAGACTGGCTCCAAATTCATGCTATTAAACACTACGCTTTTCTAGAAAGAGCAGCATTGAGACTTATTAGCAATTAGTTCCTTAGTTTAAACTACAGCAGCTAATATTTAATGAGCATTTATGGTGTGCCTGGCACACAAAGTGGTGTTTATTATTTAATTTATTGTTAATAAAACCTATAGAGTAGGTACTATTATTAGCATTTTACAGATGAGAAAAATAAAACTTGGGGCAGAAAAAGAATTAACCTGAGGTCATATAAGCGGGAAATAGGGAAACAGGATTTGAAATCAGGCAGTTTAACTCCAAAATCCACACATCCAATGGCTACCTTCGCTTGTGATGTACAATTGGGTGAGACCAGACATTTGTGAGCTGTCATGCCCAGTTTGTCAGTGGGAAAGCAGGCCTTGTGGGGAAGGTCAGTCCAAGGGCTCTGTGGCACTCCTGGGGAAAACAGGACTTGGGACACATGGAAATAACCCTTTTCACCCCTCAATTCCATCTGGGGCTGACTCTGCCCACTGTCCAGCTCAGAATTTGAAGATATAGCTTTATTTACTAAAGCCTTACCCACCAGGTCTAACATTCTATCACTGAACTTTAAAACCAAAAACGTTAAGGAGCTTCTATTTCAACATCCCACCCAATGCCACATGTAATCTCCCTGACAGGTACCAGCATTCTCATTTACAAGAACTTGTCTTTCTCAAGGCAACCATTCCTTTGTTACAGCTCGCTATGGTGGTCAAATTATTGAACTGTAATCTCTCCTCCTGGAACTTCCATTTCTACCCTCCAGAGGCTAAATGAATCAGGTCCCTCTCAGGCAATCGAGAAAGCTGTGTTCTCTGATGCCACAAGACCTCTGCTCATGCTATTTCCTCTGCCTGGAAGGCTAGCTCCTCCCTTCCAACCCATTTTGTTAATTTTGACTTGGCCTTTCACTTCAACATAGTCATTTCCTCAGAAAGCTTTCCCTGGCCTCCCTGACTTGGTCAAATCTCTTAATTATATACTTTCAGAATATCATTGTCTTAGATCATGTTCTCTAAAAGCAGAACCTGGGGCAGGGGTTGTGTGTTCTCATGATTTATTGAGGGAGTGCTCCCCGCCAAAAAAACTGAAAGGTAGTAAAGGAACCAAGATAGGGAAGGAGAAAGAGCCACACAAGAATGAGGTTTCAGGTGAGTTTGGTTCAGCCTGATTTGGAAAGGAGCGCAGGAGGGTAAACTGAATCTGTCCTGCCTTGAGGCAAATGTGGGGGGCTCTTGCATTCCCACCCCAGTCAGTGGTTGGCCGTGCGCTGCCATGGGTGGGTGAATTTCCAAGCACTTCCTGCAGGAAATGTCATGGGCAATGCTCTGGAAAGGCTGCAGGCATCAGCCATTAGGTAAAGACTGGCAGCAGCTGCAGCAGCCAGGCATGGGCTTGCTCACTAAACAAGCGAAGGGCATCCCAGAGGTCTGAGTGGGGCACCAGCAGTGTGTGCTATAATCACAGCCTCTCCTTCATGGAACTTGCCCAAGTAAGATTTTTACATTTATGCGCATGGTTATTTGATTGAAACCTGACCTTTCCATTGGAGCATAATCTCCTTGTGGCCAGAACCTGAGTCTTGTCGAGTTATTTTCCCACAGTCATTGAGCCAGTCAATGTCTTCGCTTGTACGGTTTCCACAGTGCCAAGCACAGGGCTTGTAGATAGTTGGCGTTCAGAAAGGACTAGTTGAGTGAATAAATAGATCAACAGATAAATGATTGAAGCCTACTTTCTCTTATAGACGATAACAGTCTCTTTTATGTCCATATCTCCTTTTCTACTTATCAGCTTTTGGATGTTTTCAATTCTCTTCTGTCTTACAGAATCTTTTCCTTTCTGGCTTCCTTGAATTACATTTTCCATCCTGTCTAGGAATCCTATATCCTGGTTGTTAACAAGCCAGGGTGTCTAGAGACATTTATCAAATGCTTGTTCTCAAGAATGGGGCTCAGCCTGCCTTTGTAACAACTCATAATTCCTAAGGACCTCAAGGAAAAAGAAACAGCATATATCCTTTAGATAAGATTCTTTCATGTTCTTTCAATGTCCCTTTCTGGGTGTCAGGGGAAACAGTGGTGAATTACAGTCATTTTTCTTCTCCTGGAGATTTTTGTGGCTAACTTTCCATTGACCTTTTGCTGTATCCCACTACCCTGCTTTATACTATTTAGAGTGCTGAGGATTTTGTATTCATTCTTGCTAATCTATCTATTGGCTCATTAAATCAGCCAAATCCCACCTGTTTTCATACAGATTGTTGAAGGGTCAAAGCCCAGAAGCAATGAGACGAGAGAAGGCTAAGTGTTGATGGTCGAGAAGCTGTTTGGAACATAAATGCTTTTAGAATGTTTAGGATACTGGGCATTGGGTAGAGAGAGTGTTCTAATGAGTGATAGAAGGTTCTGGGGCACAAGTAGTCTGGCTTACATTCTAGGAATGACTCTATTGGATTAAGCAGTGGAGTTCCAATTGTGCTCTGCCTTGACAAAATATGTGCATGTGTGTTTTTTTTGTTTGTTTTGTTTTTGTTTTTTGTTTTGTTTTGTTTTGTTTTTCTGAGATGGAGTTTCGCTCTTGTTGCCCAGGCTGGAGCGCAATGGCGCCATCTCAGCTCACCACAACCTCCACCTCCCGGGTTCAAGCGATTCTCCTGCCTCAGCCTTCCTGAGTAGCTGGGATTACAGGCATGCACCATCATGCCTGGCTAATTTTTTGTATTTTTAGTTGAGAGGGGGTTTCTCTACATTGGTCAGGCTACTCTTCGAACTCCCGACCTCAGGTGATCTTCCCGCCTCGGCCTCCCAAAGTGCTGGGATTACAGGCATGAGCCACCGCACCCAGCTTTGTGTGTGTTTTAATTAGTCAGTCAAAAATATTGTCTGGGGTCTACTATTTGCCAAGCTGTGTTCTAGGCACTGGGAATATAGGAGACAATGAGACGACAAGGTCTCATCCTTCAAGGAGAATTCCAGAGTGTGTGTGTATGTGTGTGTGCGTGCATGTGTGTATTCATGTACAAATCCAATCCTGAGATTTGCAGCTATCTAAATCTGCTCCTGCAACATGCATACTCCTCTGGATTTCCATAGCCTCTCCTTCCACACATCAGGGCAGCTTGATACATGAAACAGAGCACTAGGCCAGGAGTAAAAAGGCTCCATTCTTGGCTCTATATTAACCAGCTGGGTCACATTAAAAACTATACCATGCGTCTCTGAGCCCGAGTGTCTTCATTTATAAAACAAAAGTGTTGGAATAAATATTCTCCATTTGCCGAATTCCAGGAAAACATTTACTGTGGGTCTACTATGTGCTGGGCACCTTTGTGGTATCTCATGAGATTCCATTTTCTCATTGAATTATCAGTGGAGCTGCTGTCCTCCTTGATTTATAGATGAGGAAACTGACACTAGAGACACTGAGTTACCTTCCCACGGCCACTTAGCAAGTCAGTGTCAGAGTCAGGATTAGACCCATTAGACCTGAACTCACGTTTAGTGCTATTTGCTCCATCATCACATCTGCTTCTCACTTCACTCCAGTGCCTGCGACTGACAGGGAGTGCAAGGTGGATTTGAGGGGAGTCAGAAAAGAAATGGGGGAATCCCATCTGGATTGGCTATGGCACTCCTACTGCCAACCTGCTTTAAATCCCTGTCTCCACGTGTTCATCCATGCTGGGGCAGTGAGGCAGTAGCATCGCTGGGAGGGAGAGCCCCAGATAAGGCGCTGGGCAAAAATGCACAGAATTTAGTGTTAGAGGCTAACCAGATGCATGTCCAATGATGTGCACAATAGCTATTATATTCTACAGTTTTCAAGAATAAATAGTAGTTTATGTAAGTACGATAAGTATTAGATTTTAAAAGTTAAGCTGAGTGCTGTTAGTTTTAGAATAAATGTCTTGGCTAAGATAGAAAATTCTTCACATTCAACTTTTCCCTTAAATGATTTGAGTCCCAGCTCTGGCCTTACCTGATCGTGTATTCTTGGCAGTGGTTCACTGCGCCCACTGATGTGTAGTTTCATCATCTAGAAAATGGGGACAACAATAGTAACTATTTTGGAGGGCTTTGGTAAAGACTAGATAATGTCATGAAAACAATTTGTAAAGTGCCAAACAAATGTTCATTTTTATTTTGTGCTAGGTCTTGTGCTATCCTAGCTGCTGGGGATATAAAAATGAAGAGGACACAGCCCTCTTAACAAGCCAGGGTATCTAGAGACATTCCTCAAGTATTTGGCTTTTTGATGACCTTTAAATGCTGTTTTCTTGAGGCCCTTGTGGGCAGGACTGCCTTTGACTTGTGTGTTCTAGTTGCTGCAGGTCATATAGTTTCCTAGTCCTCTCACTCCTTTGATTTATGTTACCCATGGAAAAAACTGAGTTGATTTAAGGGAATATCTCATTTCCTCCCATGCAAACCTCCAATCTTCTACCTTAGATCTTCCTGTCAGATTGCTTTCCTAACACCTGCATTCGTTTGTCAGTGACTGATAGCACAGCAAAGAAGCTCCATGCAGACTGGATTGCTGGCATGGGGTAAGGAGGAGAAGCCAGCCAGAGTGACCTGGCCCAGCGATTGGGAACCAGGGACCTTGACTAACTTTGTCCAGATGTAAAGGGTGAGTATTGCAGAGGCTGCCACTGTCCACTCATAACAACCTCCTTTCTTCCTTTAGTCAGATATCCCCCAGTTTAAGCTGGGTATGTATGTGACTGCCACGCTCCATGACACCTATGTGTGCTTGGGAGGCTAAGTTCTGTGATGTGAACATGAGTGATACGTGCAACCCTTGGGCTGTGTCCTCAGGGGAAGGCATTTTTACTCAGTCTTCTTTTCTTTCTGTAGGCTGGAATGTTGGCGTGATGGTTGAAGCTGTAACAGCCATCTTCGACTACAAAATGGAAGCTGCATGCTACAAATGACAGAAGACAAGATCAAAAGAACCTGTGTTCCCAGCACCACAGAACTGTCCCTATGGAAATAGACATGACTGTTACATAAGAAAGAAATATACCCTACTATGTTTAAGCCTCTGTTATTTTAGCATGTGTTGTAGCAGTTGTATACTAAGTAACTAATGAGAAAGAATATTTTGTGCCCTGGTAAAGATGGATACTTCTATATGTTATGAGAACAATTTGATGAGGTAATTGTAATTTAGTAGAATAATATCAAATATTAATGTCAAATGACTAGTTTGGCATTGCCACATAGTAATTGTTGGGCAAGTTATTAACCTGTGTCTCAGTTTCCTCACTGGTAGAATAACAATAACAGACAATCGTACTAGTGTCTAACGTTTTACTGAACATGTAGCTTGGTTCAGCGCCACACATTATTTGAATTAAGTAGAATAAGAGAGTCCTGAGTAAATATAACCCAAATGTAAATTATTTTTAAACTTTATTACATATGTGAATATTATTATTTGAGCTTCTCATACTGACTTCTTATTTACTTAACTGATTCTAGGCATTGACCACTCCTGAGATTTTGCATCCATACTCCCTAAAAGTTCTGGTCCAAAATTTAGCACACAATAAATATTTAATGAGGGCATAGCTTATTTTTAAGTAGGTACCTCTATTCACAGAATGTTTTTCTCTTGATTAAAAAAATTAATTGCATTATATACATAACATAAAATTCACTATTTTAACCATTTTAAGTGTACAATTCAGTGGCATTAAATACATTTACATTGCTCTGAACCATCACCACTATCCATTTCCAGAATTTTTCATCATTCCAAATAGAAACTCCATATTCATTAAATAATAACTCTCCATTCTTCCTTCCCTTGGCCCTTGGTAAACTCTTTTCTACTTTCTTTCTCTATGAATTTGCCTATTCTAGGCACCCCATATAAGTGGATTCATTCACTATTGGCCTTTTTGTGTTTGACTTATTTCACTTGAAATAATGTTTTCAAGGTTCATCATGTTATAGCACAGCACATGTTAGAATTTCATTTGTTTTAAAATTTATTTTACTTCATGTTCTGGGATACCTGTGCAGAATGTGCAGGTTTGCTACATAGGTATACATGTGCCATGGTGATTTGCTGCACCTATCAACCCATCATTAGAATTTCTTTCATTTTTAAAGTTCAATAATATTTTATTATAGGTGTATGCCATATCTTGTTTATCTATTTATCCATCAATGGACTCGGATTGTTTCTACCTTTTGGCCATTGAACAACGCAGCTATGAAAAAGGGTGTACATGTTCTTGATTTGTTGTTAAAGCAGCAATTTTGACTTCATATCAGGAGTTGACATTGATGTTTCTCTGGGGTGGTGCAGCACACTGGAACCTGCTTGCTCTGTTTCTGTTTCTGTTTCTGTTTCTGTTAGCGCGAGCTTGTCCAACCCATGGCCCACGGGCTACATGTGACCCAGGATGGGTTTGAATGTGGCCCAACACAAATTCGCAAACTTTCTTAAACATTGGAGCTTTTTCTGAGGTTTTTTTTTTTTTTTTTTCTCATCAGTTGTCGTTAGTGTTAGTGTATTTTATGTGTGGCCCAAGACAATTCTTCTTCTTCCGTTATGGCCCAGGGACATCAAAAGATCGGGCACCCCTGTGGTTAGCACGATGCTTGGAATATTGAGTATTTCACTGGTGCCTAGACACAAAAGCTATCCCTGGCAGAGCTGTGAGAATGTTCACAGTGTGAGGCCATCTCACTTTGCACAGAAGGATTCTAAGTCACAAAGAGAACATGGAGAGGGTGACACCAAGGTATACAGGCACAACATGAATTGTGCAAATGAATTTCTCTCTGTTCCTGGGTATAATGTGTCACACTGATACTTGCAGACTGGATGCAGGGGTGCTTCAGTTTACTGAACAGAGTCAGAGTTGGAGATGGGAGCTGGAGGTCCGGCCTTCCATACCCGGTACTGTAAATGCTGTGTATGTGTTTGGCCGATAATCCTTCCATCTCTCAGTGTTGGCTCCCTGTTGTACAGGCAGAAGCTGATGACTTTGAAGCTGCATTATAGCAGAAGATTGCCTGAAGAATGTGACCATTACTCTAGCTTCTGGAAAATGCAATCATGAGGATTCTCACTTAGGTCGTTTAGCTCCAAAGACATGGCTCCCTAGGCCTGCAGTTTTTATACTGGCTGCCAGTCAATTTTAGAATTGGTGTCAACATAGAAAGCACTGCGTGGCCTTGGAGTCTCTGATGTTGATCCTACAGTCTGACAGATCAGATTCCGGGATGATGGGATTTTGACTGTCTCTAAATTTCAGGCAAAGTCAGATGAGGACACCACAGGCAGGTGTTCTCATACATCCCTGGTTTTAGCTCTGTCCCTTTGAGTTTCAGTCATTCGGTACAAATTCATATCCTTTTATGTATTGTGGTTTAAAATATTTTTGATTGTTTACTGCTTGTTAGGCTATGTAAAAGGCCTAATGAGATATACTAAGAAAAGTAAGGATGTTGGGCTGTGCTAGAAAAACAAAGGACTTATGTTTCATGTTTTGGTTAACTGCAGAAATAAAAGAGTTTATGGAATGGAGTACCTCCCAATCCACTGGCTGGGGTCTAGTGCCCTCATTTGTGCTCTGCTCACTAGGTTTCTAAAAAAAAAATTAACTAGTGTTTTTAATTGAAAAAGAGATACATGCCTTAGTCTGGGAAGCCACCTGAGGAAAAGCTGAAGTGCTACTGCTTACTTGGGAGGTACAATGCCAAGGCAGCGGGAGCAAGGGAAGGGGTGTTGTGGCAGGGAAGGATGGGAAGCAAACACCAGGTGGTGTGTTACTGCACATATACATACAAGGTGACTGCTGTTCACAAGTGTGTCAGCCCCTTGGAATGGCTCTGGACAAGATATGCAGAAACACCATATCCTGCAGCGGTCCATGGAGGGATGAATGACAAAGACATTTATTTGTTGGTTCTTTCCCATTTTCTGTCCTTCCATAAGTTAAAGTTCACCGTATGGGGTGTTATTGGCCCTGTGCCCTCAGGTTGCATCCCCTGACCGCTTGGCAGCTGTTGTAGAAGTCAGACTCCACAGGATGTCACTTCATCTGAAGCAGTGGGAAGAACCAGAGACTTTGACCATTGATCTCACTGGAGTGGACCAGATGGGTGGGGCAAGTGAAAGAGGTCAAGGAGAGGGCTGAAGCTAGAGAATCTGAGGTAGCCTATAAGCTGGGTTCCCTACAGACATAGTAAAACTTTCAGCAATACTAAAGAGTATACAATAAATACATTTTCCTTCCAGCTCAGACCACCAAGTCACTGTCAGTAGTCTGCCCTAACATCTTGTGTATACCAAATATTCATCTATGTTTATAAGATCATATGTTACAAGATTTTGCTGCTTGTAACAGAAACCCCACATACGTGGCTAAAACAAGAGAGAAATTTGTTGTTCTTTGTCATGTAAAAGTCCGAGGAAGGCAGGAAGGCAGACTAATGGCAACTCCCTGGTGATCATTCTGCTTCATCATGTTTAGCATGTTTCTATCCTCAAAGCTACTTTATCAGAGAAAAAAAAAAGGGCAAAATACTGTGTCTTCTAGCTGTGTTAGTCTCATTTAAGCAGTTTTCTCAAAGGCCCTACACAACAATTTTCACTTCAATTTCACTGGCCAGCCCTAGCAGCAAGGGAGGCTCGGAGGTGAGAAATAGAACCTTTTAGACAGGTATTTTGCAGCCAAATAAAATCAGAGTTTATTTAGTAAAAATGAAGGAAAGGATGAATATTGGGTAGACAACTAGCAGGTTCATTTTACCCAAATTCAACACCTTGCTTTTTTATAATGTAATGTACTTGGATATTGTTCAAGAGTAATGCATGTAGATGTACTTCATTTATTTGAATACATTCATTGTATTCTATTGTGTGAAAATACTAAAATTAACATGTTCTCTATGGGTAGATATTTAAATTATTTCTGATATTTTGGCTATTATAAACAGCACTACAATTAACATTGTTAGACATATATATTTACTCATTTGAATATGTATTTCTAGGATAAATTTACAGATGAGGAATCACTAGATTGAAGGGGCAACTGCATTTTGAATTTTACTATATATTATCAAACAGCCCTCCAAAGTGCTCGCATTAATTTGCATTCTCACCAACAGTATATAAAAGTACCTATTGTCTTCCACTGCAGATAGCAATGTGAGTTATTGGACGTTACGGCATTTTCCAATATGATAAGCAAAAATTACATCTTATCAATTTGGTTTTCATGAATTGTCTCATTAACCTTCTAAATGATCATAGAAGTGGTCAATTCCACCTATTTCCTAGCCCAAACCAGTTTGGATCAATGGGTGTTTATATTACTCCACAATTTTATAGAAAGGGAGATTTAGATTTTCGATGTGTAATCCGTTCTAGTCATGAAACATTTTTTAAAAAGAACAGCTTTATTGAGGTGTAATTTACATATCATAAAGTGTACAATTTAGTGTACAATTCAGAGGTTTTTAGTATATTCATAGAGTTGTGCAACCACTGCCATTATATAAATTCAGGACATTTTCATCCTTGTAAAATAAATCCTGTATCCATTAACAGTCACTCCCATTCTTCTCCCCTCCTTATGTTCCTTGGAAATTACTAATCGACTTCCTCTTTCTATGGATCTGCCTATTCTGAACATTTAAATATAAATGGAATTATACAATATGTGACCTTTAGTGTCTAACTTCTTTCACTTAGGATAATGTTTGTCAAGGTTCATCCATGTTGTAGGATGTACTAACACTTCATTCTTTTATTTTATTTCATTTTTCATTGTGGTAAAATGTATATAAAGTAATATTTATTATCTCAAGCAATAAATATACAGTTTAGTAGCATTAAATACATTGACAGTGTTGTGTACCTATTACCACCATCCAACTCCAATCTTTTTCATCTTTCCAAACTGAAGCTTTGTACCCATTAAACACTAACTCCCCATTCTCCTCTCTGTGTGTATGAATTTGACTACTCTCTGTACCTCATATAAATGGAATCATACAATATTTGTCCTTATGTGTCTGGCTTATTTCACTTAACATAATGGCATAATGTCTTCTAGACCATTCATATTGCAGCACATATCCAAATTTCCTTCCTTTTAGTGGCTCAGTAGTGTATACCACATTTTGTTTATCCATTAATATGTTGATGGACACTTGGGTTGCTTCTACCTTTTGGCTATTGTGAATAATATTGCTATGAACAGTGGTGTACAGATATCTGTTTGAGTCATTGCTTTCAATTCTTTTTTATATAACTTAACGGGCATGAAGTTATATAAAAAAGCTTATATAAGTTTTATATAAGCTTATATAAGCATATATAAGCTTATATATGAAGTTATATAAAAAACCACATCTCACTGTGGTTTTGATTTGCATTTCCCTAATGACAAATGATGTTAAGCATCTTTTCATGTAATTATTGACTATTTGCATATTTTTTTCTTCAGAGAAATGTCTACTCAAGTCCTTTGCCCATTTTTAAAATCGACTTGTTTTTTATTGTTGAGTTAAAACAATACTTTAAACAATCTGTATTTCCATATTGTTCAGTGTCTTCTCCTGACTACTTATTTGTCAGTTTCCTTTTTCTCCTATTATCCTCCTGTGTCTTAGTTCATGCAGCTGTGGTACCATAAAATACCATAGACTGGGAACTTTATAAGCAATGAAAATTTATTACTTACAGTTCTGGAGTCTGGGAAGTCCAAGATTTGGTGTCTGGTGAAGGCTTCCTCTCGGGTTTAAGATGGTGCCTTGTTGCTGAGTCCTCTCATGATGGAAGAGGTGAACATTTCCCTTGTACTTCTTTTGTAAGGTCACTAAACCCATTCATGAGGGCTCTGCCTGCATAGCTTAATCACCTCCTAAAGGCTGCACTTCTTTCTTTCTTTCTTTTTTTGTGATGGAGTTTTGCTCTTGTTGCCCAGGCTAGAGTGCAATGGCGCAATCTCGGCTCACCAGAACCTCCAGCTCCTGGGTTCAAGCCGTTCTCCTGCCTCAGTCTCCCGAGTAAATGGGATTACAGGCATGCACCACCACGCCAGGCTAATTTTGTATTTTTAGTAGAGATGGGGTTTCTCCATGTTGGTCATGCTGGTCTCAAACTCCCGACCTCAGGTGATCCGCCTGCCTCGGCCCCCCAAAATGCTGGGATTACAGGTGTGAGCTACCGTGCCTGGCCAAGGCCCCCCACTTCTTAATATCATCATGTTGGTGATCAAGTTTCAACATATGAGTTTCCTCAACATGTTTAGATTCTAGCACCTTGCTTTGATGCTCTGTGATCATCCACCTCTTAGATATGTCTGCTCTTTATAGAAGATCCCTTGATCAGAGTCATGCATAGCTCTCCACTGTCTTATTGTTATTCTCCGTATACCCTAATCATTCCAGGTTACTCTTATCATTTAATTTTCAAACTTTTATGACCTCAGGACTTACTTTTTATGTAAGGTAATCCCGAATTAATATGTGCCCTGATGTTAAATTTGTAGTCAACTTGATGCATCTAAAATTAATGTATATGATCATTTTTTTCACATTGTCTTTGTCCTGTTCCCTCTTAACCAGTTGTGTGCTGGTTAAAGGGG
Organism: Homo sapiens; assembly: GCF_000001405.40. NCBI lineage: Eukaryota > Metazoa > Chordata > Mammalia > Primates > Hominidae > Homo > Homo sapiens. The sequence continues at coordinate 74,214,485 of NC_000008.11, forward strand.
CATAAAACCCAAATGAATGGCCACTGGAACACTGATTTTCATTTTTTTTGTTTGTCATTTTCAATTAGTTATCTTGGTAGATGTGAATTGGTATTTCAATATGGTTTTGATTTGCATTCTCCTAATAACAGATGATGCTGAACATCTTTTTGTGTGCTTATTTGTATATCTTCTTCGGAGAAATGCCTATTCAAATCTGTTGCCTATTTTTAAATTGGGTTATTTGTCCTTATATTTTTGAGTATAAATGTTCTTTATATGTTCTAAATACAAGTCCTTTATAAGATATATGATTTGCAAATATTTTCTGTCATTCTATAGGCCATCTATTCACTTTCTTGATGGTATTCTTTTTCTTTTTTAAAATTGTAGATTCAGGGAGTTCATATTCAGGTTTGTTACATGGGTATATTGCATAATGCTGGGGTTTGGGCTTCTGTTGAACTCATCACTCAAATAGTGAACATAGTACCCAATAGGTATTTTTTCACCCCTTCCTCCCCTCCCCCCATTGCCTATCGTTCCCATTTTTATGTCCATGTGTACTTATTGTTTAGCTCCCACTTACAAGTGAGAACATGTGGCATTTGATTTTCTGTTTCTGCATTAATTCACTAAGGATAATGACCTCCAGCTTCATCCATGTTGTTGGAAAGTATATGATTTCATTCTTATTTATGGCTAAGTAGTATTTCATGGTGTATATGTTCCACATTTTCTTTATCTAATCCACCATTGATGGTCACTTATGTCGATCCCATGAATTTGTTATTGTGAATAGTGCTATGATAAATATAGGAGTGCAGGTGTCTTTTTAATAGAATTATTTCTTTTCCTTTGGGTGTATACCCAGTAGTGGGATTGCTGGATTAAATGGTAGTTCTATTTTTAGTTCTTTAAGAAATCTCTATCCTGTTTTGCATAGGAGTTGAACTAATTTTCATCTCCATCAACAGTGTATAAGCATTCCCTTTTTTCTGCATCCTCACCAATATGTTACTCTTTATGTTTTAATCATAGCTGTTCTGACTGGTGTGAGATGGTATTTCATTGTGGTTTTAATTTGCATTTCTCTGATGATTAGCGATGATGAGCATTTTTTCATATGTTTGTTGGCCGCATGTATGTCTTCTTTTGATAAGTGTCTGTTCATGTCTTTTACCCACTTTTTAATGGGATTATTTGTTTTTTGTTGTTGTTGGTTTAAGTTTCTTACAGATTCTAGATACTAGGCCTTTGTCGGATGCATAGTTTGCACATTTTCTCCCATTCTGTAAGTTGTCTGTTTACTCTGTTAATTGTTTCTTTTGCCGTACAGAAGCTCTTTAATTAAGTCCCATTTGTCAATGTTTGTTTTTGTTGCATTTGCCTCTGCGGTCTTAGTCACAAATTATTTGCCTATGTCCAGAAGAGTTTGTCCTAGGTTTCCTTCTAGCATTTTTAAATTTGAGGTCTTGCATTTAAGTCTTTAATCCATCTTGAATTGATTTTTGTATATATTGAGAGGTAGAGGTCCAGTTTCATTTCTCTGCATATGTCTAGCTGGTTATCCCAAAACCAGTTATTTGATAGGATGTCCTTTCCCCATTGTTATTTTTGTCAACTTTGTCAAAGGTCAGTTGGTTTTAGGTATGTGGCTTTATTTCTGGGTTCTCTATTTGTTCCATTGATCTAAGTGTTTTTGTACCAGTACCATGCTCTTTTGGTTACTATAGCTTTGCTTGGAGTCAGGTAAAGTGATGCTTCTGGCTTTGTTCTTTTTGCTTAGGATTGCTTTGTTTATTTGGGCTCTTTTTGATTCCTTGATGGTGTTCTTTGAGCACAACAGTTTTAAATTCCGATAAAGTCCAAGTTATTTAGGGTTTGGTTTTTGTTTTTGTTTCTATTTTTCTTTTGGTGTCATGTCTAAGAAACCATTGCCTAATCCAAGATCATGAAAATTTATTCCTATATTTTTTTGGTAAGAGTTTTGTAGTCTTAGCTCTTACATTTAGGCCTGTGATTCATTTTGAGTTAGTTTTTGTATATGGTATGAGCTTAAGGTGAAACATTTATAAAACCATTTTTATAAAACAAGAAGGTTTTTATTATACCTAAGCAGTATACTTCCTCCCTTAGGTTTAGCTCATTTTCCTTCAGTAAAGATTTGTTCATTCATTTATTCAGCAATGATTTGTTGAGCAACTGTTTAGTGCCTGGCTCAAGCATACTGTGTGAAGGAGAATAAGGTGTAGTGTTTATTTCCAGTGAGCTAACATTGGAAGAGAAAAAAAGAGAAGGAAATCAACAATTACTGCATGCTACAGCAATAGGAGGGGTGCTTAATTCTGCTTGAGGAGGTCAAGGGAGAGTGTTTCTCTGGAGAGATAATGACTGACTTAAGTATTGGAGAATGGAGTAAAATTTATCAGGTGCATGAGTGTGGTGGGAGAAAGACGATATTCCAGGAAAGTGAAAGCACATGTAAGAAAGTCACAGAGCCCATGAGGAAGCATGGTGCATTTGCAGACATGAACATGGGGTTGTTATTTTTCAGGGCATCATACTGGGAAGTTGTAGTACAGTTCTGGTAACAAAAGCAAAACAAAACAAAACAAAAACAAACAAGAAAAACACAAGTGAACAGACCTTGTTCAGGAAGTCCTTTGCTACAATGTAGTTTAGAAGTTATTAAAGGCTTAACTGAATCTGAGTTAGTGAAAATGAAGGGGGGATGTAGATTCAAGGAATACTTAGAAAAGTTGAATTGATGGGAGCTGGTAATTGATTAGATTTGGACAGTGAAAAGGAGATGCCTAGGACACAGCTTTGGAGTATGGGGGGATTGGAGCACAGTTCACTGAGATGATGAATTCAGTTTGGGACCTAACTATGGTTTCTAAACTTATCTACCACATTTTAAGTAACCCTGAACCAGATCCAAAGCTTTCAAGAGTTCCAAATAATGTCATTTAAGTGCTTTACTCTTCAAAGTCGAATTCAGTTCTTTTATATTTGAATTATTAAAACAGAAGAGTTTCTTATTGCTAACACATGTCTGAATCAGGCTCATAGTCCTTTCCCTACCTCTGTTCTGCCTTAAAATTTTTTTTTTCCCTTTTCAATACTCTTTTAAAAATTTGTGTTGAACTAGCCTATCACAGGCTGGGGAAAGAAAGAACAGAGAAGTTCTGACTCCCAGCACTGCTTTTCCCCACTGCTTCCCTTTGTGGAGTTTTGTCTCCATGTTGAAGAACTTGCCAGATTCCAATGGATGCAAAAGAATTTGCTTTTCTATTTGTTCCCTTCGTAAAAGCATTGCATGGAACTAGCAGATGCCTCACAAGGAGAAAATACTGCTTGTTAGAATAGGAAATGCAGATAATTGGCATGCTTCCTTTCCTGTCTGCCAACACTGGCCTGAAAACAAGCCATCATTGAGTGCAGCTTTTCCTCAGTGCAGCTGTGGCTCCCAGCACTCAGTGTCTGTTCTTTGGGGATTAGAAACACATTGATCTGAGCTGTAAAAGCTGATGGCTAAAGACAGTTCAATTGCATAAGTCATCTAAGAGGCTGTAACTAATGAATGCACTGTTCGGTCAGTGGTGCTGTCTGGGTGGTGAGTGAGCCAGCTCTTTGCTTCTGTTTCTCCTTTGCCGTGACGCAGCATTTCAATGGCAAGGTAGTGAGCATCCTTATGACGGGGCCAGGAGATCCAAAGGGAGCCAGAGAGGCAGTGTGTATGTGTCTCCTTCACTAGAGTGTAAGCTGCTTGAGGACAGGGGAGTAGAATTTATTTCTGTATTTCCCATAGCACCTAGCATGGTGTTCTTCCAGGAGAAAAGTTAGTTTACTTTGATTCACCTAAGTAGCCTTGCTCTGAGAAGGTGGCAGATTGGCTTCATCTTTGATTCCCTCTCTTTCTTGGCTCATTCTCAGGTGAGTTAATGGGGCTTGAAGTGGGCATTTGAGCTATGACACCAGATGTCTAGAGAGAGCAGGCACAGGATTTCCTTCTCCCTGGTATCTGGAGAGGGCTGAGGGACCAGCAGAAGAGGAGAACTTGCCTCACCTTGAGGTCTAGGCAACACTGACTTTCCTGGTTTCCCATGGAGGCTGAAGCTGAAGAACTGCTGCCTATATTACTTTCATCTGGTGATCCTGATGGCCCCCTCCCTGAGCCTCAGTCGTGTTGTCCTGGTGTGCTGGCTGGCTTGGGGGTCCATCTGCTCATGATGGTCCACTTCCACCCATCACTGGTTTGCCAATGTGCCAAAGCCCCCAACAGCCTAACTTGGTTGCTTGCAGGGCTGGGGTGGACACAAAAGCATGAACAAAAACCACAGTCCCTGGATATGAAAGCCAAGTGGGACATCTGGCCCAGGTGACTCTCTCCAAAGCTAAGCTCTTTCCATAAACAAGGTAAAAAGGAACTTGAACAAAATACATCACAAAAAGTCCTAAGGCATTGAAATCACAGCATTAAAAAGGCTTTCTGAAACAAAAGAACTATAATTTTTAAAGAAATTCAGCAGATGCATTTTGAACACTTAGTATTAAAAAAAACCTTATGCTAAGTGCAACGAATACAGTGATGACTGGGATTGTCTCTTCTCTCGAGGAGTTTACAATCTATTGAAGAAGACAGACTTATGGATAACTAGACATGGTACAAAGGAAGATGACATCAGAACTTATGTAAAGTAGGAAGAAAGTGTTTTGCGTATAGAAGCAGGAGCTATTAGTTCTAAATGGCAGATAACGGAACGTTTGCCGAGGAAGTGTTGTTGCAGCTCAGTTCTGAGGGATGAGAAAGGTCTCAGCAGTGGGAGGATGAGGGGAAGGACAGGCAGGGCTGTGAGGAGTGCTGGGCTTGGGGAACCGTGTGTGCAGTCCTGTGAGGCTGGAGAGAAGTCACAGGAGATGCAGCTGGAAAGAGGATTCATTCCACAGGTACAGAATCAGCATCAGGGACCTAAGACTGGCATCAGGCACACGTAGTTTTCAAGGCTCATTCTATCACTCACAGCTGTGTGACCTTCTGCAATGGCATTGTTACCATGAAAAGAGAAATGCTGTAAGAACTAGGAATAATATATGCACAGGGTGTAAGGTACACCGTGGTCTCTTGGGGTAGGTTTGCTGTCTGAATAAACAACCCAGAGAGAGGCATGCGTTATCTCCATTTTTATAGTTGGGCTATTCGAGATGGAAAGAGTTGAAATAGCTTGTTTAAGCTGTTTCAACAAGTAAGAATTCCTGTCCAGATGTGAGCCCACCTTCTGCCCCGTGAAATACACTGCTCCGTGGGGAGAAGGCACAATGTGCGGAGGGGCAGTATAAACAACGTGTGTCACTGCCTTCAGAGTGTGCAGTCTGGCTTGTTAAACATGAAGGTTGGACTGCAAAACAGAAGGGGCCACACAGTGGCAGTGCTAGAGGGGCTTAGAGGAGGCATAGTCCCAGTGAGGGGAAGTGGTGGTGGGGACTTCCTGGAGCTGGACCCCTGGAGTTGCTGAAGACAGCAAGCAGAGAGGGAACCCCTGAGTGTTGGCTGCTCTAAGGACCCAGTGTCTAAGGAATGAGGAACTTACTCCCCTGGCTGTCAGACGTGCTGCAGGAAGATGGCCCTCAGCTGCCAGTCCTTTGGGGACTACCTCGCCCACAGTCTCACCTCCTTCCACACCCAGGAACTGAGGCTTGGGTCTTTTGCCCAACTTGTGCCAACTCTGAAGGCTCTCTCAGAGCTCAAGGTCCCCATGGAGTCAGCTGAGGTCCTCTTTGGGGCTGCGCCTGGGGCAACCTCTCCCTCTCCTGCTCTGTCCCCACCACAGGTGCTGGCCAAGAGCACTAATAGGCATCTGCATGTCTGCCAATCTCTGTTTTATCTTCCCAGGGAACCCAACCTGTGACATCCAGATCTGGATCATAGCTTGTAGCTTTGGACTGCAGCTGAGTCTGTAGGATGCAGCCCACTCCTGGGTGCTGGGTGGTGAGAGAGGGGGATCAACATAGATGGCTGATGGATACCCCAGAGCCTGCTAGTGTGTTTTCACACAGGACCTGGGGCCTACCATCCCCCACCTCCCACCCACCCCCTTAACATTCTTTTCTGGGAGGGACACATTCTTTTACGCCTGATGGGTCAGAGCTGAGGGTATGTGTGTGGTGGGGTAGGGTGGTGGTCAGGGTGAGGGAGGACTCCAAAGTGGAGGCGCTGTCTTCCACAGGAGTCTGTAGCCCACACTCAGTGGAGAGAGGAGCAGAATGTGGGAAAGGAGACCTGGGAGGGACTGGCTGAGAATGAGGCCCAGCACTGAGAAGGAAAGAGAATCAGAGTCCAAGAAGGACCCCTAGGCGGTCTCAATCTTATAAAAACCTGGGCTCACTTTCGATGGATATGAAAATATCATTCTCAGTTATAAATATTAATATAAGAGTACTTTCACTTAAGTGGTTTTTCCCCCTAAGGTATATATATTTTAAATATATTTTGGTCTGAACATGGTGGCTCTTGCCTGTAATCCCAGCACTTTGGTAGTTCGTGCCTGTAATCACATCTGAGGCAGGAGGATTATTTGAGGACGGGAGTTTGGGCAACATAGTGAGACACACACACACACACACACACACACACACACACTTTAATATATATATATTTCATAACATTGTGTTACATACTCTAAATACACAAACACACTATATATTATGTTATATTGTCTATATACATATAACACGATGTTATGAAATGTATATATAGTATAATAAAATGGTTACTATAGTAAAATAAAAGAACATATTCATTGAGTTAAAATAATTACACAGGTGTAAATAAATAGCACATCATAAGGAAAAAACAGTCATGCTTGAAAGGATCACAGATGTGCAGAGTGGAGAGCCCAACTTCTGCAAATCCCCTCAGGAGAGATGGTTCCATTGGGATTTATTTCCTGTAGTTTGGATCAAGAAGCAAGTTATTCTTCATTCTACTTAGTGAATGTAAAATTATCATTTGTAAAGCAGAGACTCCCCACTGGAAGCACAGCAGCTTGAGGCTGTGTGTATGTGAAGCTGGAAAATCTGGCTGGCCCAGTCTGTGGGGGTCCCCTTAGTGTTGAGCAGCTCCTTGGGGGAACTTGGGGGTCCTTCAGAAGCCCTCTTGCACTCCAATGACAGGAGGGCATAGGCCTGACAAAGTGTCTCAGGCCTGCCTGGCTTGCGTGTGGGTGCACAGATGCAGCCCTCAAGTTTCCAGTGAGTTTTCCGAGCGACCAGAGCCTGCTCTTTGCCCCTTCCCCCGCTGATTTCTCATGTCCAAGGGCTGGCCATTGAAAAGCCGAGACCCAGCAGGGGGCCTGGACCCCATGGTGGGGGTAGCCTCTGACATTCTTCAGACACTGAGACTCTTAATCAGAAAGAGTTAGACTTGATCCTGGGAATACACGGAGGCCCGTTTCCCTCTTTCTTCCAATGTGTGTGACAGCAAAGAAGTTGGTACACATTTTTGAATAAGGAAGCATGAGGCTCAGAGTGGCGTTTTGGAAAGATTTGGCTTTGTATCTCTGGAAAGTCCTAGCTGCAGCGGTAGAGAGGGCAGATCGGGGGCAGGGAGACCAGTTTGGATGTGCTTGTCACCCTCCAGCTGGCGATAAGGAGGAGCTGCACTGGAATGGTGGCTGTGGGAATGGAAAAGGGGATCATCTGAGGCACACTGGAGGCAGAATGTGTGGGCAGCAATAATGGCTCAGAAACAGAGAAGTCCCGTTTCAGGCCCAAGGGAATGGTGGCTGATAACGCCATTAAAAGAAACTGGGAAGTCAATTCTCACAAACCCTGTGAGACAGGCTTCAAAAATAAATCTGGTTTCAAATTCTAGCCCTATTACTACCAGCTGTGTGGGTGCCACTGGATATACAAGTCACCTTAGGGAGTCCAATTGTGTGCGTGTTTTTTTTTTTTTTTTTTGAGACGACGTCTCGCTTTGTCACCCAGGCTGGAGTGCAATGGTGTGATCTTGGCTCACTGCAACCTCTGCCTCCTGGGTTCAAGCAATTCTGCTTCAGCCTCCCAAGTAGCTGAGATTACAGGTGCATGCCACTATGCCTGGCTAATTTTTGTATTTTTATTAAAGACGAGGTTTCACCATATTGACCAGGCTGGTCTCGAACTCCTGACCTTGTGATCCACCTACCTCAGCCTCCCAAAGTGCTGGGATTACAGGCGTGAACCACCGCTCCTGGCCCTTGTTGTTTTTTTAATTTGTAAAATTGGGCATGATGATGACGATGATTTCATAGTTATTTATTGCAAAGAATAAAAGAAAACATCACAAAACATTTTCAAGAGGACAGCATAAAATTGGCACTCAATAAATGGAAGTGACTGAAGTAGAGTTTGATTAGTGCAATTTATGAGGTTGTAGAGGAAGTCAGACCCTCAGAGGACAGTGAAAGATTCCAGCTGAGTGGTGCAGGGAACGCTCATGGAGGAGCCAGAGGTTGTGCTAGTGTCTATTCAGGGTCTTTGAGGTCTTAGAAGGCCAACTCTTCTAAGCACAGAAATGAATCAATTTATAAAATGGTCTCTTATTTTTCAGTTAGATGCAAATGACAAGCATGAATACTGTTGATAATCTCTTTCATACATAAGGTACAAATAATTTTCTTCCTCTTTTTGCAATTTTAATAGCAGCTGAGATTTTTTAAAAAGAGAATTAAACCATAATGACATTTATTGTTTCCTTAACATGAAACATACAACAATGTTGTTAAGGATCCAGGCTCTTTCCCAATTCTTGTTTGGTTTTTCATCTTATACTTGTTGCTTCATGGTTGCAAGATGGCTGCCATAGCAGAAGGGATCACATTTATGTTCAAGACAGACAAAAAAAAAAAAAAAAAAAAGGAAGGTGCAACACCATTGAGCTCTCTGATACCTAGCCCTCTTAGCAAAGCAAACATTTTCTAGAAGAGTTTCATTGGTCAGAATTAGGTCACATCGTCATGACCAAGGATTAAAAATGTCTGGGAAAGCAAATATCTGGCAAAGAGGAATAAGATTGCCTGATAATAATTCTGTATGCTAGTGAAAGATTTTTAAGCAGCTGAGATTTTGGCAACTTAGAATTTTGGTTTATCCAGTGATTTACCATTTAACTGTAGATCAATGAACATTTTAATAGATGACTACTGTTTTCCAGAGGATAAGAGAACTGAAAGGGCATTTGAGAAGAAGAGATGTTTTTGCCTTTTTGGTTTTCCAGGGCCTACAGATGCTTTAATTCTGCTTCCTTTTTTTTTTTCATTCTTTTTTTTTCTTTTCTTTTCATATTTCAATAAGTAAATAGAAGACCTCTCCAATTAGATAACTAAAAAATATTGGTGGACTTCAAGATTAAACTTTGTGGTTGGTTTTCAAATTTATTTCTGAGTTCAGCAGTAGACTCAGTTGCACTGGGAGCTGAAACAACAGGAAGGAGGAAAAAGATGCCTGTGTCCCCTCATGCAGGAAGGGGCCTGTGCAGTAGTGATCAGCAGCTGCTCCTCTTGTGCCCTCAGGCCTGATGGCAAGGCCCAGGTTCCTTCTGGTAAGGAAAAACCCTCCTCGCCCTTCATGATTAAGCTGAAGACAGCTTAAGCATCCACAGATACTTAACAGTAGTTTAATTATCAAATTCCTTGTTCTAAAATGAATTAGAAAAATTGTATATTTAATTTGATATTCAATAACTTCAACAAGTTATGTAATAACTTCAAACACCTCTGTAGTAAAAAAGAGCTTCTAATAGTGAAATTAATTACAAAGTCGTTTTTTAAAAGGCAATTTTAATAAATCTTAATTTAAAAAATCTACTGAAGATAGGTAGTGGTGATGGCTGCACAAAAATGTGAAAGTGCTTAATACCACTAAACTGTAAACTTAAAAATCATTAGAATGGTGTATTAGACCATTTTCATGCTGCCGATAAAGACATACCTGACACTGGGAAGAAAAAGAGGTGTAATTGGACTTATAGTTCCACATGGCTGGGGAGGCCTCAAAATCATAGTGGGAGGTGAAAGGCACTTCTTACATGGTGGTGGCAAGACACGATGAGAAAGAAGCAAAAGTGGAAACTCCTGATAAACCCATCAGATCTTGTGAGAGTTATTCACTATCATAAGAATAGCACAGGAAAGACCTGCCCCCATGATTCAATTACCTCCCTCTGGATTCCTCCCACAACACGTGGGAATTCTGGGAGAAAAAATTCAAGTTGAGATTTGGGTGGGGACACAGCCAAACCATATCATTCCGCCCCTGGCCCCTCCAAATCTCATGTCCTCACATTTCAAAACCAATCATGCCTTCCCAACAGTTACCCAAAGTCTTAACTCATTTCAGCACTAACCTAAAAGTCCACAGTCCAAAGTCTCATCTGAGACAAGGCAAGTCCCTTCCGCCTATGAGCCTGTAAAATCAAAAGCAAGCTAGTTACTTCCTAGATACAATGGAGGTACAGGTATTGGGTAAATACAGCCATTCCAAATGGGAGAAATCAGCCAAAACCAAGGGGTTATAGGACCCATGCCAGTCTGAAATCCAGTGGGGCAGTCAAATCTTAAAGCTCCAAAATGATCTCCTTTGACTCCAGGTCTCATATCCAGCTGCAAGAGGTAGGTTCCCATGGTCTTGGACAGCTCCACCCCTGTGGCTTTGCAGGGTACAGCCTCCCTCCTGGCTGCTTTCATGGGCTGGCGTTGAGTGTTTGCGGCTTTTCCAGGTGTGCGGTGCAAGCTGTCGGTGGATCTACCATTCTGGAGTCTGGAGGATGGTGGCACTCCTCTCACAGCTCCACTAGGCAGTGCCCCAGTAGGGACTCTTTGTGGGGGCTCTGACCCCACATTTCTCTTCCGCACTGCCCTAGCATAGGTTTTCCATGAATGCTCTACCCCTGCAGCAAACTTTTGCCTGGGCATGCAGGCGTTTTCAACATCTTCTGAAATCTAGGTGGAGATTCCCAACCTTCAATTCTTGATTTCTGTGCACCTGCAGGCTCAACACCAGGTGGAAGCTGCCAAGTCTTGGGGCTTCCACTCTCTGAAGCCCCAGCCTGAGCTGTATGTTGGCCCCTTTCTGCCACAGCTGGAGTGGCTGGGGCACAGGGCACCAAGTCCCTAGGATGCACACAACACGGGGACCCTGAGCCTGGCCCGCCAAACCACTTTTTCCTCCTGGGCCTCTGGGCCTGTGGTGGGAGGCGCTGCTGTGAAGGTCTTTGACATGGCCTGGAGACATTTTCCTCATGGTCTTGGGGATTAATATTAGGCTCCTTGGTAATTATGCAAATTTCTGCAGCCAGCATGAATTTCTTCCCAGAAAATGGGTTTTTCTTTTCTATCACATTGTCAGGCTGCAATTTTTCTGAACTTTTATGCTCTGCTTCCTTTATAAAACTGAATGCCTTTAACAGTACCCAAGTCACCCCTTGAATGCTTTGCTGTTTGCTTAGAAATTTCTTCTGTCAGATACCATAAATCATCTCTCTCAAGTTCAAAGTTCCACAAATCTCTAGGGCAGGGGCAAAATGCCACCAGTCTCTTTGCTAAAATATAATGAGTCACCTTTACTCCAGTTACCAAAAAGTTTCTCATCTCCATCTGAGACCACCTCAGCCTGGATTTCATTGTCCATATTACTATCAGCATTTTGGGAAAAGCCATTTAACAAGTCTCTAGGAAGTTCCAAAGTTTCCCACAATTTCCTGTCTTCTTCTGAGCCCTTCAAACTGTTCCAATCTCTCCCTGTTTCCCAGTTCCAAAGTTGCTTGCACATTTTCAGGTATGTTTTAAGCAATGCCCCACTCTGCTGGTATCAATTTACTGTATTAGTTTGTTTTCATGCTGCTGATAAAGACATACCCAAGACAGGGAAGAAAAAGAGGTTTAATTGGACTTACATTTCCACATGTCTGGGGAGGCCTCAGAATCATGGCAGGAGGCGAAAGATACTTCTTACATGGTGGCAGCAAGATAAAATGAGAAAGAAGCAAAAGTGGAAACCCCTGATAAACCCATCAGATCTTGTGAGACTTATTCACTATCACAAGAATAAGCATGGGGAAGATGGGCCCCCATGATTCAATTACCTCCCCCTGGGTCCCTCCCACAACATGTGGGAATTCTGGGAGATACAATTCAAGTTGAGATTTGGGTGGGGACACAGCCAAACCACAACAACTGGTAAATTTTATGTCATGTGTATTTTACCATACTAAAAAAATTTTACTGAATGTAGCCTTGTTAAGCTGAGAGGCCTGCTTCAATGAATGGGTAAATAATTTGTAAAGAGAAGAACAAACAATTGCATTTAAGTGTTTTCTTGTCTCTCTATACTCAGTACATATCTTGGTCACAGTATTCTCTTGAACCTTGGACCTGTACATTCTATCTACTTGGCACATCTCATAGACTTCTCAGGTCCACCATGTCTAAAAGTGAATTCAGTGTCTTTGGTTCACCTGCAGACACCTGCTCCTCCTCTTTCGTTCTCTATCCATGCAGCCAACTGCCCAAGCCAGAAATCTGGATGCCATTCTTGAATCCAACTTTTCCTTTATCCTCCACACCAACTGATCACCATGTAGGGTTAACTATGTCTCCTCAACGTTGCTCTAATCTGTCCACTTCTCTTATCTTCACAGTTGCCATGCTAAGGTAAATAAGGAATCAGGAACTCTTATCTCTAAAATAAGCTCCTAGCATCCATTCTGCCATGCACTGATCTTAATATGAGTCTTTCTAAGGAAGTAAGAAATCATTTTCTTAGCCAAGGTAGATGATCTGCTGGCCTTCTTGGAGATACTATCAAGTTGCTTAGCAAACCAATTTTACAAAGGGACTCGGCCATAATTTTTTAAAAATAGAAATTACTGATCTTTCAGCAGGACTTTTGCATATGCTTAAAACTTCTTACCCTTCCACAAAATATTCAACCCCCACTCCCCGCTTAGCATAGTAACACTGACAGTGTGAGACAAAAGAATTGCGGGATCAGGTGCTCAGGGAGTGTTATGGAAAATGGCTATCTTACATTAATGTGTGAGTTGTCCAAGGACAAGGTTATTTTGGTTTCATCAATTCACTCATCAGTTAGTTAACATTTATTCAATATCTGTGTATATGGGGCACTGTTAGGAATAGAGAGATGGGACAGTCTCTACCTGCAGAAAGCACACAGCCTAGGGGTGGAGACGGATGGAAAAGCAGTTGATTGCTTTGCAGGGTGGAGTGCTGAGAATAGAGTCAGTTGGTCTGGAGTCATGGGGAAGGGCATTTCTCACAGCCAGGGATGATCAGGGAAAGCTTTCCAGAGCTGGAAAGTAAAGAAGATCTGAATTTAAGATCCAGTCCTGATCTCACATCTGGCCCTTTTCCCATTTCAGCTAAGAATGTAATCAATGTGACAAGGCCCTGGACTTTAATAGTCTCAGAATTATTTCACTTTGTACTTCCTGCCTACCAGTCAGGCTGAGCATCTTCTCATGTTTATTGACCCTCTGCATTTTCTCTTCTGTGTATCATCTAGTTTTATCATTTGTGGAAAATCTTAGTATTGAGAATAAACTCTCTGAGGCAGATAGGGAGCTTGTCTTTTGCTCTTTGAAGGATTGATTTCCTAAGTCCTACACACATCTACGGACAAAATAAGAATCAGGATGTTTTTCTAAAAGCCCCCTTGCTTCCTGCCAGTCTGTGCCTTCTTGCCAGTAATCTGGCTTCCTAAGGGAGGTCAGCAGGACATGATGGAATCTGTACGTGCAGACTCCATCGTCATCTTTAACAGTTTTTTTCTTTCAAAAGTAAGCGAGAAAGTCTACCCAGATGGACAGAGGGAGTTATGTGTAGGTTTGCAAATGTGAGAACTGTCTGATAAATCGAAGTATTTGAGTGTGCAAATCTTAAAGAATGAGGTGCAATTTCATATCTGGTATGAGAGAAATGTCTATAAACTACTACATGGATTTGAGAATGACTCTCATTCATGTAACAGAAAATGCAATGCCTTCAACCACAGTTACCAATGTCCCAATTAACACAAGGACTCAACATTCCTGCTCTCTTGCCTGATGGCAGGCAGAAGGACTCTCCAACTGGGCTTTGTGTTTTAAATGCCTGGTGGCCAGAGGACAGAATTAAAGCTGCCTGAAATGTAGGGGAAGCAACACTCAGGACTTAGAGCCAGAAGTACCTGGGTAGGACTCTTGGTTCTGTTACTTATCAGCTGTGTTCTGTTAAGCAATTCTCTCTACCTCTCTGTGCCTTGGTTTTCTCATATGCAAAGTAAAGGAAATACCTCTTAGCTTCCTGGGTTATTATAAGGATTAAATAACATGATAATAAATTGTTATACAGATGTTAAATGTGTGTACATATTCTTTTCCACTCTTTCTTTTCTTTACTGGGATTACAGTAAATCCCAGTAAAGGGATTTCTTTTCTTTGCTGGGATTACAGGCTTGAGCCACCGCACCCGGCCAGTGAAAGAATGTTTTAATGGGCCAGGCGTGGTCCCAGCACTTTGGGAGGCCAAGGCAGGCGGATCACCTGAGGTCAGGAGTTGGAGACCAGCCTGTCCAACATGGTGAAACCCTGTCTCTACTAAAAATACAAAAATTAGCCGGGTGTGGTGGCGGGCGCCTGTAAACCCAGCTACTCGGGAGGCTGAGGCAGAAGAATTGCTTGAACTCAGGAGGCTGAGGTGCAGCGAGCCGAGAGTGTGCTATTGCACTTCAGCCTGGGTGACAGAGCGAAACTCTGTCTCAAAAAAAAAAAAAAGTTTTAATGACATAACGGCTAATATTTAAAGTCCCAGGAAGTGACTTTCATCTAATGTCATATTTTCCTTAAAATATAAATGACATGTTTAAAGTAGAATTGTTTCTTGTTACTTATTGAAGAAAAGCACAAGAGTTTAGCTTAACACCGGATTTGAGATAAGCTATCTGGATGTCTACACTGAAATGGAATAGATATGTTTTTATCTTTTCTGTTCTTTATTCAAAAGAATCACTGAACTTATAAACTAATGGTTGCTACCCTGACTACTCAGTTATGGAAGATCTGACATGATAATTTGCCATGCTATTATTTCTGATTAACTATATTAATGTTATTTAAAGCCAAAACCATTTGCCTGTGTTCATAACCATAGTGATTAAACATAATAGCTAGGCCCATTAACACATTTCTGCATTATCAGTGAAAATCCTGAGGCTCTACACGCACCAGGAAGTTCGCTCCTACAACGAAGAGTATAATCATCGTGGCAAGCCTTTGTCTGGATCATTTCTTATACACTTTAATTGTATCTTTTTATCATGCAGTCCTTGTAATAGACATTAATGCACAGTTGTACCTAGTGCATATGAGTGCTCTGTTACTGAATATTCCTAAGCCTCTTACGAGAGATGTAATCACCACTGTACCTTCTGATGACTGTGAAAAAGCTTTGAATTTTTTTTTTTTTTCAGACGGAGTCTCGCTCTGTCGCCCAGGCGGGAGTGCAGTGGCGCGATCGCGGCTCACTGCAAGCTCCACCTCCTGGATTCATGCCATTCTCCTGCCTCAGCCTCCCGCGTAGCTGGGACTACAGGCGCCTGCCAACACGCCTGGCTAATTTTTTTGTGTTTTAGTAGAGACGGGGTTTCACCGCGTTAGCCAGGATGGTCTCGATCTCCTGACCTCGTGATCTGCCCGCCTAGGCCTCCCAAAGTGCTGGGATTACAGGCGTGAGCCACAGCACCTGGCCAAAAAGCTTTGAATTTTATCTGCCCTTTGCTTTAGAGAAGAAACCCATTTAATTGTATAAACTACAATTGATTCTGTATGAAGAGTACATTTCTTAGGGCAGGACCTGATGCTTAATGACCTAAGGCTGGTAGAATTTTTTATTTCAATGAATTTAACGAAGTATCAATTAAGCATATAATAAACGTTTGATGGAGGAATAAGTAAACATTGCTAATAAGGCTGGGCGTGGTGGCTCACACCTGTAATCTCAGCACTTTGGGAGGCCAAGATGGGTGAATCACCTGAGGTCAGGAGTTGGAGACCAGCCTGGCCAACATGGTGAAACCCCGTCTCTACTAAAAATACAAAAAATTAGCTGGGTGTGGTGATGGACGCCTGTAATCCCAGCTACGCAGGAGGCTGAGGCAGGAGAATCGCTTGAACCCGGGAGGCGGAGGTTGCAGTGAGCTGAGATCCTGCCACTGCACTCCAGCCTGGGCGACAAAAGTGAAACTCTGTCTCAAAAAAAAAAAAAATTTGCTAATAAAACTGAGACTATTAATGTATCTATTCTATGTTGACAGTCTACTATGTGCCAGGGAGTTTACTAAAGTTACCTAATTTGATTCTTATAAAAAAACATTAGGAAGCAGATGTTATTGTTCCCATTTTATAGACACCAAAACAATCCTTAGAGTTTACCAGGATTGGACATGTGATGTTTGGTGCTGGCATACTCAAGGAATATGGGGAAGACTCAAAAGGAAGGGTATACTTGGTTTCAGAAAATGGCATCTGAGAAAGGAAGACCAGGATGCCCAAATTCAGTTCTTCTTACACTTCTCTATTCAAATTAATATCCCCAACTAATCTGATCTGCTTGTCAAACTTCACTGGTGAACTCTGAGCATGCTACTGGTGTGGCGATGCTGACAAGGAGCTATGGTCAGGTGAAAAGGAGAGCTCAGGTTTTGCAGGGGACTTAGGGACCAAAGTGTACTGAACACACAGGCAGTGTTAACATTCCTGAAAGCTAGTAGCAGGGGAGCAGAAAGGTTTGGAGTGCTTCCTTTATAACTTACTCAGGTAGTCTTTAGAATGTCAAAACAAATCCAGGGGAATTGTTGATAGTTTCAGTGAACCAACGAAAACCCCCAAATATAGCCTGCCATGGCATTTTAGATTAGTAATACTATTTTTTGAAGAAAAAAATTAACACGATTATTATTAGTAAAAATGGAAAACTATTTCTATACACAAAATTTGAATGGAATAAAGCTGACACCGAGACATGAAAATTATGCTGAATTCCTCACATTACTTGCTGTATCATGACAAATTGAATGTAGATAACATCAAACCTTATTTTGAGCACATAAATATCTCATTCTTTGGTGCTCTATTGTGTGATTTTGTAAATTCTTGCTTTGTTTCAGTGAATAATAGCACACTTACATAATATTTATTCTTTTGGATAATGTATGAATTAGAATGTTTCCAATCTTGACTTTTTATGTGGCCCAATTATCTGATGTAAAACTGCTTTTATGATGCATCTGTAGAAATTCTTAGGTCATGGATTCCACCACCTGCTGGCTTTACAGCAATTCTATGTCTAAGCACCTCCTTGGGCTTTATCAACTTCCAAAGCAGCTATGTGCACTCTAGATAGGTACTCACTCTACTGGTCGGAAGCAGTTGTTAAAATATGTCCAGAAAATAATTAGATAATCATGTCCAGAGAATAATTAGATAATCTTGGGCTTATCCTCACCTTTGCTTCTGCTTTTATTGTGTAGATGACGTGATATTTATGACTCTTTTCGTCCAAGTAGATGTTGTAAGTGGCAAGGATGTGGCATATACATTCCTGAAACTGAAGACCTCCACTGTTTTCCCATAAGCAAATATCATCATGAATTCCACTGCACATGTTCAATATCATTCTTCACATTTTATGAACAAGTTCGCTTGGGCTGAGGCAGCGGACAAGGAAGAATGTGTATATCAGTGGGATGATCTTCCGTTCATCTCTGCCTCCATTCAAGGATTGATATGCTCTTTACCAAAGTATGCAAACAGCTTTATCAACCACCTGCTGAACAAATTTCAGGGCCTCACTTTCGTGTTAATTCCATTATGGCTTATCTAAATCAGACTTCAGATTCAAGAGAATACCAAGGAACTTTTATGGAATATTGACATAAGGTATCAAAAGAATACCACAGCATTGGTCCAAACCTTTTTACATCTTCTAGGTATTATGTGCAACTTCTGTGTTAATTATTGAGCTCAAGTTCAAACACAGACACCAAGTTCATGTATAACATGCCTCTTCAAAAACACCATTAAATGTTAAATTTTAGTAATATTGAGTATAAGGTTTAAATATATTACTATACAAATATCTTGCTAAAAGTGATGAAACGGGATTGTAAATACATGCTATTCAGAACTTTTAAAAGGCTCTGCTGTAGTTATTATTAACTCAGTGGCATTAAGGAGCTTATGACGGATAGAAATGGGCTCATTCAACCTGCACTGCTACCTTGGATTTCATGGTATTCGCCATCACATCTTCATGGCTGATGAGTGGCAATGTGCAATAGTGCTAGCCAATATGTGAAATGAAAAAGCACAAGATTTAGTGTCAGATCTGGGACTCTGATACAGATTTTTATGACTTTATGACTATGTGATCTTGTGCAAGTCATTTAACTGCAGGAAAACTTTCACAGGGAGATTGTAAGAATCCAATGAGACACTGATGTGAAAGCTCTTTGTAAAGTAAAGGTCTCATATTCTCCTATACTGGGAAACACTTGTTAGCATAGACAGGAACTGTGTAGGTGGGGCCTTTAATTTTCCCAGTGAGAAAGACTCACTCATCACCACTGAAGCAAGGACATCCCATGACCCATGACCTAATTAACCACTATAAAAAGACCCTTAGAATGGAGTCTCACTGTATTTTTCAATGTGTCTGAGACACTAATAGGAATTGAATTATTTTATCCCTATTTCTTTCAGTCAGTAAAAAACTAACATATACAAAGCAGTTACTATGTGCCAGACACTATGGTAAGCATTTAACATCAATAATGTCATTTCATTCTCACCATCACCCTGTGAGGCTAGACTATGACTACACCCATTTTACCAATGAGGAAACCAGGGGCATGGATTAGAGAAGGATCCACGGTCAATCATGACCAAAGCCAGAATTTCATCTATATTGACTACCTTCATCAGTATTCACTGTCTTCTCTATCTTTGCTATTTTCTCCTATTCCTATAAACCAGACCCCTATAGAGGCCATTGCATTTTAGCACCTTTGGGGTGACAGCAAATGTCAGAACAGATAACTCTTAAACCTGGAACAATCAAACGCAGTCTGATGAACCGTTACACTGTACTGGCAGAATATGCCACGTCAACAGCCACCTATTAAGTTGGGAAGATGAGGCTATGTAACTTTCCAAAGCATGGCAGGAGAGCTGCAAATGGCAGGGAGGGTACGCCTGGGGAGCTTGCTAGCCACAGCTCTTGAGAAACAGTTATTGCATTAAAAGGGCATGTAGAATATTTTCCAGACTTCTCAACCACACAAGCTTCACCCTAGCTTTGGCATCAGCGCTCAAAATGTGTGGCTTGGACACGAATCTGAAATCAATAATCTCTCTAGCACCTTGTGCTTCCCTTCCCTGCTTCAAAAGTCTGTTCTGTATTCTCTTCCTTTAGGATTTGCTAGGAGACTAATTACTGAAGTTGAGTAATCTGTTTAGCCCTACAGGCGATAACTCTGTGCATTATTTATATGAGGGGCTCTAATATCTTAGCCCTCAACAGGTGTGATGAATTTGGGAATTTAAAAGCACCATGGCAGCTCCCTGGGAAGCTGTTTTGGAGATGGTCCTTTTATCATAGTGCACAGGTGGCTTGCCTACGTGTCGAGCCAGCAGCTTAGGCCGGCACCTTGGATGGCTTCAAAGGGAGCACAGTGGCTGGAAGTCCCGGTGGTGGCAGGTTTATTCAACCCATGTTGTGCTTAACCTTCCAGGAGTGCACCTAAGCAGCAGGGGTCATAGCAACATATTAATTTATTTGGGGCACAATGGTAAAAAAATTCTAATTAATTGAAAAGTGCCCATGTAGGAAGGAGATTTACTTCAAGTTTTCTTTAAAAATAAGAGCAGTCTTTAAACTCTGGATAAGGCACTAATCCAATTAATGAAGGCATTAAGCAGAGCAATGAACCTTATTTTGCAAAATTATTTGAAAGGCCCAGGATGAAAGAAACCAATTGGTGGAGCAGTATAACTACCTTCTGGCACATGGCTTCTTTGAGCATTTTTTCCTTCTATTTCTGCTGTTAATTTTTCAGCAGATCTCTTTCAACACCACCACCAAAGTATTCCACATAACTCAAGACAGTAATTTACTCACAAAGAAAACACACCTCCAACTTCATTAATAACCAACTTTTTTTTATTAGAGCAGATACAGTTGTGAAAACTGTACATTATACATTTTGGTTTCAAGAATTATAAATAAAGGAACTCACAGGTAGGGAGTTCTTTTTCACAGCAAGAAACTTTAAATAAACAAAGTCATGTTTTATTAAGTACATTGGCAGACTTCATGTGCTGTCCAAAATGTTGAGTACAGTATAACAACCCATTAGAAAGAGCCTTCATGTAAAATACAGCTGTGCACATTTTAGAAAAATACCAACAATTTGAGCTTTGTTTTAAAAAAGCTTATAAATCATACATATATTTATAAATGGGACCAACATGCTCACTTTATAAACATATCCTCTCGCTATCTGTTACCCATTATTTCCAAAGCATTACGCATTTTAAATGAACACTTAATAAGATTAAATATTTTATTATTATTTTTTTAAAAAACCAGCTTTCCCAGCGTAAGGAGCTATAGGGTTTGGGAGGGGCAGTGAGAGTACTGAGAGTGACGCAGGAACTTTAAACATTTGTTCTCAGGTAAAAACGGACTTCCTAAATTTAAAAGTCAAAGCAAAATGTAAAAAATGAATATACAAGTTGAAATTTTTCATTTGCTCTCTTTCTGCCTTCTTCTTTATTCCATATTGGTCACACCCAGGATTTTCAACATATTGTGCTTCTGTAAGAAACATCACTGGGTTACTACCCTGCAGGTGACAAAGCACTCAGTCCACATCTGTGCTAACCAGGGAATTGTGTGAACTGTCTCTTCTCCATTGAAAAGGTAGCTAATATGGTGTAAAAAAAAAAAAAAATCTGATTAAACCATGCAAATCATGAAAATATTTAGGAGTAGCTCCCCCTCTGCAATGTAATGTTTTATAAAGATTTAATAGATTAGATAGATATCTTTCTTCCCCTGATTTCTTTTTAAGTAATTACTTTTATAAAGACCATTTAGTTTCTATAAGTAAGCATGCTTCTGAATAACAAAGGGTAAATTATAAAACAGCAAAAATCCAGAAATGTCAGAATGACAAAAGACTGTAAAAGACACATATTTAAAATAAAAATGTCTAAGCCTTTAAAATGTGAAATGAAATTACAAAAGGACTTTGAAAAACAGGAAAGGCAGAAAACTGAGAGGCAGTGATTGAACAAGGCTTTATGTTCTACCTGAATGTATTCAACAGAAATTTAAGTTGGAAAAAGAAAACAAGAAAGAGCAGAGCAGTTTATTAATAGCATCTTGCTTAACTTTCATGGGAATTAACACAGCCACCGACAAGATTTTATTTGGTTGTAAAGTACGTCAGCAAAGAAACTGAATCCTTTAAACACTGATTACTGCAATCCATGCAACGTTTGGACTATATTTCTTAGAATTCTGTTGTGTTTCAGCTTTTAAAATTTAGCACTTCCTAAGTGCATAAATAATTCACCTCAGTAATGTTAAAAATATTTAGAATTAAATTAGTTCTTAGGAAGGCATAGTGTCTTCAAATTGCTAAATTTTAAAGATAAATAACCTTTTACAAGTATAGGAAGAATAAATGACATAAAAGATGGTATATTGCTATCAAAATAAGCACATTTTCACTAGCATTTTGTTGTTTCTTTTCCTTGAGATGCAACACGTGTGTTTCGTCCGGCCAGGACCGCAGGTGGTAGATGACTATACGTCAGATTTAAATAAACAGCAAAAATGAACAGAGTCGTGCACAAGCAAACGAAACGTTCTCTCCCAGAACATTCCAGGAGATGTTAAAGCAGCAGGTCATGGCATAAGACTGGTGAGTGATGCTGCTACCTATTTCTTCTAATGAGATAGGAGTGAATGTTGGAACCACGTCCACAGCAACACAATCCTCCGACCGCATTCCTCGGGCAGTCGTTTCCCCAGCTCCCTACTAAAAACGTCAGATGGTAAAATAGTAAGGCAGCTGTTGACTTCCATCAAAAAAAAAAAAAAAATGCAGCTCCATACATTTCCAGTTTAGTCACACTCTGCTAGGACAGATGGAGTAGCCAATGCCAAGAACTTCGCCGGATGGGGCTGCTTCAGCAGATTTTAAAAAAGAATTATTATTAAGTTTTGCTCTCCAACATGGCCGTGTGCTTCAGCTCCCAGAGGACCCCAAAGCCACAAAGCACTCCCAGGGGAACCGAACAGGTCCTCTGGCTGAATTTTCCAAGTTTCATCTCTCTCGCGATCCCATCCTAATTCCAAGCCTCCTTCCCTGTGTCTGAGTCTGCCTGGGGTGGGCCATTTAAAGGGCTGACGGCACCACTGCAGAGAACTGTGGGCTAACACACCACTAGTTGTCAGGACTTCACTGAAGGGTCAAAACAGTTATAGCAATTAAGTAACTATGTTGAATCACATTCAGGCATAGCCAAAATTAAAGTGAAGGACAATACGTCATTGTTAAAAAAAATAGCAAATTTGCATATGAGAAAAGAATGTTATTTACTATGATTTTAGATAGAAATTAAGGCGATTCTTACCTTTCCTAATTCCAATCAAGTTAGAAAGTGAACAAAAAGAATGGCCAACCCGATATTCAACAGCATGACAAGGACAATCATGATTGAATTAGGGCCCTGAAAATGAAAGAGAACAAAGTAACTATAACTTCTCCATGTTAATATCAAGATATTACCAAAGCCAATTACTGAAAAAATGAGAAAGTTAACATGATTGCAGTAAATAAGGCATAAAAGATGACAGCAGTTCGGAAAGGTGTAGACTAAAAACGGCAATGCTATGTTTAGATGGAGACATTTCAGAACCTTCACTTAAAAATGAATCCAGGCTTGAATTAGTTTAAAAACGTTTTAAACAACTGATCCACTTCATTCACCTCAAAACAATGGACAACAGCGTGTGCTGAGACACAGCTCACCCTAACAGGGCCTACGAACGGCTGGGAGTTAGACGTGCATTTGTTGTTAGAATGCAGTTCAGATGAGGAAGAGCTGCTTCCTCCACAGGGCAGTTAGAACACGAGAGCAAAATCTGTAGGACAAAGCCACCTCCAAGGAACAATTCAGGGAAAACTCAAAACGAGGTTCTCTACCTCTTGCTTTTTCCCTGGTCCTCTGTTTGGACACCACCCTTTCCGTTAAGTAAAAGCTGTAAGTGAGAAGTTGGATACTTTCAGAAGTTATCTTACAGGCCCAGCTTTTCAAATTTCTCTAATCACAACCACAACATTTCAGAAATGAAGTTATATTTTACAAACTATGGGATCCTATTTTGATAAATATCATTATAATAAATACCAGATAGTTGTCCAAGGGCCCCAAATTTTTACTTGTTTAAACAAACCAACCTCATATAACCCATCTTTTCAGATCTGCTCCATGAAGAAGCCACCTTTATTACAAAGACATGATTGTGGTATTTACTGTTAAAATAATGTCTAATTCTTATATAGCATTAAAAGTATTCTAAACTGGCTTTATGAGGTAGGTAGTTTTATTGTCCTCATTTTACAGAAGAGGAAACAGTGGTACTCCATTTGGATACTGGGTAAGACTACACTGAAACAATGTTACAGAGGCCTCAAAAGTATTGATGTTTTTTGGGTGTGGGGTAAGTGAATAATGGAGATTGGAGCTGTCATTGGTCAAACACTAATCAATTCGGGTCTAGGGTTTGGGTCACACATCATTGACTCAAGAAGGTCTCTTTCCCTGACTGAGCCCACATCTCCGTGGTAGAGGTCAGAGTGCCCTGCTCTTTCTCTATCACAAGGCGTTTCACACTTGATTATCCTTTGTTGTTTAACTGCTATTTTCCCCCACAAGACTCTGAGCTCCACAGTGGCAGGGGCCTTGTCTTATTCACTGCTATGTACCCAGTGCACAGACACGTGACATTGCCCAATTCATTCAGGCAACCAATATTTAATGAGACTCTACTATCTTCCAGCACATTTCCAAGTGCCGTGGATGTGGGTTGTTTTGTTTTGAGACAGGCTCTTGCTCTGTCACCCAGACTGGAATGCAGTGGTGTGATCTCAGCTCATCGCAGCCTTGACCTCCCAGGTTCAAGCTATCCTACCACTTCAGCTTCCTGAGTAGCTGAGACCAACAGTGCGTGCTATCAAACCTGGTTAATTTTTGTATTTTTTGTAGAGATGAGGTCTCACTATGTTGCCCAGGCTGGTCTCAACTTCCTGGCCTTAAGCGATCCTGCCACCTTGGCCTCCCAAAGTGCTGGGATTCCAGGCGTGTACCACAGTGCCTGACCCAAATGTGGGTTGTTAAACGAAATGGATTAAATCACTGAATTAAATGAAGAACAAACAGGGTGATGAGTAAAATGGGGGAGGGAGAGGAAGTAAACATGAGTCCCCTTTAAGTGGGGACTATTAGGCAGAAGAAAAGCATCAGTTCCTAAACCCCAAGTAAATGGGAGGAAAATAAACATTTTTTGCAGGTTTTTATAATGCTGGGCAGTGGGTTAAACATCTCTGAGATTTTTTTTTTTGTTTATTCTTCACAAGTGATTATTAGTTCCATTTTACAGAGCTTAAGAGGACAGGTGTCTTGCTCAAGTTTCCTCAGCCAGTTTGAACAAATTGGAACTCGAATTAAGCTTTAGTCTGGTCACTTCAGAGCTCCATGCTCTTTTCTCTATATGTCTATTAAAGATACAGGCCTTAGTTTAAAGGCAATTTCCCATTCAGTCCTTTAAAATGACATTTTCCTCTATATCCTATAATTTCCACAGTATCAGAAAAACATCAAATTGTGATAACGACCAACTGCTCTTTTAGAATAGTTGTAATTCTAAATTGATAGGAGAGTCCTAACCTGTGCAACTCCTCAATTATGGTTAATTTAGAGCATAGAAATAATGCAGAAAACTCTTATAACTCAGAAAATAGTGGAGACGATCTTTCAATGTCACAACTGAGCACAGAGATTAAGGAAATATTATTACAGGCTAAGCATCCCTTATCTGAAACACTTGGGACCCTAAGTGTTTGGGGTTTCAGATTTTCTTCTGATGTACAGGTTGAGCATCCCGAATACAAAATTCTAAAATGCTGCAATGAGAATTTCCTTTGAGCATCATGTTGGTGCTCTAAAAGTTTCAGATTCTGGAGATTTAAAAAATTTTTAATTTTTGTGGGTAACATGGTATATATGTGATATTTTGATACCAGCATAGAATGTGTAATAATCACATCAGGGTAATGAGGTATCCAACACCTAAAGCATTTATTCTTTGTGTTCCAAACAATCCAATTATACTCTTTTAGTTATTTTATTTTTTGAGGTGGAGTCTTGCTCTGTCACCCAGGCTGGAGTGCAGTGGCGCGATCTTGGCTCACCGTAACCTCTGCCTCCTGGCTTCAAGTGATTCTCCTGCCTCAGCCTCCCGAGTAGCTGGGACTACAGGTGTTCACTACGATGCCCAGCTAACTTTTATATTTTTGGTAGAGACGGGGTTTCACCATGTTGGCCAGGCTGGTCCTGAACTCCTGACCTCAAGTGATCCATCCGCCTCAGCCTCCCAAAGTGTTGGGATTACAGGTGTGGGCTACCGTGCCCAGTTCTCTTTTAGTTATTTTAAAAGGTACAATTAAATTATTATTAACTACAGTCACCCTGTTGTGCTATCAAATACTAGATCTTATTTGTTCTATTTTTTTTTTTGTATCCATTAAACATCCCCTCTTCTCCCCTACGTCTTCACTTTCCATCCAGCCTCTGGTAACCATCCTTCTACTCTCCATCTCCATGAGTGTGATCGCTTTAATTTTTAGCTCCCACAAATAAATGAGAACATGCAAAGTTTGTCTTTCTGTGCCTGGCTTCTTTCACTTCACATCATGACCAGATGTTGGAGCATTCTGGATGTTCCACCTGTACTACTACACACTTAGATTAGATTTTGTTCATGAGTGTTTTAAGAATTTTGGATCATTTCAACTATTCTGGGCTACTGGGTTTATTTTATAATTTTCAAAGGTAATTTAGTGATATGAAAGGTGAGGAAAAATACACCTGGTCAGAACAATACAACATAGACTTTGGTGTCTTACAGTGGACCCAGGAAAGTGAAATAGCAGAGAACGTGCCTTCCATGAAGCCAACTTCTAAAGTCCAAGGTGTGCCTGAACCTTAACTCCCATTTCATAAATCCATATAAGATTCTGTGAATTTATCTAACCCCTTTGAATTAGTGAGTATTTTGAATTTGTATATTCTTTTGGTTTGAATTTAGATTACTATCTTTTCTCTAGTTTTTAGCCCACATATCACTGTACTGGCAATCCAGATTCAATGAATAGTGAATGAGTGCTTTATCCAAAATGAAAAATACATACATATATATTTTTTTCTTTTGCACGCATACACACACACACATATTTCTCCTGTATATGTTCTAATATACACACACATATATATTTATCCTACCAGGGTGGCTCCACTTAGAAAGCTATTTTTAAAGGTGACTCAGTGAAGATGAGGGAAAACTAGACATGAAAGCTTCAAACAGCAACCAGGGGAAAAATAAAAATCCGGGATGCTCTGTTCAGTGGCAGATACCAAGCCCTGGCCTCTGTGTTCTTTATATACCTAGGCACAGGATATGGGGTGAAAAGCTTTAAGGTAAAGTCTCATAAATACGACTGTGGTGGCCAGTTGTAGCTTAAAATAGCAAAATGAAAAAAAAATCTGTCTTGCTTTTCAAGACTGACTGGGACAGGTGTAATACAAGAAGCTGTAGCAGGGCACAGGGTAAGTCTTGATTGGAAGAAATTTTCCAGGTGGTAAGAAAATAAAAAACAGGAAATCAAAATACAGAAAGAAATCCTAACTCAAAAAATTATCTTTTTTTCCTTTAAGAGATTGTCACTCATATTTAAAACTGTAAGGAATTTTCTGCTAGAAGAGTTACTATGGTTTATGTGAAATCTAAAGCTTCTCTAGCTAGAAACACAAGAGAAGAACAAAGTTTAATTAAGTATTAACAGCAAAGTTTAATTATATATATTTACCTCTTTCGGGGGTGAGGTTCAAACCCAATTTGATGGGGACGCTTTAAATTTTACACAAATTCAAAAGAAAGATTAGATGAACCTCAAAACAAACTTGGATGCAAATCACAGGAATGGCTGAGAAAAAAGTGTAGTCATTTTTCAGAATGGGCTGAGATACCTAATTGGAAAATTCCCCTCTTGTCTACTTGATGGTAAGACGCTAAAGATGCCTCTTCTGACCCTACCAGAGTTGTCATGTTGCAAAACTCTACAAAAATTTCGGGATCACATTGAATGCGTGCCCCTAGGACATGAGTCCATACGCAACCATTGCCCACAGGGGTCACAAAAGTTTCTTGAGGAAAATCTTCCTCAAGAAAGTAATCAATGCCACAGCCTCCCTTCTCCTACCTCTCATACTCGAGTTAACTAATTTCCTGTGTTAGTCTCCATCCCAGGAGATTTTCTGTATTTCTAGGAGATCAATAGCCAGGGTGATCCTGAGGATGGATCAGATCTACTTGAATATTTCTGAACTGCTTATGCTTCAGTTAGCATTGTGTTGAAACAAACATCATAATAGCCAAGGTTTTTTGAGCATTTATTCTGCGCTAGGCACTATGCTAAGAACTTTTAAAGTATTGACTCATTTAATCTTCACAACAACCCTGTGATAGGTACAGATGAGGAAACCAAGGCACAGAGCAGTTAGGAAACTGTCCAGGGTCACACAGCTGGTAAGCAACAGAGCTGGGATGTGAACCGAGGAAGTTCAGCAACAGAGTTCAATTCTGTGAATTTTAAAATTATTCACGAATGTCTAACTTATACAGTGTCTTTCTCTCAAAACTATGTAGTACTCCATTATCTTAAAGGTCATCCACTGACAACATTTATGATGACTGTGCCACTTCCTAACTCTGAGGAGTGGGGACGGCAGCGTTCTGTTACTATTGGGAAGACAATGTTAATTATTAGAATCTTCGCGTGAAGGTGTCAAGTCGGTCTTGAATTTTGCAGAGGCAGTCTAAAGCTCAGGGTAGCTGCGGAGCTGCTGGGGCTTCCCTTCCCCCTTGGGGTGTAGAGGGGTACCCTAAGGACCAACTACTGAGATGGAGGATGCTTGTCTAACTCCAAGAATCTGAGAATTCCGCAAATAAGTAAAACAGATGTTTTTTCTAAATGAGGAGGCTGTGAATTTACCAAACATACGTATACTACTGTTTTACAGAGAGACTCTTTCAGCTAAGAGCTGGGTAATTCAACTTTTTTTTCCCCCTATCACAGCCTAATGTATAGGACGCTGGGGCATACACTTCCCCTTGTAGAAGTCTAGAAGTCAACTAAAGCCCACAAATGGGTACCCAAAGGTATAAAAGGTATGGCCTTGCATTGTTTGAATTTTTCCCTGTGTAAATCAGGCAAACTAACACTGATATATGCGAGGCCTTATTAACCTGGGGATAAACATGCTGAAAGTCAAATGAGAAGTAAGCTATTACATTTAACAAATTCAATAGTGATTATTATAGTTGTAATGTCAAGATACTGTCATATTAAGGTTTAAAATCTTTAAAATGAATGCTTACTGAAGAGTCAGAATCTTAAAGTTAGTCTGTTTTGAAAACAATTTTTCTCCATGCAGGTGGACTCCTAGGAAGTTGGTCCAGTTAATCTGAATAATTTATGTTTAGCTAATTAAAAAGTTGAAAATTTGAAAAAAGAAGAGAACCAGTGTTTTATAGATATTAGCAAAATAAACACACAAGAAATTTTAAGCATAAGTTAACAGAGGAATTTTAATTGTTTAATCCTGTGAGTAAATCAAACAGACAAAAATAAGAAACTGATGGCTGTACTATATTCTTGTTGGCCAAGATATTAATCCACACCATTATGCAAATATGTCTCTATAATTTCTAGTGAATACTAGGTGTGTAACTTTCAACACCTCTGTTCTAAAGGGATGTGATCAGGTCAAGAGGTCATTTTTTAATCAATAATTAGCTTCAGATTTTATAAATACTATAGCATTTGATAAAACACTAATTCCATACATTATTCAAAAAATCTCCTTTTAAAGAAGGTATAAAGATTTTTCAATAACACAGAGCTTTTCTGGCTGAATAATAAATAAATATCTTAAATGCTTAAGACTAATTGATACTAATAACCTGCATCTACCAGAAAACTGAAATTGTAAGAGTTCTCACACTTTGAAAAGACAGAAGACCAAAGAAATTCTCTTGAACTGTTGGAAATTTTCAGTTCTCTTTTGGGAAAGAAAAATGTTCTAGCTGCAAAGCCTGGCTAATTAAAGTCCAAACTACGTATGTATGAGAAGAATTCACAACGGCTAGAGGAGACGTTCTTTTGTGTAAAGATGCTGACCGCTGTGGTGAAAACAGGAGAACTAAGAACTTGTTGGTGCCCTTTTCCTAGAGCTCTGAGAGCGGCTGGCCCTTGGCAGGGGTCATGATTCCTTTCCAGCAATCAGAGAGCAAGCTACCAGGAAGCTCACCAAGACACGCTGTTAAAGCCTTGCTAAAATGTGCTAAGATGCTGTGCTAAGCTGGTCAGGTCTTACCTACCTGAATTACATCTAAAGTGGGGCTGGGTGAACATAGGGGTGGTGGGGGGAATTTCTGCCCAGAGAGCTCTTTGCTGTCTCAAGCTACCAATGTGTTATGTGCTGCTCTAAACAACCCTGTGCTTCTAGAACCTTGGTTAGCCTGGCTGTGATCAAGATGCACAGTCACCCCACACAGCTCGCTGAAAGAAACAAAGGGAAGAAAGAAAGAGAAAACGCTACTTGCAGTACTTACTGAATTGGCTTCTTTTTCCAAAGCAGGGCATGAATCGTTGCTTGCTGGATTCTTTGGTATAGCAAGTTCAGACTTCTTAGCTTTTGGCTCAGCTTTGCTTTCTTTGGCAACTGGTTTTGTCACAGATTTGGAGGGACTCCACTTGTTAGCGGATGGCTTGTGCACCAGTGCTGAGGAAGACTGGCTGGATCCATCGCCGTCCTCCACGTCTACTGGAGGGTGCTGGGGGGCGTTCAGCTTCACGTAGTAGCCGTGATACTGAGAATGCAGCTCCCCGTTACTGGGGTTGGGGATGTGGTGGCGGCCAGAGTACTTGGACTGGGGCACAACCGCTCCTGCCTCCTTCGTGGGAGCCTTTGACATCAAGGGCTTATTGACAATGGCCGTCACCTGCTCATCAGCCACACTCCTTTTGTCTTGGTTGAGTCTCGCCCCTGAGCTGGGGTTTTGCTTCTTCAGGGGCTTTGGGGAGGAAGCAGGAGAGTGGCTGTGTTTGGGACTTGCCTCAGGAGATCTTGGGGGTGTCGTGCCTTTGCGATAAAAATGAGGAGACTCCTTTGGTGTAGGTGGCTTTTCTGGTACCTTTTCTTCTGGATTTTCTTTAGCATCTACACCTTCCTGAAATCTCTGTTTGACGTAATCAGGGCCTGGCCAAAAAAAAAAGAAAAAAGAAAAAAAGAAAGGAGGTATATATACATATATTTTGCTAAATCAGATTAACCTTTTCTCTTTTAAAAATAATATATTCATAAGGCTTTGACTAAACACATATTTCATTCTCTGGGGAAAAGTTTATTTATTATGGAAAGGCTGCTTTTAAGATAATACAGAATCTAAACAGTTCTGGCTTCCCTGATAATTGCATTCTTTCTGCCTACTTGCAGAATACAGAGGCAAAATTCATGTTGATGGAACATTGGTCGCAATATCATAATTAATCTGCTTGTTCAAATTATGTGGTGTAACTAAG
This sequence comes from Homo sapiens, assembly GCF_000001405.40. Taxonomy (NCBI): domain Eukaryota; kingdom Metazoa; phylum Chordata; class Mammalia; order Primates; family Hominidae; genus Homo; species Homo sapiens. The sequence goes on from NC_000008.11 coordinate 74,245,499, forward strand.
ACACAGAAAGTGTATACTTGTACAAGGAAGTAAGCTGACTACTGTAAGCATCTGAAAATTTAATAAAGTATACTGTAAGAGGAGAACCTGTAGATAACATATTTTTAATGATCTGTCATCAAACATGCACTAAAACTTCCTAGTTTGAAACAATTTCTGAGGCTTAGGTTGCACGACACAAAGTCACTTCCATGTAGTCCATTCACAGCTATGGAAAACACGGATTTGCACAAGCAGTGTTTTGCAGGTATCAAAGTCAAGACAAGGCAGTTGTCTCTGGTTCTGTAGCTTCAAGATTTTTTTTTTCCTTTTTTATATACCTCAGGATTGTTTATAAAAATCTTGTTACTTTTTTATAAATGGGAACAAATTTTCATTAAAAAAGAGGCTATTCTTCTGACAGAGGAGGAAAAAATGAAAAAAAAAAAAAAAAAGTGGCCCTGCTGCATTGTTATTTTACAGGGAGTGAGCTATAAAGAAACAGAGTGTGTGCCACAAAATGTCCAGGCCCTGGGAACTCGAGGAGGCTGTGGTCTGGAAAGGGGCATCTCTGGGCTGAGACAGAGACCTTAGACTTCTAGGGCCTTCAGCTCTCAGCAAGTCATGTGCGTACTTTGGCTACCACTCCACCCATCTGCCACTTTTCGCCTCATAAGGTGAGGTCAAGGTCACATGCAGTGCAACTGACCCTCTTCCTCACAAATGGGCAGAAGCTGACAATGTCTCTTGAGTATACATGGAAGACACTGCCCCCACCGACATGCTTATAGAGAGTTGACAGGCTCTTGTCAATTCCACAACACTGCATCTGTTCATTTTCCTTCCTGCCTTCTACCCCCAACCCTTCACCCCAGACAAACTCACTAACTCACTAAAAGATTTACAGAGGGACTGAACAGCAATTATCCTTAATTGTGAAACTACATACTGCACACTTACACTTGTAATTGCTCTTCCCATGGTGGTCTGAGTAATAAGTTATTGTAATGAGGCTGCTATTTAATTATACAAGGAATTTTCCAAAATTTAAAGCCTCACCAAAATCTTAGGGAGTAGGTGTTATTATCCCCATTTTACTGAAAGGGAAACAGCTATAGCAACTGAAAAAAAAATCACATAGCTCCCATTATCTTTTCAGAAAAAAACATAATGCAACACATAATATTTTAAAGCCAGAGACAAGAATTCCTGAGCACCCACCATCGCAAGTTATACTCAGGGCACAAAACATAATAGTATTATCACAGTTTCCACCTTCTAGAAGATACATCCACTCCTGGGGATTCAAGTTTCCCAAATTTGTCAAGATCGCACATGGACAATTGAGACTTCCTTTCTAAACTGGGTAAGCTCCCCCTTTACATAACTGACAATTTTCTTTTAATTCCTCCATCAAAAATGGCAATGTTAATTCTTAGGCCAGTGAAAGTTATTTTGAATGACAAAAAGCAGCAACTGCAAGCATTCAAAAGGCGATGTCCTTCTGTTTCTGAATTCTTTCTTGGTGCTGTGTGTCTGGACATAGCATTAAGGGGAAAAAGGGCAGCATGAGCACAAAAAAGTTATCTTTCATCAGCTGAACTGTCCCTGCTCTTTAAAACTCATCAGGTCATTGATACTAGTCTGTCATGGAGAAGCCCCTTGTGATTCACCTGCAGGCATATTTTAACAAAACCCCTCTTCTTCTGTGATAAAGTATATTCTCTAATACATCTTGATGCAGTGTGATGTTTACATACTTTTCCCTCACTTCTCTACCCAAAATTTCACTATGGTTGGTTTTATTTGTGCTTTACTGATATTCAACTTCATAGCATTACTAAAATACCCATCTAGGTATGGTAGTGGATGTACTTTGCAAAGATAATTAAAATAGTCAAGGGCCTTGGAGCCAACGGACTTTTAATTTAAGCCACTTAATGCTGAAACAATTACATAAAATACAAAGTGCTTTTAACATCTTTGATCTAAAGATAAATGCAAGTTATTTTTGCATAGAAAAATTGCCAATATCTACTAAGATTAAGGCACATTAAAAGCTAATGTTTAACTTAAATATACAGAAAAGAGTGAAAAAATAGACTCTGGCAAACATTTTTCGTTATGCATTCTCAAAGTTGGAGGGAAAAGGTAAAGAGTCACTGCGCCCTGAGAAATGAAGCTGTCACAAAGCCCATGCATTTCACTTAGAAGATGTAAGACCATGAGATTGTAGCTTACAAATTTAGGATTTAAATCTTTGTGATGCCCTCGTCACAAAAAAATGTCATTTTTTTGAGGTGATAAATAGGTTAATTAGCTTGATTTAATCATTCCATATTGTATTAAGAAATTGTAACATCACTTTGTACTTCATAAATATATACAACTATAACTTATCAATATATACATTAAAAACATTAGGATGTATCCTAGTGACCTTCAGCACCATCAGTATAGGTGGATAGGCCAAGGTGAGACTGATTTGGCCGTTGGAATAATTTGTATTAATGAACTTATGAAGCTAAATTTTGGATTCCATTGAAAGTATTTCTTATGATATTTATCAACTCTCAAATACTGGTCTAATCACTTCTTTAACCTTTAGAAATCTGATGTGTCACCTCTTTGGACACAGTTTTCTTGTCCTAAATGCAGTAAGAAAGGCATGTCTTACATGATTACTCATGCCCACTCTGCTAAGATGAGTTTAGGTATACTCACTCAAATTGATCTACAGGGCTTCTGATGATACTCAAAAATGATGAGCTCAAAGAATTTACTAGAATGGTGGAAGTACATTTTAGCATCAACTTTCACATTTAAAAAATTCCTAGCTTTATTATGCATTCAAAAAATATCTGGGTAAGGGAAAAAATGCACTCCTAAGCAGGGGCGCCTATGCTTGCTGCCTATCAGAGCATCTGAGGTGTTATGGCCAGATATTTTAATAAGTATGAATTGAAGCCTAGAAATATTAATGTTTAACAAATGATCCGAGTGATTCTAACGCACTGGGTTATAGGCATTTGACACTATGCTAGCAATATGTTGATACTGCTTGCATTGATTGGTTATATTGCTTGGTTCATATGTCCATAGCACCAGCCTTACATGACTACATCCTGTTGGAAATGGTTCCAACGTGGCACAGTCATACAAGTCCTAGCCAACTAAATGAGGATATACAGTTAGATTTTCCAGAGGAAGATTAAATGCTTTTAAAACAAGACGTTTAATATAATGCAGAAGACAGAAGTTTTTCCTGGACTATTTTCTCTTGGAAGGCACATGTTGTGCCTGCTACTTGTTCTGTGTAGTAAATGTGTGTCAGCATTGCAGAGCCAGCAACATAAAGTTGATGAGATGCAGCGGTTCATTAAAAAGACTAGTCAGAATATTGCCAGGGAGGGAAATTATGACAAATGTTGATAGTTGTTGCAGTCAGCATTTTCATCTGTTTTTATAGACAGTATCTATGAATCCCAAAGGATTTTCTCCCCCTGGAGACTCATATTGGGAAGAAGTCAGATACAGGTCACCCGCTCACGGACATGGCTGCCACACAATGTGAAAAAAGAAACAACATTCAGCATGCCATCCACCAACACTCAAAGGTTACTCGTTACAGTTGGCACGAAGGCTCTGAACAGATATGGCAGATGGTGGCAGCAGGGTATCCAGCTAGTTCTTCAGAGGTGAGCCTCGGTGGGCTGGCTATGGGCAGAAGCACCATAAAGATTCCCCAAAACAAATTTCTATGAGGGCAGTGCCAATATCAAATGCTTTGTAGCAACAGCAGTAGTCATTAAGTAGAAATTAGACATTTTCTGTGGAGACTGACAATCAGTGAAAAGAGGACCAGATTGAAAGAGTCTAAAAAAATTGTGTAACTGGTAGCAGGATCACTTTTTGTGTTCAATATAGAAAGAACACTCCTTTCCTATAGGACTTCACAGTCCCGTCTATAACAATCCTGCAATTTCTGTGACCACAGCCATAGTGCTCTGGTCTGCAAACTGTGGGACATCCTTTCTAGTACCCTGCACTTGGCTGGCACTCAATACCCATTTGTGAAACTGAATGTACTGGAATGAATACGTGGTATGAGTAACCAGCAAACTCATGAATTATTAATTTCATGTCAACTAGTGGATTATTCAGTTTCCCTTTTTAATGAAAAAATTTATTCATAATTTTGGGTTTGGAAGGTGAGCTTAGAAGTCATCTATTCCAGGATGCTTCCCTTTTCTTAACCAAATCCATGACATATTAATGATAGGCCTAGACTATTATGTAATGGAGCTATGCTTTGATTTCTGAAGTCTTCTAATTCATACCAGAAATGCAAGCTTAGTTAACACTGGTCCATAATAACCTGTGCTAAAGACTTCACTCTAAATAATTGATGCACTGTGTGTATGAGTACATTTATGCTTAAACATGTGAAGACAAAGCTCGTTGGGGATGATACCCAGAGAAGCAGGCTGGCTCTCTCCCAAGAGGGCTCCAAGTACTAAATTTACCACATTCCAGGGCAGTGTTTTAATTTCTTTAACTCATGCTCAGCCCCTGCCTCCATCAATAAATACAAAAATTTTACATGCTACTTAATATCACTTGAAATTAAAAACAAAATGAATCTCTCGACTAAAAGGATTTTTTTTTTTTTTTTGAGACGGAGTCTTGCTCTGTCACCCAGGCTGGAGTAAGTGGCACCATCCTGGCTCACTGCAACCTCTGCCTCTCAGTTCAAATGATTCTCATGCCTCAGCCTCCCAAGTAGCTGGGATTACAGGCATGTACTACCAGGCCCAGCTAATTTTTGTATTTTTAGTGGAGATGGGGTTTCACCATGTTGGTCAGGCTGGTCGTGAACTCCTGGCCTCACATGATCTGCCCGCTTTGGCCTCCCAGAGTGCTGGGATTACAGGCATGAGCCACTGTGCCTAGCCTAAAAAGAAACTGAAACAGTGGGAGAAAGAGCCACAAATCTAGTCTCCCAATCTTCCTTTCCAGGAAGGGGCAGGGCCCCGGTCCCCCCTGCTTCCTCAGTGGTTACCCTCTAAAGCAAGCTTGTACAACCCGTGGCCCAACACAAATTCATAAACTTTTCTTAAAACATTATGAGATTTTTTTGGTGATTTTGTTTTAGCTCCTCAGCTATCATTAGTGTTAGTGCATTTTATGTGTGGCCCAAGACAATTCTTCTTCTTCTTATGTGGCCCAGGGAAGCCAAAAGATTGGACACCCTTGCTCTAAAGCCTATGTCACCCTTGCTGGCATAGAAACCTGATTTTACCAGCACTTTGAAGCAGAGCCATCCCTTGGGGCAGACTCACATTACCAAAGCTCACCAGACTGACGTACAATCCTAGAAGGCCAATTTACTAGTTTACAATGAGCAATGTAAATGTCACATAGGTCAGGGGACTCATGCTGATACTACCAGTACATGCTCTCCTTGTTGGCAGAACTCCATGGAAAGCTCAGCCAAAATTAGAAAGTTACTGGTGAACATGGAATCAGAACAAGAAGCATGAGCTGAATCAAATACGTAATGGCATCAAGCTGGGCTAGCCTGATACATCCATTTCCTGAATCAGGGTGATCTTGCCAGTAAAGCCATATACCATGGCCATAGTTCCCTGCATCCTTCCCCATAATAGAAACGTCCTTGCCAATGTGAGAGCAGTCTTCCAAGGTTCTGGCTCAGGCTTCTCCTCCTCTGGACAGTGTTGGGATGAACACTGCCAATTTTTGCCTCTGTGACTCTTTTTTCTATACTTCCTTGGGTGACCAATTTTTCTTTAGATGTTTTTATAACCCAATCAGGTTACAAGGAAATCCTGTGGTTCTTAAAGCCATCCTATTACTTAGGATCACCTGATCTACCTTTGTGTAGTTTCAGGGACTCATTTTCAAGCTGAACTCTCAGAGGGCAATCTTCTAAGTTCTTGGGGGATGACTCACTGTGTCACTCCCACTAATGGCAATTTAGGTTTCTGTGCATGTACACAGTTATCTATATACACATTCACAAACATCCATTTGTATGCTTTCGGTTTATTAGAGCTTAACCCTTTGGGGGAGAAAGCCATCCCACATGGCTTTGTTTTTTTCTTTAATGACAAAAGTTATTATTTTATTTAAAATTTTTTTGATTAATCTACATATAATCTACTAGCAACCTTTTTTTCTACTTCTTGCTTTTATAATCAAGAGGCTATGTTTTTTCTTTAGTTTCTAACTGAATTGTAGAATAATACAGTTTTTTAAAATAGATTCAATGCCATCCCCATCAAGCTACCAATGACTTTCTTCACAGAATTGGAAAAAACTACTTTCAAGTTCATATGGAACCAAAAAAGAGCCTGCATTGCCAAGTCAATCCTAAGCCAAAAGAACAAAGCTGGAGGCATCACGCTACCTGACTTCAAACTATACTACAAGGCTACAGTAACCAAAACAGCATGGTACTGCTACCAAAACAGAGACATAGACCAATGGAACAGAACAGAGCCCTCAGAAATAATGCCACACATCTACAACTATCTGATCTTTGACAAACCTGACAAAAACAAGAAATGGGGAAAGGATTCCCTATTTAATAAATGGTGCTGGGAAAACTGGCTAGCCATATGTAGAAAGCTGAAACTGGACCCCTTCCTTACACCTTATACAAAAATTAATTCAAGATGGATTAAAGACTTACATGTTAGACCTAAAACCATAAAAACCCTAGAAGAAAACCTAGGGAATACCACTCAGGACACAGGCATGGGCAAGGACTTCATGACTAAAACACCAAAAGCAATGGCAACAAAAGCTAAAACTGACAAATGGGATCTATTTAAACTAAAGAGCTTCTGCACAGCAAAAGAAACTACCATCAGAGTGAACAGGCAACCTACCGAATGGGAGAAAATTTTTACAATCTACTCATCTGACAAAGGGCTAATATCCAGAATCTAGAAAGAACTCAAGGCTAGGAAGAAACTGCATCAACTAATGAGCAAAATAACCAGCTAACATCATAATGACAGGATCAAATTCACACATAACAATACTAACCTTAAATGGAAATGGGCTAAATGCTCCAATTGAAAGGCACAGACTGGCAAATTGGATAAAGAGTCAAGACCCATCAGTGTGCTGTATTCAGGAAACCCATCTCACGTGCAGAGACACACATAGGCTCAAAATAAAGGGATGGAGGAAGATCTACCAAGCAAATGGAAAACAAAACAAAGGCAGGGGTTGCAATCCTAGTCTCAGATAAAACAGACTATAAACCAACAAAGATCAAAAGAGACAAGGCCATTACATAATGGTAAAGGGATCAATTCAACAAGAAGAACTAACTATCCTAAATATATATGCACCCAATACAGGAGCACCCAGATTCATAAAGCAAGTCCTTAGTGACCTAGAAAGAGACTTAGACTCCCACACAATAATAATGGGAGACTTTAACACCCCACTGTCAACATTAGACAGATCAACGAGACAGAAAGTCAACAAGGATACCCAGGAATTGAACTCAGCTCTGCACCAAGCAGATCTAATAGACATCTACAGAACTCTCCACCCCAAATCAACAGAATATACATTCTTTTCAGCATCACACCACACCTATTCCAAAATTGACCACATAGTTGGAAGTAAAGCTCTCCTCAGCAAATGTAAAAGAACAGAAATTATAACAAACTATCTCTCAGACCACAGTGCAATCAAACTAGAACTCAGGATTAAGAAACTCACTCAAAACCGCTCAACTACATGGAAACTGAACAACCTGCTCCTAAATGACTACTAGGTACATAACGAAATGAAGGCAGAAATAAAGATGTTCTTTGAAACCAGTGAGAACAAAGACACAATATACCAGAATCTCTGGGACACATTCAAAGCAGTGTGTAGAGGGAAATTTATAGCACTAAATGCCCACAAGAGAAAGCAGGAAAGATCTAAAATTGACACCCTAACATCACAATTAGAAGAACTAGAGAAGCAAGAGCAAACACATTCAAAAGCTAGCAGAAGGCAAGAAATAACTAAAATCAGAGCAGAACTGAAGGAAATAGAGACACAAAAAACCCTTCAAAAAATTAATGAATCCAGGAGCTGGTTTTTTGAAAAGATCAACACAATTGATAGACCGCTAACAAGACTAATAAAGAAGAAAAGAGAGAAGAATCAAATAGACGCAATAAAAAATGACAAAGGGGATATTACCACTGATCCCACAGAAATACAAACTACCATCAGAGAATACTATAAACACCTATACACAAATAAACTAGAAAATCTAGAAGAAATGGATAAATTCCTTGACACAAACACTCTCCCAAGACTAAACCAGGAAGAAGCTGAATCTCTGACTAGACCAATAACAGGAGCTGAAATTGAGGCAATAATTAATAGCTTACCAACCAAAAAAAGTCCAGGACCAGATGGATTCACAGCCGAATTCTACCAGAGGTACAAGGAGGAGCTGGTACCATTCCTTCTGAAACCATTCCAATCAATAGAAAAAGAGGGAATCCTCCCTAACTCATTTTATGAGGCCAGCATCATCCTGATACCAAAGCCAGGTAGAGAAACAACCAAAAAAGAGAATTTTAGACCAATATCCTTGATGAACACTGATGCAAAAATCCTCAATAAAATACTGGCAAACCGAATCCAGCAACACATCAAAAAGCTTATCCACCATGATCAAGTGGGCTTCATCCCTGGGATGCAAGGCTGGTTCAACATACGAAAATGAATAAACGTAATCCAGCATATAAACAGAACCAAAGACAAAAACCACATGATTATCTCAATAGATGCAGAAAAGGCCTTTGACAAAATTCAACAACTCTTCATGCTAAAAACTCTCAATAAATTAGGTATTGATGGGATGTATCTCAAAATAGTAAGAGCTATGTATGACAAACCCACAGCCAATATCATACTGAATGGGCAAAAACTGGAACCATTCCCTTTGAAAACTGGCACAAGACAGGGATGCCCTCTCTCACCACTCCTATTCAACATAGTGTTGGAAGTTCTGGCCAGGGCAATCAGGCAGGAGAAAGAAATAAAGGGCATTCAATTAGGAAAAGAGGAAGTCAAATTGTCCCTGTTTGCAGATGACATGATTGTATATCTAGAAAACCCCACTGTCTCAGCCCAAAATCTTCTTAAGCTGATAAGCAACTTCAGCAAAGTCTCAGGATACAAAATCAATGTACAAAAATCACAAGCATTCTTATACACCAATAACAGACAAACAGAGAGCCAAATCATGAGTAAACTCCCATTCACAATTGCTTCAAAGAGAATAAAATACCTAGGAATCCAACTTACAAGGGATGTGAAGGACCTCTTCAAGGAGAACTACAAACCACTGCTCAATGAAATAAAAGAGGACACAAACAAATGGGAGAACATTCCATGCTCATGGGTAGGAAGAATCAATATCGTGAAAATGGGCATACTGCCCAAGGTAATTTATAGATTCAATGCTGTCCCCATCAAGCTACCAATGACTTTCTCCACAGAATTGGAAAAAACTACTTTCAAGTTCATATGGAACCAAAAAAGAGCCTGCATTGCCAAGTCAATCCTAAGCCAAAAGAACAAAGCTGGAGGCATCACGCTACCTGACTTCAAACTATACTATAAGGCTACAGTAACCAAAACAGCATGGTAGTGGTACCAAAACAGAGATATAGACCAATGGAACAGAACAGAGCCCTCAGAAATAATGCTGCATATCTACAACTATCTGATCTTTGACAAACTTGACAAAAACAAGAAATGGGGAAAGGATTCCCTATTTAATAAATGGTGCTGGGAAAACTGGCTAGCCATATGTAGAAAGCTGAAACTGGATCCCTTCCTTACACCTTATACAAAAATTAATTCAAGATGGATTAAAGACTTACATGTTAGACCTGAAACCATAAAAACCCTAGAAGAAAACCTAGGCAATACCATTCAGGACATAGGCATAGGCAAGGACTTCATGTCTAAAACACCAAAAGCAATGGCAACAAAAGCCAAAATTGACAAATGGGATCTAATTAAACTCAAGAGCTTCTGCACAGCAAAATAAACCACCATCAGAGTGACTAGGCAACCTACAGAATGGGAGAAAATTTTTGCAACCTACTCATCTGACAAAGGGCTAATATCCAGAATCTACAATGAACTCAAACAAATTTACAAGAAAAAAACAACCCCATCAAAAAGTGGGTGAAGGATATGAACAGACACTTCTCAAAAGAAGATATTTATGCAGCCAAAAAACACATGAAAAAATGCTCATCATCACTGGCCATCAGAGAAATGCAAATCAAAACCACAATGAGATACCATCTCACACCAGTTAGAATGGCGATCATTAAAAAGTCAGGAGACAACAGGTGCTGGAGAGGATGTGGAGAAATAGGAATACTTTTACACTGTTGGTGGGACTGTAAACTAGTTCAACCATTGTGGAAGTGGGTGTGGCGATTCCTCAGGGATCTAGAACTAGAAATACCATTTGACCCAGCCATTCCATTACTGGGTATATACGCAAAGGATTATAAATCATGCTGCTATAAAGTCACATGCACACGTATGTTTATTGCAGCACTATTGACAATAGCAAAGACTTGGAACCAACCCAAATGTCCAACAATGATAGACTGGATTAAGAAAATGTGGCACATATACACCGTGGAATACTATGCAGCCATAAAAAATGATGAGTTCATGTCCTTTGTAGGGACATGGATGAAGCTGGAGACCATCATTCTCAGCAAACTATCACAAGGACAAAAAACCAAACACCGCATGTTCTCACTCATAGGTGGGAATTGATCAATGAGAACACATGGACACAGGAAGGGGAACATCACACACCGGGGCCTATCATGGGGTGGGGGGAAGGGGGAGGGATAGCATTAGGAGATATACCTAATGCTAAATGACGAGTTAATGGGTGCAGCACACCAACATGGCACATGTATACATATGTAACAAACCTGCACGTTGTGCACATGTACCCTAAAACTTAAAAAAAAAAAAAAGAACTCAAACAAATTTACAAGAAAAAAACAACCCCATCAACAAGTGGGCGAAGGATATGAACAGACACTTCTCAAAAGAAGACATTTATGCAGCCAAAAGACACATGGAAAAAAGCTCATCATCACTGTTCATTAGAGAAATGCGAATCAAAACCACAATGAGATGTCATCTCACACCAGTTAGAATGGCGATCATTAAAAAGTCAGGAAACAACAGAATAATGCAGTTTTAAACTAAACAACATAAGATTTAATTAAGATGGAAAATATCTGAAAATACTGCCAGCTCCTGAAAATAGGTAATTTGCCATGGAAGCGTTCAACATGTAAGCTATGACAGGCATCTTTTATTCCAGGGTTAACAACTTCTATGCACGAACACATGCATTCCAAACAATGGAGACTTTTATATCTGAGATATGTAAATTAAATGGCCAGCCTAATTTAGAAGTACTTGAAAGCCCTTTTCGAAAATGTCTATCTGATTTGCTCACCCTGTAAATGCAAAGTGGAGAGCATGAGTTATGCTCCCTTAAGAAGATCAATAATACCCGCGACAGAAAAGGCTTTCTATACAGTTGCTGAAGAAAGTGCTGGCTGTGTGTCAAAGGGGACTGCAGCCTCCCCGACAAGCTCTGGTCTCAAATAGACCCGCTGTCGTCCATGCTACTGTGATGTATTCATTCCTGACGGACAACTTGCTTATATGAAGCTGTTTTAGCTAAGAAAGGGTGGCATTACATTTTCCCACAATATTTTTTTTCCCTTCAAATGCTTTTACACCAGAAAAGGCTTTTAAAACCATTCAGTCTGGGAAACCAAGATGATCTTTCGTATCATTTACCTCTTGTTAACACCTGATAGAAATCTAAAGGGACCCCATTCCCCAACAGAATTAACAGAACCAAGAAATTACCATCTGCAGACAACAGTAAGTTTGTTTGCTTTCAAAGCCGCTCAAGCCCAGTGCCTCCTGATCAGTCAGGTTCTTTCCAATGGCAGCACTGCTAGGGAGGAGAGAACAATTTCTCCTGGGTGGCTGAACCCTTTTCCCAGCTCTCACGCCCTGGAACAGCTAATTTGCCAATATACGTAGGTACCAGGGAAGTATGAGTTCATTTCACGCCAGAGGAGAGTTTATTCCTACCAGAGGTCGCTGCAAAAAATGGAAAGGTTCCTTTTCCTAAAAATTGCATATATATAAAAAATGATTTAAATCTCAACCAGAGGTTTAAAAGAGATGCGTGTGAAAGAAAATACCCTTCTCAGTGGTTGCCTTGGACTTGAACTCTTAGAGAAGTCACTCTGTGATGATGATATCTATCATTCAACAACCACCTTGGGTCCCTCCCCAGCCTTTCTCTTATAAAAACCGAATCTTCTTTGCCTGGCCTTTTACTGTCTTCTTTCTTTGCAGGAACCTCCTGCCCCCATTCTCCAGGTCATTTCTCATTGCTCCATCCTTGATTATAGCCAAGTTTCTAGCTTTTCTACAAATCTTGCTATTTTGTTCACTTTGACTTACATCGTTCGTTAGGACTCAGTGATACCCTGTGGGTTCCGACAGCGTATACCCCTCACCAGAGCCAAACATGAATCGAACACCTACCTCATGCAGGGTGCTGGGCTAGGGACAGGATGCTAGTTATACAGCTTGATTTAATAAAAACCAGTGTGGAAAAATCCTTTACCAAGAAATGTAACTTTTAACATAAATTGAAAACATTTATTTTGGTTTCTTCACCTAGAAATCTGTTGATGCCTCAAACAATCACGGAGAATATATATAAATAGGTGAATATTGCCTTTTTGAAACTCAAAACAAAAACACTAGTATATTATAGAGAGGGGTAGAAAGAGTCTACTAGGAAACTACTAGAAAGTGAATTAAGAATTTAAACTATTGCAAATATTTGTTGATTGCTATTTTGTAACATCTGAGAGGCAGATGACCAAGATCGATTTTTTTGAGGTTGTCACTTTTATTTCTTCCATTGTGACATGCATTTTCCTCTTACTCTGTGCAGATTAATCTCTTTAAGTGGTATGCTGCTATACTTCCTAACCACAGTCCTTTGAACTTTGAACTTTAGTTCAGATACGTTAAAAAAAAGTCACAGTACTGACTGGCTCTTCTCTTACTACTAAAAGTGCCTCTGAATTTGGGGGTATTTGTTATAGAATCTGTAGCTGTCACTAAAATAATTTCTTAGAATCAGATATTTTAGATTCTTGTCTAGTTTACTGCTATCAGCTCAAACTTTGTTGGTCATATGTAGAGGGGAGGAAGGGTGAGACTCTGGGGAATAACCCATCTCCAGGGCTAACACTCAGACCTCGGGTGATATTTGTTACTACAAGTTGAACATTCCTAATCCAAAAATCTGAAATGCTCCAGAATCCAAAACATTGTGGGCACCGACACGATGCTACAAGTGGAAAATTCCACATGACCGATGGTCACAGTCAAAATGCAGTCAAAACTTTGTTCCATGTGCAAAATTATTAAAAATATACTATAAAATTACCTCCAGGCTATGTGTATAAGGTATCTATGAAACATAAATGAATTTCGTGTTTCAACTTGGGTTCCCAGCTCAAGAGATCTCACTGTGTACATGCAAATACAGAAAAATATCAACAAATCTGAAATCTGAAACACTTCTGGTCCCAAGCACTTCAGATGAAGGATCCTCAACCGCAGGCGCCCTTGCTTGTTTTGTATAATAGTACTGCTGGGATTCAGGAAGCACACATCTTTATGTTGAAAGGAAAAGGAAATAAAAGCAAGCCAAAGCCAGTGCTCCTGCCTCACCCATCAAAGGAGCACTGTTTTACCTGGTTGGTAGAAATCAGGTGACAGCTCCCTGGCCACAGCTCTCGCGATGTCGCACTCCTGGCGAGCGGCCAGCGCGGCCTGGTCGGCGGCATCGGCCTTCGCTCTGGCATGTGCAGTCCTACACGGGGCACAAAAGGACGAGTCAGCATAGGTGACCCCTTGTTACTTACACAGGGACAAGCAAATTGTAATCTGGGAAAAGAAATGTTAATTATGATTATGGCCCGACACCCACAAGAGCAAAAATTTTAGAGTCCTATTGCCGTGAAATTTCAATGAAGATGACATAGATGAAACTAAACTACCCATGAATTGCCTTAGCCCTTCTCTCAAGGGAAATGAAAAGTAAGAGCAAGGTCTGTGTAGCTTGATGCTAAGTGTGGTTTTCAAAACTTACTGGATCAAATCTCCTGTTGACTTTGGTTGGCATTCCTCCCCCCCACCTAAAATTATGGAAAGTAGAATTAGAACATATAAATTAATAGTGTTTATCAAATTCATTTCTACGGTACAATCAATGTAAGAATTTGACTAAGAAAGATCTGCCCACTGGCATGCTGGTGAAGTAGCTCTTTGAAGAAAAAAATTAGTGAAATGGGGATTGGTAGTGTTTATTCATATCCATGTGTAAATGTTCTCACCGTGGCCAATTTCAGGCTACCAGCATAATGCCGTTGGATGTGCAGTGGGGAGATGTGCACTATTGGTGCTCACCAGCAGGAGCAAACCACAAGGCCCGCTCTAAGAACATGCTCAGAAGGGTTCCTGAGGAGCCCATTTAGCTGACTTTTAGGCATGTTTCTTGTATGAACCAAAAAGGAGACAGCGAGGCAGAACTGGCAAGGATGAAATGGATCTTTCAGTCTTCCATCGCCTCCCTGGCCTGTCCTCACTCATGGAAACCTCTCATCTTTCTGGAGGACTAGGGTTATGCGGAAAGTGGCAGGAAAAAGAATAGGGCTTCTTATGGCTGCACCAGGGAATGATGTCTACTGGCCCCAGAGAGGGTTGGAGGGAAGAAAAAAACTCTGGTTTATCTGCTCTGCAAAGGGAAAGGCCTTGTCCCGTTAGTCTTTAGATGTTTATGGGTACCTATTTCTTATGACTTTGTAAATTTTCTATTATATTTTATTAGCACTAGGCAGGGCTATAAATAACTAGCAGTGAAAACTTAATGGAAGTCTGAAAAAGGTGCTTACACTTATGTTGGAGACAGCAGGAGAGAGGAGGAGTTGGGAAAAGGCATGGGCTTTGGATGCTCTTCAGGGAGAACACACGGGCAGCAGCTGGAGGAGGCTGGCAGGCGGAGCTCCTGGGACCAAAACACGGAGGCACCGGGCCTGGCCTGAGACAAGGGGGTCTACTGGTAGGAGGCCCCCTTTTCACATTACTCTCTTCAATAACCTCCTCTTGTCCTGTGCTCTCACGGGACTCCTTTCACTTCTATTTAGGATCTAAGCAAGCCTGAAGGCTTGATGTATTAGAATGTAAGCTTTGTGAAGATTGGAATTTTTAATTTTTGGTCCTCTGTCATAATCCCAAAGTGCAGAACGCTACATTGGCACATACTATTTATTGAGGGACCACTTTATGAATAAAGGAATGAATGATGCTTCCTTAGGAAAAGCTGGGTAGTTCTTAAAACTGAATGGAATGACAAAACCATAGAGACAGTAAAAAGATTCAGAGTTGCTAAGAGTTCGGGGTGTAGTAGGGAAGAATGAATTGGTGGAAAGGAGGGCATATCTGGGGGAGTTTAATTATTCTGCATGATACTGTAGTGGGGGACATTACATATTTGTCAAAATCTATAGACTGTACAACACAAACAGTGAATGAAGCCTGATGTAAACTATGGACTTTAATACTAATATATTAATACCGGTTCATCAATTACACCAAACGCACCTCAAAATGCAAGATGTTAATAATAGGGGATATTGTGTGTGTGCATGAGGAGAGGAGGTGTATGGGAACTTTGCAGTTCCTGTTCAATTTTTCTGATAACTTAAAACTGCTCTAAAAAATAAAGTCATTAAAAATGAGTGGATCAACTTCGAATCATCAAAACTGCTATTTCTAAACCATGGAGGATGCTTTAGATTATTTGTGTATGGGGTATCAAGAAATATGAAATGGAAATAACATCAAGAGGGGAGGGACATATTCTTAAACAACTGGCTGTTGGAATAACCCCTCATGGGTGCCATTGCTGAGGTACGATGGGTAATGCCTTAGTCCTGTGTGTTGTGCCTGATAATCAACAGATGCCCTCCGCTAATGTTCTTTCAGTTTCTCAGAATCTAAACTTTTTTCCCCCAAATGATTTTCCATTTTGTCCGCTATTCTTAGCCAGAGCCTAATTATGTCTAGGTGTCATAATTAATGAAGCCATAAGAGTATAGCTATGCTGCTTTATAATACTATCTATTAGCCCTTTAATGATAAATTTACAAAACTCAAGTACAAGTAACTTATTCGGATTCAATCACGACACACCACCATACAGTCAAATAAAACAGCAGTAGTATATCTACCACTTTTTATAATATGCTAAACTAGAGAATAGACAAATACAGCTTAACCTTTCTGCAAATATATTTTGGAAGCACAGCATCAGTGAAGCCTGCTAGTACTTAACCCTTTACTTTTTTACTTGCTGTTTCCTATAAGACCACACAGCAAAGGAGGACCTTTCTATCCAGCCCAGCTCTGTGGCTCAGTGCTACTGTATAGCTGGCCAGATGAGTCAAGACCACATTCAAACCTGAATCCTGAAGTCTGCTCAAGAGCTTTTGGAACCGATGACAAGAAGGAAGAACAGAAACCCACTCTGAGTTTGCTGTTAACACCAGCCTGTACAGCTAAGGCCACTGGCATGTCTAGATTTTGCCCAGGAATAATCTGGACTTGTCTCTGGCTCATGTTAGTGAATTCATGTGATCACATCCCAGGCTCAGTTCCAGAGTGACACACGACCCCTGTAATCAGTCAATTGCGATTGTTCTTGCGTTGGGGGGTGGGATTCAGGTTAGGCAGTCTGGAGAGATAAGCTGAAACCACTCAAACTGGATGCCCTGATGCTATTGCTGGTCACAGGCAAAAAATGCATACACCAAAGGGGAATACGTGCCCCAAAAGCATTTCATTTATCAAAAGACTGTGACATTTTACAAATCTTCAGACCCTCAAGAATCTCCAAATACCATTATCACAAATACTTTCTCCCATCAAATGCAGTAAAAAGTAACTGAAAAGCGACTTCTTTAAATTAAGCATCAGCTGTTGACTTTCTTTTAGGGCTATATATTTTTAACAAATAAACCGAATTTTTAACTTGTGAAGAGTTGCACCTTATGGGTGAAGACACCACAGCCATGCTGGCTGGGGAGACCTGGGGAGCTGGTTATGCTCACTGAGCAGCTATGGAACTCCCTCCTGGACATAAGCTCTGCGGAGGTCAACTGTGACCAGCTGCAACAATAAATGGGGAATTTCTGAATGCTAGGCATCACCTGTACTTAAAAACTTAATGACAAATTATTTTCCTAACCAGCAATTTGATGAGTATCTGAGGTTTTCTTTTCTTTAATAACTGAAATAGTGTTTTATGAGCTCTCTAGTTGGCTTAGGAGAAAATAATCTAGTTTCTTTTTCTTAAACATATAAGGCTTTAACAAAAAGCATACTCAATCATACATGGAACATGCTGAGCATACTCTCCTCCTGCTAAGGTACACGTGGGTCCCTGAGACATCTCCAAGCTCCTTTCAATCTCTTATACATCTGTGAACTCACATAGCTGATAAAGATTTTCATCTAGAATGGAGAACAAGTCTGCTAAAGGTGAAGCGCTATTTCTACTTTTTATATAGTCTTTTCTCAACAATAAACTGCTTCAAAATTGTGCTGATTTTGATGTTTTTAAAAATCTGTGACATATTAAGTGTAAGTTAGTTTACTGATCTGACTCTTAAAACTTGACAGCAGAGGCGATAACCTAATTGATTCAGGGACCGTCCTTGTGATTTGCTTTGACGTACAAGTATTTCAAGAAAATTATTAGAAAAATTTAAAAATAAAAGCAATTGGCACATAAAAACCCAAGTCTTGGTTGATGGCAACACCATTCTTGCAGTTGCTCAAGCCAAAACCTTTGAGTCATCCTTGACAACTCCCGTTCTCTCACACACCATATCCACTGTCAGCAAATCCAGCTGGCACCACCTTCGGAGTATATTCCCCCTACCCAGCCATTTCACATGCTCTGGTTCACTGTCACCTCACCAGAGTTAGTACAAAGGTAACTGACCTCCCTACTTCGATCCTCCTCTCTGCCATTTTATTTCCTTCCACATTGTCTTGAAAGTGCTTAATAACCAAAAACACATTCCTGGGTTATGGCACCATAGGTAAGAAAATGCAAAAAATAGGAGCTGTGAGCCTTCTTTTGGACTGTGACATTATTCATTCATGAGAGACCTAAATTTGAGAAAACCAATTATCCTGTGTAGACAGTTGCAGCCCGTAAGAAGAAATCAGTCTGTTAAGCAAGGAATACTCTTGATAGGGATAAGAACCAACTGGCTCCACAGGTGTCAGTTTAAAATCAGAGGTGTGATTTCTGAGTTACCTGCACCTAGTAAGAAATGAGTCTTTCAATCTTGATTTGGTTCTCTGATAAGACAGACTCCTCTGCAAGGCTCAGCACAGGTACACATAGGGCCCTGAGATGTCTGTCCCAACTTCTAACTTGCAATCTTTTATACATCTACTAACTGACGAAGCTGATAAAGACTTTGGTCTAGAATAGACAATAATTCTGCTAAAGCTCCATTCTCAGTAAACTTGATTTGGGAAGATGACTTATGTGAACCCATCTTCACCATCTATTCATTACTGAATGTTAATTTTCTCCATAAATTCCTTTTTTTTAAAGAGATAGGACGTGGAATAATAACTTTAAGACAGAATTCTTATGTCCTGGTTTAAAACAAGTTATATCACCAGTGAATAAGTTGTCCTCTTTGCCAAGGCAGGAGTTCCTGTCTTCCTTTTCTCTAAAAGCAATATCAAGTTATTTAGATATAAAATGTAAACTATTATGTTATTTAGTTATTTCTAAATAATATAAAATGTAAACTATTATGCCCCGTGTTACACTAAGGGACATAATATCCCTAACGAAGTCTGGTATTTGATATTTCAAGGGCCTAAACTTTTGCAGAGGTGTTATGATATAGGCTTTGAAAGTATTAATAGCCACAGAGTAGGTGAGGCCACTCTGAGCCACAAGTGATTTTTGTCAATGAGATAAAAAGTTAAACCACATTACTTCATTATACAAATGCATCCACAGATTCGTAGGGAGAGGAGAGGAGCCAAGATTCACACGAAGAATGTTCACATGCCTTTTGTAAAAGGCTATCCATTATGGGGAATCATTGTCATGTTTCTAAAGATCTAGGTGATACACTCCTTCTTACAGTCTGGTGCCAGGAAAAATGTGTTCTCTGATCTTAACTCCTGTGCTTCCTTGTATCATACAACATGAACTACGGGATCGATTGTTTCTCTTTTTGTTAAGGCTACCTAGAAACTTGGAGTAAAACTATCCTCAATGTATGCACACGGTAATCCTTTCTAATCACATGACTCTATTTTTATACCCCCAAAATCAGGAATTCTATCATGTATGTAACTCATTATAGTGTCCTGCAAATACTTTTTGGAAAGCAGAATAAATAAATGAAACAAAACATTCCTGGATTAATAAGCTCTTGTAATACTAAGTTTTCTGAACTCTAGCCCCCTGCAGTGTGTTCATGCTCAGGGGACATATGTAATAATTTGGGAATAGCGGTGTCTACTATTCAGCCTCCTTTTGTAAGATTTCTTTTTGTCCATCACCAGAACATTTTTTAAGCTTGGAAAATAAGTACTTATTTTTAATTAAGTACTTTATAGACTTTATTCCTTAACATTTGATCAAAAACTTAATAAGCTTAAAGGCTATATTCTCCAGATAGGACAGATCAAAGGCACATTTCTAATCCTTGATTGGAATATGCCAAATAATTGGTTATTCTACTTCATTGTGCTTTATAAAACTTATCTAAGACTTACCTTCTCATGTTATTTATGGGTTGAGAAAAATCTGATGTAGAAATATTTAAGGGATGTTTTCTTCTTGGAATAATTTTTGGAGAAAGGTCCTTTATAATGAGGGTCATTCAAAAGTTCAAAAACATTACCATTAAATAAAATGAAAACTTCTCTTTAAAACGTAATCACTGCAACCCACCGAATGGGAGAAAATGTTTGCAAATCATGTATCTGATAAGGGGTTAGTATCTAGAATACATAAAGAACTCCCACACTTCAACAACAACAAAACAACCTGATTGAAAAATGGGCAAAGGACTTGAATAAACATTTCTGCAAAGAGACACAAATGTCCAATAAGCACTTAAAAAGACATTCAGCATCATTAAGCATAAAGTAATGCATATCAAAACCACAATGAGATACTATTTCACACCCATAAGGATGGCTACTATTAAAAAAAAAAAAACAGAGAATAACAAGCGTTAGCAAGGATGTGGAGAAACCGAAGGCCCTGTCCACTGCCAGAGGGAATGGAAAATGGTGCAGCTACTGTTAAAACAGTATGGTGGTTCCTAAAAACATTAAAAATAGAATTACCACATAATCCACCAATCCTACTTTTCAGTATATACTAAAAAAAAAACTGAAAGCAGGGTCTCAAAGTGATATTTATACACCCATGTTCATAGCACCATTATTTATAATAGTCCAAAGGCGGAAGCAATCCTAATGTCAATGAATGAATAAACAAAATGTGTTCTATGCATTCTAGATACTCTTTATCAGAGAGATGATCTGCAAATCATCTCTCTGATAAATGGGAGAGATGATCTCCCATTCAGTGCTATGCAGTGATTATATACATACTGGAATATTATTCAGACTTAAAAAGGAAATTCTGATACATGCCCCAACATGGATGAATCTTGAAGACATTAAGTTAAGTGAAATAAGCCAGTCACAAAAAGACAAATATTACACGCGGTACCTAGAGTAGTCAAATTCAGAGACAGAAAGTAGAACAGTAATTTCCAGGGGGTTGGAGGAGGGGAGAATAAAGCATTATTGTTTAATGGGTACAGATTGTTAGTTTTGCAAGATGAAAATGTTCTGAAGATTGGTTGCACAGCAATGTGGGTCTACTACTATTGAAATGTATATACTTAAATGGTCAAGATGGTAAATTTTATGTTATACATATTTTACAAACCTAAAAATAAAAGAAAGTCACCTAATGTACTACTATTTACAGAGCATCTTATATGTCCAGAGGAAGTGAGGAGAGAAAAAACAAAGGCTGGGCTCTCCGTTGAGAAGTAGCTGCATGCAACCCAGCCCTGGCATGCTAAGAATCTAATAGAGGAAACAGCTGTAATGTATAGCAATAACTGATGGGCATTTTAAGGAAAGAGGTGTCAGAACTTTGTAAAATGCAGGCAGACTTATGTGTGTTTCTCTAGCTTTTAACATAAAGCCTGGCATGGAGGCTGTCTTCAACAAATATTAGCGGATGAATAAATAGGTAAAAAAGAGAGAAACATAAAAGATAACCCCAAGATTTCTAACTTGGTATACAAATAAATGACCTCACTATGGTCTGAGAGTGATGACAAGTTCTGTTTTAGACAAGTAGGATTTTACATGACATAGGCATCTGTAGTTGGAGATACAGGGCTGCTATGCAAATTAAAGGTCAAGGTTCTAAACGGAACTGTGAGCGTCATGTCACAGAAGATGAGTTCAACGAAAGGTGGTTGAACTCACCAAATAAGTGAGTCAAAAAAGCAAAGAACTGGGGACTGAGACAAAAGTGTCCTTGGGTGAAGGAAACAAGAAGGTAAATGGAACAGCAGTAACATACAGGTGGAAGGGGAACTTCTAATAGAGCTGTTCACAGTTCTTGTTCTTGCATAAATCCTGGGCTTCTTTTAGGAGGTAAGTGGGCCAGATCTGAATTTGCCTTATCTCTGGGGCAGCTGCATGTTTCTCAGCCTGACTGGCTGATTCATGTGCAGTCACTGAAATGAGTCAGTCCTGGAGAAGGTGAGGGCTAGGGAAAGCTTGCTGAATTTGATAAGAACCTTTCAGAGAGCAGTTCTCACAAGGAGGCCACCCCAGAAGCCGGACTGAAGGGAGTTGGCGAGGAAGTGGGCAGAAGAAGCCGAGGAAGCAGGTGTGGGCCACATGCTGGAGACTTTTGACCCAGAAAGGAAGCAGGAAATCTGGATAGTAACCAGAAGGATTAGCTGGGTCAAGGAAAAAGACGTTTTACTTGTATTTTAAGAAAATGAGAGCTGATCCTGTCGGAAGGTGGGAAGGATGCCCACAGAACAGGAGAAAATGAAGCAGCTCTGAAAAGGTGACAATTGCTGGAGTTAAGTGCTGGATGAGCGAAAGAAAGGAAACAGGAAAGAATATAAGAACAGTGAAAGGGGTGATCCAGTGGTTTTAAGGATCCTAAAACTTGAAGGAGCCTAAGCTCAAAAAAGACCTAAAGTGTTGTGGGCTTTGGAACCAGGCAGACCCAGGTGCACACCCCACTTTATCACATGTTGGCTAAATCACCTTAGTCTCAATTTCCTCACCTGTAAAATAGGGAGAATACTACTTCATAGAGTTGTTCTGGGATGAGGACGGATTTATATGAAGTACTTAGTACTAACATAGAGAGGTACTTAACAGATAAATGCCCACTATTAGTCTTCTGTTGAAATAAATAGTTGGCAGGGGAAATCTGGGGCTTAAAGTAAAGAGGTAAAGATTTGGAGTCAGCACTGTACAGAAGTTCTAACGAATGGAAGAAAGGCACATAAGAATCTATATGATTCTGCATTGTTCTCCAGCAGGGCTGTCTCTTCTGGGAGAAAAGAAGGGAAAAGGTGGCTTTGATGCAGGGTTGGAAACATGGAGCAAGGAGGATGGGGAGGATGGTGTAACCCATGACAGAGTTCTGGGTAGGAAGGAAGTATATAGAGCCAATGGGGGCCTTTGGACCAGAGGAAATAGACAGCGTGAAGTTAGGAACAAGTGAAAAATCAGGCAGGCCAAATTATTTAAAAATGGATGCATATTCTATAAAGTGATACTAGATATAGTCCTGACTCCATGTTCTTTTTAGCACTGGAGCAAACATCTGAAAGTGCTTGATAAGAACTTCAGAACCTGAGAAGACCTTCTGGGTAACAATGAGAATTACCAATGTCAATGCTGTTTTTGTTCACATATCAGTGTTGTTATGCTTCTTGTCCTTTACCAATGGTCCACTATGGGTACAAATTTAAGCATGACTAGGAATTAGAGTAATTCAAGACTGTATAATGGGCAAAATACATGACGAGAGCTAGGGCTATTCAGCTGAATGACACACTAACCAAGTGATAGGATCATAAACTGATCTCATCTCCACTTAGCAGCTGCAAATGCCCATTAAATGCACACTGTGGTGCTCAAATGATTCCATTTTATAAATACTTATAAATACATTTTTAAAAATTAAGCAAACACCATTCACTCCTTAAAAGTGACATGCACCCTCTAGAACTCCTCCTTGAACTCACAGTTGAAAAACATTCTCTAAGGTAAAAAGATATCTGTTTTATATTATCTAAAATGGTTCTCTAGAAATCTCAAATCCACCAGTCTGCTACCTCACTTTGTTCTGTCTAGATATGCCCAACTAGCGAAGAACAAAAAGATCTGTTCCTCTATCAGGCTTCTGATGCCGAACAGTATGAACATGAACTTGCTTGGGACTGTGCCCAAAACCATTGCGCATCTTAAGGTCTATCCTTTCCAAGGTACACATTTTGAAGTTACAGAATTTATGAGAGAACTGTTTTGTAAGGAATGTTAAAACATTAGGGGTATAGTTATTCTCTCAGTGAACTTGTTTTATTCACTTCATGTTTCCTTGTAGGAACTGCTGCTCTGTCACTCTGTTTATTTCACATTTGTTTGGTGACAAGGAATCATTCATTCTACAGTTCAACTAAGAAGCCCATACATATTTTTACTTTAAATCTTCAGTTTCTTGCTGCAACAGATATTGAGGACAAAAATGTAACAAGCACAAGGGTATTTGCTTTGATTTATATTAAACTTCTGGTTTTGCTCTTGAAACTTCTGCTTTAACACACTTATTATAAAACACTGTTTGAACTGAAAGGGGCTCTGAGAGTCCACATGATCCCTCCTGGTGACCAGGTAATTACTTTTCCTTCTATAGAGACCTGAGACTCAGAGAGATTAAGGAACATATTCAAAGTCACACAGCAAAGTCATATGGCTATCCAGAGAAATGAATGGGCAGAGCCCAGGTCTCCTAACCTTTAGGATGAAGACTGGTGACTATGTTGTGAAAAGAAGTTTCTTTATCACCATCTTCTAGATTTGTTTTAGCAAACATTTTATTATCATCTAGCTATACATTTTTCTTTCTACTATAGGAATTCATTTATATCTAGAGTTCATCTTCTTGTATTCATGCTTTCTCTGTGAATCTGTCACTGCTCTCCTTACTTCTCTATTCAATCTTTTATTTTAATACATTTATGCTTCCTATTGAAAAATGCACATTTTGAGCTTTCTTCTCCCAATGTATTTTTTTTTAACGAGTTTCGGCTGACCTTCAAATGAAAGAACACAGTTTAGGAAACATCTTACTAAAGACTGTAGGACAGATTTGGTTTTCATCAAGGTTAGGCTTTAGCAGGAACATTTTTAGGTGGTGTTAAAAATACTACAGATTCATCCAACTCATAGTTGCCTTCCCCAAATCACCAAATTAGTAATTAACGCCTCCAAGTTTAAAAGGAAATATCAGAACATCATCTAGTTCTTCCTGAATTCTTAAGAAGTTTTCTTATTTTTCCTCATGGGAGTCTCAAATTTGTTGAGTTTACCTATTTTTAGCATTTGCTGTGTTACACCAAAAACAAATTTTTCATCCCAATACTCAACAGATAAAATGATAGCTTATCTGAGGACACTGAGAAAATGGAAGCAGAAACAAATATGTAAACCAGGGTGACTCGTTTCTGTTTAGTACCCTTAAAGAAAAGTAACACTTTGGTGCAATTTGGGGAGCAAAGTCAGTTTTGAAGATGAATGCATGTACATCAAGATAAAAATATTTAATTTTCCTTCATTAAAAATGGTGGTAGAAAAGCAAGTCAGGATTCAAGCCAACTAAGTACAAGAATCATGTTAAACCTTGGCTCAAATAACAGGAATCTTTTCCTCTGGTCCTCATAGATTGTTAGTGGACTGCTTCAAAGCTTACATACTTACCAAGCTTATAGGACTTGGGATATTCCTGACCAGCAGCCTGCTGTCTGCCTGGGTATCTCCTCTAGACACACTTTGATGAGCTTTTAACCTTTATTATCTCTGTGGTGGGATTGATTCTGGGCCCTGGGATGCCACGGCTGTTGGTGGGATGGATGGACTCCTGCTGCAGCCACTGAGGAATGCAGGGTCTGCCCTCCTGGACTCCATTCCTTAGTGACAGATGCAATAACTTGAATGGAACTACTCCTCACCAATCCGAGGTTCAGACTGAGTCCAAAGAATCTCAAGAATTACTCTAGGCACAACGGGAATGTTGCACATCCCCCAAACAAGGGGGAGATTTAGGACGTCATTTCCACGAGGCAGGAATTTCTAGAGGCCCAAGAATTCAGAATCTATGGACTGCCATCTTCTAACTGTGGGGAAGTCGACTGAATTGGTAGGGGTAGGGAAAGCTACCCACCAACACCCCAGGCCCACCCTCCCCCTTGTTGCAAGTTGTCTAGTATTAGTTTTGGGGTCCAGGGCCTTGCCTGCTGCTTCGCCGCTATCTGACAGCTACTTTAGTGGGGTCTCCAGGATTGCGCTAGACATCAGGCTGTACTTGCCAAGTTAGACTTGTTCAATGTGCTAAGTCTTGGCCAGCGATAGGAGTACTGGAAATAGTTCTTCCTGCCTTTTCAATACAATCATACTTGTCTTCTGACATGACAACAGATTTGGTGACAAAAGGATGTGCCCTCGCCTTACTGGCTGACTCTGCCCTACCTGAAGCACAAATGTGAAAAATCCCCTTCCATTTAAGGCAGAGAACCCTGTAGCCATGAGGCTCTCTAGGATCCTGGTGGAAACTTGTAAAATGTATTTAAAATTTTGGACCTAAATGTTGCTGCAACAGACACAATGGGAGATGAGACTTCACAGGCAATGCTTTGTTATGGCATGAAGAAAACAGGGGCACAGAAAGCCCTTTTATAGTTTCATATGGAGTCTTGTGGGCTGACCAGTAACCCTGAAAACATGAGGGCTGTCAGGGCAAGGAGGGGCCTGTGGGGTCCATCATGTTGTTTGGAAGAATCACATCCTGCAGGGGCTCCCACTGCCCTGGCAGACAGGGCTTCTTCCAAGAGCTGGAAAACGGCATTTGTTCCACAGAATAAGAAGGAGAGTTAAGAAGCCTCTTCCCATCCAAGACAAAGGGGCAGGCAACTGCACAGAAACTCGAGGGGCGGTTACTCACTGCTTGCAGCTATGCCATCAGGAGCTTTTACTAACGTTACGCATGTCCTGCTGTCCTTGTCTTCCTAGTAACACTTCTCCAGGTTTCAGATAACTTTTGAATGTGTGTTCCCTAAAATAATCAACCCTGGCTGTCTCCCCTGAAATTTTTTCATTGCTGTCCAAATCCTCATTTCCTGATCAACTAGATTTTCTACCTCCAACAAAACCTCAACATACTTAATGATCTACACGTCTAGAAATGCTTTTACATTATTTGCTACTCTGGGCACACAGGTAATTCTGCCTAGTTCTAAATATCATGTTCACTCTTCTTTCCCTACTTATTACATACATTGCATACATCATTCTGCTCCAACCCCTCTGTAATGCTAGGGGTGAAAAGAAAACTTCTTCTCCCTTAAATCTCTCACTGGCAAAAGATCACTGCTGGCAACAGTAAATTATAAATATGAAGTTTCTCTGTAACGCTTTTCCGAGACGTCATAGTAACAACGGCTCAAAGCATGATCTTGTATGGCAGAGTGAAATGAAAAGGTTCTGATTTGATCAGAGATGCCTCTGTTGGACCCTTAGTTCTTTTTTTTTTTTTTTTTTTTTGAGACGGAGTTTCGCTCTGTCGCCCAGGCTGGAGTGCAGTGGCGCGATCTCGACTCACTGCAAGCTCCGCCTCCCGGGTTCACGCCATTCTCCTGCCTCAGCCTCCCGTGTAGCTGGGACTACAGGCGCGCGCCACCATGCCCGGCTAATTTTTTTTTATTTTTAGTAGAGACGGGGTTTCACCGTGTTAGCCAGGATGGTCTCGATCTCCTGACCTCGTGATCCGCCCGTCTCGGCCTCCCAAAGTGCTGGGATTACAGGCGTGAGCCACCGCGCCCGGCCGGACCCTTAGTTCTGAGATACTACAAATATACCTTCTTGCAAGTTACTTATTAAAATATATTTTCCAGGGTGCTGGCATAATTCCAGAAAACAGTTTGTCTATCTTGGCTCTCAAAGTCTGAAATTAATGTTTAAACTAAAACCTTACCTTCTCTAAACATAATGGAAAGACCTAGATTATTTTTAAAATCTTCTTTGTAATCTTAGAAGAAACTATCAATTTAACCACATCATTTGTAACTACCAACTTAAATGTTATAAGGTGATGAATCCCTTGTATAATGAAAAATCTCTCAACTACTGAATGTTTGCTCGATGGGTTTAATATGATGGTGAATTTTGGGAGAAGAATATATAAATATGTACACACATTTTAAATATGTATACATTATATTAGATTGAAATACATATATATCTGCACCAACTTAGGAGTATCTGAAAGTTTTTTGTTTTCATTTGGGGCACATACTTAACTGAATTCTTCTTATCCTCTAATGTTTTTTGGTTGAGTCCCAGGAAAAATAACAAGAAAAACTAATCAACAACAACGACGACAAACCCAACCACACAAAAAACTTCGGGAATGAATAATTTAACCAAAATATTAGATACAACTCTTATACTAGCACTGCCTTGACAACAAGTCAGGATCGCTCATATTTTTAAGTTATAATTTCATTACCTACAGTACCAGGCTCCTCTGTCAAATAAGGCTTTATTACAGGGCTATTATGTAATTCAATTCATGGCTTAAAAATGTCTCCTATGTCTGGAAAACCTAATTGGAATGGTACTGTCCTTGCCTCTTGGTAAGAAATCATTAAACTGGAATTCAGTAACCCGATTTTATTTTAAAAATAATATAGCGCATTTTTATTCAGTTTTTGAAATACCCTTCTAAGCTTTTGAGTGATTTAACCAGTCTTCTTTCTTATGCCCTGGGACCTTATGTTGACCTGAAGTTTAAGTTATGAAGGAGGTGTCTTATCTTCTGTTGTTACTTGAGCCTCTACAACCTCTCTCAAAAGCCCATTTTTCCCGTCCCTTAGCCATCTCCTGGCAAGAAGCCCCACTCCCTGCCATTTGCCACTTGTTCTGGGCTATTTTAATTCTGGACAAGTTGTGGTAGTAGGCTATATTTAAATTGGCCTGCTCTGCGAAGAAACACGGCAAATGCATGTGGCACCTTTTCCCTTTTTGACATAATCCAATTGTGCTCTGGCTCTGAATCAAGCTGTGAGATTCTGTACCACACACCCTGGCTTGACTCCCACTCCCCGCTTCCTAGGTGTTTACCACCCAATAGGTGGGGCAGTGGGCGTTTTCTGGGAGAAATGAGCCATGGCAGGGACTGTAGAGCAGTCACCAAAAACTTAAGAGACTGAATTGAGAAACGTGAACAATAATGAAAGGAAAAGTAAAGATGCTTTCTGGCTCCAGCTGAGCACGGCTGGAATATTTATAGAATAATTTTTTCAAAGACCAATTTCCAGATATAAATTTTGTAAGGTATAATACATTTACTGAGAGAAGCTTACAAGAAACTGCACGCACATAAAAAAGCCAGCTTTCTCATGTTTCTGAGCTTTTAGATGTGGACGTTCTAAGAACATTTGGTTCTAAGCTGCACCTCCCTTTTGCCTCCTCCACTGCCATTAGTTTAGACACGTCTGTGCTAGACAGAGGGTATAAGCTCTTACCTGGAGTTATACTGTTGCTTCGAGAAGAAAAATAGGTCAGAAATGCCCTGAATCATTAAAAATTACATAAAATGTACAAAACACCTTTCTAGAGAACAGCTGTTGAGGGCTTGTAAACTTTCACAGTTCAAAGTTGACCTAAAGCCAGAATTATCCCTCTATCATGAAAAATCAGAAGACAGTTAACTTTTGAGGAAATATTTTACATGTCTAGGACTTTTGCCTAAAGACCTAACACACATGATGCTGATATTAACATCTTCACTTTGCTGGCAGTGGAATTAAAATCCAGCTTAAATTATATGATCATATTCACCTAGCAGATCTGGAGGAATTTTAGTATAGAAACCAAGGTTTCGGCCTATTTACTTTTAAGATGTTTATTTTGCCTGCCTGG
The DNA here is from genome assembly GCF_000001405.40 of Homo sapiens. Classification (NCBI taxonomy): domain Eukaryota; kingdom Metazoa; phylum Chordata; class Mammalia; order Primates; family Hominidae; genus Homo; species Homo sapiens. The sequence continues at coordinate 74,275,001 of NC_000008.11, forward strand.
GCTATGAGAATTTTCCTACTGTCAGCCAAATTTTTATTTGATTTTTTGCTGAATAAACATTACTACCCAAGCAAGTAGTAAATAACAGACTGGGCTTTTGTTTTCTGGAATAAGCAGGAAAACCATCTTAGAAATGTTAAGTTAAAAAAAAGTCTTCATCCACCTAGACTTGAATTAATTCAAAGCCACTTTTAAATGTCCCTAACACAGGAGGGACCATTCACAGACTATTTGGTTACATGTAGTCAGGGATACAGACTTTCAAACTTATCTACATAGTAGCAAAACAGAGATGAAGAAAATGGATCAAAACAGAGATGTCTGTTTTTACTGGAGGGCACATGTTACTGAATATAATTACGCTTTGAATATCATGAAAACACAACCCCAAATAAATCCCATGTTACCCTTAGTGCTCTGAGCTTTCAGAGAGCGAATTCCAGATTTCAATAAACAAGATGTCATCTTCTTTCCTGAATGCCTTCCCAAGCTCTCTGGTATTCTTTTAAGTAAGAAAATTACCTAAGGTCTTCTTAGTTTTTCTTTTCTTTTTCTAAGATGTTTCTTTAAGCTCATTCTTAAAGCCAGCATGACAACGAAAAATGTGAGCGGCTCTTTCACCGTAACTATGCAGAACTGCACTTGGCAAGAGGTTGTGTATTCACTAATCTGGATCAAGAACCTGCCTTGGAAGCCCACTGTGGCTACATCACAACAGACAATGGGAGCATAACGTCCTTAAAGGAACTTCCAATCCTTTAATGTAACAGTCATCAGTTTTTCTTCACAGAACAAGGATATGAGGCAGACACACTTCCCCACCCCCTGCTCTGAGAATGGGGAGAAAGGTTTCTGAGTCCTCTTTCTTACGTCAGAATCAAATCAGGAAAGAGACCAATTCTGGCCTTAAAAAACAATCTAAGTGGTTATTATTGAGCTTTTAAAAATATTTTTAAAAATATTCCTAATTATGGTTCGAATTTGATTATATTGTATGCTTCCCTGTAATATTATCAACTAGAAGCACACATATAGCTCATACATGCTCTAAGATTTAAATGAATGAAAGGGTTATGGGTCATTATTTCTAGGAATAAGAGGGTAAAGGAGAAGTTAAGAGAAAGTGTATATTCTTTTAAGGAGGCCAGGAGAGAAACTAACATTAAATGGACACATAAAACCATAGGTGTTGGGAGCTGGAAAAAAGGGGCACAGGTCAAGGTTTTTAGGTAAAAGAGTCGTGACAGATGGAACAGGTCCCAGATGTCTACACTAGCCATAGGACCGTGCTCCACTCATCCTGAACAACAGGTTGATCTGAGGCTGTGAAGGCAGGAGCAGGGAGATGACCTGTGAACTCTGCCCTTTGTAACATGGAGGTCAAGTCCCAGGTTCTCGCCTCTATGTGGCAGTAACAGGACAATATATAAAGGAGAGTGGCAGACTCTTCCTAGTCAATGATTTGCAACCTATAAAGTACTACCATTGCAAAAATATAAATACCTGGGATACACTGACGATATTAAGTCAATCAAATAAGTATTGACAATAATGATAATTACTGTTAACACCGAGTGCTTATTATATGCCAGGTTTAACTAGCATTATCTGAGAAGTTTCTGCATAACATCTGTCATCTACCTTGGGCCACCAGTTGGTGAGTGGCGGAAGCAAGGGTGACCTGAAGGTAAGAACTGCACATGCACACCTGCATCCCACCCCACTGTCCTAGTCGAGCTGTAGATTTTTCCTATGGTGGTCTTTCTGTCCATTCTGTCTGTAAATCCTTGGTTTTCCACATCATCTGAATTAATAAAAGATGAACATTTTCTTCCAAATGACTTTTTAAAATTTTTCTCAAATCAATATATACAGTTCTCCTTATTGTATGAGTTGATTCTTGCATATAATGACCTTTTAAGAGATGAAGTTTTTAGTTTAAATAAGAGTATAATCGACCATACCATGTAACAAGTGATTGTTAGCTACACTAGTTTTTCACATTATTTTACTTAAAGATAAAAAACTTACGAAGTTTCAACATCTCCCTTAAGCCCTTGTAAGATGTTGAAGTGTTGCCAGTGTTGTTTGTTCTCTTTCACTGAGGTTTCAGCAGGTGATGCAGGCCAAACCCGCTCTAGCAAGCACTTTGTGATCTTGGGGTGGCATATGAAGCCCTCTGCCTGCAAAGCCACCCTGAGGCCACACTTGCCATCCCATCCTGGTCCCCGCTGTGCTCCCGCCATCTGGAGGCCCTCACTGTTCCCTTCCCACCCACTGCCCTCGGCATGTCCTTAGCTGTCTTGGCACCTGTAATATTTGGCATTGAAAAGCCGGCTACCTCAATCTACAGCATATTGTTACAACCACAGCATACCTGCAATCCTTGGATTAGATAAGCATAATGGAATTTTAGTCTCCCTGGACTACAGATGTAGACACATTATTTAGGATTCACAGACTTCAGAAGTGGCAAACTCAAAGTCCCTCTTACATCATATTGGAACACAGCCAAAGTTGAGTTTCTTGCTGTTTGTCCAATCCATTTCTATGGTGGTTAAAAGCATGGGTTCTGGAATCAGACTGCCTGGATGTGAATCAGCTCTCACCACTCACTAGCCTGTAACCCAGGGTAAGTTACTTAGCCTCACTGTGCCTGAGTTTCTTATCTGTGAAACGTGAATAGTGGTAGAACCCACCTCTTAGGGCTAGACGAGGCTCACAGATGTATACATAAATCCTAACAACAGAAAATACAGGCAATGCTGGGCAAAGAATGAGCATTCAATGGCATGCAGAGAATATTTATCCATTTGATTAATAACTTAAAAATAAGTTTCTAAATAAGTAATATATTCACATGGCTCAAAGATATATTAAAAAAAACAGGAAGAGTCTCCCATTCACCCTGATATCAACCCAGCCATAGCTAACCAGTGTTGCTTTTTTTGTTGTTGTTAAGCAAAAGGATTTTCCCAGAGTTTTAAGTATATACAAGAAAATATGAATATAAAATCCTATTTCCCATTTCTAAACAAAAAGAGGCAATATATGTGATATTTATTGATATGGTTTGGCTGTGTCCCCACACAAATCTCATCTTGAATTCCGATGTGTTGTGGGAGGGACCTGGTGGGAGGTAATTGAATCATGGGGGCAGGTTTTTCTCATGCTGTTCTCGTGATAGTGAGTAAGTCTCATGAGATCTGATGGTTTTAAAAAGAGGAGTTCCCCTGCACAAGCTCTGTCTCTTTGTCTGCTGCCATCCATGTAAGACATGACTTGCTTTTCCTTGCCTTCCACCATGATTGTGAGGCTTCCCCAGCCATGTGGAACTGTAAGTCTAATACATGGCACTGTCTTTCCCATAGCCAGGATTCACTGGTCCAGAAATCAAGCAGGGGAAGTGGAAGAGGCCCCACTCACCATCACCCTTAGTGATCCACTAGCAAAATTTTTGCTTCCTGTTCCCGTGACATTACATTCTGCTGGCCTAGAGGTCTTAGTTCCAGAAGGAGGAATGCTGCCACCAGAAGACACAACAATTCCATTAAACTGGAAGTTAAGATTGCCACCTGCACACTTTGGGTTCCTCCTACCTTTTAGTCAACAGGCTAAGGGAGTTACAGTGTTGGCTTGGGTGATTGACCCGGACTAATGCACTTATGTACCTTTGTAAAATGCTACCAGAAACAGTAACCAAGCTTAAGGTAATACGTTGTGCCAAACTCCTTTTCCCTTCATGAGCGATGACAGAGAAATAGGACAGCAGAGACTTAATGGGGTGCTGGTCAAAGACTTGGATTTGGGTCCTGTTCTGCCATTTGTAAGCTGTGTGACTCTGGCAGACCACTTAAAAGTCTTGGAGATGTGGAAGTGGTATTGCCAACATGTTTGTATGGGAATATAATTAGGGATATGTGTAAGTTTTGTAAATTATGAAGCAAGACAGACACACACACACACAGAAACACACACGCACACGCGCGCACACACACACACACACGCATACACACACACAGCATCATTTTAAGTTAGAAGCTGCCACAACCCACAAGGCCACTCTTTCCACTCTGGAAACACTGGTATGTGGCTGTGGAAACACCATGTCCCTATTTCTGATTCAGTATCTGGCTGGCCAGAGGACATTTCTTGTCTAGGGTCCCAAGGCTCTACCATTCCTTGAGAAACAAAGACCTGGTGTGAGGTGGACTCTGACTTAGCTCAACTTTGTTCAACATTTCCCATATGGATCCAATTTCTTTGGGAGCTGAGCTAAAATGTTGTCAACAGTAATTTTTACCTAATGCTAGGCTTAAGGTTTGAAAATAAACAAGAGGTAAATTGGGAAGTGGAGCAGAAGATGACATCAAAGACTTCCCAGCAGTTTTTACTTCCTCGGAAGCAACACAACCTGCTTAGTCCTAAAACCAGGGCTGCCAGACTTTATTCCCTCTGTGTTCCTGACACTGGCAGCAGCTGGGATCTTAGGTTCCTAGGGGGCTGAGCATGGGTGGAGTAGCAGCTCTGCATAGGGGCTTAAGAGAATGGATTCCTTCTACTGCAGACTCCTCACTACTTAGGCCTAGGGCCTTCTATCTACCTGTGATATATTCGTTTCCTCATTTGTAAAATTAAGGGGTGAGAAATACCGCAATTCCAATTCACTTCTTATACAAAAATCTAACATATTCTCTCCCCTTGCTATAAAAGCAGATAAAAGTGTGTATGTTCTGGCTTACAGTTACCCATCTTCACCCCTTGGCTTTCCCCTGCCTCCAACAACAGCCCTTCAATAAAACCTAAGAATTCTGAGGAACACAGTTTGAAAACCACTGGAAAACTAAAGAGTTCTAAAGTTCCCTTCAACTTGAATATTCGATAGTTGTGGTAGCTGCATTTTATTTTTAAATAAATTCATTTATTTGTATAAATAAAAACTAGACCTCTTGTTATTTAGTGATGATAGTCTTCATATTAAATTTGAATTTTTTTGCTTTGGTAAATAAGCATAGAGGTATCAGATTCAACAAAGGAGAGGCAAATATACCTTCTAACTAAACTTTCCTATCATTTGAATGATAAAGAATCTTAAATAATGGACTATGCACAGCAATGAAATCTGTAGTAAGTAAAAAATGAAGTTATATGTATTTGTAACTGTAGATTGCAAAGTCTAGCAATAGATGTTTATGTATATTAACATAACACTCGAGGATTAATAGTTGATTATTTTTATAAGTGCATGGTAGGAGGCATCATAATAGAACCATACAGGGTGCAAAGTACAAATATCCCTAATGGACTGGGCAAAAGGTATCACCTCCTCAGCTGTGAGGTGGTGAAAACTTGGGGGACTTTGCCATCCTCATGGGTAAGAACTCATTATGTGCAGAAATGGCCATTTTAAATTTGACTTCCAAGAACTGGCCTACTCTTCAGCAAAGCAGACAGATGGTTCACATAATATTGGTTTTTAATTTTTGATTATTCTACTGACACATTCACCTTTCTTATTAGTGATGAAATGAATGGAGGTGGGAAGGAAGAAGGGAGGCAGGAAGGGAAGGAACAGCACAGAGAAAAGTGGATAACAGGGAAACTGAGGAGGAAAGGAAAGACGGCGACACATTGTCTACTGTGGATTCAGCACACCAGAGGGTAACTAACCAGAAGACATTTTAGAGTTAAATTTAACATCAAAAATCTATCTTAAGTTCTCAAAAATGTGGAAATTAAAAACTGAATATTTATATAAGACTATAGCATGCATGAAAATATACACTCAAATAATACACACATATCATACTGCCTGCCTTGCAATTACGGAGCATCTATATTTTAGGAACTTTGCTAAGCACTTTATGAACAAATCATTATGCTGGACTCTCACAACAGTTCTGCAAGGTTATTATTCGCTCTAATTTATGTATAAGGAAATATGCTCCAGCAGGTAATGGTTTGTCCAAAGTACACACCAATAAACAGCAGAATCAGGACTAAACCTGAGTGTGTTCAATGACTCAGCTCATGTTCTTTCCTCCGCGTGGTTCTGTCTTTCACCTGGAAATAATTAAAATGTTATGGGGAAATATCTGCCAACTTGTGCTACTTGTTTGCTTATTTTACTGGTTCTTGTGTTTAAGTCTTAAACAACTTAAACTTTTGTATTTAAAGTCTTAAAATGAACTTTCACTAAATTGATCTTTCAGATAAAGAAGATTTTTATCAATTCTGCAAGCTACAGATAAAACTAATAATCAACTGGAAATTAACTAGCATTGCTAAACCAGCTCTGCTTACTGTTATCCTCCCTGGATCAGAATGTTACCAGTGGTTACTTGGACATGTAAGTCTTGCCTTAATATAGTAGGAGCAAAAATCCTACTGATCCCTCAGTGAGCCAGTTTGGTTAAGAGTGATGAAAATACTAAGTGGACAGATGTGTCTACCCAATTATTTCAGTTGGACAGACCTAGCCTTAGTACCCAACACACATTTTGAAATAGCCTCGTACTTTTTAAGAAACAAGTTACTATGGACAACTTTCTAACTAATGTTTGATATGAACATTTCATTTTCATGAGAGTCTGTAAAAGATGCTAAGAGTTCTGATTGCAGGGAATCCAAACTCCAAGCCTGGGGATCACTGTGATGTGTTCCAGATTCATTCTCATCTGTCCTGTGTGGTTAGTGGGAGCTACCCCAACCCTGACCTGACTCATTCCACAACTATCCCCTCACATTCATACTTCTGTGATCTTAGGTCATGGGATAAATCTTCTTGGATTTCCCCCTCCCACACCCTGCCCTTTTCTTACAATCACTGGTACCACCCACTGCCAGCCTCTTCCTTCCCAGGAGAGCTGAATGGCAGCCACCTTTGACATTATAACAGACTGGAAGATGGGGAAAGGCTACGCAGAAATGACCAAACTGGCTCTCGGAAACACGCTTAAGAAGCTGTCTAATCCAACCTGAGTTTAGGAGACTTTCCAAATGTTCCATAGTTCCCTGTGTTGGAAGGATCACTATGCATCAGGCATTACATAAGATCCAGCTCATACATGAACCTACCTAATCCTTTTGATTTCCCTATCAGTATCCTAAAGTTATTGATGAAGACACCAAGGATCAGGGAAGTTAATTTACTTGCCCAAGTTGGAGTCAAGACTTTGCCTGACCCCAAAGCATGTGTTCTTCCCACACTCCACTACCTTAAATCACTGAGATATTCACTGAGTGTGAAAAAGATTAGTCCCCCTTGCATGCCTACTAGTCTAGACCTTCCACCAAGTTTTCCCTATCAAAGACCCAAAGCTGTTATTCAAAAGATGTGTGAATATTTTATTCTAAAATATTACACTTGGAGCGATCTGCCCAACCACAGAATGTATTCCATACCCTATTGGAAAGCTTTAAGTTTTTTTCTGTGCCATTAGGATAGAGATGTCACGAATATGCATGCTGAGGTGGGTACCAACAGTCTTTTCAACTGCAGGAAAACATTTTAAATTAAGAGTTTTAGAATGTATATATTTGAAAATAAGCCAAGCACAGAAAGGTAAATACCACATGGTTTCATTCTTTTGCGGAAGCTGAAAAAGTTAATCTCATAGAAGTAGAGAGTAAAATAGTGGTTAACAGAGGTGAGGAAAGTTAGGAGGGAGATGAGGATAGCCAGAGGAGGTTAACTGAGGCAAAATTACAGCTAGGTAGGAGAAATACATTCTAGTGTTCTATAGCACTACAGGGTGACTATAGTTAACAATTCATTATGCATTTTCGAATAGCTACAAGAGGGGACCGGGAACGTTTCCAACATAAAGAAATGATAAACGTTTGAAGTGATGGATTTCCTAATTGCCCTGATTTGATCATTACACATTGTATACATGTATCAAAATATCACACTGTTCTCTATAAATATGTACAATTATATGTGTCATTTAAACATAATAAATGAATTTAAATGGGTATAATATTTTACTAGAGGTATTTTAATGAAGGGCATCTTGACTTTTAAAACACAGTTAAACAGTGTTTATTGTAGCAATGCTTGTGACAGTAGGGTGTTAGGGGTTATTAGGGGAGCAGCGAGTAAAACGTGTATGTAGACTTTACCATGCAGCAGTCAGAATGCACCAGGGGTACATATGGCTGCATGGATAAATCTTAAAACTGTGCTGAGTGGCAGAAAGTACATATAAATACAACTTAAAATGCATGTAAAATATAAAATGTTATTAATATCTTAAATATATATTTTTAAATTATAAATAAAAGAAAATGGCCTGTGTGGCATAGTGTCATTTATATAAATTAAAAATATAGAAAACAACACTACATTTTTCAATGTCTACATAATCAATGACATATAATAAACATATTACTGAGTGCTTATAGAGGGGAATGGGAAAAAGGGAGCACAAGAGAGGGGCTTGCACTGATGGTTGCATACAGAAAGCCAGAAACTGAGGGCTGTGATGACATCAACCTTCTACACTGAAAGGTTAAGAAAAGGGAAAGGAAGGTGAGAAGGAGGAAAGATGGGCAGAAATACAGGTAGGCAGAGGATGAATACAAGTTATGAATCTAACTCAGAGCTTTGGCTCCACACACTCATTTTAATCTTTTAGTTCTATTTTTATCTTATAGTGGCATAATATACAATCATCAGTTTCAGAAACTTCTTTTAACAGCGTGCTGAGTGCACACACAGCTCCCCCTCCCCAAGCCCTGATTAGAAGCCCAGATTGCAGCTTGAATACTAACATACACTGAAAGTGGTACTTGTTGGCATTAGAATTGAACTCTTGGATTTAGTCCCATAAAAAATGCTCCTTTTTCTTTTTATAAATATATAGACTGGCAGAATATAAACACCACAGAGCAAAGAGATGGAGGAAATGAAAAGAACAGTGGCAAGTAGCGCTTGGATGGGATTTAAAGTCTGAGACTTTCTCCTTTTCCTTACATTCCTCCCCTCCACCCAGGAGATTCAAGGGGTGGCAGTGATTGCAAATTTCCTTCCCTTGGACCCAGGAGTCCTCCTGTCTCTTAACCTCAGGCCAGCTGGGGAGGGCTGTGGTGGTTGGGGAAAAAGCCCTCAGGAGCCAGGGCTGGTGAATGAACTCCTAAACAAACTCTCTATTGACACATCACTAAAAATAAGTATGCTTACATGCATAACACATTTTTGGAACAGTAAACTGAACTCTCTCCTTTATCCTCTCTTGAGACTTATGTGTCATTCTTATTCAAATTTTTATAAAATAAAATGCAGGTGCAACATCTTCCAGCACTGTAGGTAGTAACTTTTGATGTGATGAATGCACATCTGCTGAGAAGTTAAGGAATTGTGGAGAGAGTGGCTGGGTGGTGTATGTCAGCTAGCTAGCCTGTATTCCGGTCAAACGCTGATAAGGCTCACTTGGGCATTGCCTTATTTAGTCAGACTTCTCTGCTGAAACACCGGTGCACGGTGACAACTGTGCATGCTATTACAAGGCTTTCTCCTTTCAGTCATCTGCTGACACACCAATTAAAAAAAGCGTCTCCATTATTGAAACAGCCTTTCCGACTAGCAACTTTCCTACAAAGAATAAAGATAATGATATTATAAATAAATCTGAATATGTTTACCTGGCAAAAGAATTCTCATAAGGAATAATACAAATTGAGTTCTAGTTCTTAAGGCTTTTTTCCCCCAACACTAAACAAATTATAATATTGTATATTACTACTCTACTAGCTTGGCTAAGCTGCATTTTTTTTTTTTTTCATAGACCGGTATGTGCTGGTATGGTTACTATTTCTTCTTTCTTTCTTTTTTTTTTTTTCAGACAAAGTCTCACTCTGTCACCCAGGCTGGAATGCAGTGGCGCAATCTCGGCTCACTGCAACCTCTGCCTCACGGGTTCAAGTGATTCTCCTGCCTCAGCCTCCTGAGTAGCTGGGATTACAGGCAGGTGCCACCACACCTGGCTGATTTTTGTATTTTTAGTAGAGATGGGGTTTCACCATGCTGGTCAGGCTGGTCTCGAACTCCTGACCTTGTAATCCACCCACCTCAGCCTCCCAAAGTGTTGGGATTACAGGCGTGAGCCACTGCGCCTAGCCTATGGTTACTATTTCTAACTGGAGATTTTTTTTTAAACCAACAGGCATTATGGTGTTGTAAAGAGCCTTACACTCAAAGTTAGTGACTTGATCTAGACCTGATTCTGCTATTAACTGCACATACACACATACACACACATATACATGAATTTTTCCATATAAATACTATATCTACTTTATGAATTTTTCCATATAAATACTACATATAAATACTATATGTATTTAAAATATTTTCTAGAAGTCTAGCATGTGAGCCGGTACTACTTCTAGAATGAGGAAGCTCTTTATGTAATGATATGGAATGAAATCCAATATATAGTATATTATTAAATTAAAAAAAAGCCTAGGATGCAGTGTTTTCTGAGCTAGAATCCTTTATCTGCAACTCCAAGATCTTGAAAGCTTTAAAAATCAATATTTCCTTTTTATAAATTTAGTGTCAAAACTTGACAGTAACACCTGAATGCAACTGACATGAGGCTATTTATGATTCTTCTTTATCCCACCTAGTGTGATTATTCAGTTTCCCTGGAGAATTAATGTGTCTGATTACTTGGTGTGCTCAGACCCCCTGGGGATATTATGTAATCTGCATTATATGCAACATGTTGCTTTTCTAAAATCCAGTTCTGAATTCTAAAACATATCTGGACCCAAAAAGTTTTGGATAGCAATTATGGACTTGGAGCATGTAACCATCTGCATCAAAGAGGATAAAACATATTTCTATATATGTAAATAACAGAAAAAGTTTTATGAAGATACTTCACTGCCTTCAGGGAAAGGATTTGGTCAGCTGGAGTGAGGAGGAGATTTATCACTCAGTCTATACCATTTTGTACTTTAAAATTTTGAACCATGAACATGTATCATTTATGCAAAAAATACGGAAAGTTAAATGTTTTAAAAATCATCACTTGTAAATACAGGGCAAGAACCTGGTCTATTTAAAATACATCCTGTTAACTAGCCTTTCATATGCAATGCTTCACACCCATTGCTGGTGGTTACCTTGATCCATATCCTACTCGGTCACCATAAACTCCCATTTCTCTTGACTGTCACCTTACACATTTCCAAGTCTTTCCGATGCAACTGTCCCTTCCTTTAGAACACTGTTAACATTTTTTTCTGCGTTTCTTCTTAAAATTAATTTTTAATATTTATAATTGACATAATGATTGTACACATTTATGGGGTACAGTGTGATGTTTCAATGAGTGTATACATTGCATGATGATCAAATCATGGTCATTACTGTATTTACTACTTTAAACATTGATCATTTCTTAGTGGTGATAACATTCAAAATCTTCTCTTCTAGCTATCTTAAAAGTATACACTACATTGTTGTTTGCCAGAGGCACCCTACTGTACAACAAAACACCAGAACTTATTCTTCCTAACTGTAACTTTGTACCCATTGGCCAACCTCTCCTGATCCCTCTCTTCCCCACTACCTTCCCCTACAGTTCATTTCTTAAATGAAACTTGTATCTCCCTAACCTACCTGATTTATAATTATGTCTGTAACTCTATAAAACATATAAGTAATTGGCCAGATACATGCTTACTTATTTCTCTTATCTTCTCCATTACACTGGAAATTCATGAAAGCAGAAATAAAATAATCTGGCTTTAAAATTTTTACTTGGTACAGTCTTTCTTACATTGATGGTTAGTTAAATGGTGTGTATGTTTGATCTTCCTAAAGTGCCTTCCAGGGCTTGCCCAAACAGTAAGTGAAAAATATTTGCCAAACTGAATTAAGCTTATAAAACACAATCATTTCCCAAGAAAATGGAAAATAAAATGGAAAAAATAATCAAGGCAGGCTTTTGAAGACTCACACAACACCTGTAATGACAAGAGTCTATGTAGGAGATAGAACCCTAGGCTAACAGGGAGCTACTTTTAATTTACAACTCTCAAGAGCTGAAACAGCCACTTGTGGTGGAGAAAACCCAGTAATGCTTTTGGAGCTCTTGCATGCATTAGATATGGTTTAATAAGAATTACTGCAAGTTGGCTGGGCACAGTTGCTCACACCTGTAATCCCAGCACTTTGGGAGGCTGAGGCGGGTGGATCACCTGAGGTCAGTAGTTTGAGACCAGCCTGGCCAACATGGTGAAACCCTGTCTCTACTAAAAATACAAAAATTAGCCATGGTGATGCGTGCCTGTAAACACAGCTACTTGGGAGGCGGAGACACGAGAATCGCGTGAACCTGGGAGGCAGAGGTTGCAGTGAGCCAAGATTGCACTCCGGACTGGGCAACAGAGCGAGACTCTGTCTCAAAAAAAAAAAAAATTACTGTGAGTTAAAAATTACATTTTTTCTTGTAATGTTAAGGAAAAAAGGTTATCTACTGATTGTTATGAGCCCCAAGGACCTAGGGTTGAAATCTTTAAAAATCATGGGCTACTAAATTTAGAAACAGCCTAGATCTTTTTCTTAGAATTCTTGAAATCACTTCAAAATGATTTTTGAGAAGGTCACTAAATTGCATTAGTTTGCACATACAATTTAACAATTAGTCTAGTTTCTTTTTTTTTTTTTTAAGGCAGAAAGCGGAGACTTTTAAAGAAGGGTGAAATTCCACTCAGTGACGTGAAATTTCCGTCTGACTATACATTTCATTCACATCCACTGTTTTGGCACTGGTAACAAACAGTTGCATTCAAAACCAGCAAAAATGAAACAAAATAACTTTTTTTTTGGAAATTAATCTTATTGAAGAAATTCACTTTCAAACTATGTCCCTATAATCACAAACTAAAGAGAAAACATCTATGTCGTTTTCAATACAAATATGTACTTGTTTTAGCTGACAATATTTTTTTTTTTCAGCTAGAAAACCCTTGACAACAATTCTAAGTCACCAGTCTCGCTTTACTGCAAAGAAAATTAACTCCAGGGAAGTCACAATTTATTGGATGTGTTCTATCTGCAAGGTATACAATTATTAAAGAGAACTGGCTGGACTCAGTACAATATTGTCTAATAAGTATTACACCAAAACAGAGGTCTGTACTGAATGCCATGGAGAAGAGGGCAGATGGAGGCGGGTGGAAAAGCAGCCCCAGGAGGGGCTTTGGCGAGGACAGGTTTCATCTTCCCATCCTCCGTGGGTTGCTAAGCCTCTGCCACCCTCTGCAGCAGAATTTCAGCTGCACCAGCACTTATGCCTTGCAATTGGCTGTGTACTTATTTGTCTCACCCAAGGGCTGCCTCTGAAAACCCATTTCTTCAACAGCATGCATGTCATCAGCAAGGAGTAAGCTCTCAATTAACATCCAGTAAATGAACTAGATTGATGAACGACTTTGGGGTGAAAATGGGGAAAGTAGAGCCAGACATCCAGAAGGACAGAGGATCACAGTCTATAAGTGGGGAGGTGGGAAGAGTAAGAAAATGGGGTTGGGCAGGAATGGCAAATGTGGGCAGAAGACAAGAAAACGCAAGAGGGAGAAGGAAAGGATAGTTAAGGAGCACAGGAATAGTCAAGGAAATGCTTTACTAGGAAGGTGAAACACAGAGTTAAGCCCATGGACAATTTCTCAAGAGAGATGAATGCATGTCATCTTTGGTAAATACCAAGGTTGGTGCAAAAGTAACTGCAGTTTTTGCAATTAATTAGGTTGGCGCAAAAATAGCAATTACTTTTGCACCAACCTAATACTAAATAAACAGAAGGTGTGAAACCACAGACTTATGTAACTGTAACAGTCTTCAGTTATTTGAATAACCTTTTGTTTGCACATTTCAGGTAAAAGCTTGTAGATATTTTAAGTATGTAGAGAGCTGACTTGGCCTTAAAAATGACACTCAAACTATGCCCTTCTTTTGTGCATGGAGTGAAGACTTTACCTAAGAGTTTAGTGCTGGGCCAATATGGGCTCACCCATCTGTGAAGGGAGTGGGGAAGCTGCAGCATAAACTCTGAAAGATACAAGCAAACTAGTCCAAGGAAACACATCTGTACTAAAACCACAGGACCTTGTAAACCAGGCAACCTTCAGTAACGGGAAAGGACGTTTTCTATAGAAACCTTCCTGTTTTGAGAAAATGGAGCAACAGTCCAGTCAGATTTGATTTTCATTTCTTTACGTGATTAATAGGAAATGGCTACTGTGGCTTAACACCATTGCAGTCTGGCAATGCCTGCGTCCAACCCACTGACACCACTAGCTACAGCATGACCTTCTTCAGAGAAAGGTAACACCACCTTAGCGAGAACAGACGGGCTAACATATTAATAATGGTGATTAATGCTTTGACTGAAAAATAAGCAGAGACAATTCTAAAGGTATTTAAATGAAAAATGTGCAATAAACATAACCCTGCAGTAGCACACTAAGAACTGGTGTTCCCACAGTGCTGCTGGTGCCCCCAGCACCTGTATTGGTGCCCTTTTCTCATCCTCTTTGCTCTACTTAGCACACTCTCTCCCCATTTCTACCTGCCTAAATCCTTGTCATGGTTCAAGATCCAATTCTAACTCCCCTTTCCCCATGACCTTTCCTGATGCTGCCGCATGGATAAGCCTTTTGCCCTTACGAACATTACTTAGCACTTAAAATGTTCTGAAATAGCTCTTATTATTTTGAGATACGTCCCATCAATACCTAGTTTATTGAGAGTTTTTAGCATGAAGGGCTGCTGAATCTTGTTGAAGGCCTTTTCTGCATCTATTGAGATAATCATGTGGTTTTTGTCTTTGGTTCTGTTTATGTGATGGATGACATTTGTTGATTTGCATATGCTGAACCAGCCTTGCATCCCAGGGATAAAGCCAACTTGATCGTGGTGGATAAGCTTTTTGATGTGCTGCTGGATTTGGTTTGCCAGTATTTTATTGAGGATTTTTGCATCGATGTTCATCAGGGATATTGGTCTAAAATTCACAGCCAATATCATACTGAATGGGCAAAAACTGGAAGCATTCCCTCTGAAAACTGGCACAAGACAGGGATGCCCTCTCTCATCACTCCTATTCAACAGAGTGTTGGAAGTTCTGGCCAGGACAATCAGGCAAGAGAAAGAAATAAAGGAAAAGAGGAAGTCAAATTATCCCTGTTTGCAGATGACATGATTGTATATTTAGAAAACCCCATCATCTCAGCCCAAAATCTCCTTAAGCTGATAAGCAACTTCAGCAAAGTCTCAGGATAAAAAATCAATGGCAAAAATCACAAGCATTCCTATACACAATAACAGACAGAGAGCCAAATCATGAGTGAACTCCCATTCACAATTGCTACAAAGAGAATAAAATACCTAGGAATCCAACTTACAAGGGATGTGAAGGACCTCTTCAAGAAGAACTACAAACCACTGCTCAACAAAATAAAAGAGGACACAAACAAATGGAAGAACATTCCATGCTCACCGATAGGAAGAATCAATGTTGTGAAAATGGCTATACTGCCCAAGGTAATTTATAGATTCAATGCCATCCCCATCAAGCTACCAATGACTTTCTTCACAGAATTGGAAAAAACTACTTTAAAGTTCATATGGAACCAAAAAAGACCCCACATTGCCAAGACAATCCTAAACCAAAAGAACAAAGCTGGAGGCATCACGCTACCTGACTTCAAACTATACTACCAAGCTACAGTAACCAAAACAGCATGGTACTGGTACCAAAACAGAGATATAGACCAATGGAACAGAACAGAGCCCTCAGAAATAATACCACACATCTACAACCATCTGATCTTTGACAAACCTGACAAAAACAAGAAATGGGGAAAAAATTCCCTATTTAATAAATGATGCTGGAAAAACTGGCTAGGCATATGCAGAAAGCTGAAACTGGATCCCGTCCTTACACCTTATACAAAAATTAATTCAAGATGGATTAAAGACTTACATGTTAGACCTAAAACCATAAAAACCCTAGAAGAAAACCTAGGCAATACCATTCAGGACATAGGCATGGGCAAGGACTTCATGACTAAAACACCAAAAGCAATGGCAACAAAAGCCAAAATTGACAAATGGGATCTAATTAAGCTAAAGAACTTCTGCACAGCAAAAGAAACTACCATCAGAGTGACTAGGCAACCTACAGAATGGGAGAAAATTTTTACAATCTACCCATTTGACAAAGGGCTAATATCCAGAATCTACAAAGAACTTAAACAAATTTACAAGAAAAAATCAAACAACCTTATCAAAAAGTGGGGATATGAACAGACACTTCTCAAAAGAAGACATTTATGCAGCCAACAGACACATGAAAAAATGCTCATCATCACTGGCCATCAGAGAAATGCAAATGAAAACCACAATGAGATACCATCTCACACCAGTTAGAATGGCGATCATTAAAAAGTCAGGAAACAACAGGTGCTGGAGAGGATGTGGAGACATAGGAACACTTTTACACTGTTGGTGGGACTGTAAACTAGTTCAACCATTGTGGAAGTCGGTGTGGCGATTCCTCAAGGATCTAGAACTAGAAATACCATTTGACCCAGCCATCCCATTACTGGGTATATACCCAAAGGATTATAAATCATGCTGTTATAAAGACACATGCACAAGTATGTTTACTGTGGTACTATTGACAATAGCAAAGACTTGGAACCAACGCAAATGTCACTGTGGCACTATTTACAATAGCAAAGACTTGGAACCAACCCAAATGTCCATCAATGATAGACTGGATTAAGAAAATGTGGCACATATACACCATGGAATACTATGCAGCCATAAGAAAGGATGAGTTCATGTCCTTTGTAGGGACATGGATGAAGCTGGAAACCATCATTCTCAGCAAACTATCGCAAGGACAGAAAACCAAACACCACATGTTCTCATTCATAGGTGGGAATTGAACAATGAGAACACTTGTACACAGAGTGGGGAACATCACACCCCAGGGCCTGTCGTGGGGTGGGGGAGGGGGCAGGGATAGCATTAGGAGATATACTTAATGTAAATGACGAGTTAATGGGTGCAGCACACCAACATGGCACATGTATACATATGTAACAAACCTGCACGTTGTGCACATGTACCCTAGAACTTAAAAGTATAATAATAATAAAAAATTAAACAGAAAAAAACGTTCTGAAAAACACAACTGATTCCCACATGGCACTTACTCTCCACCTTGTATCACAGTGATGTGGAATGTTCCACTACTAACTAATATGCCACTTGAGCGCTGGCATTATTCCATGCTCACTTGGAACCCCCTGAATACCCAGCAGTGTCTACTCAAGGAAGCGACATCAAACGGCCAATAAGCAAGGGGCTTGGTCTAGGTCTTCCATGAACTGCCACTAATACACACTGCGGAGGGGTCTGTGGTCACTGACTTCTAGCTCCCTGTGTTTCCTGTGTTTTACCTAATTCTTCTGATGCCATTTTGCAGATTACAAGTTACCCAGCTGCATATGGGGGAAAAGAATGGCTTCAGTTATTTCCTTAAAGCCTAAACAGACACACTTACAAACGGGTAAAATGAAGATATTTTAATAATCTTAACACAGACGTTTCACACTGCTGTTAAAAAACAAACAAACAGAAAAGTAGTGTAAGGAGAATTTCCTACCTAACTTTAATGTTATTTTCTCATACTTTAAATTCTGGCTATTTCTTCTGAACAGGTTGATCAAAGCCATATGAGGTAGCAACACAGAAATGTAGATGTGTAGGTGGGCAATTGTGTTGAAAAGGGAAATCCAATCAAGTCCTGTTTAGCAAGGCAAAAAGCAAGACAAAGACACAGGTGTTCAGCTCAAAGCTGTTTAAACTTCATAGCAGATGGCAGGCAGGGGTGAATCAGGCTGGTCTGAGTTTTAAAAAGGAAGCCTCCATCAAAGAAATCTGTCTTTATAGCCACAGTTTGCACACACCCTAGAGCAGCCTTTGGGAACGTCAAACAGAGGTGTGGTCATACAAACCACAGGCTGGGATTCTTCCTCATATTTGTATGCAAAGTATTAGGAGAAAATAATTTACTCTTTTCCAGAATTTGGGTAGGAACCTGTACAGCTATCTTTCTCAGAGACCTGAGAGCCAATGAACTTCTACTACTAATCTAGTAACTGAAAAAATATATATTATGACCTGTATTTCACAAAAGCCTTGGATAATGCCTCAAAGACACTATTATATCCTTGGATAGGCCCAGTGTGGCAGCAGGAAAACAAATTCACCAAAAATCTCTTGATGTGACCCCATAAGAGTAAGAGCTCCACCTGCACAGAGTTTACTAGCGTTGGGCACCGTTCCAAACACTTAACACACACCAATTCATTAAGCACTCATTCTAACCCTGTGAGGAGGTGCCACTAACTATCATGCCCATTTTACAGATGGGGAAACTAAGGCTTGGAGAGGTGAAACCGGTTGCTCAAGGCCACTTAAAGTGACAGAACCAAGATCTCAAGTTGCACAGCTGAACGAACCACTACCCCATCATGCAGAAATATTTCAAAATAATTCCCTAAATTTCTCTGAGTAAAAACCAGGCTGTCATGTTAAAGATTTTATAGGCATGCTTTGCCTTTTCTGCCTTCTGTAATACTTGGTGATGCAGCTCACATTCACTTCTTTGATTTCTGGCAACCATAACTGAATTAGAGTTGACTTACCACTTCTCCTTCCAGGACCAGACTGACCATAAAGAGGGGAGGGCACTTTATCAGAGCTGAAACTATGAGACTATGCCAGGCTTGGACCACTGCCTGTGAGATATTTCTGGCAAAAATAGGATAGTCTGGACCCAACTTTTGGAAGACAAAGACACCGGGGGCCAATTGACACCAACCTCCCACTCAAGAGCCAGCAGCCCCTAGGTTGGGCATGGGGTGTCTCTTTTGTAGAGCGCAGACCAGGGTCCCCCTTCACTGCAGGAAAGGGCTGCCTTCATCTCAGCCCCGACTTCCAAAACACAATGCAGGCGTCACTCTGGTCTGTCCTTGGGGGCTGGTGGTGGGGGAAAATCCTGCACACCTGAGGGAACTCCTCTGAATGTGGGAGGCAGGAGCATGAATGGCCACAAGGGCAATTATGTGAATGTGCTCTACAGCTAGGGCCTGGGGACTTCTCTGTAGCCTGATTTCTTCTCATTGAAGATAAAGTTCCCCACGTGCCACCTGCCCTCAGCTCCTGCTCTTTCTGCACTTCTCTCAAGCAGCTGAGTAATAAAACTGATAAATCAAACCTACCTTATTCACCTCTCGAGCTTCATTTCTAAGTGAAGCATTTGAACACTGTCCAGGTAGACCAGAGACAAGCCAAGACAAAGTCGGCCACGGTGAGGAAACAGGGCCAAAAGCAGGCCCGGATGTCCCTGTCCTGATTCACGTACTACCAAGACAAAGCAAGTCAAAATGAGCACTAGGCACAAATTCTACAACAATCTCTCTTCTCACAAGAATTCTTCCTCTTCCTCAGAACAAATTTCTTTTTTGGTGATGCTCCCACACATTGTCTGAACCTCCACGTAGCTATTATTTAACTTCAAGCTGCATTGCTAGTTGTTTACATATTCATCTGTCTCTTGGTTATAAATTTCCTGAAGGATAGAGTCCGTATCTTTTTCATTTTGGTTTCTCCCAAGGCACCAAAATGTGTACTTGCTTTACACAGAGCAGGCATTTGGAAAATGCTGGTTCAAATGATCACAACATTTACTCTAACATGAAATATTTAGTGTCCACTTTCTACTTTAAATTTATTGACTCTTTAAATTTTCACAATGGTCCTCTGAGTAGCTATTGCTGTTCTTTTCCCATTTTGCTGATGAGGGAGCCTGAGACGTGGAACAGTTAGGCCATCTGCCCAACTCACAGCATTGGCAGGGCCAGGGTCTAAACGACTGTCTGGTGGCACAGAGTGTGTGCTTTACCACTAACCACACATGCTGCTTCTCTGTGCCCTGGACCTACATAAGTTTGAATGACAATAGCACTTTAGCAGGGAAGAAACAAATGAGAGCTCCTAATCCTCCATGCTTTTGCCCTTGCAGGTCCCTCTGCTTGGAAAGCTTTTCTCCCCTTTCTATTTCTAGAAACTCCTACTGGTTTCCTTCAGGCCCTGCTCAAGACTCAAGTCTCTAGAAGGTCTCTTGGTTCCTCTAAGTGATTAGGGACCCTCTGCTGGGCTCATGTATACATTGATGATATAGTCACCCATGTGACTATATGTGTGTGTGTGTATATAGTTCTATATGTGTGTACATATAGTTCTTTGCTATATCACAGCTCTCATCACCTCATATATTATACGCTGGCTTTCTCAATTTCTCAGCCCAGAACACTCTGAGGACGAACACTGTCTTTTCACAATACTTGGCATGAAAATATTTAACAATTGTTGGCTGTAACAGTTTATTTAGCACCTACTAAGTGCTACTCACTGTGCCAAGGGCACTCACATATACTTGATCTCATTTAATTCTCCTAAACTCCTGTGAGCTGAGTACCAAATCATCCCATTTTCTGGGTAAGAAATCTAAGGCTTAACAGATCTCATAGACAACACTTGAATAAAATCTCCCCCCTCAGCTCAGTTTAATAAGGTCCCAGAGTCTTTCTGGCATTCTTGGCCCTAAACAGAGGGCAGGGCTAGTATCCTGAGGAAAAGCAGGATATTCTCTTGCAGCTTGCCTGCAGATGGGTCTCTCGGGTTCTTGCTCCTAGGCCTTGATCTGAAACCTGTTCAAGGAGTGGGTACAGTCCCCAGGTCATGAGTCAAGAAAACCTCCAAAACTGCAACTCATTGGTTTTAGCTCAAACCACTCAGGCGTTGCGTGTGTGTTTTACCCGAGTCCTGTGAAATCACTATCACTAACCACAAAGGACTTTCAGTTACGAATAATCACCATTTCCACGAAAGGGAACAACCTGGTATGTAGCAATCTCAGTAAGGACACACACACACACACACACACACACGGAGTATTGGGCTAATAGATGAACTATCAGAAACCCGATTAAATCTTAGCCTAATACTGCCTATTCTAAATCTCCAAGGAAGAATATTAACTCAAAGGAGATAAATCAAAACCAAGTATTTGGAGTGCCTATAATGTCTTGGTAACTGTGCTGGGTCCCGTGCAAGGTATAGAAAACAGAGTTATTTTTATTAGCTATATAGTATATACTAATAAGCATAAAGTAAGCCACTGACATCTAAAAATGACCTATTCATAATTATCGCTTTCTTTCCCAGAGTGGTATAAGCAAACATTTTATTCTGGGTACAAACCCAAAGTTAGTTCTCATTAAAAATGATCCTAACTTGCTTTAGATTTATGCTTAACTATTGGGAAAAATATTTTATAGCAACTCTATCTGGCTTTAAAGTTCACTAGTTCAGTATTTATTCAGGCTTCTAAAAGTTATTTAGAATTTAAGTGAGCAGAATATCATATTAATCATAGTGATGCAATGAATGGGGAAAGGAGGAACAGAAAACTCAAAGGAAAAAAGTTCTTCAAAATGTCATGAGAAAATCCAGTTATGCAAAGCCTATTTTAAATTCTTAAAGGTCTTTATAGCTGCTTGATTCAGGGCCTGCAAATATATCAGCTTGCCTAAAAATTTCATTTTTTTCTACCAAGAAATCCCTCTTCCCTTTCTCAACTTAAGATATAATTGACAAATAAATATTGTATATATTTATAGCGTATAACGTGATGCTTTGATATATGGATACACTGCAGAATTATTAAATCAAGCTAATAAATATATCCAAGAAATCCCTTCTTAACCTCCATGGCTTGAAAACTTAAAACTTTTACATCTCTGGCTAACTCGAAGTCCACGTATAGACAGAAAGTATAAGGCATAAGCCAATGCAAGCTATGATTTTGCAGGAGAAATTGATACCTGAAGAGTTCAGGACATAAACAATTTTATATTTTGACTCATTTGTTCATCATTTAGTAAAAATATTTTTATCTTTACATATTTTCATGTTTGATGAACAGTAAAAAAAACTGCTGGTGGACTACAGCAGAACATTCATATAACTAGTATTTTCTTAACAGAAAAATCAGACTGCCCAACAGAGACTCTTGTACTTCATCAAACACACCCAACACCTGGCTGTTTCTTTGCAGGAGCAGGGTTGATCAGACTCCGACGGGCAAGGAGTCCTCTCAAGCAGGGACTTGCCATCACCAAAGATTTGCAGCTGGACTGCACTCCCGACCAGCTTTGGAGACTATGTAGATTCTCTATTACAAACCAGAGAGGGACGTCAAACAGAGTAAACATGTGACAAGTTCCAGCAGGGACCAAGGAACATAAAGATACAGATGGTACCACAGAACATAACACAAAACAGACCCTCAGCTCCCCTTGCTCTTGTTCTCAAGCTGCATCCAAGTGTGCTTCGCGGGACTCTTAACTCACTCACTGTTCTTTGCCCTACCGACTCCATGCAGTTAAAATGCCTAGTAATGTCCTCCCAGAGGTACAGCCCCAGACCACTGCATTTGGGGCCTGAAATTAGTCATTGCAAAGTTTTCACACTGCTTAACTGGTAAGACAAATATCTTCATGTCAGCCATGTGCTCATTCTTTTGCTCCATTTTGCACACAACTAATAAAAACTGGAAAATGCCTTTTCTAAGGCAAAGAAAGTTATAGATGTGAATTTCATTCTTTTATATAAACGTAGTCAGAGTCAACATGAAGAGTTAAAGCTTTGATAGTGTGTGGCTATCTAGATAGTGTGATGACTACTCTTATTACCCCTTAAATAAAAAGTACTTGCTAATTTGATTTTAGATGATGAAATTATATAGAGAAATTACATTTATAACAACAATTGAACCTTGTCTAGCATTTTGTCTTAATAGTAGCACAAAAATAATTCTCTGCTTCTTTCCACACACAGGTCATCATCTCTGCCTCTTCTTTAGAGATTTCTCTATTCCAGCCCCCTCTACTCACTTTCCTAATAATTGCTGTTATAAATGCCAGTGCCAATCTCCAATTTTGATGTATTCATATCCTCGGGAAGCTGCTAAGTGCTCAAGGCTTCAAAGTACTGTTCTTACTTGAAACTCATGTTATCTTTTTATCTATCACCTTGAATGTCCACACATCAGATTCACTATCTTTCTCCCCATAATGTCTCCATCAGCCTTTATGGTGCCACTTATGCTCTTAGCTAATTGTACTCACATCCTTAGAACGTTAACTCCCTTGTATACAGCTGGTTGTTGTATACAAGATGGGTTTTCCTTTACAAATTTCAAGGGTGCAGTTCTTTATTGCCTAGATGCATTTATTCATGTCCTTTATGATCTCATCCCCAACTTCTGCTGCTTGCAATCTACCTTGAGCACTGTAGCTAAAATCACTCTCCTCACATGTTGTTTTGCTCCTGTTAATAACTTCCTCGGCACTCTGAAACGGTTTCCACTTGTGTGTTGCATAATACCCTGGTTAGTGCTTTTCAGATCCTTTAATAGTCAGGCACCCCTTATCTAATTGTCCTCTTCTCTTGCCATGACTCAGCTGTACTCGACGGCACTGCAACGCAAAATCCAGGTGGGTTTGTTGTAAGACTTTTCAAAAGAGGATGAAGCTACAGGGTACAAATCTGACAGTAGGGCTGTAGCTAATATCTCCACCACTTTCCTAACTTTCCTACAACAGCATTCATTTTCAGAAATATGAGTAGTCATACCACTGCTGTTCTCCACAAATTTATTACCTTTCTGGATGTTTTTCCTGGTGGTAGAATGAAGGCACGAGAGACCTGTGTGCATATGAAAGATCCTTGTTTTCAGGTTCTACTACTGGCAATGGGAGCCATTACGAAACATCAACCCAGAATATCAGGAGAAGATTAAACAGGCTATGAAGCTAAAATTAAGACCTATTACAAAAAGCCACGAAGACGACACTGCCCACAAATAATGAACACTGGTGACCTTTACTGCCTTTGAGGGGGTTTTTTTCTCCTCGGGCTGTACATCATTAGATGGGGTCTTCTCCCACCTGGTAAAATTTCGATCCACTGTGAACAAATCTTCCCTTAGCTTCCCTTTAAAATGTTGCCGAAGGACCAACTTCTTTACGAAGTCATTCCAGAGCAACTCTTCCTGGCACCAGACACACTAATCATACCGGGACCTTCTTTATTCACCTCGTCTTTCTAATATTTCTCCCTTTTTCTCATTATTCAGTATTTCTTTAGGGTGTTAAGTGTAGCCTAAAGCTGCCTCCTTACATATTTTACATTCAGCCTAAAGGTTTCTCTGCACACCACGAACTATAACCTAAATGGAGTTGTATACAGATTGTAGCTTACTCTTGTGTCAATCACTGAGTTTTGGGCCAATCAAAGGGGGTCAACGATTCGAGCCGTGTTCAAATAAGGCAAATGACGAGCTGTAGCCAATCAGCTGTTTCTGTACCTCACTTTCCTTCTTCTGTCTATAACCCTTCTTCAACTACACAGCTGCACTGGAATCTCTGTACCCACTCTGGCTCGGGTGGCTGCCTGATGTGCGAATTGTTCTTTGCTCAATTAAACTCTGTTAAATTTGGCTAAAGTTTTTCTTTTAACCACAGCCACATATGCATATTTACATAGACACTGTTTATGGGGAGCGGGGTGCCTGTCTGAGGCTTGTTTTGTTTTTTCCCTTTGTTGGTGTATGCCTTCTATTTCCCTTGAAGTATCTTTAACATGTTGTCATTGGGTGCTGAATACAGTGGCACATCTTTAACTGTTACAAATATAGCAACTGTAATTTAAAGAAAACTTTTAAACAATAAAGTTTTGTAGCTGAACTTTTAACACCACAAAAGTGATTCATTACTAAAAAGTTTAAAGAAAAAAAGAAAAGAAAACCTTCAATATGTTCTTCTCGCCCTCGTTTTCACTTACGGAATTAAACAGTAGTGACTACTTACTCTAGAATCACATTTTCATAGTTCCAACAATGGGCTGAAAGTTACTCTGATCTAGCGAAGAGTTAGAATAATTTTTCAAAATGCTTTTACTGTCAAATTCACACAGTACCATGAAAAACAACAAAAACAAAATATCACTAGGCTATAGGCCAAGTAAAAGTCTTTGGAACTGCTTTATAAACAAGTCAATCCACTCCTTTGTTAATTCCTAGAAGACTAGCCATTTTGACGTTTATATAAACTATGAAACCTTCATGGAATGTGGCAGAGCACTAATAAACAAATACGGGACTGACTGAATTGCTTCGTGTTATTTTTTTAACTACCTCCCATGTACATGCATTTTCTCTAATTGACTCTAAGCTTGTGTGTGCGTTGTGGGGGGCGGAGGGGGTCAGGCCCACGCTTTTTCCTCCATTCACATCTAGCACAGTACTAAGTGTGTAAGTATTGATAATACTTCTGATATAAACAAGAATAACTGGTAAGTGAGTTGTGTGCGTGGAATGTTTACTGCTACTTCAAAATGGTTTTAATTTTGGTTAGAGGGTCCTAACTATAATCTTGTTCCGAAGTATACAGGATGACATTTTCCCTTTTATACCATCTTCTGATTGAGGAAAAATCTGGAGTTGGAAAAGTAAAATGTCAATGTTGTCTCACTACATTTACTAACTGAATAATTTCTATAAGAAGCATTGGTATTGTTATGTGAAGTCAGGTTCAAAAACAGGCGAAAGGAGAGGAATTCACAAAAGAGTAGAGATCCAAACTCAGGTTTTCTGTGACAATCTGGTCAAGTTTTCCACTTCCTCACCCGTTTCATTGATAAGAAAGAGAGACCCAGAAAGATTACTTGTTTCATATGTACTTGTTTCATATGAATGATGGAGCCTTACTGGCCCCCCGCCCCATTTCCCCAACCAGCCGTATACCGGGAATGAATCACTACATTTTCTAATTGAATAATTTATCACCCATATACTGGGAATGAATGAACCTTTTTCATTAACCTTAATAGGGGTATTAGAGTATCATCCACACAACATCTCAGACTTGCCTCTGTTCCTAACCCACTACTTGCAGTCCATCAAGTCCTGCTAATTTTATCCCTTTTGTCTCTGCCACCCTGCCCTCAACCAGGGTCTTTTATCACCTCCTCCACAGACCAGGCCTCCGGTCCTGGCCCCACTTAAATTCTTTCTCCATGAAGCAGGCAGACCATCCATTCAAAGGCAGATGGCTCCCTTCTCAAATGCCTTTGAAGACTCCCCAAAGCCAAAAGCAGAAAATGCAGCTCCCAAACCTTGGGAATTTTGTTTCTTATCATATCCTCCCGATGCACTTTCCAAATTTTAGTGTGCCCAAGAATAACCTGAGAAGTCTGTAACAAATGCAAGTTTCTGGACCTTATGCAAAGAAACATTAATTCAGTACTGGGTGGAGGACTAGAGAATTTTAAGCACCCCTTGTGATCTGCTGCAGTGGGCGGACAGATCGCTCCTGGAGAAAGCGTTCTTCCACTATCCAACTGCTTGCAGGAACTCACACTGTACACTTTCATTCCACTCCACCTTTGCTCAGGATCTTCCTCCAATATGCAACACTGGCCACTGTTTGCTCCCTAACTTCCACTCATTCTTCACCTGCACAGGCTCAGCCTCATCCCTGTAAGCCCCATATGCCCTCAGTGTTCTTCCCTCTTTTGCACTGTCATGGTTTTTTTCTTAGAATTTACCATGTTATACTGACCTTATCTTTTTATGATTGTTTGGCTCACAAGATTTGTGGCTGTTGAATGAACAATGTCTGTTAAATGAAACAGTGGCCAAATGAAGTCTATGACTAAATAATACTGTTCCCAGACAGATCTTCTTTTATGAGCCTAAGCAGGGTACATGGGTTCAAAAAAAATTCCTATCCCAATTCTCAAAACCCAGTGGAGGGGAAGGGCTTGGGGCTCTGACGCTGCCGTGTGCTTGCCATGTGAATTTCCTATGCCTCAGTTTCCTACCAACTCACAGGGTTGCCATGGGGATGAGAGGAGATGACAGATGTCAAATTCACACAGCAGGTAACCACTCAAGACCTGTTGGGTCTTTTTGTGTGTAGCCAAAAGGTATCACCCAAATTACTGACCTCAGACCACAAGAAGAGAACAATGTGCACCAGTGCATAACACACTTAGGGGAAACCTAGCAGCATCTACATTGTTTCCTTAGGGAAACCTAGCAGCATCTACATTGTTTCCTTATCTGGAAACACTGCCAAAACATTCATTTACTGCAAATTGCTAACTTTAATGTTTCTGTACACAAATACTGCTAATAAGATCCTGCTACCACCCAAAATTGTATCTTATGGACTCTAGGTAGAAATAATTTTTTAAACTTTTTAAAGAAACCACTAGTAATTTTCCCTTTTGCATTATAAAATTTGTACATATATTTTCTATGCTCTATTGATAGCATTCCTGTTATCAGGTGTAAAATTACTTATTGGAAGAGACATTTTATTTCTTAATGCAGTCCATGCCTGCTATGGAACTTGAGTGTAATCGCTAAGGACTGACAGGGCTTAGGCAAGGAGGGGGACATGGGAGAAGGCATTCAGGCAAGGAGTGTTGCTGGTGCAAAGAGCTCCAGGAAAGTGCCTGTGACAAGCTCACCCAGGATGGGTCATAGGTGCCTCTCAGTGGGTCCCTCCAACCTGCAGCCTCATAGCACCTGCCAGTTGCACAAAGGTACTGTGAACCTGGTAGGGTATTTGCTTTTAATGACAGGTTTTGTTTCTTATTCATCTCTGTATTCCCAGGGCCTAGTGCCATATTTGGACAGAGCTGGCACTAAATAAATGTTTGCCAAATGATGTTTCTTTAGCATAATAATTTGTGAGAGTGATATTTTGTTCCAGTAGGTTGCCAAGAAAAGAAAAAAAAAAAAAAAAACAGTCCAACAGAGCTTGCTCACTGGGTAGGTCCCTTGAGCACAAACCTTAGAAAGCATAACTTCACAAATTCAAGAATAGAAATTCAGATACCTGAATTGCATTGTCATAAGGCAACAAATTCCTAGTCACTTAATGTGAGAACTGCTTTACTTGTACTTCTTAAAAAGAGCTGTGTCTAGTATTACATACAAGGATTTCCTCTTTCTCTGCATGTCCCGTAAGTCTTTCCCAGGGTTTGGCTCCAAGCTCTGCAAGCACAGCTCAAATCTCTGAGTTCCAAATACATCTTCCCCCATTATCTTTTAGGCTAGCATCTTGAAATTCAAGAAGCCAAAAATCCAAACTTATCTTCCTCCCTAAATCTGTCCCTTCCTGTCTGGTATCCTTCTGAGTAAACAGTACCACCATCCATTAGTTGGCTAAGCCAGGAACTTGGAGCCACTCTGATGACTCCTTTTCTAGGCTTACCATGCTTAACTCAACCAGCCACAGGTCCTAGTGAATCTGCTTGGGAGGCTCTCATTCAATCATTTGCTTCTTTCCATCCCACTGCCACAGCTTAGCCCAACACATAGGCTATCACTTAGATCACTAGTTAGCAGATAACTATTTTTTTATTTTTAGAGACAGGGTCTTGCTCTGTCACCCAAGATGGAATGCAGTGGCGTGATCATAGCTCACTGCAGCCTCAAACTCCTGGGCTCAAGTGATCCTCCTGCCTCAGCCTCCCAAAGTGCTGGGATTAAAGACGTGAGCCACTGTGCCCAGCCTGTGACTA
Source organism: Homo sapiens (assembly GCF_000001405.40). Taxonomy (NCBI): domain Eukaryota; kingdom Metazoa; phylum Chordata; class Mammalia; order Primates; family Hominidae; genus Homo; species Homo sapiens. Next base: position 74,303,757 of record NC_000008.11, read on the forward strand.
TTTAATCTGTCTCCAGTTTCACTGCCCCTTACTGTCCCCATTCCCTATACCACCTGCAGCCAGAGTGATCTTTCTAAAGATGATGATGTAATTCTGCCTAACACCTATCAATAGCCTTCCCCTATCCTTGGGATAATGTCCAAACTCCCTCTTATAGGTTCAAGAGACCCTCCTCATCTCTCAACACCCTACACCTAGCACTCTTTCCCAACCACAATGTACATTTTACCAGACCCCAAATACACATGGTCCACTGTCCTTTGCACCCACCTCTATCTTCTGGAAAACACCCACACATCCTTTGGTTCTCACTCTGGATGCAGCCTGCAGACACCTGCCTCCAGCCCCAGGCTATGATCAACCCCTTCCTATGCGTTACCTAAGCAAGGTGCTGATAATCCAATGGGTAATAACTGCTTTTTCATCTGTCCTAACCAGACTCCATGATGAAAAGGATTAGGTCTTAATCATAATTTTACATTTCCATTGTATGTAATGGATTAATGTAACTAAGAATGATTAAAGTTGGTATTTCATTAAGAACTGAAGCTTATAAAATGGGCCTGGGCTACCATCACCCCTTCCAGGGCATTTGAGTCTTTACAAAGTAATCTATTAGTCCACAGTTCAACTGATTTTCAAATCATTTGGCTGAGCAGGAAGCGGGATGGGGAACAAGTGTCTGGGGCTGGTGGGTGAAATGAGGGGGCAGTAAGCCCCATCATCTGAGGCTCTTCCATTCTTACCCTTGAACTCTAAATTGCTGGCTTCCATGGGTTATCTCAACATGTCAAAACATGTTCCCTACATGTATCTCAAATGCTTCCCTAATGGATGGAAGGTTTGAAATCTTGAAATAATAATTCAAAAAAGCTCCCACACCAATTTAAAAAATGGCATTGATAGGGTTTCTAGACCAAGCAACTGAGATCAAAATTCTATTGATTCAATATAGTAAAAGTCACCAAAATTTTTACCATATTTAAGTTTAAAAATTAACAAAAAATAATAAAATTGTTTGTTAATTTCTGACACTCTATTGCATTAAAAGTGATAGAAAGTGAATTAATGTATTTTACTTGGCTTAAATAACTTTCTTTTGGCCCACATGGAAGTCCTAAGAAAATTGACTTCAAAGAGTTGTACTATTTGGGAGCCAATCTTGATTCCTTACATATTAATTAAATTTTTGAGAAAGCAGCTTATTTTGAATTTAGCATATTATACAAACAAATGTGAAACAGCAACTAAAACAGAAAGGTGAAATTATTAAAAGCTGATTTGACTTTATTCTCAAGAGACTGTTGTACTAAAGCTGAATGACTTACATAAATACCTTTGGCATTTGTTGGATCCTGCTCCTAAACACAATGTTCATATTTCATCTATAATAAGAAAAGCATCTCAAAGATTTGCAAGGCACTAGTCTTGCAAGCGTCCAGTTTGGTGTCTTGAGTAAAGTGAGATTGGCAGAGTCAGCTTAATCCATAATGGAAAGTTGTGAGCAGGGTGCTTCGGCTGCCTGGCAGCTGCTGCTTGGAGAAGCCTACCAGCTATGGCAGCATGCAGGCAGAACTCTGCCACTTGCTTAAAAACAGAGTTTCTCCAGGTCAAAGCTGAAACTCATACAAAGCATACAGGATAAAATATGAATGCAATCCCATTTTGGGGGCTTTCCAGAAAACATAGGAGTAGGGTGGTTTTCATTACAAATGATGCATTAGAAACTGCTACTTTAATTCTTCATATGTGTACTATTGAGAAAGGGTCATATTTCAGGGCTAAATGAGCTGGAATCTGTTGAAGTTTGTACTATTTAAGCAAGCTCAGGCTTCTACAGTTAAAACAGGGTCAACATGTGTCCCCACAACCTGGCTTATCATCATCCTGGAATTTCAGTTTTCCCTTCCAGTCTTCAGTGCCAGCTTTTACTAAGTAGATCTCTGCAGAACTGAATGTTGTCTCATATCCCATTCATACCCTATACAGTCTCTTCTCCTTGCCCTCCCTGTTTAATCAAAATGGAAGTCCATGCCTACACAATTCAAGTTTTTAAAACCATGTTTTTTAATGGCTTGAAAGTCTGGAGAACTGTGTGACCTTCCCATTTATTATGGCCTAAGACTAATTTTCATTATATTTGTATTCTCTTGAACCTACTTGTTAGTCACGAAAACACATGTCCATCTCAATGCCTCCGAGTGTCTGAATGGGCCCGGACTTGGGAGGGCTGGAGAAAGAGTTTTTTTTGTTTTGTTTTGTTTTGTTTTAAAGAAAGATCTTTAGAAACGAGATATCCTAAGGAGGTTTTACAAGGCTGTCATAACACAAAGTGTTCCCATGTTATGCGTAATGACCCGTTGCGTGGTGAGTGATATGACATCAGAGCTGAAGGCCAGGAGCTGGCCAGAGGAGTTTCTCTGTGCTACCAAGTCACACCTATCAGTGCTATTACATCCAAGCCTAACCCCTCGCTTGGAGGTAGGGGCAGGACAGAGCTGGCACCTAGGTCATCTTTCCAGTTTCAGCTGTTCCCTCAGTGCATGCACACAGAGAGAATTCTCAATGATTGCTCCTGGGCCCCTTGATATGGACAATCATGTCTTTCTTTAAAGAGCCCAGAAAAAATGTGACGAAGTTAGACTAGGCACCCCCCCTTTCTCCCATGGGAAATGGACATTCTTTGATAAAGAAGAGAAACATATTTGAAAACTATATATTCTTCTAGGAGCAAATTCCAGAAGTTTGGTTGAAACACCCAGACTCTGAAGTTCAGAGGATAACAATATAAAGTATAAAGTACAACAAAAGGATAACGTATAAAAGGATGATGGTGATCTACACTAACTTTTTTTTTTTTTCTTGGAGACCTCGCTCTGTCGCTTAGGCTGGAGTGCAATGGCATGATCTCTGCTCACTGCAACCTCTGCCTCCCAGGTTCAAGCGATTCCTGCCTCAGCCTCCCGAGTAGCTGGGATTACAGGTGCCCGCCACGATGCCTGGCTAATTTTTGTAATTTTAGTAGAGATGGGGTTTCACCATGTTGGCCAGGCTGGTCTCGAACTCCTGACCTCAAGGGATCCGCCCGCCTCGGCCTCCCAAAGTGCTGGGATTAGGGATGTGAGCCACCACGCCCGGCCTACACTAACATACTTAATATAAAGGTAAGACCTTTATTATCCTACGTTATCTTCAGAATAGTACCTGGGGCATAACTTGATATTTCCTTGCTCACTTTTCAGTCTTAAAAAAATAAAATTGCCTGCTAACTTCACACAGATCTGGTGCTGGAAATGGGCTGTTTTGATACATGCTCACATCTGCACACAGGTGGTAAAGCTCTGTAGATTTAACTCTCTTCCTTTGGTTATCCCCATTCCTGCTTCCCAATCCTTCCTTCCCTTCCTGTTTCCTTCCTCACTTCATCTTTACCTACATCCCAGTTTGTCTTCTTGGTCTTCTATCAACTTTCACTTGTGAAAATGGTACTTCTAGGATTGCAACATTTTCCTAAATAACAACTGCTATGTGTGGTTTATAGTTTACAAAGACCCGTGATACCCACTCTCCCATTCAATTCTCAAAACAACCCTGCTATGAAGGGTAAGGTAATAATTGCTCCCTGTTCACCATAACTTTTCTGAACCTCAGAGTCTGGGTATTTCAACCAAGCGTCTGGAATTTGCCCTAGAAGCACTGGTTACAACAGTTGCAAAGAGTGACAGGCAGCCAAGGTGCAGATATAGAAGAATACAGGTAGCAGAACTAAAGAAAATAACTAATGCTTTCCTTAGCAATAAATGCCCACATTTTAGGTGATTTTGTCCTAAAATTTCTTTAACTATTTAACAATCTATTCATTAAAATGACTCAGAAGGCATCAGAAGGATTTCCCCTTCCCGTTAAAATCACTTGTGCTAATTACTGAAAATTAACCAGAGCACCAGAAGAAAAAAAAATCTGTAGAAAAGGTGATCTAAACTTTGTTTAAAAATATAATACAACCACTATCATTACAGTACAGACATAACGATAGCTTATAAACAGCTTTGACTTGCAAAAGATCCCCTTGTTGAGAATAATTTAAGAATTTCAAAGTCCTGGCCCTTTATAATAACTTAGCAGAGAATAGGCTTTTTTTTCTGATATTGGTAATAGTCAGTTTAATTTGGATCCATAATGTGCATTGACTCATAGTTGACTTTGGGTTTTAATTACTTATGAGTAAAATGTGAATCAAGTCAAGTGATCTTGTGAATAACTGTTCTATCCCAGCCAACTTTATGTGTTAAATTAAATGATATTCTTTGAGTCTAAGTAAAATGACCTCCAAACAAGAAAAACTTTCCAAAAAAATTAATAATAAGCTCCCACATTCTGGTATCTCACATGTTTTGGTGCTGTCAAATACAAAAGCTAAGCCAATGTTATCACAGTTAGGATAAGCTGACTTCCTGGAGTTTCCACATCTGGAAGGGAATCTCTTACATGTATCACTGACCAGCTCAATACTTATGAAGAATGGAAATAACAGTTTGGCTCAACCTGATGCTCTTGTTCCCTGGTTATGTCCTGTAACAATGTTGACCTAATTAAGGAAAAAGTTACCCGTAGCACACACTTTGACATTTTCTGCACTCCTTGACTATTGTTAGATTATAGCATGAATTATGAGAGCTAAGTTTCCATCTTTAAAATGTGGTTTTGCCCAGCAAAACAAAATTAGGAGCACTGGCAGTGGTAATTCCCTAAGTTGTGAGAATTTAATTAATTCATTCACCAAATATTTACTAGAGCACTTACTAATGTGCCTTGATCTAAGCTCACTGCTGGGTGTACAAAAGTGAGCAAAGCTGACTTCAGAGTCAGCCCATCCTTCCCAATCTAGTTGGGGTGAGGGATATTCAACAAATATTGTGAAATTAAATATCAATTTAGACTAATGGGGAGATTTTAGACTAGAAGTGGGCTAAGAGAAGCGGGGTTGAGGAAAACTTCCACTATGAAGGAACCTAGGCTTAAAGCAGAGTGAGGACCCAGCAGCCTGAGGAGCCAGCCAGAGGGAGCAGGGACAGGGGCTGAGAGCTTCTTTCCAACAGAAAGCAAGCTGGCATGGTTGAACCACTCTGAGTATGGGGGAGGAGGGGAGATCTGCATGAAAATGCAATATATCCTTTTTTATACAAAAGTATGAGGAATGGTTTTTTAAAATCCTACAGGAAAAGTATGTATCGTTTTTATATTTAAGTCCAAAATTGGCAAACATGGCATCCAACCTTAGTTCCGAGCTGAACAGGGTGCAGAAGAGACTCCCTCCTAAGATTACATGTCTAGGTGCCCTGATCATCACCTGAAGTGCCAGTAATGGTCAGGGAGAGGTTGGCAAAAGGAGCAGCATAGTCCCATGCGACTGGCCACCTATCCCCATCACTGACACTTCCTGGTAGTACGGGGAGCCTGCCCAGCTGTGTACCAATGAGCTTCACTAGCTTAAGTGAGGCTGGTCAGTTAGCCAGAGTCTACAAAATGGAAGTTACCTACTAACTTGCTAACCTCCTCACTTTATAGTATTTCTTCTTATCTGCCTGATATAACAAAGTCAATACAAGCAAAGGCTTGTGGTTCTCAGTCGCGTGAGGCCAGCTCTCTCCCACCCCTCCTACATCTTCTATCTTCTTGCAAGATAATTATTTCTTCTAATATTCAGATCACACCAAGCTCTGCTTCTGTCCACACCTCTTCCTAAGTGATCTGTTCATTTCCACAGAAGTGGGGCTTTCTAAGGGTCACTTCTTATTTGCTTTCTCAACCAAATGCCTTAAGATTCTTTCTTTAAATATTTTTCTCAAGGAGTAGTGACATCTTTGAACACCTCATTTAAGGAATTATTGGAGACAAGAGTCGATGGAGTAAAAATTGACGAAATGAGAAATATAGTTAAAATGACAGGAACAGCTGAAGGAATTAAGGAGGCAAAAGCTAAGGGAATGAAAACTGAATGCCTAAGAAATAGAATGCAAACAACAGGAATGGTGGGATGATCTTGGGCAGAGCCTCAGTCCCTGCCACTGAATGTGGGGGGCTTGGACCAGATATTCTCTCTTGCCCATTCCAGATCTGAAATTGGGGACTTTCTGTCTCCTCTACCAAAACAGATTCTGCTTATTATATTTTCTAGAAAGTAAATTCAGCATATTGGGGGATCCAATTCTAAGTTATAAGGCTCTAGTTATAGTTTAGGGCTCTAAAACAGCACTCCAGTGACTCAAAAGGTTCTGGTTGGCCAAGTTACCATCAAGGGTACACACTGACAAAGGAAAGACCATGGAGCCTGGGCTTAGGTACTGGCTCCACTCTCCTCAGTTCTAGTAGCTATGTCTCAGAGTAGCATCTTCATCTAAGAGCAGAGCAGTTGGGATCCAGAACTAGAGGTGGTATGTCAGCTACTAGCATGGAGCAGTCTCAGTAGCTTCTAGGTACACTCATTTCTTGAGATATTTAGAGTTGCTCTTCCACCTTTTGAACATTTCTTAAAAAAAAAAAAAAAAGGTTGAGACCCTTTCTCAATCCCAGATGGTGATTTGTACCCTCAGGACCAAGACAAAAGGGAAATAAAATTTTGTAAATCTTATAAACACAGTACCTTTTGGAGCAGAGCAGAGGCCTAAAAATAAGTTCCAGGAGTCAGCAAATTATAAGTATCCCTTATGGTCTTGACGCTAAGTGTTAACCTGCTAGAATCTATTAACTCTATATCTACGATGTGATATCTACTATCTACTGTTATGTCATCCCCATAGTCCTTGATCTGTCGGAATTATACAGGGGCCCATAATAAGCCTTCTGAAACAAGCCTCCTGTATGTGTTTACTGGGGAGCAACACAACTCCCTCTTCAGAGAAGCAAAGCAAAGGTCCACAGATCCACCATACTTTCATGAATCTTTGGGCCAAAGACAGTTTGTTCTGTGTCTCCTGGAGACATTATTGGAGAATATAATTGTTTTCCCTTAGAGCCAACTTGAACCTTTGCTTCAAGATAAAATAGGATGATGGTACAAGGGTGCGTCCATTTCCCAGGGACTTAAATAACAAATAAAAGTCTCTAAAGCATAAGAAATAACACAAATGGAATGAAAACATTACAGGGACAGTGTTGTGATCTTGGGTAGAGCCTCAGTCCCTGCCTCTGAATGTGAGGGGCTTGGACGAGATGCGCTCTCTTGGCCTTTCCAGATCTGAAATTGGGGGCCTTCAGTCTTCTCTACCAAGCCATCCTTCCACCTCAGTCTCCTGAGTAGCTGGGACTACAGGCGTATGCCACCACACCCGGCTAATTTTCTCATTTTTTGTAGAGACAGGGTCTCACTATGTTGCTGAGAATAGTGATTTACACTACCTGGGTGGACAAACTGAATAGTTGATAACTATTCATTGATCATCTCCTTTTGTTGCTAATGATGAACTAGTGACTTCAACAGCAGCAGCTACCAAGAGACTTAGTTTCTAGTTTTTCTTCTGTCTGCACTGGGCTAGGTGGGAAGAGTGTCATCTTATGTTCTTAAATTTTCAGTAGTTTTACAAACAAAAACATTGATAACAGCAACCATAGAGGGGTCAGATAGATGTTCTGTACAGATATTGTGTAGATATTCTGGCATTAGAAAGAGCCATGGTTAATGACAATAATGTAGCTAAAAGTCCTATCTCCCAGGCAGCAAATCTTAAAAGAATCTTTTCTTATTTTTAAGGCTTTTTAAAATTTTTTATTTTATTATTATTATACTTTAAGTTTTAGGGTATATGTACACAATGTGCAGGTTAGTTACATACATATACATGTGCCATGCTGGTGTGCTGCACCCATCAACCCATCATCCAGCATTAGGTATATCTCCCAATGCTATCCCTCCCCTCCCCCCACCCCACAACAGTCCCCAGAGTGTGATGTTCCCTTTCCTGTGTCCATGTGTTCTCATTGTTCAATTCCCATCTATTAGTGAGAACATGTGGTGTTTGGTTTTTTGTCCTTGGGAAAGTTTACTGAGAATGATGAGTTCCAATTTCATCCATGTCCCTACAAAGGACATGAACTCATCATTTTTTATGGCTGCATAGTATTCCATGGTGTATATGTGCCACATTTTCTTAATCCAGTCTATCATTGTTGGGCATTTGGGTTGGTTCCAAGTCTTTGCTATTGTGAATAATTTTTAAGGGTTTTAAAAGACTGTAGAACTCTAAAATCAGAGCTATTATAAGGGGAATGTCATTCCTTTAACTGCTTCCTCCAAAAACAAGTTACAAAGCTGTAATCGGAAGTATTCATTATATAATAGCAAGGAATCTGGGAAAAGGACTAAAACAGTGAAGGTAAGTAAAATATAGAAGGTTAATTGAATATATTTATTTTTAATTTGTTGATTGTGTCATCCGAACAGTATTTTATTTATTGTTGTAAGAACACTTAACATGAGACCTACCTTCTTAACAAATTCTTTTTTTGTTTTTTTTGAGACAGGGTCTTGCTGTGACACTCAAGCTGGAGTGCAGTGGCACAATCACAGCTCACTACAGTCTCGACCTCTGGGGCTCAAGCCATCCTCTCACCTCAGTCTCCCAAGTAACTAGGACAGGTGTGCGCCACCGTGTCCGGCTAATTTTCTTATTTTTTGCAGAGACGGGGGTCTCACTATGTTGCAGAGATTGGTCTTGAACTCCTGGGCTCAAGAGATCCTTCTGCCTCAGCATACCAAAGTGCTAGTATTACAGGCATGTACCATAGCACCTGACCTTGACAAATTCTTAAATGCAAAATGCAGTATTGTTAACTATAGGCACAGTGTTGTAGTGCAGATCTATAGAATGTATTCATCTTGAGTAACTGAAACTTCGTATCTGTTGAACAGCAACCCTCCATTTTCCCCACCCTACAGTCCCTGGCGACCACCATTTTACTCTATGTTTCTATGAGTTTGACCATTTTAGATCAAGTCAGGTCATTGCAGTATTTGATTAAGTGAGATCATGCAGTATTTGTTTTTCTGTGACTGACTTCTTTCATTTGCATAATGAATTAAGCATTTTAAACATAGCTAAGTAACTATGAAGTAACTAACTGGCTAAAAGTATAAGGTCTTAAACTAAAGATCTCTTGATTATAACTATATAATACAGTATTCCCAAATGAAATAATACTACCCCCAAAAGACTTGCAACAGAGAGAACATGGCTAGGACTTGGGTGAGGGTTTTATGATACTAGCATAATCAGAGATCATCTCTGCATTGCCAGTCGCTTTCTGTTATACAAACTCCTCCAATGGAAACTAATGATAAGTCGTTTGTTAAAGTGTTCTGCACAGGTTCATTTTTCACCTCCCAAGACTGAGCTGACTTTAGCATGTCACTAAGTTGTAACAAGAAAACATGGAAGAATCCAAGTGTGCATTTAAAATTAGAGGTCAAGGCCTAACAAATGTTTATCACTAGGTCTAAAAGTAAGCCAGCAAGATTAGATGTGCTGAGTATCTGATCTATAAGCAAACTGAAAAGCAAAGTAGATCCAAAACTGTGATCTGAAGTAAAAGATGCCTGGTAGAGAAGACAGGAGAGAGAGAGACCCTTCATTAAAGTTTGTGCTGATCAACAAAAAATAATAGCTTTGAAATGAAATTAGTTTGGGATAAAGATGAAAACCTTGAAGACTTTTAATATATAATATAATATATATCTAAAAGTAATGCAAAATATGCAACCTTATTTAGTGGTAGCCCTACTTATTTTTTAAGTAGAGGAATTAAAAAAAAAAGAACTCTAGAAGTACTAAGTTGAACCATATGATGTCACCATTTTTTTTTGTACATTAAAAAATTTGAACATTGGAAATTTCATATGGCTCCATCAAAAAAAAGGGAGGTTCATTAATTCAATGCCAATAACAAAAACCTGAAGACATGCTAACATTTTGTGGTTTCAAAAGGGCGTTTACTTCTGTGGAAGAGTGTTATTGAAGCAGAAACAGGATTTTTAATATTCTATGCTACATTTATGCTTCAAGTCTTACAAAGCTGTGGCTAGTCAGTACTCACTTAAATAAGACTAAAAATAAAATTTTCCATTTATTACCACACCTTTTTCTTTTTGTCTCACCTATGATATCCTTCCCTAATAGAACTTTATTCCCAATAGATTTTTCCATCCCTCTTGCTGGATCCCTGAAACCAGCTATTAATGGTAAAACTTCAAGCACGTAGTCCTTCTGTGCCCACACATACACCCCACTTGTCAATCTATTATTCACCGGTTTTCTCCTACTCACTCCAGCCCTTCTCTACTGCTCTTCTTTCTTCCAACCTTGGCACATTGAGAGTCCCATCTGTCCATGTCAGGTTGTCAGGTTCCCTCCACCCCTTTCCTTTTAATACACCAGTGACCTAATCTCTTCTGCATAGAATGTGGCGATTCTTGTAGGTCTCTTTGCCTTTCCCATGTAGCTGTTGTTTTTAACAATGCATGCCAGATTTTGTCATGTTATTTTCCACTTTTGCCATATGTAGATTTTGGTGGCTGTCTCAAAACCAATTTTACCTATAAGACTTCATAAACAGAATCTGAATTGTATAAGCTAGGCTAAGTGTACATACCTCCGATGTAAATATCAGAATAAAGGTACACATCTATACTAAGTATGTTTCTACGTGGATTGCTATTTTCTTTTGGTACACAAAACACAATGCTTGCTATGGCAGCATTTCAGAGGTCCTTCTTACAAAAAAAAGAAAAGAAAACAGCAACTTTCCGGGCTCAGGAAGATGAGCACAGGGTCTCAGTGAACTCCCTCACGCTGTTAAATATGAGGGAAGTAATTTAGAACAGGAAGGGGAGCTCAAAGTGCCTTCGACATTTTTTGATGATGGGAAGTTTCAGAACAGTGCAGGTACATTTCTGACTTTGATTCTACTGAGTGTAATCATTTTTCACCTTTGATTTTTTAGTAGTTGTAGAAAGCATTTAGCGATGTCACTGGCAGATAGACAAACATAATATTTGATACTCCATTGTTCTGACCAACCCAGCAAAACCAACCACCCTGCATTTACTTACCTTGAATTTGCTATTTCCACTTTGGTTCTGGCCATGGCAGCTGCCCTTTGGGCGCCTTCAATTGCTCTGTCCACCTTCTCCCTAGTTTTTGTATGTCTTATTGGTATAAGCTGCTTCCTTATCCCACGGACCAGAATATTATTTTTGTATTTTCCCTCTTCTTTGGAGCCGTCAGGAAACACGGTACAGCCATATCCATGCCTCTTGTTATTTGCCCACTCCCCTTCATACTTCATGCCATTGGAGCGCTCGCTAACGCCGAAGCCGTTGCGCTTGTCGTTCTTCCACTCGCCCATGTAGGTTTCCGTGGTGGTGGCGTCCACGTGGTCTTCCACCGGGCAAAAATCACAATCTACATCGCCAAAGCTGATCGTGGAGTTGGCATCGCTGGAACTAATTCTGCTCATGGCCGCGTCGCTGCGGACAGAGCTGCGCTTGCTCGAGATGGAAGACTTGGATTCGGACTTGCGAAGTTTCATGCTTCCAAGAAGGGAGCCCCTCCGGAAGAGGCCGCCCTTCTTCTTGCCCGCTAGCTCAGCGTCTGCGTGGAAGTTGAGCACGAAACCGCCGCGGGTGCCGGCCGGGCTGTCGGCGGCGGCTGCGGCGTCGTGGAGCACGCTGCCATTGCTCTGCTCGCTGCGCAGCGAGGCCAGCGAGGTACGCAGCGGTGAGCGGATCACCGTGGCCATGCCGTAGGGCACGCTCTGGCGCACGCCGTAGCCATGCCGCATGCCTCCGGCCCACTGGCCCTGGTAGGTACCTTGGAGAGACCGCAAGAAAGCACCGTGAGTCGGGGGCAGAGCTGCACCGTCACCTGCACCATCCAGCGCACACTGGCGCAGGCCTGCCCAAGGTCAAATCTGACCCATTTCCAAGTCAACCCTGGGGGATACTTTGCATCCACTTGTGAATCCCCGCCCTGTAATTTTGGGTGTAAGGCTTTAATGTCATTGCACAGAATTTTCTAGTAGTCAGATAATTTTTGCTTTTCATTAAAATTTTATGCAAGTATTTCAGAGGAAAACCACTACTTTCTAATACAAAAAGTGAACACTGGGAAACAACATTCTCCTCTGAAATTAATGCATCAAAAATTCCTCTTGGGAAGAAGACAAGGAAACAGTAGAAGATGAAATGAATTCTATGTGTAAATTTTATTCTAATATTACTAATTTAGCTGGAAAACTGTAAAAAATGACTTTTAGGTCTATGTCAGTATAACATTCCAAGAAGTATACAGGCTTAAATCGGAATACTTGGGACACAGTCATCAAATGAACGTCTTAAATTTTCTGCTACATTCAGCATCTCTTTTTTTAGTGTAGACAAAACTGTTGAATATTCAGGATTATCATTTGAATTTGGGTGAACCTTTTTGAGCTAAGAGAGAATCGACAACCACAATATATATTATGAATACAGTGAATTATGAAAAAAATGAGTAATTTAACATTTTTGTGCTTCTAAGTGAAAAGGCCAAAGCTTTGTGCCGTATCATTTGCCAAATCTCTGCATCCTCTATGGATTTCCCTAGCTGCCACTGCATTGTGAATCACACCACAGACTAGAAGCACCCTGAGGGCAGGAATTACTTCGTATGAGAACACAAAATTCTCATGTGTCCTCTGGTCTGTGTTTGTGGATGGAGGGTGTTTGATGACTATGTTGACGGTAAAAAGCTATGGTGGCTAAAAAGTATACCCTTTACTCTTGGAGAAACTGATGTAAGGCCAGATGAAATCTTCTACTGTTACCATTTTGGACTTCATCTCAGAGGAAAGGTATATTTGACACTATCTATTAAAATGTTGATACCAGATGACTCTGTCAACAAATATTATGCTTTTTCATGATAGTCTGTCATCTAGAGCATTTGTAGTGAATTTTTTGCTACTAAATAAATAAGCAAAGACATTAAAAAATAACCTGGTACAGGTTTTAAAATAATCTTAGGAGGAAATGAATGTTAAATTAGGGAATTTAGAAGTTTCTTTTCAAAATCAATTTCCTTTAATTAAGGGTAAATTTTAATTTACAGTATCCCTCAAAAGAAGCTATCTGGAAAATTTAAAATGTAATTACTTCTGTGTTATTCATAACAATTCACAATGTCATAGAAAACAAATAATGATTAGTCTGTCTTGACCTCTTTCCATTTCTGATTATATAGATCTACCCTGCAGTCACTTTGCATTTTATATTTCCATGCACAGATTTCCATTGCATGGCACATATTCATTTTCAAAACACCGGGCAAAAATGCTAGTGGTTTTATATAACTGTGTTAACAATGGCTGGTTATTTCATTGCACTTAAAAGTTAAAACCATAATGACTCCCAAGTCAACGGTTTTGACCAATTTCAAGACTACCTTCTCTTTTTGTTCATTCTGGCATATGTGACACAGGCAATAGTAGATATACAATGAAATACTAAGTGGGTCTGGTACTGTAAATGTCATATTCTGGGTAGATGTGAAGTCTTAACTTGACATCTATGAACTTCTGAGGAGGTGGGTGGCCCACAGTTTTCTCTGAAAGATTAACTCAAGAGGATAAGATAGTCATGTAAAACATTTCAGGCTAAGAAGCTTCCTATTGAATACTGGCCATCTCCAAATACCGCCATCTTAACAGGAATGGGAATGGAATTATTAGGAAATTTTGACTTTGACTTTTCCTTTGCCTATACAGGTAAAATTTAAATTCTAGGATGAAAGTTTCACAATCTGGCTTGAAGATACTAAAATAAACCACCTTATTTTTAATATTTTGTTGGTTAAAAGAATGCTATAATCACATCCTCCTAACTTTTGTCTATAGTGACAAGTTAATTTTGCTAGAACAATTTGCAGAGATGCTGTTTGATATCAATAAGTATCTGCACTTTTAAAACACAGCCATACCATCTTGGTAAATGTTTAACACTGATGGAAAATTAACAGCTAGTTTCTTTAAACTGTTATCTCCAAAAATAAGACTAGTACAGTATTTAGAATTTCCAAAAAAGTATGGCTTGAAAATCCAAGCTGTTTAAGGCAACAGCAATAATTAGAAAGTTTAAGTCTCTGCTTAACTGTCAAATAGGGAAGGGGGGGACAAGAGCATTGGCCACATTCCTCTCCTATTTTGTTAAATCACAGTATATGAAAGAATTCCTCCACAGAATTGCTAGAAACCAATTTGCAGTCAAACTGTTAGCAGTTCATCTGAAATTTAAAATAGGTTTAGTTTAGTCAATGAACCTAGAATAAGAAAGGGCCTATTTCTTTATGAAGCAGGTGGGTTCCAACTTCTCCCTGCTGCTCAAATAAAGTTCTAATTAGTTCCTCTTGATTCCTAAAATGTAGATGCATATTTCACAAGTATAAAAATTACTTTTACCAGTTTTAAACTGTGTTCATTTGGGAGCTAATTTTTTAGATTTAGTCATTTTAACTACACAATCTTGTAGTGGAAGGCATCCAGTTTAGGAGTTTCAGTCAAATTTGCACTGCACTATGCCAAACTTCAGTTTATATGCTCCGAATGGGTATGTGCAAGTATGCATCTAGTTAACAAAACGTTGTGTTTTCCCAGATATTTTCAATAGTTTTATGACAAGTGAAAAAACAAAGTACAGATCAGAATTAGCACAAAAAATTCTGGGCACCTAGACTTGGATTTCATGAGTATGATACTAACTTATTGTTAATATTCAGGGGGTTTCTATTTCAGCAACATGTAATACACAAATCACTAATAAAATAAGTGATACGTCTCACATGGAATTACTGCTTCCTTCCTCCTCCAGTTTAATGTCACCACAAAAAAACTCGGAATCAGATTTTCCCTGAATCTGATACAGGGTGTACAGGGATGGACATGTGGCGATGGGGAGAGTGCAAACAAAAACAAGCTAACTCCTTAGTGAGAACAGCAGAAAACAAGCTAATTTTTTAGTGATATTCCTATTTTGGCCAAAACCTTTGTATGAAATAAGTTACAGCAATAAACTTGCTTTAGACTCCCTTTTTATGATTGAGAACTTTCTAATGAAATAGTTACATATGAGACAGTAGAAAATCTATTAGCATAGAGTAGACATTCAGTAGTGATTTTTAAGGTTTTTCTTCCTAACTGTAGCATATTAGATTTTTTTTTTTGGTAGAAGAAGAAAACCACAGTACCACCCAGGATGATGCCAAGTTTTAAGTTTTTTTTTAAGTTTATTTTAAAACTGAAGGCAGATTATTCATAAAATCATTCTGGAGACTTATTTGGGTTTCTACGACATGTACACAGACAGCCTCTACTGTGCTATATATATTTTGATTACTAGGTATAATGAATACTCTAAACCAAGAGAGTGTGTTTAATGAATAGTATCTTTAAAAGGAGACGATTTTTAACCTTCCAAAACTGAAGAGAACCATCCCTGGCCTTCTTAAAAGATTATAAAATAATGCACACATTTAAAACAATAAATTTTGCCTTCTACTTTTGAGCATGGAATTTAGTTATATAGTAGAGCTGGGGCCTCCAACAAAATCCAGTCACAAACTGACATATTTACAGCGCTGTCAACCAGGTACTTTATGCCCATTCAGAACATTTAAGGGTCCCAATTAACTACTGTGAAACTCGGGACTCAGCCCCACATAAAACTATTAGAGAACGTTTTTTTCTTTTAATCCATGAGAACCATATGCTTAATTTATACTGTAGGATGAAAAGATGTCCTTTTTAGCAAGTTCTACCATTCTGCCATTTTGCATTTGAAACACGGCCCAAGTGTTCTGACTAAGTGAAGTGTACAAATTGTGTAAGCTTTTATATAAGCAATGGTATAAATGGGGTTGCAGTGGGCTGGAGAAACTTTTAATTGCATCCCTTTAATATCCTCCAACTCTGAGCTGCTTAATTCCAAAAAGTGATGTCGCCTCCTACAACCCTTTTCAACTAAATATGATTATGTTTATCAGGAAATGCACTTTGCTAAAGCATAAGCTATTCATGAATATCTTTCTCAGCGTATTACACAAGGAAATTCATCAGGTTTTGACACCTGTTTCAATAATGTATACTTTTCCTAATAAAAGAGGAACTTCTGTCCTGGTATATACACAATCTCTTTGGCAAATATTGTTAAATATTAAAATAAGGTGATCTTTGTTCACAGCCAGGAATACTGGCTTAGGTCACACATAATGCAAATTATTGTTTCAGTATTGCCATTCTCAGGAGTAGTAGCTGCTAACTTAGCAGCTATAGGAACACACCTGCTAATTGTATTCTTTAAAATGTAGACTTCATTACCCATTTCTAAAATATCTTCCTAGTAATTTGTCCAAGATCTCCAGGTCAGCAAAGACTGCTACTCTTTTAAGACCAATACTTTAAGAAACGGAATGAAAACTAGGAACTCACACACTCTGAACTCCACCTGCATCAGGTGGCCTTTCTGCTCCCATAACTAGGACGTTTCCAAATGCACCCCCAAATAAGGTACAATTCCCCAACATCCTAGTTACGGGGTTCTGGCTTCTATCTTTAGGCTACTGGAGGACCAGAAGCGAAATACGACTCCACGTGAAACCAATCCCGGGAGCGGTCAGCACGGACCGCCAACCTCACCCGCTCAGGGTGTTCGCTCTAACTCCACGGGAGTGGCGATTTCAAACCCGGCCGGGAGAGGGAGGGATCAGGAACGTAATGTGACGGGCTCAAGTGACAGCGTCCTCTCTCCAGCCCAACCCTCCCGGGCGGCGCTCCCTCCCGGTGGCAGCGCAGCGCTGGCGCCGGCCAGGTACATTCACGCCTAGCTCCCCTGAGTGTGGATACACGGCCCGCTCCAAGAACGGGGTCAGATCCAGCCCTCGCGCCCCAGTCCGGTCCCAGCGCCCTCTCTGGGAAAGGCGGGCGCGGGCGCGGGGGTGGGAGGCGCCCCCAGGTGTTTTGGCGGGTTTCCGGACACGTGCGCCCGGCGTCCTCCCCGCTTCCCCGCAGCCGGGGCAGAGCCCACCGCACCAGCTCGCGGAGCAGCCGAGCCGCCCGTTACGCCGCTCACCTCCGTCCCCGTAGGTCTCCACGCCGTACCCGTCTTGCAGCCCGTTACTCCAGGTACCCTCGTAGCGAGCGGGGGTGCACAGGCTCTGCCGGACCCCGTAGCGCCCCTTGAAACCATGTGACCACTCCCCCCGGTACATCCACTTGCCCTTCGTCTCCACCCCCAGCCCGTGCCGCTTGCCCTGCGCCCAGTAGCCCTGGTAGGTGTTGCCGCTGGGCCAGGTGTAGCCTCCGACCACCTCGAAGCCGTGCGACCAGGAGCCCGAGTACTCGCCCTGGCCCTTGGGCCCCGTGCAGATGCCATGCCCGTGCGCCTTGCCCTCCTCCCAGCCGCCGCAGTAGGTGCCGCCATCGTCGAAGTCGAACCTTCCGCCCGTCATTCGGGGGGCAGCCCCGGCGCGCTCCCCGCAGGGGCACGGACGCGGGCAGTGCTGGGCACGGCAGGGTGTAGCTCGGGGGTGGGGGCCCGGCGGGCGAGCTCACGACAGCGCCCTGGGCAGCTCGCGCTGCCGCTCGGCTCCAGTCCGACGCCGCCCCCGTCCTCCCTCCTCTTTTGCCGCCGCCACCGCCGCCTTCCTCCTCCTCCTCCTCCTCCTTCGCCGCCGCCGCCTGGGCCAGCGCCGCGCGCGAGAGGACAGCCCAGGTTCCCGAGCGGACCTTCAGCTGCTCCCGCCCGCCCACGTGAGCCGGGCACCGCCCCGCGCCCGCCCCTCGTCCCCTCCCCGGGCGCCGAGGCCCGGCCCCGCGGCGCTCCCGCCCCACCGGGCCCTGCCCCCAGCCCCGGGAGCCGCCGCTTCCTCGGCAGGCGGGCGCGCGCGGGGACCGGCTGGCGCGCATGTGTTCGCGCAGTGGGATGCCGGTGGGAGGGCGAGTGTACCCGGGGACGCACGAGAATCCCTGCCTGGAGATGAAGGCGCGGCTGCCTGTGTGGGGGCCGCTCGCGGGCGCCGGAGCCCCCGGTGTTTGTGTTTGGGGTTTTTCAAAGTGGTTAAGCTCCTGTGAGTGCGGCCACGTGTGTGTTGAGGGAAAACTCATTGTATGCGTGTTTGTCTGCATGGGGTTTGTAGTTGCATTGTTTTCGCATTCCAACTTGTGTACTGTTGCATTTGTCATGCTCAGCTGTCATCGTGAATTAATATCGCCTAGATATATGTATGCATGTGATGTAAATCTGCGGCAGCCTAGATATAATTGTGCAGAGTGTTCTTTTACACCTACCCGTTTCAAAGCACACGTGTTTGCATTTATTTAATGAAGACACTGAGGGTGAGCAGTACAGTTTGAAAAAGCACAGAATATATTGGTTAGTTTTTTATTAATAGTGATGAAGAGGATGTTTTCAATCGGCCTTTGCAGTGGTACAGGATATTCCTTTTACATTAGAGCCTGCCCCCTCTCGTGCCTCGTTTGTGCTTCTTAACAGCCTTAGAGATTCTTGAGCCTGGAGCTGTGTGCCCAACAGGTAGACGGCTCGGTCTGTGTACATTGTATAAGTGTCTGGAATGCACACCTCTCCACTGGTATCCACTGTTTAAGAAAGTAAATAGAGGTTTGCAAGGAGGAATATGGTAAGTAAAGCACTGCTCTAAACTTGCAAAGAAACTGTGACCTACAAAACCAGGGACAGATGTCAGCTGGTCTACTTTCTAGCTACAACACTGCTTTGTCGAATTCACTTTAGGCAACTCTTCTAAACTTTTAAACCTCCATTTCACCATCTTCTGAATGGGACTAACAAGATTTGCCTTTCTCTTTCTATATTCGGTAATAACTGAGTATATTGTGGCTGCAGTGCCAAACCAAAAATTAGAGATTTGGTAATAGGCAAGTTGGATCAGCATTGCCTCTGGTGAGAGAAAGCATTATTCTCCACCTCACCCTCAAAATACCCACGGGAGAAACTTCTCCCACTTTCACAGCCTAGGGTCTTAGTTTGGCCTCTCAAGGAAACTGATTTGGAGTGTATTCCTGCTATTTCTTAGGCTGAGAGGCCTTTGGGTGACTATGCGAGCATCAGAAGCTGCCAAAGGTTCTCTCACTAAGTATTTGATAATCAGATATAGATATAAGGACAGGTGTCAGGAAGACAGCCTGGGAAAAAGTAGACTAAACTGCACAGAAAAGGAACTGAAATTGACCTTGATTGCCTCTCTCTCAGGACGAGAGCCGACCTTTCCTACTTATCTGGCTGAAAGACTGAAAGAAAAATCTCAGTTTATGCAGAACCAAATCACCAAAGAGAATTAGAAGCCCTCATCCATGGCACTGCCCGCAGAGTTGCCAGGAATAGTGCTTACCCTAGTGGCCTGAAATAATTATGCATCTCTCGAAGCATCTTGTCCTGGACTGGGGATTGATTTAGGCCGCTGGGAAGATGAGGGCCAGGGCTTTGCGGCTGAGCCATAATTCCATTTCCCTGTTATGGGATACACCAGAATCAGGAGCTAATGTAGAAAGATGCATTCCCATATATTTTGAGGTTCTGTATGATATGAGAAAAAGTGTGGTTGCTCAAGCCAATATTTTGAATGGGGGAGTCTCTTTCTAAACTAGACTTCCTCATAGAGTAGTCTTTGTCCCTTTGCCTTTTTTTTTTTTTTGGATCCACCCAGTGTGTTAGGACCCATATATGTTCTTTAAGGGGATAAATTTTGGAAACCTTTATCTCTTTATTTATTACTCTTCCTAATTAGTTGTCATGCAAATGAGGGATTTTCTGGAACACAGAGCACAAACCAAGTTTCTGGCTTCTGTAATGGATATCTAGTCTATTTGTGGTGGGAGGTGCACACACATCTGGATTGAATATGAAGATTTGGGGAGGAAAAAAGACATGGCCATTTATTGCTTACTCTTTTCCTGTGGCTATCCCTAATAGATGCCTTGCAAAGAACCTTAATTAAAAGTGAGACTTTACCACTAGGTATGTATGATTAAATTTTAACTAATCTTAATCCTAGCCTAGCTCTGATGTTGACTTTCTTTATGAAAGAAAGTTGGTATTTTTGGTAAATTACTAAACAATTTTTGGCAAATAACCATATAAACCATGCTTCCATTTACCAGCTGCCATCACAATGGAATGTTTACCCAGTCACGAAGACATATGTGTTAGTGTAAGTGTTCAGGGTCAATGGTAACGGTTGGAGAAGACGGGGAGAGAATACTAGGAAGAGGAAGAGATGCTGAGAGTGATGGCATAGCAGATAGTAGACAGTGGAATAATGTTGCAGTTTAATAGTCAGGGTTAGTAATGTCCTTATTTTCCCTCTCCCTCTGAACCTTTGCCCTGGATAAGGGGGAGTTGAATTTAGCTTTAAGAAGGGATTAGTAAGAAGAGAATGTGAATGTTGGTTTGACAGGTGGAACGGGGGAGGCCATGAAAATCCAGGGGCCAGCAACTACCCTATAGTTTGTTTTCCTCCATGTTAAAAACCTAGTTATTATATATTTCCATTCTAAAAAATTTTATAACATATTGTAAGCTATTTTGAGTGTGACTATGACCAGTTAACAACATATTAGTAAGGATGTTTTGCTGGAATTTAATGATGTCTTTCAAAAAATGAAGGTGTATTTAAAAATTTATTGGTGACTTCATTTTATTTACATAGTAGATTAATTATTGGCTGGACAAGGTGGCTCATGCCTGTAATCCCAGCACTTTGGGAGGCTGAGGCGGGAGGATCATTTAAGCCCAAGAGTTTGAGACTAGCCTGGGCAAAATAGGAAGACCCCATCTCTAAAAGAAAAAACAAAAAAACAAAAAAACCCCGACTGATTATTGAGAGTTTTTAATAAAAAATTTACAAATGACAAAAAGCTAATCTGTAGGTGTTTATTGTCTAAAAACCATGATTCAAAGTGTGTAGAAAAACACATACAATTAAAATCACTTGATATATAAGTCAAAAAGTGTTACCATCTTGATTTATACAATCAAATAATCAAAATTTGAATATTTGCAATAAAGAATTTACAAACTCAAGAAATTTGTCCGTGATAAATATAAAAATTAAGAAATATGGTCAGAAACTTTGCAGGCAGTGTGAAATCAGAAGAGGAAGAGAATTCCAAAATTAATGGTCTTCAAGTCTTTTATGGCAACTACTGTATGACAGATACCATACTAAGCTTTTTTTACAGGTATGAATTCATTTAAATCTCATAGTTGTAGATGATTTGTACTAGTCGTACAACCATTTCACAGAAGGAGAAAATAAGGTTTAGCACATTCATAGGTACAGAATTATTCAAGGTAGAAATGGTTGAGGTGGGATTCAAACCCAGGTCTGTGTGACTTTAGAGGAGGTTCTTTATTCCTGTCCTTGATTGGAGAGAGGATGAGAACACATTGAGAGCTTTCAAATGCTCGGCGGAGAACAACAAGGTGCAGTAAAGATGACTTTTATTTCTTATTTTTTTAGATTAGCTGCCTGGGTGAATGATAATGTTGCTGTCTAGATTTTTTTTTTTTTAAAGGAGGAAGGAGAGTAAATTATGGGGGCTGCAGAAGATATATTTATTTAGGAGACAATGA
Source organism: Homo sapiens (assembly GCF_000001405.40). Lineage (NCBI taxonomy): Eukaryota > Metazoa > Chordata > Mammalia > Primates > Hominidae > Homo > Homo sapiens. The sequence goes on from NC_000008.11 coordinate 74,325,448, forward strand.
TCCAGAAGTATACCCCAGAGATGATCAGTAGGCAATTCAGTAGGAGAGGTCAAAAATTAAAAATAAGTAGGTTGATAAGTAAATAATGCCCATTTTTCTTCTTCCTCTGACAGCCGTTGTTCAGTAACATCCCCTTCTGAGACTTCCACTATTCACTCGGGCCTCGGACATAGCCTGGACTTGACTTTGATCCAGCAAGTAAGGTCCAGTAAGGCCAACTCTCTGGAATTTGAGAGTATAGGTCCAGCTGAAAATTGCAAACTGGGATTTTACAATTCCACTCTGACGGCGTTCCCTCATTGCCACTCTCACTGAACACTCCGTTGGTTCTCCTCAAAGTCCTCCATGCTACATAGCACAACTTTTCCCAGGCAGATTCCTGATATTTATCACCATCCTGGAGCCCATCTCCACTGCAGCTTTCTCCTGCTGAGCAGAGGACACTGTCTTCTGTCTCACAGAGGAAGAAGGAGCTAGGAACACTTGCACCTTTCCTCTCTTCAAAAACTTTACACAGGTTCCCATTTTCTTCCTCTTCCCATTCACCTGCCTCCAAGAGGAAAAGATAGCCTTTTTCCTCCCCAAGTTCTGGGTCAGTTCCTTCTCTCTCTCTCTGTCTTTCTCTTTCTCTCTTTTTTGAGATGGAGTCTCGCTCTGTTGCCCAGGCTGGAGTGGAGTGGTGCAGTCTTGGCTCACCGCAACCTCTGCCTCATGGGATCAAGCAATTCTCCTGCCTCAGTCTCCTGAGTAGCTGGAATGATAGGTGTGTGCCACCACAACTGGCTAATTTTTGTATTTTTAGTAGAGACGGGGTTTCACCATGTTGGCCAGGCTGGTCTCGAACTCCTGACCTCAAGCAATCCACGCGTCTTGGCCTCCAAACCTTCTCTCTTTTAAATATGTTTTAATTTCTTCTCTTTCAGCCAACAAACAAGCTCTTGTGTTTTCCATATTAAAACAGTCCTAATTTGCTGGTCTACCATCTCCTTAAGTCCTCTATGTCTTTTCTTGAAACTGCAGATCTTGAAAGAGTGTATTCTGGTCTTTATGTCCCTGCCTCCAATTTACGTACTACTTGATTTGGATTCTGTTCTCACCGGTCTAGTGAAGCTTTTCTAGCCATTAGGGACCTTCTGTTTGACAGATATGATGGCATATCTTCAGTTCCTATCCTGCTAGTGGCAGCAGTGAATTTTATACTTGGGGACACTCATCTCCTTGGCTTCTATGATGCCCATATTTGTGCTTCTCTTCTCCCTCTTCATCTCCCACCACTTCAGCTGTGTCATTCTCTGTGTATTTTTCATCTTCTTATCCCTTTCTAGTCTCCTTAACTTTATGCTATCTGTTGTTTTCCAACTATTAGCCTTATGGTACCAGAATTTTGTATAATTGCTGGATATTTGTTGGCTTATCTTGTATAACTAGGCAATCCTGCCCTAGAAGCCAAGAGTCTGATTTAGAAATAGTCTAATTCTGATCTAAAAACACCAGCTGAGCCTATTTAACTTTCAAGGGCAATGCTTTGGTTTCTTCTCATGATGCGTCCCTTGTGGCCCTCTGCCTCCTCTTCCTAATGGGGAAAGCTCCACATAGACCTGGACACCATCCATGTCTAATGATGAGGCTCACAGAGGGTTTCAGGAAAGTTCTAACAATAAAAAAGGTAACCTCAGATGAAAGGGAGACTTGAAAGAGTGGTAACTTGAAGACAGAGTGGATTGCAGGTCTGTATTAGAGGTGTAGTGCCTGAACCAAACCACAAAATGTGTACGTATATGTATGTATATGTGTGCATATGTTTATTCATCTTATATATGTGTACATGGTTACTGTCTTAGGTATGGAGACATAGAGAAGTAAGGCTCAGCCTTTGCACTTAAGGATATAAAATATCTCTAAAGAGACAGGAGATGAAAAAGAAAAATAATAAAAATACAAGGGAGATAACTACAAGTAGCCAATAAGTGCCAAGTATCGTAAGAGTTCAGAGGACAGAGTGATTTAATGGATTGCTATGGTTGAAACAATTTTCAGTAATCATTGGCATGTTGTTTAACTTTATGGATATAGTAAAGGCATACCCTTCTAGATATTTATAATGCAATGATCTTCTTGAATTAAGAGGCACCCTACCAAGGGAAGGAATGAAGGGAATGAAGGTTTACCACTCTTTCAAGTCTCTCTTTCAATCTGTGATTGTAAGAACAGAAGAGACTTCCTGAAAAAGAAATCCCAGGCATCCGAGGAGACATGGCGATGAGTTCATCTCTCATCCTACATTTAAAATCACAACGCTTTGTTCTGAAACTATGACTGAAAGGCAACTCAGTATTTGAAATTGCACGACTTGGAGATAGCAAGGGAATCTAAAAGCATTTTGAAGAGTGTCAGTATTGAGATGTTGTTAAAAGTTGTAAAAATTGATGAGATAACCTTTTCATAAAGCAGTTGCATAAAGAAGGGAGGTACACAATATTGTTGAAAGCAAAGGAGTAAGTAGCTACTAAATGACTCATAGCTGAAGGAAAGAAAAACGCAATCAATTATTAGACAGTAAAAGAAATGTAAATTATAATTGAGGAGTGAATGGTTCCAAGAGCTCAGGAATGGGATTTGAAACAATAGCCAATAATAGAAGAGGCTTTCCTCTAACTGAATGACAAGGGGGGATGTGGTATCTTTGCCAAGAGTTGCAGTACCAATCTGCATATCAGCTCAGCATGCACACCTCAAAGCCCTTGTAGGCCATTCTTCAGATACTGATTGCATTCCAAATAAAGCTTAAATTCCTCTTCCTTTCCTTCATCCCACTCTAGCATTTTTGTCATCTCTTGCATTTTACATCATTTTCATGTGGCAAGCACTTTTTAAAGCTTACAGAGACATCAGAACACCCAAAGAGTGGCTGTGGAGGCTCACTGCTCAGATCTGCCTTCAAGAGAACCTACAGTTTGGAGGGTACTTGGCAAAGAGACTCCAGCTGCCACAACTTCACATCTCCTGTGGGTTTTGCATCAAGGCCACTGCCCCTGACAACCCCTCCAAGTTAAGGGTAAATTGATGCATCTTGCATCCTCTGCTACAAAAAGGAAGCAGAACACCTGGTAGGCCTACTCTTTGGTTCTGGAAGCAACACATACACACTTAGACACTACTTCAGCTTATGTGCTAGGTGACACAGAAGGGAGGCCACCAGCTTTGAGAGGGCTCAGACCAGGAAGGGGTTTTTCTAGAGGCTCAGGTTGTGATGCAAGCAGCCCTGCCTCTTGGGCCATATGATCAGGCAGATCCTATGGTGTTGGAGGTATCAGTGGTGAGAAAAGATATATGAAGATTATGGCAAGCCCCTGTGGAAGAATCACAGTTGCAAGTCTATGGGGATCTAAAGCAAGGATCTATATCATCTGCAACAGGCAATCTTACATCTTTTGAGAAACAGTTTACTTGAAAGTTACTTGGCCTTGGTAGTAAAGGAGTGCTTGACCATGGGAAAAAGTGCCTGTTCATTCAGAATTTCCCATTATGAGCTTGAGTCCTCTTGACTCAAGTCTTGACAGACCCAGAAGCAATCTATTGTGAGTTGGGACTGGGATCCCCAGGAGCAAGCTGAGGGGGACCAGAGGGCATGAAAAGCTGCAAGAACAGGTTGCCTTTTCTTGAGGGCTGTGTGGGACAGACCCTCATGTCCCCCACCTGGGTTCCACTGGTTCACTTCTCTGAGCAGATTGGGGTTTCAGATAACTAGCTGAAGGGGGAGGAAAAACCTTTATCTGGTTTACGGTTGGATGAGCTCAGTATGTGGATGTAGCTGAAAATGAATGGAGGCTGCATTACATCTACACTCAGGAGTGGTCTTGAACATCTGTAGACCGGGAAAATCTTTCCAGTGGGCAGAACTGTGAATGTTGAACCAGTCATGTATTTTGTGTGGAAGGGAAAGTGGCCCCAGGTGGGAATATTTATATAGATTTCTGAGCAGTGGCTAACAGCGTTGCCTGGTCAGAGGCTGGACAGAGAAGGATTGGAAGACTGAAAACATGGAGGTCTAGGCTAGAGACATGTGGATGAACATATGGGAATGGACACAAAGTGGAAGAGGCACTGAAAACCCAAGTAGATGACAGGACTCAGCCAGTTAATGTCAGCCTTCCTCAACAGACATCCCAGATCTGGAGCAAGGGGCACATGAGCTTAGTTGCCTCAGTGGCAGAGATGGAGGTTGTACCTGGGCCCAAGAGCAGGGACTGCTGCTTATTGAGGTTGGTTTAACTACTCCTAACTTTGTAAGTCAGATCTGTTAGTAACAGAGAGTATTCCTTGCAAATATCAATCACCTACTTGGTGGTAAGTTGAGTATATTAGACTCATTTCAGCCTAGAAGAGCCAGTGGTTCATCCTTACTAAGGATAGACGTTCTGGGTATGGATTTACCTTTCCTCCCCACAGAGCCTCAGCCTGTACCAGCACTGTCCAGTGGCTTATAGAATACCTGATTCACAAGCGTGGGATTTCACACATAAACTCCAACCAGGGGACCCACTTCACCGTGAAGGAGGTGCCAGAACGAGCCCTGATTGTGGGGTCCGCTTCGTCTTAGACACTGTATTACTGCTTACCTCTGTAATATTTCAGGGGCTAACCTCATAGAATAATGGAATGGTCTCCTAAAGGTACAGCTATAATTCTAGTTTGCTGGTAATAATCTGCAAAGATGGAGTGGCATTTTTTGGGGTGTGATATATGCACAGAATCGGATTTCTCTATGACACTATCTCTAATAGGGAGGACATAGAAGCCTAGGAACTAAGAGGTAGAAGCAATAGTACCTCACTTATTATCACATCCAGTGTCTTTCCTATCGGTGCATCTCTGGACTTTGCAGGGTTCCCAGAGGGGAAGCACTCTTGCCAGGGGACAAAGCAGAGCTGCAAACTATGGCTCCTGCCTGGCAGATCCAGGGATTGTGCCCAGGGATCAGCAGGTAAGAAGAGGAATCACCATATTGGCAGGAATGATTGACTTTGATGAGCAGAAGGAGGCTTTTATATAACGGGGACAGAAAAGAATATGTGCAGACCCAGGTGATCCACTTAGGTGCTTCCTGGGACTCTATGGATCCCTTGTATCCATGGATGCAGTCATGTGGCAACCCTGGTCTGAGAAAGGTATGACTTACAAGGGGTTCAGACCTTCCAGAAATGAAGGATTAGGTTATACCACTAGGTAAGCCACTAGAACCTACTTATGTGATAGCTGATGGTGAGGAGAATGAAGTAAAGAAAAGGGAGAAGATGAGAACCATTTTTAGCCACAAGGCTAACTTCAGAAACAGGGACTGCTATTTGTCCCATTAACTTCCCTTATCAGAGCTTCCCTTCAGGAAGAAAGGCCCCCAGGAACTGCCCCCAGATACATGTGAAGACAATCTCTGCAGTGCAAGGGGAGATTGTGGTGGTCATAGATGTGCACCACTCAGATCTTCCTTCAGGAGAACTTGCTGTGAGAGAAGAGGTTGGTGAACATCCTGTAGCTGCTGCACCTTTGAATTCCAATAGCATTCATGCTGAGGCCACACTGTCTAAGCTGTTTCTAGCCAATAACCAAGCACAGTGGGATTCCAGGAACTGGGTCATTCCTTCTCAACACAGACCTCCTCTGATGGGTGAGATTTCCTGTGCTCCCCACTGACCTGGCTAAAACCTTTTAAGGGCTACACTGCAGTCTGAGCCTTTTCTACACAATTCTTCCTTCCCTGCTTTCCTTTCATGGGTTTCCCGCCTACTCCTGCTTCCTGTGGTCTTTATCCTGCATGTGTGTCTGATTCTATCCTGGAATCTGCTTCTTGGAGACCTTGAACTGTTACACACGGTGGTCTTTAAAGAACACACAGCTAACACACACATGCACACATACACACTTACATTTACAGGTGGTTCTTGGTCAGAGAGAGATGGAAAGTCTAAATCACAACTTACTAAACTGAGTTTAAAATCAGATTTCCTGGTTCTTAAAAAAGAATGGGGAAGCTTTCTATGTACTGATATGGAAAATCCCCAAGATCTATTAGATAGAAAAGAAAGCAAGATATTGAACAATGTATGTAGTATGCTATAGTTTGCTGTATTTGTACATATGTAAAAACCTGTAAAGATACAAATAAAAATCAAGGGGGTGAGAGTAGGAAAGCTTTGCTGAAGAGCAATTTGAAACTTGAAATTATAGTACTTATTAATAATTAAATTGAAATGTCAGTCTTCAGCATCTTAGCATTTTATTATTTTAGTTATTTGAAAATTCCATTCTGTATATGTAACTGAATAGAACCGCCGTTAGGCAGATGATGCAATAGCCTGTGTAAAGCAATAAATGGACTTGATAAATTTTAGGACCCTCCAAAACTTACCATCTGAAATGGGAAAAGACTGCCTGGGTAATACAGATGGTATGAGTGATTTCCGACTCACCAACTGATTGAATAATTCATAGACTGTCTCCCTGTCTGTGACAGAAGTGGACATTTAGAAACCTCCAGCTGTGTCAGCCCTGCCATATTGGTTGTTCTGAAAGTTTTGCTATTTCTAGAAAGAAGTATGCACCATCATTTCCTTCGATGTAACAGCCTATGCTAAATCATGCCTTGTTTCCACACCTCAGATCCATACTAAATGTTCCTTTAGGACTGATAACTTCATCAAAGCAAAGGTGAGAATCCTTTGGTGAGCATTTTCAAAAGATGCTTGTGTAGGTTCTGCTCTCCTCTAGCAAAATGACAGAGTGGCCCCATCTTATATATTCTGAGAGCTTTCCTAACAATCCTAATGTACTTATCTGATGGAGAATCATTATCATAGGGCGATTTCCAAAACTCCCCTGCTGACAGTCACCGAGGGGAACTTATTAAATACAGATGCTCTTTGACATACTATGGGATTGTGTCCTGATAAACCCATCATAAATTGAAAATATTGTAAGGCAAAAGTGTACTTAATACACCTAACCTACTGAATATCATAACTGAGCCTTGCCTGCTTAAAAGGTCTCAGAACACTTACATTAGCTTACAGTTGGACAAAATCATCTAACACAAAGCCTATTTTATAATAAAGTATTGAATATCTCATGTAATTTATTGAATACTGTATTGAAAGTGAAAACCAGAATGACTGTGTTGGTACTTGAAGTATGGTTTCTATTGAATGCATATTGCTTTCACACCATCATAAAGTCAAAAAAATCCTGAGTAGGGGACTGTCTGTATACACATGCCCAGGTCACCAATGCCAAGCCCACGGAATCAGATGAATTCTGATTCCGTGGGCTTGGCATTGAGGTTCAGGAATCTGTGTTTTCAGGAAATACACTGAGTGCTCTTCAGGGAAACATTGTTATAGGGTAATCCTCTCCTGTGGACTACCTTAGATTCTTTAAGCTAGTCAAATAAGTTCAAAGTTGTCTAACACTAGTGATCCCAACATGACTTTATTTTTTTTCACATGAATTAGCTCTCAAAGTGCTTTCATAGTTATAAAGAATATCCTTCTCCTTGTCAATTTAAAACCAAAATTCAAAGGTACTATATAATAGCATGTCTTCTAAGGATAAGTGTACAATGGATAGTTGACATTTACAAAACAAAACCAGCCATTATGAGGTGGCCTTGAAACCAAGACCTTAACAAAACCCTGATAACTAGGCCAAACCAGTGGGTGGACTTGTAAGTTGTCTTCTCTTGCCCAACATCTGGAGACTGAACTCAGGAGGTGCTGTCTAGGGACCACTGGTCTTGGGAAGTCTGTCTCTTTCATCCACCTAGGAGAAGTAGTGGGGCTCAGTATCTGGGATAAGTAAGCCCCAAAGAGCTCTGCTTTTAGGTGATGACACAGTAAAGTACTCCCTGCCCTAGCCCTTTGTGGTTTCCAGCCACTTTAGAATGGCTGGAACCCTTGATTGAGCTGACGAGTTTCATATGGCCCTGGACTAGCTGGACATTGTGGCAACTGGGCACATTGGCCTGTCCCTGTTTGTGAGTATCAGCATCTGGATTAGCTGGATTTCCTGTCTACCACTCCTGGGGGTTAAGAGCAATGTTGAGACAGGAGGGGTATAGGGTTGAACACACAGGAAGAGAGTATGTTCAAGTGATCCTGGGACCACCTACTTCAGATTTTTTTTCAAGATGCTCTTTATTGTTGGATGAAAAAAACCAAATTTTTCTTTTCTACTACTATAAGCGTGTGGTGACTGCTGAATCATATATATCCCAAGAACTACTCTGTCCAAGCAGTAGTGGAATTTTGCCTACAAAATACAGCTTCTGAGGTCATTTTCATACTGACTATGGTGTATATTTTGTCTCTGATTAATGTCTGAGGAGGATCATCTTCAAATGCTGTTTCAGTTTATGATTCTTCCTGTCAAAGGCCACAGGTTACTTATTCTCAAAATGTATTGTTCTTTTAGATTGTTCCATGTTAACATAATTCATTAATTAAAATATTTAAAAATGTTAGAAAAGGTCTTTTCCACTCCTTACAGCTATTTCAGTGATGTGAATATCATCTTCAAGATTTCCTTTTTTCATTTACTGAATATATATGTAGCAAGTACCTTCTAAATAGAGTGCTTTGTAATGGGTATAAGGTCGTTAACTCCCTGCCCTCAGGGAATTTACAGTCCACTGAAAGGATAGATATTAAATCAATATATCATTGCCAATTGTTGTGCTACAGAAGAAACAGTAGTGCTATAAAAAAGAATAGCAAGGGATACTTTGAGTTAGATTGCAAGATCAGGGAAGGCCTCCCCATCCATCCCTGCACCCACCTACCCATCCATCCATTCATTTGTCCATTCATCCACCATTTATTCATCTATCTGCCTGCCTGCCCATGCATCCATCCATCCAACCATCCATCTACAGTCTATTTGTCCATTCACCCACCCATCCGTCTGTCTATCCATTTATCCACTATCCACCCACCCGTTCATCCATACATCATCCATCCATCCATCCATCCACCTACCCACTCACCCATCCATCCATCACTCATCCATCCATCCACCCACCCATTCATCCATCCATCATCCACCCACCCACTCACCCATTCATCCACCCACCATCTATCCACTCATTCATCCATCCATCCATGCATCTACCATCTATTCATTCACCCATTTATCTACCCACCTTTTCATCCTTCATCCATCATCCACCCATCATCTATCCATCCACTATCCACCCATCTACACACCCATCCCTCTATGTGGTCGCCTTCCGCCCATCCACCCATCCATCCATCCATCCACCCATCCACCCATCCATTCTTCCAATAGATATTGCTCAGATGCTTCTCTAAGAAAGTGACATTTAAGCCGAGCTCTGGAGGATGAGTAGGAGACAGCCAGAAAAGTAAGTAGTTCAACTGGAGAAGAGGAAATAATTATGAAAAGAGTGTGGCACAATGAGTGTGGCACATTGAAGGGACTGAGAAGGCTCATTGAGCAAAGGAGAGGATCTTGGTGAGAGATGATGGTGGGGAGGAAGGCAGGGACCAGGGCCTGTTTGTGATCTTACTCTAAGAGTTCAGTAAGAAGCAATGACTGTTTAGTCACTCCTCCCATAGCTGAGGTTGGGCAGAGAAAGCAAAATAGGCAGAAGTGTAGTATTAGAAAATACAAAAAGGTTGTTAAATTCTAGCCCTCCCTATTGGTTCTGATACGTATCCTGAAGCAAGATGTGACCCCTCTACTATAGAACAGTGTTTATTTTTAAACTTGAGAAATCCAGGAATAACTTTTGAAAGAAAACAAAAATGTGTTCAGACCTTTCTCCCATGGTGGATTAAATTTTATTATTTTTATTTAAATTTACAATCATTGTATATGTGTACTTTGATACATAAAATATAAGATACACCTCCGTATGCTTATAGTTTATTTACAACATAAAGCTAACATAATTGAAAACAAATAATATTCAAGTTAACAACCTGAATTTAGTGTGACAGATGATGTTTTTCATTTTAAAATGTTACGGTACTACCCATGGAGCCACACTCCTAATTTCAGCCCATGCGTCCTGCTAGATGCTGTTCAGGACTCTGCTTTGTGATCTAGTAGGAAGTCTTTCTTTGTACAGTGTGCTGGCATACCATTTGGCTATTGCTCGGTGGAGATGCATCAATTATGTATTAGGTCTGCTTTTCTTCTCATTAGTCAGAAACAATTAAAGTAGAAGGACTTAGTGCCAAAGTCAGCCTAAACATAAACATAAAATCAGCCTCTGAAATCAAGTAACAGCCCATGGAGATGAAAAATCTGGAAAGAATCAGCAGACCCCTTAGGATACATGGGTGAACTCCCATGGGTACGTGGACTTCTGTTTGGAATCCTGAGTGGATTATTCCTAGAGGAAAAAAAATAAAGGTAATGATTTCTTCTCACATAGATCCATAGGGACAGGATAAATTATACCTTTTAACATCCTAAAAAGGGATCATTAGACCCCAAGGTTTGGTATGGTCAAGATCAAGTGATCATTAAGATCTGAGACTAAGGAGAGACCAACTTGAGCGAGATCACACATCTCTGTGATTCCTGCTTATGGTATCCAGGACAAGCAGAATTAGAAAAAGGCGACTGAGAGGTCTTTGCCTCCTTGGCCATGTGGCTGAAAAAGGCTTAGAGAACTAGGCTCCAAAGTCAAGTCCACAAACTGATCCATTGGTTGTGGGAAGAAAATATAAGAGCCCTGGAAAACCTGAGCCCTGTTCTCAGGCACATAAAGAACAGTTCGCAAGGAAGTTTGAGTAGAGGCCCTGTAAAACTGAGAGCTCCAAACACTTTGTATAACTTGCCAAATGCAAAGAGCAGCCAATAAAAGAAATGTACATTTCATGACATGGCAGAAAGTGGTGTAGTCTCCATTTGTAAGCGGATTAGGTTAATATATATGAAATATCAGCTTAAGCTAGTTTCACTGTTTTCACAAGTCTTCTCATCATTCAACAATGTTCATTACTTCAGGAGCAGAGGAGGTCAAATTACAAAGGGTGTAAACTTGAAACTTCCAACTTGAAAACGGATTTTAACTTTAGAAGAAATGATATGCAAGAGATCAAGGCTAATATTTGTAAGGTTCAGGTTTTGTTGAAAGGAGGAAAAAACGATTTATGGGGTTCCCCGAAATTATCAATTGGAGAATTGAATACAGGAGTTTGACTGTGAAACATAGATGAGGGAGGATGTAGGACATGATATCAGAGCATTTTGGAGAGGTCTGCAAGAGGGAGTGGGGATAGAAGTTTCCAGATTTGAGTATCTGAGGGCACAAGTGTCTCAAATGAGACTTCCTCTCTATGTCTTAGGAGAAGTTGTGTTAGCAGCCTCATCAAATATTCAGAACCAACTCAGGACAGCCACTGTAGGATAGAGGGGTTGGTTTTGGGTATTTAGGCAGAGCCTGAGATAGCCCTGTAGCGGACCCTCTAGTGCTGCACAGACACACTTCTGGGATCCAGCATTCAGTTGCTCAGTTGATGTGAGTGTTGGCAGCTGATGCCTGTGACTGAGTCCTTCTCCCAGAATTGCTCTTAGCCAAAGAGGGCCTCCTAGTGAGAGGCCATGCGAACTCGCTGGGGGCAGCCCACATCGAATAACTGATAGACTGTCGGGGAGATAAAGGTCTGGCTCCCTTGCCTCAATTGGAGCAGCTCACAAAAGCTGTCCCAGCTCCAGTTCCCTGTACACTCAGCTTCTTTGCAACTGTGTGGCAGCTCTAACTTCTCTCTGCTCAACCTGGCTCCCCTCACTTCTATGGATGTTGTATGGAGAACTCTTGCGAATAAACCTTCTGTAAGCAAATCTCAAAGTCTGTTTCCTGTGAAGCTGTAGCTACAACAAGCCTCTGTAGGTCCTCTGGGTCATGAATTGAAGTTTGGAAGAAACTGGAGATGAGTTCTCCTGGCCTAACCTAGGTAAGAGTTGCAAGCTGGTGGGCTGCCGGTGGGTTGCTGTGGTGCAGTGAGAGGTGAGGCTTTGGGTGTGCATCACAAAGGGACAGGCTGGATGGAAGACATGGCTGTATTTCACAGGATCAGTTAGAGCCAAGATTGAGTCAGCCTTAGGGAGGAGGAGTGGCCACCCACACGCTGACTGTGCTGGGAGGCTTGACCAAGAGTGACCTCAGATATGAAGCTTTCAGCAGATGCAGCAAGGCCAGAGGTCAAGTGCCAAAGATGGTGGAAAAGGCACTTAAAGGGAGGCCAGTGAGGACAAGAGGATGTTTCTTAAACCAGATGCCCCTCCCCTGAGGCAAGAGGATACCAAGCCACCCGAAAACTAGATCCGTTCTCCACCCTTCCTCCCACCACCAGAGGGACAGAGAAAGGTGACTGAATATTTACCTGAAAAAGGATTATATTATACTAGAGGTAGCCAAGTTTCCCTGAAAGGGACAAAATGAAGAGTTTTTCCACCATCAGTAGAAATGGGTCTTTAGAATTACTAATTTTGGTCCTAGAGAAATAAGATAGCTTCATTTGTACACATCTGTGATGTAATTGTGCAGAAATATGCAACTGAAAAGAGGGAAGAAAAAAACACGTCAGTGCAGAAAAGCCATATATGTGATATATATATTCATTTATTGTAAGATTATATATATATTTACATATATATATCACTTTCTTGGCACTAAGAACCAGGTCTTGTTCTAAGGCTATTATTTAAATAATTCTATAGTTTATGGACTTCTCAGTCTCAGAAAATTAGCCGAGCCTTCAGCTGATAGTGCACTTTTCAACCTGAATGTTGAAAAGGTATTTCCCCGGCAGACAGCCAGAAACATTGGAATGTGGAGCACAACTCCTGTGTATTGTCATTTTAAGACTGAACGGACAGGTTGAGCATGAACTACAATGGATCCAAAGGAAACTTGCTAGAGTGAGGTTAAATGTCCCTGCACTAAAATGCAAACAAGGCTCTTGTTCTCAGCCTTTTGATTTTTCTAACTGCTTTTTCAGAGATTTCTCTCATTTAATTCTCACAACAAGCCTAGAAGGTGGCTACTGTTATGACCTTAATTTTACAGAGGAAATGGCATCTTCAAGCACTTCCACACCTGGGCTGTGGCCAAGCGGGGCTCTACACCCACAGCCCATGCTCATCACCTCTGCAACCTGCAGCCTCCGCTATACTGTTCTGCTTCTGTGTACATTTCAAATCAAATTTGCAGAAGAGCACAAAGAATCTGAACAGTCATTTTAGCAAAGCTAAAATGTCACATGCATATGATGAACTAGGTGCATACAGACATGGAGGGAGCCAAAATCAGTCTCATTTGTTGTTTTTCTTTCTTTCTTTCTTTCTTTCCTTTTTACAACCCCAAAAAGCAGGAAGAGTCCTTCTCTTTTGGTGCATCATGTAATGCATGTTGTAATTAGTTATTTATGTATCTAAGTCCTTCATTTAGAAAACCTGTGTATACTTACGTCCCAGGAGCCGTCACCTGTGCCTTGTATCATTTTATCCTTAATTGGAGTTTCGGTGGCTTGTCATTTAGTTTCTTTCACGTCACAAAAGAGGAGTGTCTTAGGAAGAGTGGAGAGACTGAGCTCACACACAGGCAAGTAGAAAATCTTCAAGTGTTCTGGCAACACTTGGACACTCCCAACACTCCGCAGTGAAAAAGCCAATATTTGCCAAATTTCTAAGCTGTGCTTATCAGTCAAACTGTTTTTTTCACCCCCCGCTCCCCCCGCCCCCACCCTTTATCCATCTTTTCTTTCCTTAACAAGGTTACCACCAATAGCTGTTTATGGTACTAGTGGGATGCTAACAGTACACGTTTAAAATGTAGGCCAACAGATTTTGAAGCTTTTGATGACATACAGCAGATAGATTTGGAAATGCCTAAGAACTTCTCATTTTAACTTTCCTCCTGATAGAATCTATTTGTATCACTGGTTTTAGTCTTGTAGACTTGGAGGGAGTGGTGAAAGATGAACAGGCAGGGCTCAGCCACAAGGGGAGAAAAACGTCATCCACCCCCCAGAATAGCAACAGCAATAAATATGGTCATGTCGCTCTTCTGCTGAGGCTAAAACGACAGACAGGATCACATTTACGGCACCCAGCAGGCCCACTGCTATGAGGGGTGGCTCAGGGCTTTGGAAGCAACGTGTACAAAAGTTGGTGCTGATTTCAGAGCTGTGACTTAGCACAGAAAGAAACAGGGCATAGGGTCTAGACCCCAACTCAGAGCTAGAAGGGGCTTGGCACCCTCTTGGCCACAGGGGAGGACATTCTAAATCAGCTTTCAGGACAACTGGCTCAGGGCTCTTGAGAGCGGAGCTGAGAACTTCCCTGCATGTCTGCCTGAGAACTTGCTGTTGTCTGCAGCTGCCACAGCCGTGAAGGCCCAGATGTAATCAGGAAGGTAAAAAAGAGGGCTCTCATTGATCATCAGTTATTTAAAGAGGGCCCATCAGATTTCAGTGACTTCTTTGCACAGAATCAGCACCTTTGCTCTGGGAAGTCTAACAGGAAGGAATATCTCCCTTCAAAACTCATCAAGGCTTCCCTTCCAGACCAAGCCACTGGATTTTAGCCATTAAGGCTCTAGATGCCTCAACTTCATCTCTCTATTTTCATATATATTCCAATTTCATATACTAAATGTCCATATCTCTGGGGAGTTGTGTTTTTACCATCTTCTTTTGCCACTTGAAACTGGTAGGATGGGGCTTATGCATTTTCATAACTTGCATACAGCAGGAGTCTCTTAGGCTGAATAGTTTTCAAGCTAACATATGTAGCTGATTCTTCATATGTGCTTTGGAAACCAAGGCATCACCTGAATTTGACCAGTTTCCCTTTTTTCTGTTAAACTTCCCTGCTCCAAAATGATGCAGTTTCATAAAGTGAAGCTTTTCCGCTCTGCCATCTTTGTGGTTCACCGACTTTTCCAACCTGTCCCCGCAGGGAATCCCTGGAAGCAGGTTCACTTTGGCCACATCACCCCTTTCTCTCATGGAACTTTAGTAACCACAGACTCAACTCCGTGCTTTCATTTGTTTCAATTACATACTGAGGATTTAAATTGATCTTTTCTTTATGGATTGCAATATTACTTTTATTTGAAAAATATAGTACTTAAGTGAAAGCCAATGTTGTTTTACACTTTGGTGTCTCTGTAAAATTCAGCACTATATTCTATTGTCACTGTTATCTTATGCTTCTTTAGGATCTTATTAAGACAAACAAGGTAAGTGAAGTATGTTTTTATAGTACTGTAATCATTCTCATATTTGTGCTGTCACTGTCCTTGGTAACGGGTGGTTAAGAAAAAAAAAATCATACCAGTGTGTTGAAGCTGGTGCCAAAGAAACATAAATGATTATTGCTGCTCATTGTCTGCTGCTGCCCAGAACTTTAACTTGCCCTATTTATACAGTTACAAAGCAAAATCTTACTTAGAGAAACCTTTGCAACATTAGCATTTTCTTTCTTTAAAGCTTATGTCTCTGAGTTTTTATGCCGTGTTTCTCACGTAGCCAGAGACAATGCAGACATAAATTAACTTTTCTGTGTATTATTTAGTGACGAAAAGAACACAACAGCAAGGATGTTTGAAAAATAAATTCCAGTGTATTCTTAAATACTCTAATTTGAATGACAAAGCTATATTCCAAATGATCTTAAGTCTCTGGAAAGATTCCTTTAAATATGAAAAGAGAATGATAAAATAAGATGTCCAGGAAGACTACTTGAATCATTTACTGGGAAATAGCAAGAAAAAGGCACTCTCCACTGAGAGGATAGTTAAAATGTACAGAAACACATTTTAAATTAGTAAGAAAGCACTTAACTTTAGGAAATATAACTAATTAAAAGCTGCA
Organism: Homo sapiens; assembly: GCF_000001405.40. Lineage (NCBI taxonomy): Eukaryota > Metazoa > Chordata > Mammalia > Primates > Hominidae > Homo > Homo sapiens. The sequence continues at coordinate 74,341,350 of NC_000008.11, forward strand.
ATTTCAAACCTAAGCATTAAGTATCCTCTGTGCAGTGTGCGTTTCTAAGATTGTGTCTAAAATATCCTACAGGCTTTTATAGTTGCATTTATAAATATAACTCTTAATTATTCTTAATAAGACAAATGTTTGTGATACTATTAGTTTTATTCAAATATTGGATGACAGTGGGAAGTGCCTCCTTTTTTTCTCCTAGATTTTTCTTACTTTCATACTATAAGTGATTTTTGCAGAATATTAATATAACCATTGAGATGTTCTTTTAATGATTTTCAACAGGCTTAGCATGAAGTCAAGAAAAGAATCTGTGGAAATATGAGTAGTATTTAAGAATTTTTATTATTTGTTATTTCTTTCATCAACTGTAATTTCCAGCTAGTGGTGATTATTTCACATGTATTTTTGAAGTATAAATACCTAAAATTCATTGTAAACCATTAGAGAGAATTGCCAAAAATGAAGTTACAGAGTGCAGCCAATCTGGCAGGATACACTGGAGAACACATTATTAGCTGACATTTACCCAGAGTATTCAAAAAGTCAGTTATTTTTACCATTCTATCATTATTATCTATTATACTTCTTATGTGCCATGTGCTAAAATTGTGTTAGTTAACATGTTAAAAATCACAATGAATCCTCAAAATATCCCAATAAAGGTGGTGTAATTACTTTACCTGGATTATAGATGAGGAAGCCGTGCCCATGATCACATAGCTAGTGAGCAGTGAAGCCAGATTTGAATCCAGTTCTGGCTTTAGATTTTGAGCTCTTAACTACAACTCCATATTCTGGAGTGAAGGGTAATGCTATGTTACAGTGGAGAAATTACATGGTGAAGCCATTGCCCTCATACACTGGGAAGATTCCATGACCGAATCAATGTGTCCAAAAGCCAAGAAACTGAACTGAAGTCAGGCTGTGTTGCCAATAGGTAAAGAGAGGGCTCTAGAGTTGGTTCTGCATACAAGCTGAGGCAAGTGGTAGGCCACACCGAGGCTGTGGGAAATGATTAGAGCATACAGTGAGTTTGCAGCTAGAAGCGCTGGGTTTTAGTTCCAGCTCTACTGATTATTAGTGAGGTAGTGAACTTCACACCTCAGTGCTAATTTCTTATTTCTACTGGAAGGGTTGTTGGAAAAATCAAATGAGTACTGTTTACAAAGGCACTTTGTAAGCTTTTAGAAGGAAATTAGATATTATTAAAGCAATGTTGGGACAAATTTGTAATAAGTGTTGGTTTACTTTTAGCAGGATATTCTCTCTACTCTGTTTCTCCCAGTTTTTTTCTATGAACTCAAAACAATCTTGGGCAAAAATTTCCTAAGGTAAAATAATTAGTGACTTAAGGAATAGGTGATATTTATATGTAGGACTAGTGAAATCAAACTGATGACTGTGATTGTGCCTCATACAGTAAGGCCAGATCGTGTAGTGGTAAGAACACAATCTCTGGACCAGACTGTTGGGTTTAAGTCCCAATTTTGACATGAACAGTGTGAGTTTGGGAAAATTTTTGTTCCTCAGTATCCTCATCAGTAAAACAGGGATGAGGATTTCTCCCTGCTTTAAGGGATTTTGCAAGTGTTAAGTACAATATACATATAAAGCCCTTAAAACATTTCCTGGCACACAGAAAACACTCTAAGAAATATTAGCAACCACGTGGTGCAAATGCATCTTTGATTGGTCTATATTCATATACTTATTCTGAATATGTACACCGTTCATCACAGAAGAGATGGATGAAAGAGCATAGATAGATATGTCAAATATTTTTCACAAGAAAAGTGAATTTTCACTTAAAGTGAATTTCCTATTAAAAGAACTTAGTGCATCATTAACATTATTAGCCATTCTTTGGGAAACTAGAATATTAAACTATTATAAGTCTACAGTAACCTCAAAGCAAAGGTGTCCTGACTTAATGAGTTGCACTTGTTATTAAATATGATTATTTGTTCTGGGATGCATTGAAAGAAAACATTTTAGAGTTTCAAAATCAAGTCTGGGCTGTTCTAAGGTTGTTGAGGCTTTTGCTTAGAAGCCCTCAGAGGGTAATCTATGGTTTTTGAGGGGAAGGTGGTGGAATCTTAGCACCATGAACCTGGGGCCTCTAACTGGTGGCTTGACACCATGAGGTTTTTACCAGATCGTTTTGTGGAGGTTGTTTCAAGTTATTTATCCTTTTCTTTTAGACTCTCACTATTCTGCTCTGAAAATTTTACAGATGAGGGAAAACTAGGGATTGAGAATTGAGACGGTTCATCAATTATACACTAAATTGATAGTTTGTAAATTTTACCTGCATGAGAAAAACCTGGAGGGCTTGTTAAAACAGATTTCTAGACTCCACCCCCAGAGTTTCTGATTGAGTAGAATATGCATTTCTAAGAAGTTAGGTAATTTTGCACTTCTTGTCAGGGGCCCATACTTTTTGAAACACTGCAATAAATCAAATACAGTACAGGAGTCAAGTTGATTGGAACTCTGGTAAACTAGCCAGAACCATCACAGTTCTTTATCAAATCAATGTACTTGATGAACCATCTTTTTATCTCATTTAATGAGATAATATTTAGAATTTTATGGACACTTGAGAATATCAGCTAACAAGAATTGTTCACATTCAAAATAAAAATTCTCAAGAAAAAATTTTTAAAATAATGACACCCCTTTTTTTGTGGGGGGTACAGTGCTTCTTGGTCCCCAACGCATTGTTCCCAGCATATTGATCACAGAGCCCCTTTGACACAGTATACCTTTGTCATGGCACTGAACCTTGATCACTGAGCACCTGTCCACAGTGTGCTGTGGTTCTAGTATGGCTTGGCCACACGCAGTTTGCTTGCTTTCTTAAGCCTGTGTCTATGTGGGTGAACACCCCCTCCCCTGCCCTTTATTCTTATGTGTATCCCAATTAAAAATCTTATGTAATTCACATGGATCAGATTACTGGCATGCATCAAGGCTGAGCAGACAAAGTAGTTTCTGGGTGTTTATTAATAGTATTAACATTGCTACTGTCAGGAGAAAGTGGAGACAATTCTATTTTTTTTCTGCAGGTATAAAAGATCTTTTTTAAATGGCTGAGCATAGTGGCTCACGCCTGTAATCCTAGCACTTTGGGAGGCGGAGGCGGGTGGATCACGAGATCAGGAGTTCGAGACTAGCCTGGCCAACATGGTAAACCCCGTCTGTACTAAAAATACAAAAATTAGCCGGACCAAGTGGGACGCACCTGTAATCTCAGCTACTCAGGAGGCTGAGGCAGGAGAATTGCTTGAACCCAGGAGGCGGAGGTTGCTGTGAGCCAAGATCATGCCATTGCACTCTAGCTCTGGGCGACAGAGCAAGACTCTGTCTCAGAAAAACAACAACAACAACAACAAAAACAGATCTTTTTTAATTTTGGAAAATTTGGTATTGAACTAGCTTAATTAGGTAAATATATTCTCTGGAGAATATCACCATTTCTATTTTCTAACTTATCAAGAAAGAAAAATAGCAGGGGATTGGTTATTCTTAAAAGCCTAGAGACCTCTTGTGGCCATTCATAAAAGTACCGGAAAAAAACAGAAATCCAGAGTATTCTAATTTGTCAGGTTTCTCTAGCTTAGTTGTCATTCTTTTTTTTTTTTTTTTTAAATATAGGAATTACCTAATACCTGTCAAAATATATACGATAAGTCAGTAATAGGATTTTTACATAACAGTAACTTATATAAATGTATACGCACCTCAGCCGTAACAGTACTATAGGATAAAGTAAAACTTTATTGAAGCATAAAGCAAAAACATACAAGAAATTGCACAAAACATAAGTGTCCAGCTTGAGAAATTTTCCTAAATTGGATATATCTGTGTAGCCAGCATATCTGGTAGATTTTTTATCATAATTTTATAGGTAAGATGACTCAGGCTCAGAAGTTATATGATTCATTGTTTCATAACATCAATCAAATTCATGTGAACTTCATTCACTCAGAAATAGGCAAAATGAAGAAAGAACTTGAAATAAATATTAACATAAAAGTCAGTTTACAGAGCCATGATCTACAGTCTGGATTTATCAATAGGAAAATTTATCAAATGAAATTACTTTTACATATAGAATTTCTAGAGCAGCAGACTATTAGGCCACAATTTATTATTATTTTATTTGTTATTTGTTGTCGGTAGTGGTTACCTGCTATTTTCCTCCATTAATTAATAAGCAGTTTGGGTTCATCTTTTATGTACCAAGCACTGTTCTGGGTTCCTCCTGACACTAAAATGAATAATATTGGATCTTTGCCCTTCAGAGGCTCAGAATCTGATGCACCAGAAAGACATATAGACAGTAGTTTAATAATACAGCATTTTGACAAGGACTTTAATGGAACAGTATCCATCTGCATGGACTCATTTTCAATAAGGTGGCTGTATTTTTCTCCAAAGTCCACCTCAGGCTGGTTAAAGTTTGCAAGTCCACAACTTTCTCTCTTTGGTTTAAGGCTAGCATAGTGTAGTAGAAGCTAATACTTGACTAGTAATCAGAAAATGTGTGTCTGAGATGTAGTTCTGTCACCGGCTCCAGGATTTTGGACTAGTATTTCACTTACTAAACCTCATTTCTTTAGCTATAACTGTAGTGGAAGCTCTTCTAATTTAGGGATGGTAGCTACCTCACAGGCTATCATGAAGATCAAATGAGATTGTAAGAAAGCCATTTGCGATCTTTAGATGCAGACGTTCTACTTTATACCTTTTCTTTATAAAGTATTAATATTGAACATCAGTGCAGTCATCAGTTCATCAGTGTTTACTAGTTCATGGTTTTGCTGCTGGGAATATGTGCTAGAGAAAGTGCTCAGTGTTTGATAGTGGGCAGATTGACCTGTGCATATCCATGTTCTTCCTAAGGATAGTGAAGAGAATGAAAAAATAATAAGCATAGTGGGTGTCTCGGAAATGGAGAAGGAAGCAAAAGCTGATTAGGAAAGTAAAAGGTACCGAAAGCAAATTAGTATGCAAATTTACTCATTCACAAATTTACCCAGGGTTCTCTTTCTCCTCATCAAAACAATTTATTAAATACTAAATAAGATAGATACATTCAATGGTATAGTAGTAAATATTTAACAACCAACTTTCTGGGAAAAAGTTAAACATGATAGCATTTACCGATTTCTGTAAATAGTTCTACCATGGCCAATTTCAAGTCACTAACATGACATCACTGAACAGAGAGGAAGAGATATGCAAGTAGCACATCCTTATATACTGTTTGCCTTGTATGGATATGATAGACACAAATAAACTCAGGAGTATAGATAATAATACACATAATTAGGAAGTGATGAGTTTTAAGTATTTGCTAGTTTTATTTTTAAAATTATTTATCTATTTATTTATTTTTGAGATGGAGTCTGTCGCCCAGGCTGGAGTGCAGTGGCGTGATCTTGGCTTACTGTAAGCTGCGCCTCCCGGGTTCACACCACTCTCCTGCCTCAGCCTCCCGAGTAGCTGGGACTACAGGCACTCGCCACCACGCCTGGCTAATTTTTTAGTAGAGACAGGGTTTCACCGTGTTAGCCAGGATGGTCTTGATCTCCTGACCTCGTGATCCGCCCACCTCAGCCTCCTGAAGTGCTGGGATTACAGGCATGAGCCACCGTGCCCGGCGGAAATAATTCATTTAAATGCAACTCAGTTTGATTTAATTTTGATTAATAGCTGAGTTGAACATCCACTTTGCAAATTCCTGAAAATTTAACAATCAGCTATCATGAGCCAGTGGGGGCACCACCCTGGATATAATGGTAATTGTGTTAGTATGGTACTAGTTATGGTAAAGATTATCACCTCTTCTGGGAAGCCTATCTGTGTTAGGTGCCTTTCTCTATATTCCTACTATAACTTTCTAGATGTCACAGCAAGTACCACACTGTGTTGGGATCTCATTTCTCTGCCTTCACACTTGATTTCCCTAAGGCCAGTGACTGTGACTGACTTTGAACTCTGTATCTTCTCTATCTAGCACTTAAGGCTCAAAAAATGTATATTGAAAACAAATTTACCTGGACCTGGCTCCTGTCCTCAAGGAGCCCACAATGATCATGTCTATGATCTACAAAAACCATAGACACAGAATACACAGTGTAGTAGGAGCTCTGAATAAACATGTGAAAGGATAATAAGGTTTTTATATTACCAACAGTGGCTTTTATTGGGATGGGAAAAAAGTGATTATAGATCATTGGAAGTAGATGTAGCAGTTCTATTGTGATAAAACAAACACATTTTTCCTTATGTCATCTATTTAATGATATTCTTTTAGTGTTCACACCTTTAACAGGTAAAAGCAACACACATTCATTATAAAACAATTAGAGTATACAGAATCATAAAGAAATAAAAGCCACCTATATTTTACAAGATTGATGTATTGATGAGGATAGGTTAAGACAATAGCATCCAGAAAGCACCAAATAACAGTGCCTTACACAAGATCCTTTTTTTCCTTTTCAAGTAAAAGTTTGGAGGTTTGCAGACCCAAGTTGGTGTGGGTTCTGCTCCTCAGTGTCTTTAGAAGCTCAATTTTCCCCAAGTTCATGGCCCAGCTGTTCCTAAGGCGTGGCCCCATTCTTCATGGTCCAGGTCAGAATCCATCCTCTCTGAAGCAGGATGGAGGATGGGATGAAGAAGAGGCACAGGGCTAATTGTCTCTTTAAGAAAGATTCCCAGCACTTGCCCTGTGGCACATCCATGACTTTCCCCTTGTTAGAAGATAGTTAGGAGACCATGTTTTGCTGCAATAGAGCCTAGGAAATACAGTCTTTATTCTCAGCAGTCATGTGCTCAGCTAAAATTTCTATTACCACGGAAGAAGGGAAAAATAGGTAGGATCAACTGTCAGAATTTGTCAGAATTATTTCCTTAAATTGCAAATAGAGGAATTTCTAGGTTAGAAGTTATGCCCATTTTCACGATTCTTGAAGCATATTGATACATTTGCCTTCAGAAGTTCTGTGCATGTTTACACTCCCAATGAGATCTATGAATGCTTTGTACTAAACACCAAGTAATCAAGTCATTCAGTGTTTCTTCTATGGCTTTGCTGTGGGCAGGATGTGATGGAGAAAAGTGTTGTGTTTGAGGGACCAGGGCTTTATTGTCAGGACTTTTTCAGCTGCAGGTGACACATGGCTTATCACGAGTACTGGAATTTATTCAAATATTTAGGATGATTTAGTATTAAGGTTGGTGCAAAAGTAAGCGTGGTGTTTGCTATTGAAGGTAATGGAATAGAAAACTAGGAATCTGAAGGTGGATAATTAAAAAATGAAGTTCTGAAGAGGAATGGGAGAGGAGGATTATATGGGTAGTTGTAAAAATTTTGAGACCTACAGAGAGAGGATGAAATGTAATATAATGCCCTCCTAATGTCAGTGAAGGGGCTTTTACACATATGTTTTTATCAATGGCTACATTCCAGGCAATACCCTAGGTGCTTTATATATATCCTTTCTTGAATTCCCACAGCCATCTGGGTAGGCATATAATTTTTATGTATCCATTTTTTACACACAATGAAGTCAAAGCTCAAGAAAGCTCAAGTTAGGGTAGAGCTAGAATTTAAACCCCACTCTGTCCGATTTCAAAGTTTTCCTCTTTCCGCTCTTACTCTTAAGTGTGAACTGATAAAAACAATTTTGGCAAGGAATTCACCTTTTCTATAGCACTTGAATTAACTGAAGGATATAAAAGACATTATGAAATCTTAAAAAATTATGAAAGAATTACAGAGAGTAACAAATGAAGTACTGTAAAGGCAAGGAAGAACCTCATGAGATTTTGTCTTTTCCAGGGGCCCTTCTCTGACCTGGGTTGGCTGCCTGCCCCTCCTTTCTCATAGTACTCTGTGTTCACCCTAAGACAGTTCTCATCTTTATTGTGATTGTCTATTTCCTTGGTCGTCTCTACTGCCAGATTATATCTTGAGTGTTAGATATTAGATTTCACACATCTTTATATTACCAGGAGCCAGCACAATGTCTGGAACAGTGTAGGTGCTCAATAAATATTTGCCAGATAAATTATACAGGCATTTATTCTATGGTCATATTTATACATATTACTGAAAGAGATTTTTAAAATCAACTTACTATATGATGCCAAATTTTTAAAGACATACAATAATAACTAGACTAATATAAAATTATGATTCTGACTATGGTTATAACAGAATGTTTATAAGACAACTGAACCTGTGACTAAGACTGAGTGCCTACAACGTGACAGGGTGTTCTGAGTGTTTAACATTTTATTATTAATTTTTCACAAAAATCTTATGAGGGAAACAATAAAATTATTATTCTTACTTAGAAAATGGAAAAACCAGGATATGAACTTAGGCAGTACTGTTGTAGAATTTTTGTGTTTAACAACTAGGCTATTTTATATCGCCATTGTTTATTAGCTGTTTATGACAAAAACAGTTTTTTTGCATGACTCCATAGTGGTATTTTTTTTTCTTTTACAAAGCACAGTTTAATTATCAAAATCAAGTACTTACTGTTTATACAAGACTATTCTCTAATCTACAGCAGTTAGTCAAATTTGTGGAATTAGTCCACTAATGTCATAGTAGCATCTTCTAATGAAAGCTCATAGATCCTTTTCCTGTTGCTTTGCTTGTCGACCGGAACTTCCTTTCCAACAAAGGAACAGGCTCCAAGAGCAACCCTCAGTATCTTGGGAAATTGCTGCTTTTATACCTGAGCAACCTCCAAACCGAAGAGTAATTTGCTATCATCATTCTTCCTTACTGCCCTTCATAACCAGGGTCTCATATTTTTTATTTTTTCTTCTAAAAAAAAAAACAAACCCAAAAAACAACCGTTCAATTGCACCTCCCAGGTGCACTCCCAGGCTTGCCAGGGGCTTTCCAGTCGCAGACCCCGCGTGTTCGCAGACTCTGCCGCCGGCGAAACTACATTTCCCAGCGGGCCGCGCGCCCTCCTTCCGGCAGGTACCCCTCAAAACCCGGAAACGCCTTGCGGGGCAGTGTGGGAGGGAGAAGTCCAGGGCGGACAGGCTGGGCGCACCCGTGCTCGCGCACCCCAAGATGGCTGAGAGGCAGGAAGAGCAGAGAGGGAGCCCGCCCTTGAGGGCGGAAGGCAAGGCCGACGCGGAGGTTAAGCTCATTCTGTACCATTGGACGCATTCCTTCAGCTCTCAAAAGGTACAACAGGCCTTGGCGGCGGAGGGTGGCGCGGATCGGGCTTCAGCACTGGGACAGCTCCTTCTGAGTCCCGCCCAGGGAAGCCGGTCCACCTAGAAATCCGCCTCCAGTGTCCTGACCCCGGGCAGGCGCTCCCTCCAGGCGGGGACGCGCCCGGGTGGGGAGCGGGGAGAATCGATCGGAGATGATCCTATGTGGCTATGGCCCAGGCTCCGCCTCTCGCGAAATGCGACAAAAAAGCATCATTTTCAGTATTTGGTCTGGAGGCCTTGCCTGCTGGTCTTCGGAGAGAGGCAGAGGGAGGTGCCTTTGTGGACCCTCATAATCTGCGATCTCTTCTTTTGCTCTCTCGCATTCACTGTCTTCAGCAAGAGCTGATGTACCTACATGTCAGGTTCTTGTCTGGGGAGGACCCATAATCAGGTTTAGGACACCGAGAAAGTGGTAGTGATGAGGAGGGTGACTGTTTAATGAATACAGTCAGAATCATTTCATTACTTATTTTGTGTTCTTCTCTTAATTTGTTGAGTATTGTTCTTTCCTTACTTGTTAATTCCAGGAATAGGAATTGTTAAAACGACTGTTGAAAATGTCGGTAACACAGGGAAGCCCAGAAAGGCTGCTTAGCGGTGTCCAGGGAAGTCATTTAATTGAAAGCTTACATGTGTTGTAGTAACCAGTGTGAACTCTTCCAGGTGCGCTTGGTAATTGCTGAAAAGGCATTGAAGTGCGAGGAACATGATGTAAGTCTGCCCTTGAGTGAGCACAATGAGCCTTGGTTTATGCGTTTGAACTCAACTGGAGAAGTGCCTGTCCTTATCCACGGGGAAAACATAATTTGTGAGGCCACTCAGATCATTGATTATCTTGAACAGACTTTCCTGGATGGTAATGTTAAGGCTACTTGCGATTTCTTGGATTTACTTTCAACACAACTATGTGTTCCCTTTCTCTTTTTCTCTCTCTCCTCTCTCTCTTTCTCTTGTGTCATGATGGTGGTTTGGGATTAAAAACCTTTTCCATTTCCATAAGCACACAAATATCAAATAGGTCAATAACAAATTTTGTATAGGCTAGTGTAATGCTATTTAAAATAATTTAATGCAAAATACAAATGTTAATGTTGAAACTTAAAAAAATTCACTTGCAAAAAACTGCAAATGTGTGGTTTGTGTTGGTGATTTCTTAGTCTTAAATTCATAATATTCTAAATGTGCACTGTGACGATTTCATCTAATATACCAAATGGTTTCACCTTAAAAACAAGAGGGAAAAAAGAGCAATAAATCTTAAAGGAGAATAGAATGTTAGTATACCTGAGTTCTTTGCCCCAGTCACTTCTGAATTGTTTGAATTTTATATCTTTACTAAGGAATTATAGGGCTTAAATTTGTATAGTGCATTTAGGTAAATCATTTATTAACAGCTTGTTATGTGTCAGACATTTTATAATTTCTTCAATAATGTCTTCAAAAGTATCTGTCTGAGACAGGCATGGTAGACAAGTTATTCCCATTATGTAAATGAGGAGAAAGCAACAGGGTTGCCCAAAGTAATATAGCTATTGTATGGCAGAGTCTTTGGTCTCCAAAGCCTTCATACTACACTGACTGTCTCCCATAATCCTTGCCACTTACACATTGTCTTGCTTGTTCCTAATAATAATCCTTTGAAGTGAACTGTAGCTTCAAAGAGTTACCAAAGACTACACAGCTGATCACAATGGACATTGATGAGAGCAGAACATGGTGCTCAGAGCTTCCAGCTGAATGCTCTTCTAAAAAGGCTGTATGAGATTGTTACTTTTCATCTGCCACCAGTTATGTTGATGTTAATAGGGTAGGTGAAAGCAGAACCTAGCCCCAAACTACAGGAAGCTGACAAAGGAAATTACTAGGACAAAAAAAAGTCTCATGTACTTAGAAGGAAAATGAGTATTATTAGGCCTAGATGGTGGGCAGTGGCGAGGGGGAAGCCCAGGGAATTAGATTAGCAATGGGCTACCCCTGTTCTTAATCTAAGTGCTAGTCCCCTAGGATTGTGATTGGCGGTTTTAATTAAAGGTAGCTTTAGCGTAAACCAAAGCATTTAATGATGTACTTTCTTTTCATCTTTATTTGCTATTCCTTATAAATTTATATGCTGGGGACTGTACTGAAAATGACAACTAGTTCATTTAAGAGAATTTTTCTCAATCTTGAGCTTTTTGGAAATGGATAAGTGTGTTAATTTGTATTTCTTGGGGGATGTAATTATAATGGAACAAAACAAAATAATTGTGTTAATAAATCTATTTTAAATGATCAAAAACTTTAAAAAGGTATTCTAAATGGAAAATCCCATTTAAGTTTTTTGGTAGCATTGCCTGAACTGCTTCTACTATCATCATTCCCCTCCTCCATCCCCTCCTTACACTGTTTTTCCTCTAAGAAATTCAGTGATATAAATTATATTTACAACATAGTAATGTTACCAATTATTAGGTTTTCTTACAATTTTCCTTAGTCTTTCTCTTTTGCTTTTAGTACAGAATAGTAACAAAGCAGAAATAAGTTCTGTGTCCTGCTAAGTTGTATTTAAATAACCAAACAAAGGAAATGCTAAGTTCTTTTGATTACTTAAGAATTAGAAGAGAAGGCACTGTAGGCTGTGACAGGATGGAAATATGGAAAGTGCAGACTTTAATTCTGGTTGAACTATTATTGTAACTCAGCAATCAAGAGTCCTAGCTTTTAGTCTGATGCTGCCACTAACTTGTTGAATATCTTTCAATCAATTGGGAAGGACGAAAAAACGATTAAGGGACCCAAAACTTATGGTAGATAGGACGACAGCAAGAGAACAATAGTTTATATAAATCAAGGCTAAGTTATATAAATCGAGGTCAAGAAGAAGTTTATCTCAGAGTACTGAAATTTTAAAAACAGCGTTATCACAATTATAATTAAGATGCTTTATCTTTAAGAACTCATGGAGAATGAAAGTCAGACAAGATAGACAAACATCCTATTGTCAAAGACGGGGAAAAGTGAATTCTACCAACCCTTGCTACTAATTGTATGTTCCATTCATCAGCAGCATTGGTGTCACCTGGGAGCTTGTTAGAACTGCAGAACCTTAGAGCTCTCTGCAGACCTATCAAATTAGAATCTTTGTTTTAACAAGAGCCCCATGTGATTCGTATGTACATTAAAGTTTGAGAATACTGCTATAAATTAGTGTTTAGTTAAGTAAGCACTGGTGTAAATTACTGTCTTTAAATCTGGTGGAAATTTAGAATAGATTGTGAATAGTTATTTAAATATGTTAAAATTTTTGTGTATCTCAGTGAAAGGAACCAATTTAAGTTTTACACTGCTGGAGAATGTCCCTAACACTTCTAAAAAACTGTCTATTATGTGCCAGGCATGGTTCTAGATATAGTATATCTTGATTTAAGTAGAACATTTGCGATTACGTTACATATACCCTTGTGGAATAAAGGAGCAAATATAGCTAGAAGATTGTAACGCACATTTGCAGATGAATAAACTACCATATTAAAGAATATTACTTTATAGATTTCTCATACCAGATTACCTCTTCAACTATAGACTCTCATTTTACTTATAATTGTTTTTATACTTTATTTTAAATGTTTGAATTGTACACCACTGTAAGTACCATGAGGTTGGGAATAGTGTATCTTATGAAAAATTATCCCCAATGCCTTATACAGTGAATGTTTCTTAATAGGTGCTTAATAAATATTTTGAATGATTAAAATGAATAAATTATTGAAACAGATGTTAGCCTGTACAGGGATCCCTTGTAATGTTCTTGTAGGCTTCTTTTTTGACTTGAGCCTAACAAATCAATGATTTGAATAGACATGGAAGAAATACGATTACATTTGTGAATGACAGAAAAGGTAAATAGTCAAAGTGATGACTAGCTTATAAAATATTTCTTATGGAAATACAACAAAATGGAAAAATAAGATAAAGTTTAACAAGGCTAAATGTAAAATGGCTATGAGGAAAATAGGCATGAGACTTTTGTTTTAAAAAACCAGCTGCATTCCAAAAGAATGGGGAACCTGGTTAATAGATAGTAAGTTACCAATGTTAAAACAAATGGCTAGTGTGATTTCAGGTTCTTTGAAAACTGTAAATTTTGTTGAGAACAGGGTGAGTTGTAACCCTCTGCATTCTGAGCTGTTTGGAATAGTTGACATTTTGTCCAATTATGGATGTAACTTTGAGGAATGTTGATGAGATAGAATAAGTGGATGGATTTCATGAGGTGTGCAGTCGCCCATGGTCATGACAGGAGACTGTAAGTGTAGCCATTCCTCTAAAGAACAGAATGTAGTGAACCAGTATGTCCTTCACTGTTATTTGCTGTCCCTTGTTATCGATCCAGTGGGGATTATGCGAAAAACGATGACTTGCTGATCTAGAAACATTTTTCAACTTTTTTGTTTACATTTACATATTTCTATCCTTGTACTTTCGGGATAGTTCATTAAATAATTGGTAGTTTGGTAGCTGAGGTCACCCTTTTCAAGTCATAGCCTGAAATAGTGAATATCTGTTGGATAATGGCTGTATTTGATTTTTTTTTGGAAAGCAGTCATACAGAAGAATGGTATAGACATGAATGATGCTCCTGACTGCCAAACTAAGAGCTGGCCGAGAGCTATCTCTTCATTTATTCTTTAAGTAACCATTTATTGGGTATTAATTTGGTATAGGGTCCTGGGATACTTCAGAGATGTTTTAAAGATCCGAAATCATTAGCAGCTTGCTAGTCTTCAAAGATAATTTCTTTCTATAAGTTTGCTGATAATTCCAAATCTGTCCTTAACATATATACTTGCTATTACTGTACAGTTTTATAGACTCTTTCATGTACATGATACCTCTTTAACTCTGAGCATGTGGTGAGGAATAGTTATTTTACAGCAAGCAATTGATTAAGCTAGATAAGGTATGAGAGTAAGCAAACTAGGTAAACTGAGAAAGAATGGATGTGACAAGGTGAATGTACACACAAATGTGGATTTTTCAATCTATCTATTGTACTCATAACCTCTTTAAATAAAATTTAACTTGGCTACTAATCAAAATTATATGGAATAACTATAAAATACTAGAACATATGTATTACTACCAAATAACTCTGGTAACCTGGAATCAAGAATAATGGATTTTTGTGATTTAATGTAACAGTTCTCTGAACATCACGTTCATGTCTTATGTCTAGATATATAATTTATTCTTAGGAAATAGAATTTAGTTTGGAAATAAACTATTCTAGTATGATATTAAAATCACGTAAATCTTATTAGGATATCTAAATTTATAGATACAATGTTATTTATAAAATACATTTAAATGTTACATTTGAATTTCATCAAATGTAACATTTAAAAAAGAACGTTAATTCTGATGTCACTGTTATATTAAAAATAGTTATTTAAGGAATTACCAATTAATATTTATATTTGTGTTCATCAAGAAAAGGCTCTTGTATATAGTTGAATATAGGCCTTTTAGCACATATACTGAAATTGCAGATTAGCACAAAATGTGGAGAAAATATACCATATGGCATGGAAAAGAATATCAGTCTTTGATTATTGTGTCAGTAAAAGTTGCTTTAAAAAGTAACTTTTCTTCTCTTTGTGATTTGTCCAGTTTTAGCAGACAGGTTGGGGGTATTAAAATTCAGAGGCCCTCTTTCTATATAATATGTATCTAACAATTGGAACAAACTGTCTGATAAAGGAATTTTTGCTTCCATCATTAAAAATGTTTCTGTTAAAAGTCTTAACTGTAATACCAGTTAAAAGTAGTTAAACATTTAATGTATAGTGCATAAAATTTATTGACAATAATGCTATAAATTTGTCTCAAAATCCTGGATGCATACAGTGAACTGATATAATTTGACACCGGGTCTTTTTGTTTTTTTTCTTATCTGTATTTAGATTTGCTCTTTCTAGTTCAAGAGTTATGACAGCACTGAATTGTAATCAATCAGTTTGCTACCATATCTTTTGCCTCAGGTCATAACTTAATTGTTTAATATTATTTAGTGTGTGTGTGTGTGTGTGTGTGTGTGTGTGTTTGTGTGTGTGTATATATATATATATTTTTTTTTTTTTTTTTGAGACGGAGTCTCGCTCTGTCACCAGGCTGGAGTGCAGTGGCGCAATCTCGGCTCCCTGCAACCTCCACCTCCTGGGTTCAAGCGATTCCCCTGCCTCAGCCTCCCGAGTAGCTGGGACTATAGGCGCGCACCACCACGCCCGGCTAATTTTTTGTATTTTAGTAGAGACGGGGTTTCACCATGTTGGCCGGGATGGTCTCTCGATCTCCTGACCTCGTGATCTGCCTGCCTTGGCCTCCCAAAGTGCTGGGATTACAGGCATGAGCCACCGTGCCCAGCCTATTATTGAATTTTTTAAAAATAGCCTAGTGTGTGACTAGTTGAAGGGTACAATATTATTCAGCTGTATTATGCATATTATATACTGATGCAATCACTATACAGTCTAAGTAAAATAAACAGCAAAGGGCTAGAGTGAGGAATGAAATCTAATCTGTTTCCATTGAGCTAGTAGTAAGGGAGACTTGAAAGTTGTACAAGTAGACCTAGGGGAGTCTTTCTTGAAAACAAGGCATAATAATGCCTCCTTTATCTGCCTTTACTAGGAAAGATGGGTAACCAGAGTAGTGAATTTTGTAAAATAATGAAAACTTATGCCTTTAAGCCCCTAATTTCTTTTTATGTTTTACTCTTGGGAAAACCAAATGTAATTTAAAAAAATGGCTCAGAGCCATTGTTATTTTACTCAGCATTACAGGGACTTGAGAATGTAGAGGCCCATTTGTCTCCATTACATGGCTGCAGAATGCTTTTATTGTTTCTTTCTGATTTTATTTTTTGCTTCTTTTGGTTTCCTCTGCTGTTTATCAAATCTTTCTGCTTTATGTCTATCTGCTGGTTTATAATTTGCTGCCTAAATTTATGTGTAATATAAAACTTTTCCCCTACTCAGTTCTTCCGGCAAGTCGGATCTTGTGCCAACTTATTTGTTCTTCTAGCTTAATACCAAGCCTCATTTCCACTGTTGCAATCCCACTCCCCAATGCTGGGACCTCCTCTCATTGCCTGCTTCTTAAAACTCCCTAATTCTCTGTCCTGCCCCGCTATGCCTTATGTTGCTTTCCCACTCCTGATTGAGGTACATTACTGAGAAAAAAATTCTTGCTTTTGGTATTTTGATAAAGGTACTCTACGGAAGAACTGGAAAATAAAATAGGATGGGATTGAGAGGGAAGATCTCCTCTATAATTCAAAGGAAATTCCCAGTTTTCCTTTGAAAAACTCTTTTATCAGAAGCAGCAGATACTGTTGTGCTTCAGTGTGAGGATGGCAGCGCAGTGCCCCTGTGATACTGGAGAGGGCATGCTTGATGCGCACAAAGAAAGAGAGATGGGGAGATAACTTGGGTTCAGTGGGTATCTCATGCTCTGACAGAGTGCTTCAGGAAATGGTTAGACAGTAACGGCACACTGAGTAGAAGAAAATTATTTTCATGGATTTAAACATTTGTCCTCCTTGAAGAATTTGGGCTTGGCCTGATGGATCTTCCCCAGAAAGCAATTAGACATTGTTTTTCCTGCTCTCATTCACTTTCCTAGGAAGGAAATGGTATGCTCTTCTGGAGAGAAGCCCCAGGGCCCAGTACCAGAAAGCAGCCAGAGCCACTAGCCATTACTTGGACCTTTTGGGAAGCATTTGAAAATGTACTATTTAGGGTTATTAGCCTGAGGTTCTTGGACCCCTAAAGCATTAGTTCTTAAACTTTTTGGTCTCTATACCCCTTTGTCTTTGAGGATACCAGAGAGCATTTGTTTATGTGGATCATAGCTATCAATATTTACCATTTAGAAAGCAAAACTGAGAAAACTTAAAATATTAGCCTGGTTAAGCACAATCCCACTAGCTGTCAGAGTGATAGAGTCATGTTTCCTGTAGCCTCTGGAAACTTCTACTGTACACTTGAGAGAGAATAAGAGTGAAAAAGTAATTAACGTCTTAGTATTTCTATAAAAATATCTTTGTAGATCCCCCAAACATGTTTTAGGAAAACCCAGGGATCCTCAGACCATAGTGTGAGAACTGTTGCGCTTAGGGGTTTATGAATAGAATTCAGGAGATTTGAGATCTTGGATAGGGAATAATTGTATCTCTATTTAAAGGAATTATTTCCTTCCATTAGCAATGTAGGCACAATCCATGGCAATATCAGGAGTGCTTCTGGCTTTGATAACCAATAGAACTCACAGATATGTTCATGGTTAAGTTATTGCAGATATCTTAATATTTTGAAATTGTGATAGTTATTAGACCTGACATTTTTTAGGGACAGTTTGACAGCCAGAGATAGGAAGAGATTCTGAAGGGACATAGCCCTGACCTTTGGGTTGCATCCTTCACTTTTATTCTTTTTCGATAGTCTATGAAATGAAAATCCTTTGAAAATGTTATGATGGTATAATCAAAGAGAACATTACATTAGGAATCAGATGACTTTAGTTCTAGCTCTGCCTCTAATTAGCTGTGGGATCTTGGGAGAAATTTTCAGCCCTTGTATCTGAGTGTACATGTTAACTCCTGCAGCACTTCTCCAGCTCAAGTAATCTATATAATAATTGGAAATTTTGGAATGTATTCATTGTAATTTATTAAACACCTACTACATGTCAAACATTATACTAGGCACTGGGGATTTAACAGAGAGCAGTACATGGTCCCTGCCCTCAAGGACTCTACAGTTTGGATTTTAACTAGCAAATAAGGATGTATGTAGAACCCACTTTCCAGAGATAATTGTTAGAAATTCCTGGGGAAAGTGCACCTGCGATATTTGAGCAAAGGCCTTTCCTGTTCCATATAGATTGTCATTCACATTCACATGTGTCAGTAGGGTCACTCTTGATGTTGGTTGGCACCTAGAAAAGAGTAGCCCCTGATTATCTTTCCATAATGAGCCCTCATTCAATTAACCAAACTTTATTGAGGGCCTCAAGTGTGTGGAGAACTGTGCTAGACTCTGGATTGCAGGTTCCTTTCCCTGAAGACAGTCATGGGGAAAAAAGATGCAATGAATTACAGTGTGATAAGGGCTGTAACAGAGTGTGTGTAATGTGTTATGGATGTATAGAAGAAGGCACATGTGAGCCAGTCAGATGTTGGCAGTTGTAGGAGGTTAGGGAATGCTTCATGGAATAAATGGCATAAATAACTGGGCCTTGAGGGCTGAGTGCAGTTTGCAAGGTGAAGAAATGAGAGAATACCAATGTGATTATGGTTTGGGATCTTGTCTGGTGCATCAGGCCATTTCAAACTTTGAATGAATGTCTGAGGTGAGGAGACAGTGTTTTTTGAATATACAGATATGTTGAAAATGTTAATGATGAGTGGATAGTGTTTTTGTTTTGCTTTTGAGTGTAACAACTCATGTGTAACTTTTTCTTCAATATTTGTGTGTGTGTATTTTAGAAAGAACACCCAGGTTAATGCCTGATAAAGAAAGCATGTATTACCCACGGGTACAACATTACCGAGAGCTGCTTGACTCCTTGCCAATGGATGCCTATACACATGGCTGCATTTTACATCCTGAGTTAACTGTGGACTCCATGATCCCGGCTTATGCAACTACAAGGATTCGTAGTATGTAAACATTTTAAAGACCTGGAATTCTGTCTGACACTTTCTTTTAATTCATTTTGAGACCTAGCATGTCTCATGGTCACTAAAAGAAGATTGGGAATAGGGTTGTTGAGTTTGCTTCATGGATGTGCATGTTATGGATCGATCCATGAACCAGTCGGATTAATCTGTGCTTCACTTGCTCAATTGGACATTTATTGTCTATAGGACCTGATTTATCAGCTCTTGGCTTTGAGGGCCAATCTTGGGTAAAACTCAGAAGAGTGGATTATGGAAGAGTAAAGAATATAACATGTTCTCATGAACAGATGGACTAGGAATCTGAAAACCTGGGATCTGCCTAGGATTATGGGCAGTTGAGTTCATGTTACTGGTCCTTAATTGTTGTTTTCGTTATTTGAGGAAACTGGACTAGAGGGTGTCTAACTATTACTCTGTCTCTATGTTCAGTGATAGTAGATTTATTGGGATTGAGTTGTGACATCCAGCTTTCTGCCTTCCTCCTGTCATGAGAATAGTCAGTGCATGATCTGTGGAGCAGGAGGTGTGCTTTATAGCAGAGATAATTGGAGATAAGAAGGGAAAGGATTGTGGCAGTGGTCACACTTTGGGAATGTTGATCAGAAACACTCAAACTCAGATCTTCTAAATCCAGAAACCATGTGTTCCCCATTATGTGATACTCACCTTTATTATTCTTATTATTCTTTTTTTCCTTTTTGATACCCCTCCTTTTCCTCTCCTCTCCCTTCCCTTTTCATCTCTTCCCTTTTCTCCCTTCTCTTCCTTTTTCTCCACTGCCCTCTCTTCCTGCTTCTCTTTCCTCTTATTCCTCCTCCTCTTCATAAATACCCTTTATAGTATTTGAAACAAGAGTTTTGACTATAATTCTATGACCTATAGTTAATATTTTTTAAAAATAAGGCTTTTTCCTCCCTTCATATAGGAGTTCATTATAGAAAGCTTGAAAGGTAGAGGAAGGCGGAGCAGCAAGCCTGCACTGAGCACTGTAAAGTGCTGGGCCTTGCTCTAAGTGCTTCCCATGAAGCTTCTCATTTAGTCTTCATGGCAGATATTCTTTGTTTTTTTCTTTTCTTTTTTTTTTTGGATGGAGTCTCGCTCTGTTTCCATGCTGGCGTGCAGTGGCATCATCTCGGCTCACTGCAACCTCTGCTTCCTGAGTTCAAGTGATTCTCCTGCCTCAGCCTCCCGAGTAGCTGGGATGACAGGCATGCGCCACCACGCCCAGACAATTTTTGTATTTTTAGTAGAGACGGGGTTTCACCACGTTGGCCAAGATGGTCTCGATCTCTTGACCTCCTGATCCTCCCGCCTCGGCCTCCCAAAGTGCTGGGATTACAGGTGTGAGCCACCGCGCCCAGCCGGCAGATACTCTTATGGTTCCATTTGAAAGGTGAGGAAACTGAGGCATAGACAGGGTAAGCCCAAGGCAGAGAAGCAGGGCATGAGCCCCAGAGCTCATGCTCTTGTCATTGAGTTTCTCTGCTTCTCCTTGTTACTGGTGTAGAAGGGAGAAAATAATTTTCTGTTTCCAAAATGTTTTTATTATCAGGCCAAATTGGAAACACAGAGTCTGAGCTGAAGAAACTTGCTGAAGAAAACCCAGATTTACAAGAAGCATACATTGCAAAACAGAAACGACTTAAAGTAAGCCAATCAGCTGTCCTCAGTTGACATACACTGCACGGAGTAAATGTTCTACTTTTTGTAAAGTACCACTATTTCTAGAATATCTTCTTTTAAATATTGCAGTTCACCAGTACACATGTTACCTTTGGCTTATGTTCTCCTTTTAGAAAGAATTTTTTATTAGACTTGATATTGAAACTTGATGACAAGTGCTTAACAAGCAGATATTGAGCATGCTGGTTGCCAAAAAAGTTATGAAATGCAAAGGAAGTTCATAACATATTCTAGAATCTGTCATTTCAGGTATTCCACCACTGGAAGTCCTCGCTAGACCTACATCCCTCCATGTGTCGCCCTGACTTGCTTTGCCCCCTGAGGAGTGTGCTTTATGGTCAGCCTTTCTCCTTCTGTTGATTCCTTCCCCGGGCCCAGCAACTATTGCAAGCTTCTCTCATATTAAAAGTGTAGAAAACAGCAGCACTCCCAACCCTCCCCAACTTCCCACCTTCCTTTATCCTATCGTAGCTAAACGAGCTCCTCAGAAGAAACACCTGCACTCACAGTCACTTGACTGACTCTCCACTCGCCGTTTAACTCCTTCACTCGGACTTCTTACTCATCCCTGACCCTTCAGCTACTCTTTCAATTACGGCTGCTAGAATTCTTTTCCTGAGTTGGGCTTGGCAGATGGCTCTTCGTGTCCCTCCCATTCTTTGCCTTCTGTGGTCATCTGGCCTCATAGGAGCTGCCAGTGAGTGGTGGGTCTGCTCCTGGGTCATTTTCACAGCTGGGATATTTCCCTTCAACTTAGCTCTCTCTCTCTCTTTTTTTTTTTTTTTTTTTTGCTGAGTTTTTCTATTTCTTCTCGTTGTCTAAAATAGGCTGAACTCTGTAAGAGTTTGTATCTGCTTTACCTAGATTTATTTTTTTTAAAGGTGCAAATAATATGTTTGGTTTCTTTTTTTGGTGGTTAATTAGTCAAAGCTGCTTGATCATGACAATGTCAAGTATTTGAAGAAAATTCTTGATGAGTTGGAGAAAGTCTTGGATCAGGTTGAAACTGAATTGCAAAGAAGAAATGAAGAAACCCCAGGTAGGTTCTCATTTATATTCTTTCTCTCTTTTCAACATCAGTATTATTCATGGGAACATTCTTAGGTCTCACCAAAAACGTTCTGTAATCTGCTTTTCATTGTTGTTATTCACAGGCAGTTTTAATTATGATAGCAATAATGATATTGCACCCAGAAAAACCCAGGTGTCTAATTGTAACTCAATCTGCATCTACGTGAAGGATTTTTCTGCATAATTTAAATTATGCTTGGGAGATTTTTACCTGTTTTACAAATTTGTAATTACAGTAGTTAGTTTGGTTGAATAACTTGAGTAATTGCTTGAATATTCCCTCTAGTTTTTTCCTTAGGCAGGGAGACAGCCTCCAATCTAAAGTGTAATAAGGACCAGCACGTGGGCATCTGTAGACTGGCTGGTAAGCATGCCAGTGAACTGGCTTCAGGGTTAAGCCATAGGTGTATACACATGGGCCATTTATGCTACTCCGACTAGAGTTGAAGACTATGTTACCTGTCACAAAAGCTCTTCTGCTTTAAATGACTAAGAGCAGTAGCCACTGAGTGATGTTTCAGACTCAGCTTTATGGATTTTTCTAAAGCAGAACTGTTTTTATAAACCAGAAGGAAGTTTCTTTTAACTAGCTTGGAGGCTCCCAACCCCTTAGTGTCCTTTACAAAGTGATAAGCTCAAGTGGCTGCAATCTTACATAGGGACCTGGATGGCTGACAGACGTCAAGCAAGTCTCCTTTGGCCTAGGATACGTTTGCATGGACTTTTTTTTTAAAGCATGAAATTATTCTCTGAGTGTGGCTGTCAAGAAAATAAATATATAATGTCCTTCATCTTTTGCTATACTCACACTCACCCTTAAGGGTGAGACCACTGATACCAGCTGGAGTCTGTCTGTAGAGTGCTTGCCTCTAATTCTCTATGTCCCTTTCTCTAATTAGAAGAGGGCCAGCAACCTTGGCTCTGCGGTGAATCCTTCACCCTGGCAGACGTCTCACTCGCTGTCACATTGCATCGACTGAAGTTCCTGGGGTTTGCAAGGAGAAACTGGGGAAACGGAAAGCGACCAAACTTGGAAACCTATTACGAGCGTGTCTTGAAGAGAAAAACATTTAACAAGGTTTTAGGACATGTCAACAATATATTAATCTCTGCAGTGCTGCCAACAGCATTCCGGGTGGCCAAGAAAAGGGCCCCAAAAGTTCTTGGCACGACCCTTGTGGTTGGTTTGCTTGCAGGAGTGGGATATTTTGCTTTTATGCTTTTCAGAAAGAGGCTTGGCAGCATGATATTAGCATTTAGACCCAGACCAAATTATTTCTAGGTTTGTTGGGATCTTGTCGTGGCAGCTCATCCAAGCATTTAGCTAGACCCTGTGATTGCCCGTGGCTCTCTGAGTCTGTCTTATTGAGTAGTTAGCAGTATTTTTTCCTAAAATTCAGAAGTCATCTTTGTTACACAACACAGGGGTTCAGGTAGCAATAGGACACAAAATTGCTTTATTCTACAACTGCCAGCTCCAGGCAGAAATAGGAAGGCAAAGAGATAAGAGAAGGAAAAATGAGAGAATGAAGTCTGTATAGGGTAGAGCAATAGAAAGTAAGCTTCGGGTGCCTCCAACGTTCATGGCTGCCTGTCTCATTGGTAAACCTCACATTTAGTTACTTGTGGCTACTGCCCACACATACACTTCTGTAATTGAGAACTCTTAGGAGAGGACTAGGGAATCACTGGGGATAGTGGGCTGGAGAGAACCCCAGGCTTTATATGTATACTTTGACCTCAGTGTTAATTTTAAATGCTTATGAATCACACACATTGCTTTAGTAAGATTAAGTGCTTATATACTAGAAATTTGATGCTCATTGGAACACATCTGCCTAGCATTTCTGTAAAAGTCTTAAGTGATATTAAGATGATTCCTTACCATTTCAGATGGTCCGCAATTTGAATTACCAAGTGGTAATGGTTCCTTACTGTTTTAGATGGTGCCTGTGAGATACCATTCCTCTGGATGGTCATGTCCAGTCAGTGGGAGGTAGAAAGGGTGGCATCTGTAGCCCTCTTCATACACATAAGTGGCATTTAGGTGAATGTCCCAGCTAATCACTAGCATGTCTAGGTATTGGCTGGGTAGTGGGTATTTTGATGATCTGGGAGCACCAAATATGTTCATTCTTCGTTTGGGGAGGCTGGTCTGTAAACACAAAAATTGTTGTCCAGATCTTTCATCTGTTTATGATCATCAACAAAGACTTGTTAGAAAGGTCTAGTCTTAGCACTTGGCAGTTAATCTAGGGAAGATGAATTAAATGGGTAGATAGTGATGCATACCTGTATTCACTGATGTATGTTTAAGGGATTTGGGGGGGATACCTCAGTTCATGTGGAAGGGACAGTCTCGGTGTGTCCCATGAATAACCTTGGAACTGCAACAAATGGTTTGTGCTCAGAAAAAGTCTTTCATGGTGACAGGAAGACAGTTTCCCTGGAGCTGGCCATGAAGGCCTTAGAAGCCATTTCTGGTGTCTGGTGGGTAGCAGGCATAGAGATGATGTGCCGAGGTCCCAGTGAACAACAGTAGCCAAAGAATGTACTAACTTTATCATTAATAGGAAAGTCATACCTAGGAAACAATGACTTTTTGATGGCAAAATGATTTTTTAATTCTATTTTGATGCTGTAATTCCATTTCATGACCTAGTTGTATTAGAAAACCTTGATGAACTATATGTTCCCGATTTACAAAAAAATTAATAAAACCTCCAGAGTAAACTCAGTCAAACAATAATTGAGTAGCAGCTTTTATAACATTTAAAATTTGCACATGAGTGTGTTGTCATATGGAGTGTCTGAATCTGTTGCTGGGACATACCAATCCATGTATTCATTAGAGCCATAGAAGTTATTATTCATTAGTTCATAGTGTTTGAGTTCTTTATGTCACTCTGTTAGAAACAAGAACTGAGTCGTGAAGAAATAAGAATTGGATTTTTATAAAAACCTCTGAAGGATATTTACCTATGAAAAAGTTGTTAAGAATAAAAATTAGAAGTCCATGGTTAACTTTTCCTTCAATTTATATTATTCCTGAATCATAGGGAATCTTTCTAGAATGTGTTTATAATTTCCTTGTACAGTTTCTTTGGAAATACGTTAAAGATAGTGGCAATTTCATATATTTCATGGATACTTGAGTTTGTGCTTTTAAGGTGTTTGTTTAGGGATACAATGACCACTAGATGTCGCTGTTTATCCAGTAGACTAAGATTGAGTGTTCTTTTTGTTCAGCAACTCTTCTAAAATGTTTCAAGCAAAGATAGTAATGACCTCAGTTTCTGAAATAAGGGCATCTTCATCAGATTATTCTTCTGTTTTAAAAAAAAGCTTGAGGCAAATGTGAGTGATTTCCAGTGCTTTGAAAGGGATTACAGTATCACACAATGTCAAGCTAGAGTTAAACACAGTATTAGCTAAATAGGCACTTATGTGTATTTTCTTTTTCATGATTATCGGTGACTGGTCAGTGTACTCATCAATTTCCAAAATTTGTATAAATATCACAATTAGAAAAATGCCTGAGGTACTAAAGTTATGTTGGCTTTTTGTGTCTTAACACACATAAATACTATTGTTATTGCAGCAGATGCCTTTTGAATCCATTTTCCATAATTGCGGATAGTCATAAATTGCTTGCTCAATTTTTAGTAATTATTGCTGTTGACACCAGCGTTGTAGATTTTTGGTGTTGTTGAATGCAGTAGAGAGACCAAGACACTATTCTGTAAGATCAATAAAAGTAATTGGAAAATAAATATGAACCCTAAAACAAAGTACTCACTTTGTAATCTTTTTTGGAAAACAGATATATTTTTTTCATTTAAAATCAAAGCATCATGTGGTAGTTAAAAGGGTAAAATAAGCAGAGGTTAGGTATTCAAGATACTTAGCTATAGGATGCCATATTTTCGTTATAACAAAATTGCTGACTCTTGCTTCATTTAAATATGCACGGTTAAAATGAATAGCGGCCTAAAGAATAACACTGATCTCTCAAAAAAAAAAAAAAAGAATAACATTGATGCTGCTCATTAATATAGCTCTGTTGCAGCCAGCCACCTACCATGGGAGAGCATGAAAATGATGAACACTGAGTACTTATCTTTGCAAAATAGTTTTCTTACATGTTTACTGGGTTTCAAGTATTACTCATATTTATGTATATTTTTGACATAGCTAATTCTCTTTTATTGAGTATGGATTATTCATATTGAAATTACCTTCTACATTTCTAGCTTAGTAAGCTTAGCCATTCTAATCAAGTAGAAATTGAGTACTTTCATTTTGCACTGAACAAAGCAAATTAAATGCAAGTCTAATTGGCATTGTTTTCCTTGAATTTACAAACAAGAACAAAGGGCAACAATACTGAATACTTATGGAAAGTCACCTGAATATCTAACTTCGTAGTCTGCTCAGAAAAAAAAAACAGTATGGTAAAGACATGAAGGTGAAATTAATGCAATAAATAAATCAGTATTCAGATATAACCATCATATTGTTTATGCCAACTATTGGCCCATTTACTTGATCTCTGCTTACCCATATCAGAATGTCTTGATTTTATAATACTCCAGAACAGTTGTTTTACTAGGTAGGGTAGTAGATTCCAAACAAAGTGAGGAAGTGTAATTTCTAGTGTGAGGATAGTAGTTTTAATTATGTATTACATTATGAAAATGAAGAGAAGGAGTGAAAGAACTCAGTTTATGGATTAGACAGTGGATGGATGACAGCAGTATCCTTTATTGCTTGCACCTAAGTTGGGGCCTGACTGTGTTAGGAGGGAGGAGAGATTGGCATTGGTGAGAAGGCAGTGGGGTAGAGCAGCTCTGTAGCACTTGAGACAAAACATGCCTGTGGTGGGCCTTGATATACTCTTTGATTCAAGTAGGGTGGTGTATCTATTTCATTCACATTACCTTGTCATAAAACTCCTTTGGGAAAGTTAACAAGTTTTTGTCTTCAGTCTTTTACTTTATTACTTATGCATTGATTCCTTAATTACAAAGTGCTGTCATTGAAATCCCTTAGTAGGAGAGCCAATAGTATAGCTTAGTGAAACATAATGAAAGGGTCAAGTTTCCATGCCAAAAACAGTATTCATATCCATATATGTAAATTAATTTTTAACAAAGTAAAATTTCAGGCGTATGACCAGCATGTATAAGTACAGCTTTTGGTATCTTCAGATTAAACTACCTTTTGAATTTAAGAATCTAATACTCAACAAAATTACTTGCAAACATTGCCAAATACATGTCATAAAAATATAATGAAGACAGGTTTTCAGAGAGCCTACATTTATTAAGTTCAGTGCTCAAAAGAAAATGAAGGTTTGCATTACAAAAATGATATGAACTATAAATAATTAGCACTAAAAGCAGAAGTGGTTACATTGTAAAAATTCTTATTGCTCTGCTCATTCCCTTGCAACATGATGTTACAAACTTTCCCATCAAGAAATAGCATCTGCAGAGCAAGACTACATGAGTCCTATCAGAGGGCAATTTACTAGAGATATTGGACATCAAGCAGTGCTGAAAATCACTGGAGGTTCCTTTCAGGTAGAGGAGGGCCTCATTAACACTTTGTTAATCCCCTAGTCAGGAGTAAGGACCATGGCCTGGAGTAAGGCTTACCAGCATTTTTCAATCTTGGCCCTATTGATATTGTAAACCAGATAATTCTTTGTTGTGTGGAGCTATCCTGTGTGTTGTAGGATGTTTACCAGCTTCCTTGGCCTCTACCTCCTAAATGCCTGTAGTGCTCCCCACCCCAATTGTGACAAATCAAAATGTCTTTGGATATTGCCAAATGTCACCAGGGGAGAAAAATCATCTCCATTTGAAGACCACTGCTCTGCACCCATCCTAAAAAAGCCTGAAACCAAGTCATGACAAGATCTGCAAGGGAGACGTATTCTGGAGGTTGATTTCTGCCAAGTCAGAGGTGCTTGGGAAACATCTTGGGCTTCTATGTGCCCTCCATAACAAAGCACAGGACAAAACGTACACAGTTTAAAGGTGACTAGCCAGTAACTGCACTGCCTACTAGAACAAGAATCAACATGCTTCAGAGAGAATATAACAAAATCCAGAGTCTCCATAAGGTATCACTAACAATGTCCAGGACACAGTAGAAAATTACTAGACAAGCAAAGTTATAGGACTGTTGTTGAAAAAAAGTAATAAATAGATATGACCTAAATGTTGGATTTAG
This sequence comes from Homo sapiens, assembly GCF_000001405.40. Classification (NCBI taxonomy): domain Eukaryota; kingdom Metazoa; phylum Chordata; class Mammalia; order Primates; family Hominidae; genus Homo; species Homo sapiens. Next base: position 74,369,326 of record NC_000008.11, read on the forward strand.
CAAATACTTTAAAGCAGCTAACAGGCAATATATGTTTATAGAATTAAAAGAAAATGTCTGATTGAATTGACAGAAAATCATGGGAGAGAAATTAAAACCATTAAAAGAAACCAAATGGAAATTTTAGAAAATTACATAAGTGAAAAATTCATTGGATGGGCTTCACAGCAGATGGAAGATGGCAAAAGGAAGATAAAGAAACACAGCCTCAGGAACATGTGGAAAATATCAACTGGTCTAATATGTGTGTTACGGGAGTTCTAAAAAGAGAACAAAGAATGGGGCAGGAAATTGTGTGTGTGTGTGTGTGCATATATATATATATATTTAAATAATGCCATATTTTCCCAAATTTGATGAAAAAACATTTACTTACTCGTCCAAGAAAATCACTGAACTCAGTGAAAGATAAATACCAAGAAAGCCTCACGTAGGCATATCATTGTCAGACCGCTGAAAACAAAAAAATCTTGAAAGCAGTTAGAAGGGGAAAAAAAAGATATACACAAGAGAATGATGATAAGAATGTGTGCTGACTTACCAGAAATAGTGGAATGCAGACAACAATGAAAATGTCTTTAAAGTGCTGATGGGGTGGGAAGGGGTGGTGAGGGAATCCTGCCAATTCAAAATTTTATATCCAGAGAAAATACCCCTTAAAAACTTGGGTTTTAAAGACACTTTATTTCATATAAATTGAAGCCAAGAGAAGTTGGATCCAGCAGGCCCCTGCAAAACCAAAAACTGCTAAAGGCCATTTTCAGACTGATGGAGAATGATACAAAATGGAAACCAAATCCACAGAGAGGGGAAAGAAAAGTAGTGCCAGGAATGGCAAATAATGGGTACATATAAAGACTTTCATTGCCTCATAATTTCCTTAAAAGGTTACTGTTTAGAACAAGAATAATAGCATTATTATGTAAAATGTAAATTTCTGGGCTCTATAATATATGTGGAAGTAAATATATGAAAAACACAAAGGTTGGAGGAAGTGGATGAATGGAATTACACTATTGTAAAGCTATTAGGTTAGTGATATGTAAAGAATGAAGTGTGAGGACAGATGTGCCAAATGAAAAGTATCAAGTGGGAAGTGTGAAGAAGGAAGTAGTGTCAAGGGTGAAGTAGTGCAATTTTGACACTAAATAAACTCTGATAAGAACACGTTGTTAGCTCTGGAGGAACACTAAAATTTAAAAAATCCCTAAGAAACAAATAGAAATAAAATACCAATGAAAGAAGCAACAAAACAAATAAACAGAAGGGACAAATGGAAAACATAGCAAGGTGGTAGACTTAAACACACCAAAGCAATAATTGCATGATATGTAAATGTAAATAGCATTGAATGTAAAATGTTCCAATTGAAGGTCAGAGATCAGATAAGAATGCAAGACACAAGTATGCGCTATTTATGAGATGTACTTTAAACATGCATAAACTGAACATAAAAGTATGGAAAGCGATATACCAGGTATACATCAAGAAAGGTGGTATGGCCATATTAATTTCAGAAAAAGTGGAGTTTAAGACAGAGTTTTACAAGAGACAAAGAGGGACATTTATGAATCACAAAAGAATTTATTAGGAAGACATAATCATAAATACATATTCATCTAAGAGCTTCAAAATGTATGTGGCAAAATCTGACAGAACCAATGGAAAATGTTAGTTGGAGATTTTGTCACTATTCTCTCAGTAATGAATAGATAAAATAGACAGAAATTCAATTGGGATATAGAAGATCTGAGCACACTGTCAGCCAACTTGATCTCATTCACATTTACTAGACATACTCAAAAACTGTGGAATAAACATTCTTTTCATGTGCATATGGAATGCTCATCAAAGTAGACATATTCTAGGCCATAAAACAAATCTCACTAAATATTCAGATTTTTATGTTGCAGAGTATATTCTGTGGCCATTGTGGAATTAAGTGAAAAATCAACAACTAAAATATTTTAAACATTTTCAAATATTTGGAAATTAAATAGCACATTTGTAACCCATGGCTGAAAGAAGAAATCATAAGGGAATAAGAAAATATGGCCGGGCGCGGTGGCTCACGCCTGTAATCCCAGCACTTTGGGAGGCCGAGGCGGGCGGATCACGAGGTCAGGAGATCGAGACCATTCTGGCTAACACGGTGAAACCCCGTCTCTACTAAAAATACAAAAAATTAGCCGGGCGTGGTAGCGGGCGCCTGTAGTCCCAGCTACTTGGGAGGCTGAGGCAGGAGAATGGCGTGAACCCGGGAGGCGGAGCTTGCAGTGAGCCGAGATCGCGCCACTGCACTCCAGCCTGGGCGACAGAGCGAGACTCCGTCTCAAAAAAAAAAAAAGAAAATATTTTGAGTTGAATAATAAAAATACACTTCAGAATTTGTGAGATACAGCAAAGGCAGTGCTTAGAGGGAAATTTATAGTTTGTTAAAAATTTTTTATTTTTTTTTATTATTATACTGTAAGTTCTAGGGTACATGTGCACAATGTGCAGGTTTGTGACATATGTATACATGTGCCATGTTGGTGTGCTGCACCCATTAACTCGTCATTTACATTAGGTATATCTCCTAATGCTACCCCTCCCCCCCCACCCCATGACAGTCCCTTGTGTGTGATGTTCCCCTTCCTGTGTCCAAGTGTTCTTATTGTTCAATTCCCACCTATGAGTGAGAACATGTGGTGTTTGGTTTTTTGTCCTTGCGATAGTTTGCTGAGAATGATGGTTTCCAGCTTCATCCATGTCCCTACAAAGGACATGAACTCATCATTTTTTATGGCTGCATAGTATTCCATGATGTATATATGCCACATTTTCTTAATCCAGTCTATCATTGATGGACATTTGGGTTGGTTCCAAGTCTTTGGTATTGTGAATAGTGCCGCAATAAACATATGTGTGCATGTGTCTTTATAGCAGCATGATTTATAATCCTTTGGGTATATACCCGGTAATGGGATGGCTGGGTCAAATGCTATTTCTAGTTCTAGATCCTTGAGGAATCACCACACTGTCTTCCACAATGGTTGAACCAGTTTGCAGTCCCACCAACAGTGTAAAAGTGTTCCTATGTCTCCACATCCTCTCCAGCACCTGTTGTTTCCTGACTTTTTAATGATCGCCATTCTAACTGGTGTGAGATGGTATCTCATTGTGGTTTTGATTTGCATTTCTCTAATGGCCAGTGATGATGAGCATTTTTTCATGTATCTGTTGGATGCATAAAAGTCTTCTTTTGAGAAGTGTCTGTTCATATCCTTCGCCCACTTTTTGATGGGGTTTGATTTTTTCTTGTAAATTTGTTTGAGTTCTTTGTAGATTCTGGATATTAGCCCTTTGTCAGATGAGTAGATTGCAAAAATTTTCTCCCTTTCTATAGGTTGCCTGTTCACTCTGATGGTAGTTTCTTTTGCTGTGCAGAAGCTCTTTAGCTTAATTAGATTCCATTTGTCAATTTTGGCTTTGGTTGCCATTGCTTTTGGTGTTTTAGACATGAAGTCCTTGCCCATGCCTATGTCCTGAATGGTATTGCCTAGGTTTTCTTCTAGGGTTTTTATGGTTTTAGGTCTAACATTTAAGTCTTTAATCCATCTTGAATTAATTTTTGTATAAGATGTAAGGAAGGGATCCAGTTTCAGCTTTCTACATATGGCTAGCCAGTTTTCCCAGCACCATTTGTTAAATAGGGAATCATTTCTTGTTTTTGTCAGGTTTGTCAAAGATCAGATGGTTGTAGATGTATGGTACTATTTCTGAGGGCTCTGTTCTGTTCCATTGGTCTGTATGTCTTTTGGTACCAGTACCATGCTGTTTTGGTTACTGTAGCCTTGTAGTATAGTTTGAAGTCAGGTAGCATGATGCCTCCAGCTTTGTTCTTTTGGCTTAGGATTGACTTGGCAATGCAGGCTCTTTTTTGGTTCCATATGAACTTTAAAGTAGTTTTTTCCAATTCTGTGAAGAAAGTCATTGGTAACTTGATGGGGATGGCATTGAATCTATAAATTACCTTGGGCAGTGTGGCCATTTTCACGATATTGATTCTTCCTATCGATGAGCATGGAATGTTCTTCCATTTGTTTGTGTCCTCTTTTATTTCGTTGAGCACTGGTTTGTAGTTCTCCTTGAAGAGGTCCTTCACATCCCTTGTAAATTGGATTCCTAGGTATTTTATTCTCTTTGAAGCAATTGTGAATGGGAGTTCACTCATGATTTGGCTCTCTGTTCGTCTGTTATTAGTGTATAAGAATGCTTGTGATTTTTGCACATTGATTTTATATCCTCAGACTTTACTGAAGTTGCTTATCAGCTTAAGGAGATTTTGGGCTGAGATGATGGGGTTTTCTAAATATATAATCATGTCATCTGCAAACAGGGACAATTTGACTTCCTCTTTTCCTAATTGAATATCTTTGTTTCTTTCTCCTGCCTGATTGCCCTGGCCAGAACTTCCAACACTATGTCGAATAGGAGTGGTGAGAGAGGGCATCCCTGTCTTGTGCCAGTTTTCAAAGGGAATGCTTCCAGTTTTTGTCCATTCAGTATGATATTGGCTGTGGGTTTGTCATAAATGGCTCTTATTATTTTGAGATGCGTCCCATCAATACCTAATTTATTGAGAGTTTTTAGCATGAAGGGTTGTTGAATTTTGTCAAAGGCCTTTTCTGCATCTACTGAGATAACCATGTGGTTTTTGTCTTTGTTTCTGTTTATATACTGGATTATGTTTATTGATTGGCGTACGTTGAACCAGCCTCGCATCCCAGGGATGAAGACCACTTGATCATGGTGGATAAGCTTTTTGATGTGCTGCTGAATTCGGTTTGCCAGTATTGTATTGAGGATTTTTACATTGATGTTTATCAGGGATATTGGTCTAACATTCTCTTTTTTTGTTGTGTCTCTGCCAGCCTTTGGTATCAGGATGATGCTGGCCTCATAAAATGAGTTTGGGAGGATTCCCTTGTTTTCTATTGATTGGAATAGTTTCAGAAGGAATGGTACCAGCTCTTCCTTGTACCTCCGGTAGAATGGGAAATTTATAGCTTTAAATGCCTGTTTTGCAAGAGAAGGAAAGCTTAAAATTTTTCATGTAAGTTTCCACTTAAAGAGCTACAGAAAGAGGAGCAAATTAAACCCAAAACAAGTTTCAACCCAAAATAAGTAGAAGGAAAAAAAAATCAATGCAGCAACCTATGATACAGAAACAAAAATTAACGAAACTCAAAATTCATCCTTGGAAAGACTAACAAAATTGATAAACCCCAAAAGGATAAATCAAGAAATACATAGAGAAATATAAATTACCAATATCACATAACACAAATAGAAGGGATGTCACTACATATCCCGCAGAGTTTAATAAGAAAATTAAAAATATTAGGAACAAATGTTGCTAACTTAGCAACTAGATGAAATTGACAAATTTCTTGAAAAATACAACTTCTCAAAAGTGACCCAATAAGAAATGGGAATTTGGAATAGCCATATATCCACTAAACAAATTGAATTTGTAATAAAAAATAACCATTCTACAAAGAAGATTCAAGGCCTAAATGGTTTTATTAGTAAATTCTATCATGTATGAAGTGAGAAATAATGCCAACTGTACATAAGCTTTTTTAAAACATAGATAAGGGAGTGCTTAACAAAATTATCTTATGAGACCAGTATAACCCTGATACCAGTATCTGAGTTAAATAAGAAAAATATTGGGCCAGGTGTGGAGGCTTATGCCTGTAATCCCAGATCTTGGGAGGTCAAGGTGGGTGGATCACTTGAGGTTAGGAGTTGGAGACCAGCCTGGCCAACATGGTGAAACTCTGTCTCTACTAAAAATACAAAAATTAGCCAGGCATGGTGGTGTGCACCTGTAATCCGAGCTACTTGGGAAACTGAGGCAAGAGAATCTCTTGAACCTGGGAGGCAGAGGTTGCAGTGAGCCGAGATCGCGCCACTGCACTCCAGCCTGGGCCATGGAGCGAGACTCTGTCTCAAAAAAAAAAAGAGATCAACTATTCCTCGTGACTGTAGATTCAAAACTCCTCAATAAAGTGTAGGCAAATGAAATTCATTAATATATTTCAAAAGTATACGTCATACATTATAGCCAGTAGAGTTCATATAATGGTTGCAAACTTGGCTTAATGTTTGAAAATTACACAGTGTTATTAACCACATTAACCAAATAAAGATGAAACATCATATAACCATCTCAGTAAATGCAGAAAAAGATTTGATAAAATTCAGCACATATTCAAGGTAAAGACATTCAGGATACTAGAAATAGAAGGAAACTTCCTCACCCTGATGAAGACATCCATGAAAAATCCAAAGTTAGTATCATGCTTAATGGTGAAAGACTGAAGTTTTTCCTTTTTATAGATCAGGAATAAGGCAAAGGTATTTACTGTCATCACTTCTACTTGTTATCCCATGGAGTAATAGCCAGTGCAATAAGGCAACTAAAAGAAATAAAAGGTATAAAATTTTAAAGGAATAAGAAAAATTGTTTCTATTTGTAATTGATATGATTTTTCCTAAGGAATCTTCTAAAAAACACTTAGAAATATTAAATGAAGTTAGCAAGTTCTCAGAATGCAAGATCACCATATAAAACTCAATTGTTGTATTTGCACTAACAACATGCAATTGAAGAATGAAGTGAAAAATTCCTTTTGTAGTACACCAAAAAAGGTAAAACACTAAACACTTAGAATTTAACCGATGTATAATACAGCCACATTGAAATCTTCAAATAATTGATAAAAGAAATTGAAGAAGACTGAAATAAATAGATATACCATATGCATGGTTTGGAAAATTTAATATTGTTAAGAAGTCCATTCTCCGCAAATGTATCTGTAGATTGAATGAAGTGCCAATCACCATTACAGCAGTCCCATCTTCTTTTAAAAATAAATTGACAACTTTAATCTAAAATTTATGTGAAAATGCGAAGGACATAGTAATAGATAGCTAAAACTATTTTGAGACACACTGGAGTTAGAGGGATCTTTTTTTTTTTTTTTTTTTGAGATGGAGTCTCACTCTGTTGCCCAGGCTGGAGTGCAGTGGCGCGATCTTGGCTGACTGCAAGCTCTGCCTCCCGGGTTCACGCCATTCTCCTGCCTCAGCCTCCTGAGTAGCTGGGACTACGGGCGCCCGCCACCAAGCCCGGCTAATTTTTTGTATTTTTTAGTAGAGACAGGGTTTCACTGTGTTAGCTAGGGTGGTCTCGATCTCCTGACCTTGTGATCTGCCCGCCTTGGCCTCCCAAAGTGCTGGGATTACAGGCGTGAGCCACCGCACCCAGCCAGAGGGACTTTCATTATCTTATTTTAAGACTTACAATAGGCTGGCTCTGAGTGCGGTGGTGTTTACAACTAATTGATCACAACCAGTTACAGATTTTTTTGTTTGTTTCTTCTCCACTTCCACTGCTTCACTTGACTAGCTTTAAAAAAAAAGGAAGACAAGAAATCTATAGTATTCAACTTAGTATGGTATTGGCAGAAAGGTTGACATACAGATCAATGGCACAGAATAGAGAATCCAGAATAGACCTTGCATGCATGGTCAACTTTTTTTCTTTTTAAAGCATGGGGGTCGATTCTGTTTTATTGGGAAAAGAAAGTCTTTTCAAAAAATGACACTTGAATAAGTAGATATCCACATTAAAAACATATACCTCAATATTAATATTAAATTGTACAGAAAATTACTTTGATATCTGTCATGGACCTAAACAGAAAAACTAAAACTATAAAAGTTCTAGAAGAAAATAAAGAAAACATTTATTTTGGGACTGGAAAAGATTACTAGAAAGGACACAGAAAAGTATTCACCATAAAAAATGATAAATTAGATGTTATCAAAGTTATAACTGCCTGTTTTCTTAAAGACATTAAGAAAATGAAAAGCCAAACCACAGAATCGATGAGAATATTCACAATATATATACCTGACAAAGGATGTATAGTCGAAATATATAAAGTATACCTCCAATTCAATAATAACACAACAAACAACTCAATAAAAATGGGCAAAAGCTTGAATAGATGCTTCACAAAGAGGATATGTGAATAGTCAGTAAGAATACACAAAAATGCTCAACATTGTTATTCATCAAATCTCATGTAACAATTGGATTCAGTTGGAAATCAAATATGCCAATCATTATACTAACATAGAAACTATTAATATACAGTCTAAGCCAAATCCAAATTAAAACCGCAATGAGATACTACTTTATATCTACTAGACTGGGTAAAATTTAAAAGGCTGACAATACTATTTGTTGACAAGGATATAGAGTAACTGGAACTTTTATAATTTACTTAAAGAAGATAAATTCACATCTGCTTTGGAAAACAGTGTGGCAGTTTCTTGTAAATTAAAAATTCAGTTAATATATGACCTAACAATCCCACTCTTAGGTATTTATCCCAAAGAAATCACAACCAATATCCACATGTTTGTGCAGGCTTTCACTTCACTGTTTATAGCTGCTTTATTACTAATGGCCAATAATTGGAAACTATCCAAAGGTACATTGTGGATGAATGAACAAACTGTTCTATTCATACAGTGGAATACAATTCATAGATAAAAAGAGAACAAACCATTAATATGTACACTAATATAGATGAATTTCAAAAAACATGCTATGTGAGGAGGTAATGGGCTCACACATCTTACTTAAACCCACGGATGGCCATCAGTGGCCCAGAGCCCTGAACTTGTCCTATGTCTGACATGAGTGAGAGTCCCCCAAAATCAGTGTATCAGTGCCATTTTGGCAAACTAATCTCATGTGATTATGTGAAAGAAAAACTGTGCTGGTCGGTGAGAGTGATTTGCCTACCAGGCCACTCTCCTGGAATTTGACCTGACTGTGGGACTCAAAGACACTCTCCTAGGAGCACATTTTAGTGTTCCTCAGGGCATCTGGTGACCCCACATGTAGGTTAGATGGAGAGCATCCAAAATGGGAGAAGTGGGGCCAGAGTCCATGCAACTCCTGGTCTGAGCTCAGCGTTCTTTACCTAGATGACATTGCTGGCCCCAGCCAGTCCCACACACAAGAGGTGGATTGAGAAAATATTGGGAAACACTCTAAAGTGGTGGCCTCCCTGGGGTGTGGAACCCACACTTCTTGCTTGAGTCTAAGGGCAGTACTGGGAGGGGAATGTTTGATTGGTTTAGTGGGCTACTCTTGATTGACCAGGGTTGACAGTAGAAGATACTGCCATCAAACTAGCATCAATGTCCTCAACTTAGTATCACTGCCAAAGGATTCTGAGCTAGCAGAGGCCAGGTGGCAGCACATAACTAACAGAGGAAAGGTGTACATAATTACCAAAATGGGGAGGATTCAGGCAAGTATACAAATGGGAGCCCTTGGCACATACATAGCTATCCTATTTCTCTTTCCACCTGGGGGCCTCACTCACACATATGTATATATTCCAATATGCACATTTCATACTGAACAACCACACAACCCACTTCCTCTGTGAGTTTACAGGAGTACATACTAGCAGCATGATCTACCCTTGACAGGAAAGACTTAGGGAAGAGTTGCTTATAGGTTCTAGAAGTGGGCTTAGGGCTAATTGAGCAGGGAATTTCATAGTCCCTGGTCCTTGGAGTATTGTTTTGAAGTGGTGGTGTGAGCCCTGGGAGGGCATGTCCTCTTGGCCCTATGGACTCTTACAGGGAGGGTTTTTGTTGGAGGCTGGAGCAATCTTCCATTAAATGTGGGTCATAGAGAGATCCAAGGCAAGGGTCATGTTTGTCCGACTTTCAGGGTCCGACTCAGGCTTTTTGAGGGCAGTTCCAACTTTCAAATATGAGGGTTCCATATGAATTTGGAACCCTCATATGAATTTCCTGGTATGTGGAGTAAGAGCCACTGTGTAGGAAGGGCCAAGTAGAGGCCAATGATGTTGTAAAAGTGTCCCGCAACGCTGCAAATCAAAATGGCAAACTAGAAACCATCTTACATCCTCAGAGGAGTTTCAGAGATGAGTGTTGGCATCAAAGACTTAAAGGATACAGGGGTAGTGGTTCCCTGTTCACATCACCTGTTTAGACCTTCTAAAACCCAATGGTTCATGGTGGATGATTGTATTATTAAAATAAATTTTACCAAGTAGGACCCCTACTTGTAGCTGCTGTGGTATCTTTATTGAGACATATGAAGACTTCTGGCATTTGAAATGCAGCTATTAACTTGCAATTCCCATATGTAAAAATGATAGAAAGCAGTGTCTCTTATGTGGGAAAGACAAAAGCATGCCTTTCCTGTCTTGCTCCAGGGCTATGTTAATGTTCTTGCTCTGCATCTTAACATAGCAGGGATCTGGATCGGTTCAACATTCTGTTGAATGTCAAGCTGGTCCTCTTTTGTGGTGACAGGTTAATTGGACTTGGATAGAGGTTAGTAGGAAGTACTCTACTTGCCCAAGAATGACACGTATCAGAGGAGCAAAACATCCTAAATAGGAGCAGAGACCTGCCTCAATAGTAAAGATTTTAGGGGTCAAGTGATCTATATGCATGCAGGGACCTCACCCCCAACATAAAAGGCCAGTTGTGCTTTAAACCCTCTACTCCTAAGAAAGAGGCACAGCACTTGGCTGGCCAGTTTTGGATTTTGATAGCAGAATATACTGCACTTGGGATACTGCTCTGATTCATTTGTGGATTGACCGCAGTTTTGAGTGGGGTCAGAGCAAGAGGTGGATCTGTAGCAGGATCAGGCTGTGGTATAAATGGCCTTGCTTCGTGGGCTGTGTGAAGCCAGCTGATGATGCTTGTGAGGTGAAAATATTTTTCTTCTTTTACAAAGAAGTTTTAGTCATCAGAAACAAAAGCCCACAAGTACACTAGCAATTAGGATGAATATTGTGTGAGATTCACGGTATAAAAATATTGCATTGAAATGATTAGTGACTAGTCTTTCATCTAATATTCTTAGTTTGCAGATGAGTAATCTGAGATATAGGAAAAGTAACTTGTCCCCAAACCGGCTTTTCTAATTGATGGATGATTCTAGAACTCAAGTCTCCTAAATCCTTGATAACACTGTGAGGCAAAATTTGCCTAGAATTATTTTTAAAAATTTATGCTTGCACATTTAAAGACATAGGTTACCCTACAGAGTCTTTTTTTTTTTTCACCAAAGGGGCATGTTCAGTGTATTTCTCCACTTTAAAATTCCTTTATATATGCAAAATAAATTTAGAGAGAGATTTAAAAGCAATTCTAAGGATAAAACATTTAGAATTCTTTGAAAAATAAAATAATCATTCCGTGAGTTTTTTTTGGTAGTTCAGGCATGTAAGTTTAAAGACTTAGGACACCATTTAAAAGACAAAAATTTTTCTTTAACCATCTTCAAGTTTAAGTCTGTGGAACGGACAATATTGCAGTTAAGGCCCAGGTGTATAATTTTGTCTAATCAACATAAAATACACACCATGATTTTTCTCTGGGACTCTTCCACCAGCTCACCCCAGTGCTTAAAAATGCTCATGCCTTTTATTTCAGTGGAGTTAAATTCAATCTCTTCCCTATTGATAGTCTTAAATAAAGTATTCCTAATCCTGTTTAACTCTGTCCAGTGCAATTTTCTTTGACAAGTGACAGAAAGCACATCAGTGATTGCCTGGGGATTGGAGTAGGTGAGGGAGAAAGGGATTACCAAGGGGGATGAAGAAATGTGGGGGTGAGGGATGTTATTTGAGTGTGTGTGTGTGTCTGTGTGTGTGGTGATGATAAATGAGTGTATTCATAGTCAAAATTTATCAAATTGTTTATTTATATCAATAATACCTCAACAAAGCTGTTTATATTATCTGACCCAATAATTTGAGTTTTAAGACTATTTTATTAAAGTAATTACATACATGTACAGAGATACATGAATAAAGATGTTCATGGTAGCAGAGTTCGTAACAAAAAAACTGGAAACAATCTTGTTTATCAGTAAGAAAATTATTAAACTAGTTATGGTACAACCATAATGTTATGCAGCTATTAAGAGTGAGTAGAAAGATCACCAAAAGCAAACTGAAGATTCATAGATATGTATATTATTATGTGTGATTTTATTTATGTAAAAAAAAGTAAGTAGGGCTGGGTATGGTGGCTCATGCCTGTAATCCCAGCACTTTGAGAGGCCGACGTGGGCACATCACTTGGGGCCAGGAGTTCGAGACCAGCCTGGCCAACATGTCAAAACCCTGTCTCTACTAAAAATACAAAAATTAGTTGGACGTGGTGGCAGGTGCCTGTAATCCCAGCTACTCGGGAGGCTGAGGCAGGAGAATCGCTTGAACCCGGGAGGCAGAGGTTGCAGTGAGCTGAGATCATGCCACTGCACTCCAGCCTGGGTGACAGAGCGAAACTCCATCTCAAATTAAAAAAAAAAAAAAAAAAGTAAGTACATGTGAAAAAATTTAACACTGAAACTCCTGATAGTGGCTGATTCTGGAGAGGCGATTGGAATTCTGCAGGGATATGTGTGAGAGAGGTCTTAAACTTTTTACTTTGTATTCCATGTTTTATATCAGTAGTTGGCTTATCTTTGGGAGGTCAATCCTCTGCTTTCGCCTTCATTTCCTTTAATATTGGCCACTATGCTGGGGTACATTACCAAACTTTTTTTTTTCCTACTATTTTATAGTTTTCAAAATAGTGGGTTGGTTCCCTAGTATCCTTCAAAGATGACTAATGAGGGTTTTCTTGGTACTATTATGATTTACACTTACTTCACATATTTCAATCTGTTGCCTTTATTATTTTATGGATGCGCAAATTGTCCTATCTTTGGCCACTTTAAGCTATTCAAATTGGCTCCTGAGTTCTTTTCTTGTGCTCATGATATAATTTGATAGCTTCCTTGATTTCTGGTATGTTAAGGTACTTCATGCTCGTGTTTTACATTTTTTGCCCCAGACTTGGAATCAGCTATTTTTCTAAAGAGTCCTAATTCCTGTTAGTGGGAAATTATAGGAAGTTTCCTCATTGCTAGTGGTTTTTTTTTTTTTCTAGATCTTTTCAGTGGCTAGAACTTGGTATGTTCTAAATATTTACAAGCATGAAGTCATAATAGGATTCTATTCTCTAGCTAACTTATTAGATAACATGGGTATTAAAAAAGAATATAGATTATAGTTTACTGATTTTGCCTAATAAAAAATATTGAGTAACGTGCTTGGAATTAATCCCTGAATTTATCATCCTTTTTTTCATTGGCAAATACTACTTTTAAATTCTCTTTATCTGTGTTAAATGATTATACTGAATACATGACTTAGATCTTAAAATAGTATCTAGAAAAATAATTAATGAAAAACAAATGGAAGGCTGGAGCTTTTGTTCTCATCTATAATCTGGATGAGATTGTAACAATTTTTTTTCTGTATAGAATTTCACTTTTTTTTCCCTGAGTATGTATCAGCTTGGAATTTTGAACTATTCAGGTGGATAATTTTTGGATTACTAATTTTGTCTATCTTTTATTTCAGTTACTGTCTGGAATCCTTTCCTGTCAGGAGTTCTAAGCTTCTTACTCTTATTTGTTAAATTAAAATTTTAGAATTCATGGCATTTGAATACAATTTAAGCTAAAAACCAAACACAACAAACTTCTTTCTCAATTTGCTTACAAATCCATCAGCTTATAAAATGTTTGTAAAACTTTCTAACACATTTTATAGACCTGGATTAAGTCTGGGTCTTTTCAAGGTATAACACTCAAGTTAACCAAAGTCCCATGAAACATGACATTTTGTTTCCCTGGGTGTTTGCATACAAACTTATTTAAACACATCCAAATTCAGATCGACCTTTCAGTACCTTAGTTAGCCCTTCCAAAATTGGGTTGGGGGAAATCTTAATTCAAATTAGCTTGCTTTGCAAAATTTCACCTGTTTGCAGGTTTCTGATGGCTTTCAGCCCAGCATTTAACTCAGTTCAGGTTTATTTAAAAACCAGATGGTATTGGCTTTAAATTGACCTGGACTTGTTCCAAATGCATTCCACTGAAATTGTATCCCAGGTTAGTTAAAAGCTCATCTCTAGAAATCCCATTTCTTCTCTTGAGAGAGAAGGACCTGGCTGCATTTTGAGTAGTAGAACTGATTTCAAAAGTTTTAGATTTAATAATCTGTTTTTCAGTTTCTACAAATATTTCCATCCTTAATTTAAAAATGTGTTTCTCTAGCAAAAGAGAATCCAACACTATATATAAGCCTTGACAGAAATCTCATTTCCAAATCTTTCTTTTCATCTTCCTCCAGTCAGAGGCTTAATCACTTCTTTATCTACATCCTCTGACATTAATGAGCCATACCTCTTTTCCATACTCTCTCCATACAGTTGGAAGAAGTTATTTTTCTCTTAGTTTGCCAGTTTATCAGGTTTGGTTTTTAGCTGCACCTATTGCCGATTCACTTCTTCCATGAAGCCTTCCAATCAAAATCTATGAAATGCCAGAAAGGAAACACATACACTCACAAATATAACAGATATTTTTTCCAACCTGTGAATCAACCCTGCATCTTGGTGGTTGTAGGTATCTAAGAAGTAAGATCGTTTAAGTCTCATGTTGTTACATAACACGCATGAATTCAACCCTTAACTCCAAGGTGCAGATTTCCTGCCTCTGAAATGATGAGAATAATGATTTTATTATTTACTTCACAGGAACTTCTTATTTGGAATACAATCAGCTGAATTCAGACAATGCACTGATAACTGCTTGCTTTTTAAAACATTCTGATGTTTATTTTAAAAACAATTTGTTGAATTTAGTCCATTAATATATAATGTAAGTTAACACTTTCTTCCCCGAGAAGATTGTGTGTGTTCACGCCTCTTGTAGCTCCTGGTAATTCACTTCAATGGGGGAAATAAAAACTGGCAGTAACAAACTGTATTATACAATTTTTAAAAATTCTTCTCAGGCAATCTCTTTTTCAACCACTGTTTTGGTTCCAGAGCCCATGCATGAACAATTTTTATATTTTTCCAAAGTAAAAATTGTTTTCTTCAGGTCTTTTCTTTCCACTAGGAAGTCATGTTTTCCCTATGAATGGAACTTAAACCCCAATTGTTCAACTCTAAATTTAAAACCCACAAAATTTGGCCTAAAGTAAACAAAACACATTCAGTCTCTTGTTTCTAATTGCTCGAAATTCTATCCAGGTTTTCCAAAAGTTGATTGAGTCTTACCAACATTTTCTGTGAACCACACATGGATTTCAAGTTTACAGAGAAACCCCAAACCTCTAGAAATAAACCCCACATCAAGAAGATTTCATTTGGTTTCAGGTTTCACTACAAAAATTCAATATAACTTCATTAAAAAAGCACTAAGTAACACTGTAAGAAGTTGATCTCTGTCGCCAACGAAATGCCATGCTTATGTATCATTGTGTAGCTGCACCGACTTACATCTTTATGTCTTGAGTAAAATCCACTCTATATTTTGCAGTTACTACAACTATGCCCATTTTATTTATAGCTGAAGTCGCAATACTGACTTTACATGTTGAAATTACACTAAAAAGTATACTAAGGAACAATATCCATATGGGTATGGATCTATTCCAAACCACAGTTGAATGCTTTGCTAGCAAAGCAAATAATATGGATGCTAAATAGCTAAACACTAATCTATTAACTTCTACTAAAATACTAGAATCACAGAACTGGAAAGGGACTTTAAGGAATTTTTTAAAGATCATGGTACATCTTCTGCGGTAGGAATTAGATATTACCAAACCCAAGTCGCTTATTTTATGGATAAAGAGATAGGTGGTATATAGATCTTTTTATTATTATTATTATAGTTTAAGTTCTGGGATACATGTGCAGAATGTGCAGGTTTGTTACATAGGTATACAAGTGCCATGGTGGTTTGCTGCACCCATCAACCCATCATGTACATTAGGTATTTCTCCTAATGCTATCCGTCCCCTAACCGCCCCCACCACCAACAGGCCCCGGTGTGTGATGTTCCCCTCCCTGTGTCCATGTGTTCTCATTGTTCAACCCCCACTTATGAGTGAGAACATACAGTGTTTGGTTTTCTGCTCCTGTGTTAGTTTGCTGAGAATGATGGTTTCCAGCTTCATCCATGTCCCTGCAAAGAACACGAACTCATCCTTTTTTGTGGTTACATAGTATTCCATGGTGTATATGTGCCACATTTTCTTTATCCAATCTATCATTGATGGACATTTGGACTGGTTCCAAGTCTTTGCTATTGTGAACAGTGCTGCAATAAACATACGTGTGCATGTGTCTTTATAGTAGAATGATATATAATCTATATAATCCTTTGGGTATATACCTAGTAATGGGATTGCTGGGTCAAATGGTATTTCTGGTTGTAGATCCTTAAGGAATCCCCACACTGTCTTCCACAGTGGTTGAACTAATTTAAACTCCCACCAACAGTATAAAAGCATTCCTGTTTCTCCACATTCTCTTCAGCATCTGTTGTTTCCTGACTTTTTAATGATCACCATTCTAATTGGTGTGAGATGGTATCTCATTGTGGTTTTGATTTGCATTTCTCTAATGAACAGTGATGATGAGCTTTTTTTCATATGTTTATTGGCCGCATAAATGCCTTCTTTTGAGATCTGTCTGTTTCATATCCTTCACCCACTTTTTGATGGGGTTGTTTGTGTTTTTCTTGTAAATTTGTTTAAGTTTCTTATAGATTCTGGATATTATCCCTTTGTCAAATGGATAGACTGCAAATATTTTCTCCCATTCTGTAGGTTTCCTGTTCAGTCTGATGATAGTTTCTTTTGCTGTGCAGAAGCTCTTTAGTTTAATTAGATCCCATTTGTCAATTTTGGCTTTTGTTGCCATTGCTTTTGGTGCTTTCGTCATAAGTTTTTGCCCATGCCTATGTCCTGAATGGTATTGCCTAGGTTTTCCTCTAGGGTTTTTGTGATTTTAGGTCTTATGTTTAAGTCCTTAATCTATCTTGTATTAATTTTTGTATAAGGTGTAAGGATGGGGTCCAGTTTCAGCTTTCTGCATATGGCTAGCCTGTTTTCCCAACACCATTTATTAAATAGGGAATCCTTTCCTCATTGCTTTTGTCAGGTTTGTCAAAAATCAGATGGTTGTAGATGTGTGGCGTTATTCCTGAGGCTTTTGTTCTGTTCCATTGCTCTATATCTCTGTTTTGGTACCAGTACCATGCGATTTTTGTTACTGTAGCCTTGTAATATAGCTGGAAGTCAGGTAGCGTGATGCCTCTAGGTTTGTTGCTTTTGCTTGTGATTGTCTTGGCTATACAGGCTCTTTTTTGGTTCCATATGAAATTTAAAGTAGTTTTCTCTAATTCTGTGAAGAAAGTCGATGGTAGCTTGATGGGAATAGCATTGAATCTATAAACTCCTTTGGGCAGTATGGCCATTTTCACAATATTGATTCTTCGTATCCATGAGCATGGAATATTTTTCCACTGTTTGTGTCCTCTCTTATTTCCCTGAGCAGTGGTTTGTAGTTCTCCTTGAAGAGGTCCTTCACATCCCTTGTAAGTTGTATTCCTAGGTATTTTATTCTCTTTGAAGCAATTGTGAATGGGAGTTCACTCATGATTTGGCTGTTTGTCTATTATTAGTGTATAGGAATGCTTGTGATTTTTGCTCATTGATTTTATATCCTGAGACTTTGGTGAAGTTGCTTATCAGCTAAAGGAGATTTTAGGCTGAGACGATGGGATTTTCTAAATATACAATCATGTCATCTGCAAACAGAGGCAATTCTACTTTCTCTCTCCCTATTTGAATACCGTTTATTTCTTTCTCTTGCCTAATTGGCCTGGCCAGAACTTCCAACACTATGTTGAATAGGAGTGGTGAGAGAGGGCATCCTTGTCTTGTGCCGGTTTTCAAAGGGACTGCTTCCAGCTTTTGCCCATTCAGTGTGATATTGGCCATGGGTTTGTCATAAATAGCTCTTATTACTTTGAGATAGGTTCCATCAATGCCTAGTTTATTGAGTGTTTTTAGCATGAAGCGGTGTTGAATTTTATCGAAGGCCTTTTCTGCATCTATTGAGATAATTATGTGGTTTTTGTCATTGGTTCTGTTTATGTGATGGATCATGTTTATTGATTTGCATTTGTTGAATCAGCCTTGCATCCCAGGGATGAAACCGACTTGATCATGGTGGATAAGCTTTCTGATGTACTGCTGGATTTGGTTTGCCAGTATTTTATTGAGGATTTTTGTATCAATGTTCATCAGGGATATTAGCCCGAAATTTTCTTTTTTCGTTGTGTCTCTGCCAGGTTTTGGTATCAGGATGATGCTGGCCTCATAAAATTAGTTAGGGAGGAGTCCCTCTTTTTTGATTGTTTGGAGTAGTTTCAGAAGGAATGGTACCAGCTCCTCTTTTTACCCCTGGTAGAATTCAGCTTTGAATCCATCTGGTTCTGGGCTTTTTTTGTTTGGTAGGCTATTAATTACTGCCTCAGTTTCAGAACCTGTTATTGGTCTTTTCAGGGATTTGACTTCTTCCTTGTGTAGTCTTGGGAGGGTGTATGTGTCAAGGAATTTATCCATTTCTTCTATGTTTTTTAGTTTATTTGCATAGTATAGTATTCTCTGATGGTAGTTTGTATTTCTGTGGGATCAGTGGTGATATCCTCTTTATCATTTTTTATTGTGTGTATTTGATTCTTCTCTCTTTTCTTGTTTATTAGTCTGGCTAGCAGTCTATCTATTTTGTTAATCTTTTCAAAAAACCAGCTCCTGGATTCATTGATTCTTTGAAGGGTTTTTCGTGTCTCTCTCTCTCTCATTCAGTTCTGCTCTGATCTTAGTTATTTCTTGTCTTCTGCTAGCTTTTGAATTTGTTTGCTCTTGCTTCTCTAGTTGTTTTAATTGTGATGTTAGGATGTTGATTTTAGATCTTTCCCACTATCTAATGTGGGCGTTTAGTGCTATACATTTCCTTCTAAACACTGCTTTAGCTGTGTCCCAGAAATTCTGGTACGCTGTGTTTTTGTTCTCAGTGGTTTAAAAGAACTTATTTATTTCTGTCTTAATTTTGTTATTTACCCAATAGTCCATTCAGGAGAAGGTTGTTCAGTTTCCATGCAGTTGTGTGGTTTTGAGTGAGTTTCTTAATCCTGAGTTCCAGTTTGATTGCACTGTGGTCTGAGAGGCTGTTTGTTATGACTTCTGTCTTTTGCCTTTGCTGAGGAGTGTTTTACTTCCAATTATGTGGTCGATTTTATAATAAGGGCTATGTGATGCTGAGAAGAATGTATATTCTGTTGATTTGAGGTGGAGAGTTCTGTTGATGTCTGTTAGGTCCACTTGGTCCAAGTTGAGTTCAAGTCCTGACTATACTTGTTATTTTTCTGTCTTGTTGATCTGTCTAATATCGACAGTGAGGTGTTAAAGTCTCTCATTATTATTGTGTGGGAGTCTTAAGTCTCTTTGTAGGTCTGTAAGAAATTGCTTTATGAATCTGGGTGCTCCTGTATTGGGTGCATATATATTTAGCATATTTAGCTCTTCTTGTTGCATTGATCCCTTTACCATTATGTAATGCCCTTCTTTGTCTTTTTTGATCTTTGTTGGTTTAAAGTCTGTTCTATCAGAGATTAGGATTGCAACCCCTGCTGTTTTTTGCTTTCCATTTGCTTGGTAAATATTCCTCCATCCCTCTATTTTGAGCCTATTTGTGTCTTTTCTCGTGAGATGGGTCTCCTGAATACAGCACACTGATGGGTCTTGACTCTTTATCTAATGTGCCAGTCTGTGTCTTTAATTGAGGCATTTAGCCCATTTACATTTAAGGATAATATTGTTATGTGTGAATTTCATCCTGTCATGATGCCAGCTGGTTATTTTGCACATTAATTGATACAGTTTCTTCATAGTATTGTTGGTCTTTACATTTTGGTATATTTTTGCAGTGGCTGGTACTGGTTTTTCCTTTCCATATTTAGTACTTTCTTCAGGAGCTCTTGTAAGGCAGGCCTAGTGGTGTCAAAATCCCTAAGCATTTGCTTTTTTGTAAAGGATTTTATTTCTCCTTTGCTTATGAAGCTTAATTAGGCTGGATATGAAATTCTGGGGTGAAAATTCTTTTCTTTAGGAGTGTTGAATATTGGCCCCCACTCTCTCCTGGCTTGTAGTGTTTCTGCAGAGACATCTGCTGTTAGTCTGATGGACTTCCCTTTGTAGGTAACCTGTCCTTTCTCTCTGGCTGCCCTTAATGTTTCTCCTTCATTTCAACCTTGGTGAATCTGATGATTATGTGTCTTGGAGTTGCCCTTCTCAAGGAGTATCTTTGTGGTGTTCTCTGTATTTCCTGAATTTGAATGTTGGCCTGCCTTGCTAGGTTGGGGAAGTTCTCCTGGATAATATCCTGAAGTGTGTTTTCCAACTTGGTTCAATTCTCCCCGTCACTTTCAGGTACACCAATCAATTGTAGGTTTCATCTTTTCACATAGTCCCATATTTCTTGTAGTCTTTGTTCATTCCTTTTTATTCTTTTTTCTCTAATCTTGTCTTCAAGCTTTATTTCATTAAGTTGATCTTCAATCTCTGATATGTTCAATCTCCGATGTCTTTTCTTCCGCTAGATCAATACTTGCGTACGCTTCACGAAGTTCTCCTGCTGTGTTTTTCAGCTCCATCATGTCATTTATGTTCTTCTCTAAACTGGCTATTCTAGTTAGCAATTCCTCTAACCTTTTTTGAAGGTTCTTAGCCTCCTTGCATTGGGTTAGAACATGCTCCTTTAGCTCAGAGGAGTTTGTTATTACCTACCTTCTGAAGCCTACTTCTGTCAATTCATCAAACTCATCCTCCATCCAGTTTTGTTCCCTTGCTGGCAAGGAGTTGTGATCCTTTGGAGGAGTAGAGGCATTCTGGTTTTTGGAATTTTTAGCCTTTTTGCGCTGGTTTTTCTTCATCTTCATGGATTTATTTACCTTTGGTCTTTGATGCTGGTGGCCTTCGTATGGGGTTTTTGTGTGGATGTCCTTTTTGTTGATGTTGATGCTATTCCTTTCTGTTAGTTTTTCTTCTAACAGTCAGGACTGTCTGCTGCAGGTCTGCTGGAGTTTGCTGGAAGCCCACTCCACACCCTGTTTCCCTGGGTATCACCAGCAGAGGCTGCAGAACAGCAAAGATTGCTCCCTATTCCTTTTTGTAGAAGCTTCGTCCCAGAGGGGCACCCGCCAGATGCCAGCCAGAGCTCTCTCCAGTATGAGATGTCTGTTGACCCTTGCTGGGAGGTGTCTGCCAGTCAGAAGGCATGGGGATCAGGGACCTGCTTAAGGAGGCAGTCTGTCTCTTAGTAGAGCTTGAGCGCTGTCCTAGGAGATCCGCTGCTCTCTTCAGAGCCAGCAGGCAGGAATGTTTAAGTCTGTGAGACTGCGCCCACAGCTGTCCCTACTCCCAGGTGCTCTGTCCCAGGGAGATGGGAGTTTTATCTATAAGCCCGTTACTGGGGCTGCTGCCTTTCTTTCAGAGATGCCCTGCCCAGAGAGGAGGAATCTAGAGAGGCAGTGTGGCTACAGCAGCTTTGCCGAACTGCAGTGGGCTCTGCCCAGTTTGAACTTCCTGGTGGCTTTGTTTACACTATGAGGGGAAAACTGCCTACTCAAGCCTCAGTAATGGCGGACACCCCTCGCCCCACCAAGCTGGTTTCAGGTTGACTTTAGACTGCTGTGCTGGCAGGAAAAATTTCAAGCCAATGAATCTTAGCTTGCTGGGCTCCATGGGGGTGGGATCTGCTGAGCCAGACCACTTAGCTTCCTGACTTCAGCCCGCTTTACAGGGTAGTGAACGGTTCGGTCTCGCTGGCATTCCAGGCGCTAGTGGGGTATGAAAAAAAAAACTCCTACAGCTAGCTTGGTGTCTGCCCAAACGGCCACCCAGTTTTGTGCTTGAAACCCAGGACCCTGGTGGTGTAGGCATCTGAGGGATTCTCTTCATCTGCGGGTTGCAAAGACCATGGGAAAAGCATAGTATCTGGGCCAGAATGCATCGTTCCTCATGGCACAGTCCCTCACAGCTTCCCTTGGCTAGGGGAGGGAGTTCCTTGACCCCTTCTGCTTCTGGGTGAGGTGATGCCCCACCCTGCTTCTGCTTGCCCTCTGTGGGCTGCACCCACTGTCTAACCTTTCCCAATGAGATGACCTGGGTACCTCAGTTGGAAATGCAGAAATCACCCACCTTCTGCGTTGATCTCACTGGGAGCTGCAGACTGGAGATGTTACTATTCGGCCATCTTGCCAGCCACCCCCACATCTTTTCTTACTGACAGAGTAGAATATCAATCAGTTATGGTCAAAGTTAATATTACTGGTTAATTTTGGCATCACTTGTGATATGGACTTAAGAATATTAGGACATAGCAAAATATATAAAGGTACATCTGTTACATTCACATATTTATTATTGACTTCAGATATAAGAATATGCAATTTTTTTTTGAGGCAGAATTTCGCTCTTGTTGCCCAGGCTGGAGTGCAATGGCCCGATCTTGGCTCACCACAACCTCTGCCTCCCGGGTTCAAGTGATTCTCCTGCCTCAGCCTCCCAAGTAGCTGGGATTACAGGCATGCACCACCATGCCCAGCAAATTTTTGTATTTTTAGTAGAGATGGGGTTCCTCCATGTTGGTCAGGCTGGTCTCGAACTCCCGACCTCAGGTGATCTGCCTTCCTCGGCCTCCCAAAGTGCTGGGATTACAGGTGTGAGCCATCATGCCCAGCCAGTTATTTTTATTTAATAATACATATTGATTTCAGATACAGGGCGCAATAAAATCAGATCCAGTTATTTAGTTTATTTGATTTATCTCCTACCACTGTGTAACCTTACTCTAACAATAAAGTGAGGATTTAGATTAAATGATCATGGAAGTACTTCCCAGTTTTATCAATGTGATATTTAAAATATTCCATATCATCAAACACATCTTAGTTTGGGATTTTAGCAAGAACTATAACAATTTTTGATGTCAATAATTTCAAAAAACAAAGAAAACGAGAGAAGAATATAAAACCTAAATGGACAATTTGTATGGCCCATATAGCAGTGGTTAAGGCCTATGCTGATCTCAGTGGAAAATGTTTTCCTGATTACTGTTGTTGCATGCTTTTATCTGTGGTGTAATATCATCTACATTTTAGCTTGTAGTATTTACTTTTACCACATATTATATACTAGTGAGAAGTAGTAACCCGTTAACATTCATGTTCCCCATTTGATAGAACAGAGCAGTTCCTGGAAATGGATGTGGAGCCATGAACTACATTTTCCAGCATCCTTTGGAAGTAGGCATGGTCTTGTGATGAGTTCTTGCCAACCCAATGAGAGCAGAGTGATTTATGCCATAGAGAGGGCAACACAAATCTCAGTTTTCCCCAAACACTTTTTACTTTCACTAGAATAGATACAGATGTCAAGGCTTAGGGAATGGCAGAGCCAAAGGACAGAAGGAGCCGTGTATGGAAGAAACCTGCTGCAGATGAAGAACACCCATACTGAGTTTACATTAGCCAGAAAAATCTACAGGGTCAAGACATGGACTTTTGGCAGTTTGTTACAGAAGCTAGCGCTATACAGAATCCTAGTAAAATATACACTTTACTAATATAGATTGCATTTTATGCTAATATTTTGTGTGAGTTATCAATACCTAAAATATTAAGTGAACTTTACATTTACAAGGAACAGGTTTCATATATTCATCAGTGTCTGGAAATTGCATCATATGGGGTAATATTCTTAATAACAATGAGAATTTATTATAGCACATACTTTTCATTTTCCTGGTTAAGTTTATCTAATTTAAATAGTTATTTTTTTCTGGTAAAGAGATTGACAAAAACACAAAAAGAACCTGGCAATTTCTGATATGGACAAAAAAATGAGAAAAAACTATTTTTCAGTTTCCTCTTTTCACCTCCTAATTACTGGCTTTAAAATTGTCTCACTGTTTTCCTCTTCTTTTGCTGGGTGAGCTCAGTAAGTTTAGGATAAGGAATGATGGTATAAGATATGAATGAAAGCCCTCAGAGAAGTTTAGATGGAAAAACTTGGCCCCAAATTTTTGTTTAATGTGCATAAACTGTGTGAGGTATCCTGGATCAAAATGTTCTGAACAGCCTAGAAAAATGATAATGACTATTTTGGGTCTTTTTATTGTGACCAAGGAAAGAAAACAAAGGGGCAGAAATTTAAAAAGAAACTTCTGTGGACTAGGACTATCCAGGTGTTTCTTGTCGACCTGGGAGAATAACAAAATATATTGTATGTTTAATTAAAAAACTAAACTCCTGCCAGCAAAAAGTAGATCATTGAATACTGCTATAACTAATTATGAAAAAAACTATTGTAAACCTTTAAGTTTTGCAATACTCAAGTGTAATTAAATGAGGGCAAATACCTTTCAGTATGACACATGTATCTATGAATACTTTTAAGAGCTAAATAACTCTAGCTTCTGAGAGATAACTAGAACCCTGAAGGTGGTAGACACTGTTTGGATAATTTTTGAGACTTCTATTTTCCCCTGTTTTATACCCTTTTTTCCCCTCATTCTTACATAATTCTGCTTATATAACTCCATTCTTATATGACTTTCTATGGAAAAATGTGTTAGTCCACTTTCACACTGTTGATAAAGACATACCCGAGACTGGACAATTTACAAAAAAAAGAGGTTTAATGGACTTAAAGTTCCACATGGCTGGGGAGGCTTCACAATTTGGTGGAAGGCAGGGAGGAGCAAGTCACGTCCTACGTGGATGGCTGGAGGCAAAGAGAGAGAGCTTGTGCAGGGAAACTCCCCTTTTTAAAACCATCAGATCTTATGAGACTTATTCACTATCATGAGAACAGTAGGAGAAAGACCCACCCCCATGATTCAATTACCTCCCACTGGGTCCCTCCCATGACACGTGGAAATTGTGGGAGTTAAATTCAAGATGAGATTTGGGTGGGGGCACAGCCAAACCATATCACAAACTCTGGTAAAATTCTCAGGTGAGTGTTTGCCTCAAGATAGGAGAGGTAATCAATCACTTTGGGTAGAACCTTCTAGTGGTTGTCACTCCAGTCATTTGATGGGTCCCTGAAGGAGACACATATTCACATCTCTGTGCTTTTCACTTGGTATCCTCTCTCTAGAATACCTTCCTCTTCTTCCTAGCTTTAATGGTCACTTTTTAGCTTCCCCAAGCAGAGTTAGTCATTTTTTTTAAAGCACTTGATTTGTACCTTGGCTCTACACACCCATTCACACTATATATGTCAATATTGACCAGAGGACTGAACACAAAGGCGTGATGAGGTGGTGACTCAGAGAGGGTGCTGCGTTAAGTATGTGGAGTTAAGCTAAGCTGGGGATTAGGAATGATACTGCTGGTGACAGAAGGAGTCAGGAGCCAAGAAACAGGGACCTGGAAATGGCAGCCCAAAGAAGACTCATACCTGGAGAGGGCCATCATGGGAACCAGGTCATGTCAGGAAGTAAAATTGTGAAACCCAAAGTGGAGCAAATACCTGAAGTTGCATCAATTGCAAATTAAATGCATGCCAGAGGCCCAGAAATTGCTGCTTTAACTGGACTTTTTATCTTGTTTCATCCCTTTGGAGTGTCTTCTGATCTTCTTTGCTGGCCTGTAAACTTCTCATGGGCATTTTCTATATTTTATTCACTTGAATCCACAGTGCTTATTTCAGTTTCTGATGCCCAAACAATGAATGTTAAATGAATGAACAAATTGTGGAAGATATTGTTCACCTTATTTTATAGAAGATAAACCTGGGCTTTGATCAGAATTTTTAAGCATGTTAGTGAGTATGGACACCACTTCAATAACATATTTCAAATGTGGTGCAATTTAGTGTCTACCAATCTTACTTTTAAGTTCAGGGACCTGGTCCTGTCCAAGTACTGTATCTGACTTACATGTAAAGGTTCCAGTATGTGTCAGAGGTGGATATTAAACACCTGGATATTAAACAGTCTGGGTATTAAACACCCAGAATACAGGAATCTTAATTTCATGTCCTTTCTCTTCTTGAAGAACAATAGTAAATTGGATGAAGAGAAATAATCAATCCCTTTGTATAAAAGACAACTTCATTGTGTAGCTGTCCTAAGCTAAGTTGCTGTGAGTATGCATGCAATACAGTATGTTGAGGTTAAACATAGGGTCACACAATCCTGCTTTCATATGAGTGACACTAGCGCATTGCCATTTAGTAATTTCCTGTTGCCCTAATGTATGTGGGCGTGTCTGCAATGCTGTGGAAAACTCTAACATGGGAGTGGATTTAATTGCATCTTCAGTCAAATCTAAATAAAGCCAACTATTAAAACACCTGTATCTGTATCTCTAGTCATTTGGTTTTAGGCTTAATGGAAGTTTATTAGAATCCCACGGCTACTCACATTTATTTTAACCTCTAATAGATGTACCATGTTGTTTTAGACTTTACAGTAAGATGGAAAAATGGGTTAAAAGAACTAAAACATAAAGTCAAGATGTAAGGCAGGGTTTACAAGCTAGTGGTAACAACATATTAACGTACGGTGAAGTTAAAAAGGAAAACAGAGTAAGAGTAAATGTCAGAGTGTCTCACATGTGTAGTAAGGAGAAGTATTACTGGACAGAAACATTTTTTCCCATATATATGTACACAAATTCCTTACTGTGTATCACAATCAAAAGAGTTTGAGAACCACTGCTTTAAGGAGTTCTACAATAGAAACACTGGAATTTACATTATAATTTTTTGGGAACTGGAAACACCTCCTCCCTTATACAGTTGGTTTTGAAATGTCTAAAAAAGATATTTTTTAACATCAGAAAAATGTTTTTAAAAACCCGTGAAATTTATTGGTTTCCACAATTCCAATGTCATATTATTTTATAAAAATAAAAAGCTTTTATTTTTATTTATTTATTTTTTTTACAGTTCTTCCTTCCTTTTATTTTATTATTATTATTATTATACTTTAAGTTTTAGGGTACATGTGCACAATATGCAGGTTAGTTACATACGTATACATGTGCCATGCTGGTGTGCTGCACCCATTAACTCGTCATTTACATTAGGTATATCTCCTAATGCTATCCTTCCCCCATCCCCCCACCCCACAACAGTCCCCAGAGTGTGATGTTCCCCTTCCTGTGTCCATGTGTTCTCATTGTTCAATTCCCACCTATGAGTGAGAACATGTGGTGTTTGGTTTTTTGTCCTTGCGATAGTTTACTGAGAATGATGATTTCCAGTTTCATCCATGTCCCTACAAAGGACATGAACTCATCGTTTTTTCTGGCTGCATAGTATTCCATGGTGTATATGTGCCACATTTTCTTAATCCAGTCTATCATTGTTGGACATTTGGGTTGGTTCCAAGTCTTTGCTATTGTGAATAGTGCCGCAATAAACATATGTGTGCATGTGTCTTTATAGCAGCATGATTTCTAGTCCTTTGCATATATACCCAGTAATGGGATGGCTGGGTCAAATTGTATTTCCAGTTCTAGATCCCTGAGGAATCGCCACACTGACTTCCACAATGGTTGAACCAGTTTACAGTCCCACCAACAGTGTAAAAGTGTTCCTGTTTCTCCACATCCTCTCTAGCACCTGATGTTTCCTGACTTTTTAATGATTGCCATTCTAACTGGTGTGAGATGGTATCTCATTGTGGTTTTGATTTGCATTTCTCTGATGGCCAGTGATGGTGAGCATTTTTTCATGTATCTGTTGGATGCATAAAAGTCTTCTCTTGAGAAGTGTCTGTTCATGTCCTTTGCCCGCTTTTTGATGGGTTTTTTTTTTTTTTTCTTGTAAATTTGTTTGAATTCATTGTAGATTCTGGATATTAGCCCTTTGTCAGATGAGTAGGTTGCAAAAATTTTCTCCCATTTTGTAGGTTGCCTGTTCACTCTGATGGTAGTTTCTTTTGCTGTGCAGAAGCTCTTTAGTTTAATTAGATTCCATTTGTCAATTTTGGCTTTTGTTGCCGTTGCTTTTGGTGTTTTAGTCGTGAAGTCCTTGCCCATGCCTATGTCCTGAATGGTAATGCCTAGGTTTTCTTCTAGGGTTTTTATGGTTTTAGGTCTAACATTTAAGTCTTTAATCCATCTTGAATTAATTTTTGTATAAGGTGAAGGAAGGGATCCAGTTTCAGCTTTCTACATATGGCTAGCCAGTTTTCCCAGCACCATTTATTAAATAGGGAATCCTTTCCCCATTGCTTGTTTTTCTCAGGTTTGTGAAAGATCAGATAGTTGTAGATATGCGGCATTATTTCTGAGGGCTCTGTTCTGTTCCATTGATCTATATCTCTGTTTTGGTACCAGTACCATGCTGTTTTGGTTACTGTAGCCTTGTAGTATAGTTTGAGATCAGGTAGTGTGATGCCTCCAGCTTTGTTCTTTTGGCTTAGGATTGACTTGGCGATGCGGGCTCTTTTTTGGTTCCATATGAACTTTAAAGTAGTTTTTTCCAATTCTGTGAAGAAAGTCATTGGTAGCTTGATGGGGATGGCATTGAATCTATAAATTACCTTGGACAGTATGGCCATTTTCACGATATTGATTCTTCCTACCCATGAGCATGGAATGTTCTTCCATTTGTTTGTATCCTCTTTTATTTCATTGAGTAGTGGTTTGTAGTTCTCCTTGAAGAGGTCCTTCACGTCCCTTGTAAGCTGGATTCCTAGGTATTTTATTCTCTTTGAAGCAATTGTGAATGGGAGTTCACTCATGATTTGGCTCTCTGTTTGTCTGTTATTGGTGTATAAGAATGCTTGTGATTTTTGTACATGTTCATGTACCATTATGTAATGGCCTTCTTTGTCTCTTTTGATCTTTGTTGGTTTAAAGTCTGTTTTATCTGAGACTAGGATTGCAACCCCTGCCTTTGTTTTGTTTTCGTTTGCTTGGTAGATCTTCCTCCATCCTTTTATTTTGAGTCTATGTGTGTCTCTGCATGTGAGATGGGTTTCCTGAATACGGCACACTTGTATCCTGAGACTTTGCTGAAGTTGCTTCTCAGCTTAAGGAGATTTTGGGCTGAAGACGATGGGGTTTTCTAGATATACAATCATGTCATCTGCAAACAGGGACAATTTGACTTCCTCTTTTCCTAATTGAATACCCTTTATTTCCTTTTCTTGCCTAATTGCCCTGGCCAGAACTTCCAACACTATGTTGAATAGGAGTGGTGAGAGAGGGCATCCCTGTCTTGTGCCCATTTTCAAAGGGAGTGCTTCCAGTTTTTGCCCATTCAGTATGATATTGGCTGTGGGTTTGTCATAGATAGCTCTTGTTATTTTGAGATGCGTCCCATCAATACCTAATTTATTGAGAGTTTTTAGCATGAAGAGTTGTTGAATTTTGTCAAAGGCCTTTTCTGCATCTATTGAGATAATCATGTGGTTTTTGTCTTTGGTTCTGTTTATATGCTGGATTGCATTTATTGATTTGCGTATATTGAACCAGCCTTGCATCGCAGGGATGAAGCCCACTTGATCATGGTGGATAAGCTTTTTGATGTGCTGCTGGATTTGGTTTGCCAGTATTTTATTGAGGATTTTTGCATCAATGTTCATCAAGGATATTGATCTAAAATTCTCTTTTTTGGTTGTGTCTCTGCCCGGCTTTGGTGTCAGGATGATACTGGCCTCATAAAATGAGTTAGGGAGGATTTCCTCTTTTTCTATTGATTGGAATAGTTTCAGAAGGAATGGTACCAGTTCCTCCTTGTACCTCTGGTTGAATTCGGCTGTCAATCCATCTGGTCCTGGACTCTTTTTGGTTGGTAAGCTATTGATTATTCCCACAATTTCAGATCCTGTTATTGGTCTATTCAGAGATTCAACTTCTTCCTGGTTTAGTCTTGGGAGGGCGTATGTGTCAAGGGATTTATCCATTTCTTCTAGATTTTCTAGTTTATTTGCATAGAGGTGTTTGTAGTATTCTCTGATTGTAGTTTGTATTTCTGTGGGATCGGTGGTGATATCCCCTTTATCATTTTTTATTGTGTCTATTTGATTCTTCTCTCTTTTCTCCTTTATTAGTCTTGTTAGCGGTCTATCAATTTTGTTGATCCTTTCAAAAAACCAGCTTCTGGATTCATTAATTTTTTGAAGGGTTTTTTGTGTCTCTATTTCCTTCAGTTCTGCTCTGATTTTAGTTATTTCTTGCCTTCTGCTAGCTTTTGAATGTGTTTGCTCTTGCTTTTCTAGTTCTTTTAATTGTGATGTTAGGGTGTCAATTTTGGATCTTTCCTTCTTTCTCTTATGGGCATTTAGTGCTATAAATTTCCCTCTACACACTGCTTTGAATGCGTCCCAGAGATTCTGGTATGTTGTGTCTTTGTTCTCGTTGGTTTCAAAGAACATCTTTATTTCTGCCTTCATTTCGTTATGTACCCAGTAGTCATTCAGGAGCAGGTTGTTCAGTTTCCATGTAGTTGAGCGGTTTTGAGTGAGTTTCTTAATCCTGAGTTCTAGTTTGATTGCACTGTCGTCTGAGAGACAGTTTGTTATAATTTCTGTTCTTTTACATTTGCTGAGGAGAGCTTTACTTCCAAGTATGTGGTCAATTTTGGAATAGGTGTGGTGTGGTGCTGAAAAAAATGTATATTCTGTTGATTTGGGGTGGAGAGTTCTGTAGATGTCTATTAGGTCCGCTTGGTGCAGAGCTGAGTTCAATTCCTGGGTATCCTTGTTGACTTGCTGTCTCGTTGATCTGTCTAATGTTGACCGTGGGGTGTTAAAGTCTCCTATGATTATTGTGTGGGAGTCTAAGTCTCTTTGTATGTCACTCAGGACTTGCTTTATGAATCTGGGTGCTCCTGTGTTGGGTACATATATATTTAGGATAGTTAGCTCTTCTTGTTGAATTGATCCCTTTACCGTTATGTAATGGCCTTCTTTGTCTCTTTCGATCTTTGTTGGATTAAAGTCTGTTTTATCTGAGACTAGGATTGCAACCCCTGCCTTTTTTTTTGTTTTCCGTTTGCTTGGTAGATCTTCCTCCATCCTTTTATTTTGAGTCTATGTGTGTCTCTGCACGTGAGATGGGTTTCCTGAATACAGCACACTGATGGGTCTTGACTCTTTATCCAGTTTGCCAGTCTGTGTCTTTTAATTGGAGCATTTAGTCCATTTACATTTAAAGCTAATACTGTTATGTGTGAATTTGATCCTGTCATTGTGATGTTAGCTGGTTATTTTGCTTGTTAGTTGATGCAGTTTCTTCCTAGCCTTGATGGTCTTTACAATTTGGCATGATTTTGCAGTGGCTGGTACCAGTTGTTCCTTTCCATGTTTAGTGCTTCCTTCAGGAGCTCTTTTAGGGCAGGCCTGGTGGTGACAAAATCTCTCAGCATTTGCTTGTCTGTAAAGGATTTTATTTCTCCTTCACTTATGAAGCTTAGTTTGGCTGGATATGAAATTCTGGGTTGAAAATTCTTTTCTTTAAGAATGTTGAATATTGGCCCCCACTCTCTTCTGGCTTATAGGGTTTCTGCCGAGAGATCCGCTGTTAGTCTGATGGGCTTCCCTTTGTGGGTAACCTGACCTTTCTCTCTTGCTGCCCTTAACATTTTTTCCTTCATTTCAACTTTGGTGAATCTGACAATTATGTGTCTTGGGGTTGCTCTTCTCGAGGAGTATCTTTGTGGCGTTCTCTGTATTTCCTGAATCTGAATGTTGGCCTGCCTTGCTAGATTGGGGAAGTTCTCCTGGATAATATCCTGCAGAGTGTTTTCCAACTTGGTTCCATTCTCCCCGTCACTTTCGGGTACACCAATCAGACGTAGATTTGGTCTTTTCACATAGTCCCATATTTCTTGGAGGCTTTGTTCGTTTCTTTTCATTCTTTTTTCTCTAAACTTCCCTTCTCACTTCATTTCATTCATTTCATCTTCCATCACTGATACCCGTTCTTCCAGTTGATCGCATTAGCTCCTGAGGCTTCTGCATTCTTCACGTAGTTCTCGAGCCTTGGCTTTCAGCTCCGTCAGCTCCTTTAAGCACTTCTCTGTATTGGTTATTCTAGTTATACATTCGTCTCTATTTTTTTCAAAGTTTTTAATTTCTTTGCCTTTGGTTTGAATTTCCTCCTGTAGCTCGGAGTAGTTTGATCGTCTGAAGCCTTCTTCTCTCAACTCGTCAAAGTCATTCTCCGTCCAGCTTTGTTCCATTGCTGGTGAGGAAATGCGTTCCTTTGGAGGAGGAGAGGCGCTCTGCTTTTTAGAGTTTCCAGTTTTTCTGCTCCGTTTTTTTCCCCATCTTTGTGGTTTTATCTACTTTTGGTCTTTGATGATGGTGATGTACAGATGGGTTTTTGGTGTGGATGTCCTTTCTGTTTGTTAGTTTTCCTTCTAACAGACAGGACCCTGAGCTGCAGGTCTGTTGGAGTTTGCTAGAGGTCCAGTCCAGACCCTGTTTGCCTGGGTATCAGCAGCGGTGTCTGCAGAACAGCGGATTTTCTTGAACCGCGAATGCTGCTGTCTGATCGTTCCTCTGTAAGTTTTGTCTCAGAGGAGTACCCGGCCGTGTGGTGTCAGTCTGCCCCTACTAGGGGTGCCTCCCAGTTAGGCTGCTCAGGGGTCAGGGGTCAGGGACCCACTTGAGGAGGCAGTCTGCCCGTTCTCAGATCTCCAGCTGCGTGCTGGGAGAACCACTGCTCTCTTCAAAGCTGTCAGACAGGGACATTTAAGTCTGCAGAGGTTACTGCTGCCTTTTTGTTTGTCTGTGCCCTGCCCCCAGAGGTGGAGCCTACAGAGGCAGGCAGGCCTCCTTGAGCTGTGGTGGGCTCCACCCAATTGGAGCTTCCCGGCTGCTTTGTTTACCTAAGCAAGCCTGGGCAATGGCGGGCGCCCCTCCCCCAGCCTCGCTGCCACCTTGCAGTTTGATCTCAGACAGCAGTGCTAGCAATCAGCGAGACTCCGTGGGCGTAGGACCCTCCGAGCCAGTTGCGGGATATAATCTCCTGGTGCACCGTTTTTTAAGCCCTTCGGAAAAGCGCAGTGTTAGGGTGTGAGTGACCCGATTTTCCAGGTGCCGTCTGTCACCCCTTTCTTTGACTAGGAAAGGGAACTCCCTGACCCCTTGCGCTTCCTGAGTGAGGCAATGCCTCGCCCTGCTTCGGCTCGCGCATGGTGCGCTGCACCCACTGTCCTGCGCCCACTTCTGGCACTCCCTAGTGAGATGAACCTGGTACCTGAGATGGAAATGCAGAAATCACCCGTCTTCTGTGTCGCTCATGCTGGGAGCTATAGACTGGAGCTATTCCTATTCGGCCATCTTGGCTCCTTCCCCAAAGCTTTTAATTTTTTGCACTAAAAGCAAAAAATACTTTTACTTTAAATATAAACAAATGACTTTTTTGCATATACAAAAAATCTTAAAGTTAACCTGTAAAATTTCCAATTTAGTAGAAGTTACTCCTTCATAAAATTATTTGTCAAGATATATCTGAACAGATATATAATTGATTATTCTTATTCTTTTGTTGTTGTTGTTGTTGTTGAGTTGTTCTAAGTAAAGACAATTCAAGTTTCAATGTATGATGTTTTTCAAAAGTTAATGAGAAAAAAGTTAATGGATATGTAGGAATTTATAGCACCTGGATAGAAATAGTTCTATAATATAAAAATGGACATTTTCATTACAAACACATACACGATAATAGTGCCCAAACAATCTGATGTTAAAATAAGCTAATTTTATATCTCGCAGTGATGGGAGAGTCATTCTCTGGGTGTATTTGGCCTATTAAAAACATTTAAATATTTCATTTAGTTTGACTACACTGGGTTTTTAAAAATGATATAGATGCTTTATCTTAATTGTTTAAGGTTTATTAGTATTGGAGTCTCCATCCTACCAATTTCATTACAGTATTGACTGCATTTTATTGTTTTATTTGAATAAAATCTAAAAGGAGGAAATAGAAGAAGAGGGGATTGCAAACAGATTTAAAAGTTTAATTATTAATTTTTTTTCTATCCTGTCAGAGAAAAGCACAGGGCATGTTTACATGTTTTATTTGGGTGAATATCTCAGTTTACCCGTTCTACATAGGAGATGACTAGAATTGCAAATGAACCCAGATGGTGGAATTTTCTTTTCTAAACAAGCTGGCCAAATATTTATAAGTTTTACACACTTAACGTTTTAGCTTTTGCTGGTGAAGCATATCTACTAAATTTCACCAGAAGTTCCAGTAAAAGTATATGGATTATGGTCAGCAGCATTTGGGTAAGACATTTGGGCAGATTTCTGACCTTGCCGGGTCTCTGTAGTGTATGTGTTAGTAACTTTTACAGATCACTTGATAGAACAGTGAGGATGAACTGTAATCATTAGAAGCGTACTGCCTGTCTACCTATGTTTAAATGTGAACCTTGATGGAGCTGCTTTTTTGTTAAGACTCAACTGAGATTTAAAAACTCAATACTCAAACTAAGTTGGTGTTATGTATAAAGCTTTGACAGTCTATATCTGCAAAGTTTTGTCTTTTATTCTCTTTGTTGAGCAAAATGTGTGAATAACCAGTCTTTAAATATGAGCCTGTAAAAAAGAAAGATCATAGGATAGTATTTTGAGTTTATCCAGTACAAATAATTGAGAATGTTAGAAATCTCTATGATAATAAAAAGATCACGAGACAAATTAATTCGTGATTAATAAAAATAATGATAATGGCTATTTCTTGAGTATTTACAATGTACCAGGAATATGTTAAGTGATACCTGCATACTCTCATTTGATTGCTAAGTGAGAATTATTTACTTTGTGCATTAACTTAAAAAAAATCCTGTCTTAGGCTTATTAATCACATCACTGTAATAATAGTATTAGGTTGGTGCAAAAGTAATTGCAGTTTTGACTATTACTTTTAAATGGCAAAACCACAATTACTTTTTCACCAACCTATAGTAGCTAGTATTTAGTAATATCATTAATAGTAATAGTAATATCATTTTCTAGATGATTACTATGTGCCGGGCCATTTATATGAATTAACAGAATCAATCATGGCAAAACTCTTCAAGATGTATATTATATAAATATATTTAATATAAGTTATTAAGTTATTCTCATTTTAAGAAGTGAATATACTGAGATGTAGAAAAGCTGAGTCACTCACCTAAGGTCACATGGCTACTCGGTGTGGAGTGAAGACTCCAGAAGCAAGTCTGTCTGGCCTCAGAGATTGCATTCTTAACCACTATTCTGTAATACCTCTCAAAGCTCTGTTCCTTACAAGTCCATGCTTATTGATATTGTCAGCTGATCTTTAGGGAGACCGTTCTCTTTCCTCCATGACTTTTGAACCTATGTCAGTGTTATCTCTCCTTCCCATCTGCTTCTCTCACCATTTGAGGATATTCTTGAGACACTGAGGGTGCAGAGTAAGTAATCTCTTAGTGTCCATGGGGGATTGTTTCCAAGACCCTCCCTCAACCGCTGATACCATAATTCAAAGATGCTCATGTCTTATATAAAACGGTGTAGTATTTGCTTAAAATCCATGCATATCCTCCTGTATACTTCAAATTCCTTCTAGATTACTTATAATACCTAATACAATGTAAATTATATTATGTATATTTGTTAGTCTGTTCTCATGCTGCTAATAAAGATATACCTAAGACTGGATAATTTATAAAGAAAAAGAGGTTTAATGGACTCACAGTTCCAAATCGCTGAGGAGGCCTCACAGTCATGGCAGAAGAGAAAGGAAGAGCAAAAGGACGTCATACATGGTGGCAGGTAAGAGAGCTTGTGCAGGGAGAACTCCCATTTATAAAACCATCAGATATTGTGAGAGTTATCACTACCACAATATGGGGGAACCACCCCCATGATTCAATTATTTCCACCTGGCCTGGCCCTTGACACGTGAGGATTGTTACAATTCAAGGTGAGATTTGGGTGGGGACACAGTCAAACCATATCATTATGTAAATAGTTATTATACTGTATTGTTTAGGGAATAATGACAAGAAAAAAGTCTTTACGTGTTCAGTGTAGACAAAATTCATTTTCCAAACATTTTTTATCTGAAGGTGGTTGCATCAATGGGTGAAGGACCCACAGATTGGGAAGGCCAACTGTGTTTGTTAAACTGAAGCAAACTAAAGTTTACTGTTGTCCGTGCTGGGCTAAGGACCCTCTTTCATGCTTTGCTAGTGTCATCTTCATATCTTCGTTTTTGTACTTACTGAAAATTTGCTATTTAATGTATGTGGACTTAATTTTTCTTGAATTTAAAAATAATATTTTGAGTGAATAGATAGTCCTATTATTTTCAAAATTGTTAAACCCATCTTGAATAGCAGAGTTGAAGCATCACAGTAACTCCTGACATTGAGCAAGGGGAGATATTGAGGAACTAAAACATGAGTGAACATTTACAGGGCAAAAATCTGTCCAAAGGAGTAGAATTTCAATATTTCAGCATTGGAGGCCAGTCATTAATATGACATCGAGACCATGAAGGGGAGATGTTGGGGTACGGAATGGTGTGTTCTGGCAGAGAATAGATATCCGATGAGACATTCTGAATTGTGAAAGTTTCCACATGGGAGATTTTCCAAGGAGTCAAAAATATATTAGAATCAATAAATGTCAGTAGCTTGCTTAGGCTTTTAAACCATTTTAATGTAGGAATATAAAGGCCTTGGCATAAACAAAAGCTAACTGTTCAGCCAGATCCACATGACTTGGATCATCTAAGATACTCACCTGACCTTGTCTTAGTTTAAATCCTGTTTTTAATCACTGCTGAGTTGTAATTCTTAGATGCTGAAAGGCAGATGAGGTAAAAATGTGTGGTACACATGTCTTTTCAACAGCATGGCCATATGTTGAGAATATTTGTGGTTCAAATTAAAGTTTAAGACACTCCGTGCCATTTAATGAATTCTAGGCTAGCAATGATAAATAAACATTGACTCAGCAACACTGTTTGTTTTATGTGCTTGAGACTTTACTTTGGACTGAGCCCTATAAACACACATGCACTTCTAACAGGACCGGCATTAACATAATACTCTGTGATACCAAGAAAATCTGGTCTGAAACATCAGCTCTGCCTGGATGAACAGCTCCATTTACTTATTACAAGAAACCATGGAAAATTGCATTTACAGCAGCAGTCTTATTTAATAACCTTCTATACTGGGTACAATTTTAAGGTCACTTAAGAAATCCTGCAATTATTATTGCTTAATTTGAGACCAACTGATGGGGGATATCATGTTGTCTCTCTCCCACTTATTTTTCTACTTGGTGACATTTATAAATGGTGAAGTTTGCATAGTATTAATAATTCAGCACCACTTCATTCTTTACATCTACCATGGATTTCCATAGTGGATTGCGGCTTTTGACAAATAATTGTTCAGGCTGGTACTAGGGAAGTCCCAGAAATTAACTTAACATGAGACAATTCATCTTCCAAAGCTAGAGGAGGGCTTCCATAGAATACCTGTTGGTAGCTGAGTGCAGTTAACTCACAAGGGAAGGTTTACTTAGAATGGCTGTTAATCAGGCCCACCAAGAGTTTCTTAGGTGCTTATTCTTAGAATCACCAGAATATAATTTTGTCTGCTGACATAATTCTTCATTGGAGTTGGCATACTTGAAAAAAATTCTATAATCAATCACCCTTATGTTATGTAATTTTTAGGCTTCAATTAACAGGAAGTACAAAAGAAAACTACATGTATTCCATTAATCAGAAAAATTGTGATCTGGGTGCGGTGGCTCACCTCTGTGATCCCAGAGACTTGGGAGGCTCAGACAGGAGGACTTCTTGAGACCAGGAGTTCGAGACCAGCCTGGACAATTTAATGAGAACCCTATTGTGATGGTTAATATTAAGCGTCAACTTGATTGAATCGAAGTATTGTTTCTGGCTATGTCTGTGAGAGTGTTGCCAGAGGAAATTAACATTTGAGTCCGTTTACTGAGAGAGACAGGCCCACCCTCAATCTGCGTGGGTACCATCTAACTGGCTACCAGTGTGGCTAGAAAAAACAGGTGGAAAAAGATGGAATGAACTGACTTGCTGAGTCTTCTGGCCTCCACCTTTCTCCCGTGCTGGATGCTTCCTGCCCTTGAACATCAGACTCCAAGTTTTGGGACTCAGACTGAGTCACTACTGGCATCCTTGATCCTCAGCTTGCTGACAGCCTATCGTGAGACTTCACCTTGTGATCGTGTGAGTCAGTTCTCCTTACTAAACTTCCATTCATTCATATATCTATA
Source organism: Homo sapiens (assembly GCF_000001405.40). Taxonomy (NCBI): domain Eukaryota; kingdom Metazoa; phylum Chordata; class Mammalia; order Primates; family Hominidae; genus Homo; species Homo sapiens. The sequence goes on from NC_000008.11 coordinate 74,407,669, forward strand.
TATTCTATTAGTTCTGTCCCTCTAGAAAACCCTGACTAATATACCTGTCTTTATAAATGAATTAATGAATGAAAGAAATTGTGGTTCTTAGGGAGCAGTATTAGTTTTGAGGACAAGTCCTCTGGCAATACCTTGACAATTGCAGGCCGCATTCCTGGTCAGAACTTCTGCCCCTACTCTCTGTTCCTTTTTTTCTGCTGGCAAACTGACTTAGACAACAGGAAAAGAAACTAGATATTTACTTCTTCTTTTAATTTTTTTTTCAAGGAAAAACTCCCTTAAAACACCAAATTGCAAGTCTAAAATTTTCTATTTCTTTCCTCAACTTTTCAGAATCAAATGAACTTCCCTAAATGAAAATACTTGTAGCCCAAATTACATTTTCACTCAAGACACATCCTGATAGGTATCCTTTAAGTTTTACAATTCTTTTACATTCCTGAGCAACCAAAATCTGTCAGGCAAAAATTTCACACTCGAGGCCTGTATGTTCCAAAATAAGAAAAGAGGAAGAGTGAAAGTATATCTGTTTTATTGTCTTCTCTGAGGACGGGCTTTAAAAAAAATTCTTCCCTGCATCTATTTTTGTATTTCTATGGTGGTTTGAATGCATTCTCCATTGGAGATTGTCAAGTTCTCCCAGGGTATCTCCAAGTGGAGGTGGCTTGAAATGGTCTGAATGTTTGTGTTGCTCTAAAATTCATCTATTGAAAACTAATCCCCAGTGTGATGGCATTAGGAAGTGGGGCCTTTGGAAGGTGATTAGGTCAAAAGGACGAAGCCCTCATGAATGGGATTAGCGTCCTTATAAAAGAGGCTTCAGAGAGCTGCCTTTCCCTTTCCAACTAGTCTTTCAGGACTTAATGAAAAGGCACCATCCATGAGCCAGGAAACACATCCTCACCAGATACTGGATTTGTCAGTACCTTGATCTTGGAGTTGTCAGCCTCCAGAACTATGAGAAATAAATTTCTGTTGTTTATAAGCGACTCAGTCTATGGTATTTTTGTAGCAGCCCAAATGGACCTAAGACATGGGTGAAAGAGTAGAATGTGGCACCATACTCTGAATTATCTGCCCGAGCCCCTGTATTGAATTCTCGACTTATTGGTTAATGATGTTTCTAAGATGAAGGCCATCCTGGACCCCCAATCCTTGAATCCTTCTAATGTGGCAGTGAGTATTCCCCACTGGAATCCTGAGGAAGACATAGCCCAGGCTCTAAACAAAGGTATCCTTTATTATTGGCTGGAAATTCGGTCACCATTCCCTTTCTAGGGTGAACTGGAGTGGGTCTTTGTAGAGCTTCAAAGGCTGTTTCTTGCAATGTAGTCCCAGACTACCTTCACCAGAGTCATTTGGGGTACGTGTAAAAATAAAGATTTATGGCCCCCATTCTTCAAAAATATAAGTTTATAAAAGTGCTCTATACGTGATTCTGATGTGCAATCAGAATGTCAAAACTTTTATAGAAGCCCCAAACTGGAAGCAGATATGATTAGTTAGTTTCGTTTAATGTTCTCTTTCCCTTTGGCCTATGATTAGATGTACCTAATATATTGACAGTATTGAAACTGACCCAATTGTCCCATAAAGCTGATGTTTATGGTTTCTTTTGAATAAACATAGAAATCAGTTTTTCTGATCTTGAAACTTGAGAAAGTTACATTTTTTCTTATCTGAGTTCCTTCCTTTTTTTCTGAGACAGAGTCTTACTCTGTCGCCCAGACTGGAGTGCAGTGGTGCGATCTTGGCTCACTGCAACCTCTGCCTCCCAGGCTCAAGCGATTCTCCTGCCCCAGCCTCCGGAGTAGCTGGGATTACAGGCATGCACCATTACTGCCCTGCTAATTTTTGTATTTTTAGTAGAGATGGGGTTTCACCATGTTGGCCAGCCTGGTGTTGAACTCCTGACTTCAAATGATCCACCTGCTTCAGCCTCCCAATGTTCTGCAATTATAGGCGTGAGCCACCGCACCTGACCCTCAGTTCCTTTCTCAGGAAATCATTCATGAGGCCTCCCAGAGAGTATCAAGGAATTGAAACTTACCAGGTTATTGCATCTGGACAATGAGATGCCAGATCCCCACCTATCATGATTGCCTAAGCAACCACTTGCTTCCTGTTGATCACCTCCTCTTCCTTACCCTTCCCTAGTTCCTGTTTTCCTGCATGTAGTTACATTTCCTCCCTGCTATATAGACCCCAAATTTTAGTTGGTCAGAAAGATGGACTTGAGACTGATCTCCCATCTCCTTGGCTGTGGCACCCAATTAAAGCCTTCTTCCCTGGTAATACTCATTGTCTCAGTGATTGGCTTTCTGCACAGTGAGCAGCAGGACCTAGACTGAACCCCTGGTGTTTCAGTAACAGTATCCCCAGTTCTGTATAAGTGCATGCTTATCACTAAAGATAATGGAGAGAGATGTAAGAGAGAATTGTCAAGAGAATATGACATATGACCTAAGTTCCACCTGTCTCTTGAATCAGTTAAATGAAGTCACCATGGGACATTCTGATGCCAATTCTGGTGCCAACTCATCCACCAAGACGTGAAGTCTGCTGAAAATTACAGCATTCACGGGGAGAAGAAAAATAGCAAGAGGAAATCTTAAATTGATTGAATTTATCTGCATTTCCAACCAGAAACTATTGGGAATTGGCGATGTTACATTTTTTACCATTAGCAGTAATGGAGGCTTCATAACTAAATTAGAGTCAGTTACTGAGAAAACATAAGAGTCTATCAACATGAAATATTAGACAAGACATAATTAAAAATAGTTATTTACAGTTCAGTATTAGAGTTTTCATGTAGAAATTTCTTCCCAGCATTACTTGGGATATTTAAAATGGGCTTTTTCTTTGAATATTGAGAAAACTCAATGGAGAAATGAGGAAAATGGGAGAAAAGTATAGTAGTTCTTTGTATGAGTTAAAGCTTAACAACATCATAGTTACTGGTTCCAAGGAGTCCACTGACATCAAGTCAAAAGTAAGAGCAGGAGATGTGGAGACAAATCTTAAGGTGGACAAGTCTGGGAACCTGAACAGAAGCATGTGAAAAGAAGCAGCTCAGTGGTCAGGATCTGCTCAGTTGTTCTGGCTTATTTTGGCTGTTGCCATGTTGAAGTGTGTTCTTATGGCCCTGTATTGGTAATGAGGACTTGTGTTTGCAATTAAATAAATGTTAATATGTTTTTACACATAGCATATGATATGGTTTGGCTGTGTCCCACCCAAATCTCATCTCAAATTGTAATCCCCATGTGTCAAGGGAGGGACCTGTAATCCCCAGGTGTTGAGGGAGGGAGGTGATTGGATCATGGGGGAGGTTTCCCTCTTGCTGTTCTCATGATAGTGAGTTCTTATGAGATCTGATGGTTTTAGAAATGTTTGGAAGTTCCTCCTTCACTCTCTCTTTCCTGCCGCCTTGTGAAGAAAGTACTTGCTGCTTCTTTTCCTTCTGCTATGTTTGTAAGTTTCCTGAGGCCTCCCCAGCCATGCCGAACTGTGAGTCAATTAAACCTCTTTCCTTTATAAATTGCCCAGTCTCAGGTAGTACCTTTATAGCAGTGTGAAAACAGACTAATACAGCATACTTTATTACAACTCCTATGAGTGGTATCCTTAGAAATATCACTCGTTTTGTTTTGGAAGCAAAATAAGTCCTCAAATGGACAATTTTGACTCTTGATTCTGTGTAATGCTATTAACTTTGCTAGGCAATCTGAATGTTATGTTATGAGAATACTATCCAATAGTGTTTGCTGAAATTTTCAGTGTTTGAATGTTTGCTACAGTCTACAGTTACATGTAAATACTACTAAACTAGTATTTACTATTTATTAAGCAAATATATATATATATATATATACACACAACAATAAATAAAGAGTATGAGGATGTTGGAAATATTTTAAGAAAATATGGCTGGATGCAGTGGCTCATGCTTGCAATCCCAGTACTTTGGGAGTCCAAGGTGGGAAGATCGCTTGAACCCAGGAGTTTGAAACCAGCCTGGGTAACATAGTGAGATCGTGTCTCTACCAAAAAAAAAAAAAATTGCTAAGCATAGTGGCTTATGCCTGTAGTCCTAGCTACTTGGGACACTGAGGTAGGAGGATCACTTGAGCCTGGGAGGTCGAGGCTGTGGTGAGCTGTGATTGCACCACTGCCCTCCAGTCTGAGCAATGGAGCAAGACCTTGTCTCAAAAAAAAAATAATAATAACTTATGAGATTATAACTTATGAGAATTAACTTTGCAAATTCTTGAGAATTCCTGGGAATACCACTTTTTCATTCCTGTGTCCCAAACATAAATATCTGTCAGAAATTTGGAAACATTAAGGGTAGTATTTTATTTTGAAAATGTCTTTAAAAATTTGAGATAAAAGTTGGGACATTTTCTTAGCGATGTCATTCAAGATTCCTACAGATGAAGCCCTATAAAACAAGTTCACAATCCTAATTATATAATAAAACAATAAACTATATGAGAGTCAGACTCATTGGATGAGTTAAAAATCAGATTATAGTTAGACAAAGAGAAAATGATTAATGGAAAATTTATTTGAAGAATTTTGTGTATGTAACACAAAGATACATAGAGATGAGAAATATTAAAGAGATATGAAAGATGTGATAAGGAAGTCCAACATATAAAAGTCAAGCTGAAGTTCCAGAAAGAGCAAAGAGAGGATGAGAGATAGACAATATTTGAAAAGATAATGCCTTGGAACTTCCAGAAATGGCTAAAGACACAAATTCTCAGATTTAGGAAGCGCAGCAAGTGTCAATCAAAGAATATGATTTTAGAAGCATCAAAAGAAAAAATCATGTTACTTAAAAGGAAAATTACAGTTAAACTGCCAGCAGATTTGTCAACAAAAAGAAATAGAAGTTAGTAGAATAATAGACGCAAAGTATTAAGAGAACATTACTGTCAATCTAGAATTTAATAATAAAGGCAAAACAAAATTTTACTAACACAAATACTAACAAAAACTGAGGGCAAAGAAACAACAAGGTGAATAACAAGATGAAATAAACACTTAAACATTTTATGTAACATGCCAGAGGGTGATTTAAAGATTTCTGAAGCCTCGGCTGGGTGCGGTGGCTCACGCCTGTAATCCCAGCACTTTGGGAGGCTGAAGCGGGTGGATCACAAGGTGAGGAGATTGAGACCATACTGGCTAACATGGTGAAACCCCGTCTCTACTAAAAATACAAAAAAAAAAAAAATTTAGCTGGGCGTGGTGGCACGTGCCTGTAGTCCCAGCTACTTGGGAGGCTGAGGCAGGAGAATCCCTTGAACCCGGGAGGCAGAGGTTGCAGTGAGCTGAGATCGCTCCACTGCACTCCAGCCTGGCGATAAAGCGAGACTCTGTCTCAAAAAAAAAAAAAAAAAAAAAAAGATTTCTGAAGCCTCTGTATACATTAACCACAGATGTTTACAATTCAAGTGTGTATGCTAAAAGTAATGGAGAGGGGTTCTGTTTCAGGATAAGATGAAGTAAGCATGCTTCCCCTGTTTCTTCTACTTAATGCAGCTATAAAATCTGGACAGAATGCACAGAGCAGCTATTTGAGGACTTTGAAAAGTAGAGTAGCAGGCAGATTCAGGAAGAAGGCAAGAACTGGAAATACCACTGAAGTGGTAGTGAATTTACCATTCCCCCTTCCGGGTCCAGTATTTCCCTCAGGCTGGATCCAACACAGCCCAGCCCCAAAGTGGATATCAGTGGGGATGTGGGGAGAGGGAGAATGAGCACCAGGAGAAGTCCTAGTTATGGATTAGTCCTAGTTATGTATATGTATTTTTCTACTGAGAATTAGAAAGGAATATTTTAAACAGTCAGAGACTGTGAAAATCACCCATTTCCCCCACTCTGTTTTCTCATGCCCCATCTCTCCAGCATTCCTGTAGAGATTTTGGCAGCAGCAGAAACAAGGGCCTGTAGGAGCCTAAATCTCTGAGGGAGGCGATCTTCCTTTTTGATTAGAGAAGGAGTGGTCCTAAGTGGGTGGAATAAACTCCTAAGCTTTTTTTTTTTTTTTTCCTCATTGTGTCCTCTCACCATTTGGCCCCAAAGTGGTTGCAACCATAGGAAGTACATAACAGAGCAGGGTCAATAATGCCCCCAGAGGATGGAAAGCACAGAGGTCTGGAAAAGGGAAGCACTAGAGAACAGGAAAGTACTGGAGCAATTTCAGAGAGGGAGAACTTTGAGAAAGTGACTCTTCAAGTTGTTTATGAATTCCTGAGCTCACCCTTGAGTTGTGCAAGCCTGGATCTTTAAAAAAGCATATGTAGACTTTGAGATTCAAACTATCGGCTAGATTACTACCAAATTCCGACACTAGTCAATGGCAAATGTGTACACCAGGCAGATCAGAATAGTACTGGTTTGTAAATGCTGTAGAAATGGAAATGACATTAGAACCACAACCCCCAGAAAGTGGATTGACTTTAATCTGATCAATTGAATGCCCAAATAAAAACAATCAATACTATCTGTTGGACTTGATCAATATCCAGAGTCCCTTAACATAATATTCAAAATGTCTTCAATGTAATCCAAATTACTTGGCATATGAAGCATCAAGAAATCACATGGGAAAATACAATCGACAGATGCCTATGTTGGGATAATAAAGATGTTGGAGTTATGTGACAAGGGCTTTCAAGCAACTATTATAACACTACTCGAATAAGAGCAAGCATTCTTGAAATGTATGGAAAGATAGAAAGTATTGGTGAACTAATACAAGAGATGAAGAACAACCAAATGGAAATTTAATAAGTAATTTCATCTGAATAACTGGAATAAAAAAACCCACCCCAAGGTCATTGGCTGAGCTCCATAGCAGAATGGAAATGACAGAGGAAAGAGTCACTGAACTTGAAGATAAATCAATAGAAATTATCCAATTTGAACAAGAGAGAAAAACGTTAAAAGAAGAAGGAAAATTAAAAAGAAAAAAAAAAAGAACAGAGCCTCAGGTACTTGTAGGACAATACCAAAAGGTCTAACACTGATGTCATCAGAGTCTCAGAATGAGGATAAAGAATGCAAAACTGAGTGAAGATTTCAAAAACTTAATGATTGAAAACCTCCCAAATTTAGTGAAACACAAAGCCTATAGCTTCAAGAAACTCCATGAACCCCAAGCAAGATAAACACAAAAGAATACATGTCCAGACACATAATAATCAAACTGCTTGAAAACTAAAGACGAAAAAAATTATTCAAAGCAAACAGAGAAAAAAAGGTGTTACCTGTAGGGAAAATAACTCCAGTGATGGTTGATTCTAATTCAACACCAGGGAGGGCAGAAAGGAGTGGTACACTTCTAGATTGCTCAATGAAAAGAACTCTCAATCCAAAATTTATGTCTAGCAAAGATATCCTTCCAGAGTGAAAGAGTAATAAAAAGAGTCTCAGATGAAGCAAAGCTGCTTTAAAAGAATTGCTTTAAGAGAGTTAGTTAGAAGAGAAATGATACCAGAAGAAAACTTGATATATTAGGAATTATAGAACAGCAATAATGTATATACCTGGGTAAACATAATAGATGATGAGTTCTTCTAAGTAACTTTGAAAATTGAAAGCAGAAATTTTAACATCATTTTAAAACAATTTATTTCAAAATAATAGAAGAAAAGCATGAAACTGGCAGATTGGAGGCATCGTTAGCATGCCTCCCCCACTTGGAAAGAAAATATTAATAGTGTGTAGAGATTCACCCTGAACTTTTTCCAAGAAGCAACACAGTAGCTTAACAGGACAACTGAAAGAAACCACAGACCCTTTGAAATATGTGGTGGGCTGCCACCTACATTGTGAGCCAGGCAGAAAACTGTAAGTCCACAGAGTGTGAGTGGGGGATAAACTGCCTCTGGGATACACACACCTACTGGGCAACCTGGCAGTCCAGGCCTCAGGAAAAAGCCTTATCCCTGCCCAGAGCTGGGGCTGATTTAGTGAGTGATGGGAAGCATATGAGAGGGAGAAACATAGGGGTGTGCTCTGCATGCACTCCCAGTCTCCAGTGGGGATAGAGGGAAGCCATTCCTGACCTTACTTCACAGTGGACCTCACAGAAGTCTGCCAGCTAACTCAGGTGGCAGTCACTGGTTGAGAGAAACCCCTAACTGTGAGAGAGGTTCTGGCCAAGGGGGACTGTGAGAGAGGTTCTGGCCAAGTAGGGATTTCAACCCTACTTGAGATTCTCAATATAATCTCTAGTGGGGATGATCCCCCTTTGCCAGAACCAAGGGGTCATGGACTAGGAGGGTCATGGCTGGAAAGCAGTGGTTTCTGTCTCTGCAGGGAGGCTTATGGCCCTGGTGCAGTTTTCAGATCTGAGCTCAGACTACCTAGAACCTAACTAGCTGCTGCTAGCGGAGCACTGTGAGCAGAGGCAGCTATGCTCTTCCCTGGATCATTACCCCAGTGGCCAGAGAACTGCCCTCTGATCCCCACTGGGACTACTTATTGTGCCATATGTGGGAAGCCAGAGTGTGGACTTGCCCGACCCAGCCCCAACCTGGCTTTGCCCCTCCACCTGCCCTGGTAGCTTAACACAAAGGACAGAAACTTTTGGGAGCTCTGTGGCTCTGCTCATTGCCTGAGACGCCATTGAGCCTCCCCTGGGTAACATGAGGCATGCACAAATCTCTGCCACCTCTTGGCTGGAGGCCAATAAACACAGTCCATTACAACATCTGCAAGCAGAATAACACAGTGCCCAGGAAAGAGAAAACTTTCGCTGAAGCTGAACCTCAGCTATCATCATTGCCTGCAGCACCCGGGCTAACCAGGAGGTCCTGAGTCTGTTCTGTCCACATGACTAGTTCGTTACTACTACAACTGGCATTTCAGAAAGCCAGTGCACTAAGGCTATTTATAACCAAGGAACCTCACAGAGTCTACATCAGTCTCCTGCCACCCCCATCAGAGCTGGTTCTGGTACGCATTGCTGGGAGACTTGAGGACAGGTCACATCATTGGGTCACTTGAAGACATTCCTTAGCACCAGCCTGGAGTGTGGCAGTCCCACTGGGCAGCTAGACCCACAGGAGTAGAAGCATTCACAGTATTCTCACCTTCAGGGACTCCTGCTCCTAGGGGGAAGGGGAGTGCACTGCATCAAAGGAGCACCCTGTGGAACAAAAGAATTCAGACAGCAGAACTTGAATCCCAGCACTTTCCACTTATGAAAAGTTTTTTTTTTTGTTTTTTTGTTTTTTGTTTTTTTTTTTTTTAACAGAGGCATAGTGCACTGCTGGGCTTGGGAAGGAAAGTCGGCAGCTCTACCCCAATAGTCAGGTAGCCCTGGTGCTCGTGAAGTTTCTTGGAGAAGGGTACTTCTTCTCCCCCTCATTCACCACTCAGACACAGCTGGGGTTTCTCCCATGGGAGCTTGGAGTGGGTGCACTTGTAAACCAATATATTAACAGTGTAAAGAAGAAAATCCACATAACCAAAAGAATTGATGCAGAAAAGAAATTGACAAAATGTTGATTTATTCATGATAAAAACTCTCAGCTTACATAGAAGAAAATTTCCTCGACTTGATAAACAGAATCTATAAAAACTTTAGAGCCAATATCACAATTGACAGTGAAAGACTGAATGATTTACCCCTCAGATTAGGAATAAGTCAACAAATGCTATTCAACATTATACTATACTTCCCAACTAGTGTAATATGGCAAGAAAAGAATTAAAAGATATATAGATTGGATAGAGAAAAAATAAAAGTGTCCCAATTCATAGATGCTATGATTGTTAGTGTAGAAAATCCCAAACTCTTGACCTCAGGTGATCCACCCGCCTAGGCCTTCTTCCAAAGTACTGGGATTACAGGCGTGAGCCAATGCGCCCAGCCAACATGGTGAAACCCCGTCTGTACTAAAAATACAAAAATTAGCTGGGTGTGGTGGCACACACCTGTAAGCCCAACTACTCGGGAGGCCAAGGCAGGAGAATTGCTTCAACCCAGGAGGCGGAGGTTGCAGTGAGCTGAGATTGTGCCATTGCACTCCAGCCTGAGCAACAAGAGTGAAACTCCATCTCAAAAAAAAAAAAAAAAAAAAAAGGAAAAGAAAAAGAAAATCCCAAGATGAATATAAACAAATATTGTAAATTAACAAGTGAGTTTATCAAGGTCAAAGAATGTAAGATAAACACATGAATATCTATCCTACTTTTATATGCTAGGAATAAACAATTGCAAAGAAAAAATTTGAAAACTACCAATTCAATAGCTTTGAAATACATAGGCATAAATCTAGCAAAACAAGTACTGGGATCTATATATTGAAAATGACAAATTGCTGATGAAAGAAATCTAAGAAGGCCTAGATAAGTGGAGAGACAAATTGTTTTCATGGATTGGGAATCTCAACATTTCAAAGATTTCAATTCTTCCAAACTGATTTGTACATTTAATGCCATTCCAATCAAAATCCCGGCAGATGTTTTTGTAGATATAGATAAGCTTGTTCTAAAATTTGCATGGAAAAGCAAAAGAACTACAATAGCCAAAACAATTGGCTAAAGAGAAGACCAAGTTGGGGAAATTATGCTACCCAGTTTTAAGACTTACCACAAAGCTACAGTATTCAAGTTGATGTGGCATTGGTGAAGGGATAAGCATATGGGTCAATTGAACAAAACAGAGAGTCTAGGAAATAAACTCACAGAAATATGGCCAATTGATTTTTAACAAAGAAGCAAAGGCAATTTAGCAGAGATATTATAATGTTTTTGGCAAGTAGTATAGGAACAATTGAATATCAATATTAAAAACCTCAACCTAAATCTAATGCTTTGAAAAATTAACTCAAATTACTTCACATATATAGATGAACAACAAGTAACTATAAAAGTTTTACAAGAGGACAAGGGACTGTTGTGCCCTGGATTAGGCAAAGAAATCTTAGGCATGACACTAAAAGCATGGTGCATAAAAGGAAATCTTGATAGAATGGACTTCATCTAAAATAAAACTTTTGCTCTCTGTTAAGAGCTCTGCATTAAGTGTTAAGACAAGGAAAAGACAAAATACAGACTGGTAGAAAATATTGGCAAATCTCATATTCAGCAAAGGTCATGTATTTAAAACATATAAACAACTATCAAATGCAACAATTATAACAAACTATTCAATTAAAAAAATAGACAAAAGACTTTAACAGACATTTCATCAAAGAGGATATACAGATAGCAAATAACCACTTCATAGTTATTTAGCATCATTAATTGTTAAAGAAATTCAAATTAGAAGCATGGTAAAATAACAGCAAAACGTTTATTGGAATGGTTAAATTAAACATACTGGCAATACCAAGTGCGGGAGAATGCAGATCAAGTGAAAGTCTCATACATCGCTCCTGGGAAAGCAAGATGGTGTAGTCACTCTGAAACATTCTTCGGCAGTTTCTTATAGTTAAACCTGCACTTACCATATAACTCAAAAATTCCACTTCTAGGTGTCTACTGTAGAGAAACAAAAACTTGTGTTCACACAAAACGCTTATATAAATGTTTATGGTGGTTTTCTTCATAATTGCCTCCAAGTAGAAACCATCCAAATGTCTTCCAACAAGTGAATGATAAACTGTGGGGTATTCATATAATGTAATAGTTCTGAACAATGAAAAAGAATGTCCTATTGATACATGCAACAACTTGGAGGAAGCTCAAAGGCATTCAGAGTAAGAGAGGCCAGTCTCAACAGGTTACATTCCATTTATATTACATTCTTGGAAAGAAAAAACTGTAGCAATGGAGAACATATTCGGGTTTGGGGATTTGCCTATTTTAAAATTGGGATGCTTGCTTTTCTTGTCATTGAGTTGTAAGAGTTTATGTATTCTGGACACTAGACCCAAGAGAGCTATTATTTGAAAATATTTTCCTACACCCTGTAGGTTGCCTTTTCTTGATAATGTCTTTTAATAGAAAACATTTTTAAATTTAATGACATTATATTTATTTTTTCTTTTCTTGCTCATGCTTTTGGTGTCATATCCAAGAATCTATTGCCAAATCCAAGGTTATTAAGAATTATCTCTGTTTTCTTCTAGGGGTTCTCTGGTTTCAGCTTTTATACTTAGGGCATTGATCTATTTTCAGCTAATTTTTATATATGGTGTGATGTAGCCAGTCCACCTTCATTCTTTTGCATGTGGATATCCAGTTTCTCAGCACCATTTGTTGAAGAGACCATTTTCCCCATTGAAATGGTTTTGGGACTCTTGATGACAAAAAATTGGCCATACATATATGGATTTATTTCTGAGCTCTCAATTCTATTCCATTGGTCTCTATGTTTGTCCTTATGACAATACCACACTGTTTTAATTACTGTAGTTTTGCAGTAGGTTTTGAGATTCGGAAATATGAGGCCTCCAACTTTGTTCTTTTTCTGGATTGTTTTGGCTGTTTGGGATCCCATGCAATTCCATATAAATTTGAAGACTGGCTTTTTTATTTCTGCAAGAAAAGGCTATTGGAATTTTGGTGGGAACTTCATTTTTTAAATTATAGTGGAGTGTCATAAAAAATGGAAGTGGTCAGTCTTTTATGCTCAGGCCCTGGTTGAGTATCAACATAATAAAGTAGGAAAAGCCTGGCATTTGTAATTTATAGACCCAGGTTCATGTTTCTGGATCAGTTGCTTAATTTTCAGGGCCTTACTTTCTACACTTAGGAAATGAAGGTATCAAAGAGAACTCTAAGCTTCCTTTAACTCTTATATATTATAATTGTAGGTTAGCATAGAATAAAGCCAAGTAAAATGTTGGTGAGAAATTTCAGAGGATAAAGGATTCTAATGGTTCACTGTCCTATAACAACACAAACAGTAACAACAGCAGCAGTAACAACACCTGCAGCTACCGTCTCTTGAATGTGTCAGATGCTGTGCGGAGTGCTTTGCATTACCTACTTCATTTCTTCCTTAATGTGACTCTCTGAAGTAGTTATTATTATCACCATTATACAGATAAAGACAACGAACATCAGTTTGTCTTTTGTGTTCAAGGTTATGTGGGTAGTAGATAGTAGAAATGGGACCAAAGTGTGTTCATTGTAAATTACACTGTGGTATACTGATTCCTGTATTTTTTTTTTAATGTTTCAGCAATCTAGTGGTTAATGCTTTTTATTTTATTTTAAGTTCTGGGGTACATGTGCCATGGTGGGGCCTGGTTATTACTTGGATGGGAGCCTGAGTCTTTTTTATTATAAGTATTTTTCTTTTCCATCCTGAAACTCTTCTCTTTCCTCATCTTTATTGCTTTCACTTATATCATAGCTCTGGGATAATCAGAAGAGATAGATGATACATAGATAGATAGATAGATAGATGATAGATAGATAGATAGACAGATATTGCTATTGTGGACTTAAAAGGATTGCTTTTCTATTGGGTGAAGCAACTCCAATTGCTCTTCTCATGGGGACAGAAACATTGACCAAGCTTCTGATCTGTGCAGAGGCAAGGAGGCAGTAATAAACCTTGCCCTAAAATGTAGTTTTACTCCCCAGGTTAAATAGTTAAAAACATTGGAAATAACTTAAAGCTCCAGGTTGTCAACACTCAAAGTAACAAAACATTTCTTTTTGTAGGTTCTTTTTTTTTTCCCTATAGGGTTTATTACATGTGCTTTTTTTCTGAACTGAAATTAAGCAAACTGGAAGGAAAATAAAAAGGAAACAATCAGAGAACTTAGTATTGGCTCCCACACAAGTATTTGGGATGAAGAGTACTTGTCACTATTGTCATGAGTAACAAGAATGTCATATTTCCCCATTTCTAAAAACAAAAGCCTACAACCTGAAGAGCTAAGATTCTTGCCTGGGAGTGAGTGGGTGAAAGTGATGGTAACCATATTGAACAAATTTCACTTACAGCAAGCTGCACAGTTCAACCTTAGCCTTCAGGACTGTAATTTGTAAGAGGGCGCTGTGTGAAATCCAGTGAGTGGTGTCATTCCTCAAGGGGAAATTATGTTGTCTCTTAGCTCTCTGCTGGTACATTACAGCAGGGCGGTTGGTCCTACCTTTGCCAGTAGGTCTGGCTGTGAGATACGACAACTGATACGCAGTTTGGCAACTGGTAAAAGCTGTTTGCTTTTTACCAGACAAGACACTGTTATTTTATTTTCATTAAACATGGCTTTTTTGGATACATATGACTCATGTGACATTAGATCACAGCATTTTTGTTTTTATTATTAATATATTGCCTTAGAACTACATTGCTAAACCTGGTCTTTGTATCTGCGAAGTTCTAACATCTTGCCACAGCTTAGTTAGCTTTGAGAGGGAAAGGGTAGAATCCATTTAAGGAGACAGGTTAAAAAATGATATATTTAAGCATATAGGCAATGGTAGCACATGATTACCAAAACATAATTAGCCTTTTCTTTCTTGCTTTTTCATTTTCTTTCTTTCCTTCTTCATTTTCTTCTTTCTTTCTTTTCTTTCTTTCTTTTTTCTCTTTCTTCTTTCTTTCTCTCTCTTCTTTCTTTCCCTTCCTTCCTCCCTCCCTCCCTCCTTTCTTTCTTTCTTTTTCTTTTCTTTTCTTTTTTCTTTTCTTTCTTTCTTTCTTTCTTTCTTTCTTTCTTTCTTTCTTTCTTTCTTTCTTTCTTTCTTTCTTCCCTTCCTTCCTTCCTTCCTTCCTTCCTTCCTTCCTTCCTTCCTTCTGTCTCTCTCTCTCTCTTCGTTTTCTTCCTTTTCTTTCCCTCTCTCCCTTCCTTCCCTCCTCTCTTTCCTTCCTTCCTCCCTCCCTCCCTCCTTTCTCCTTCCTTCCTTCCTTCCTTCCTTCCTTCCTTCCTTCCTTCTTTCTTTCTCTCTCAAACAGCTCTGAGCTTAATTCAAATAGATGCAAAATCTTTTCTGTGTCAGGGTCTTTGAACCGTTTTGATGAAGCACTTTCCCCCAAGGTCTTTATATGATTGACTCATTCACCTTCGAGACATTGAAGAAAAGAGGCCTTCCTGACTATCTGGGCATGATTTTGCAAAACCCCTTTATTCTTTATTTCATTTTAAAAGAAATTGGCACTGTTTCTCTTCTAGGTACCTACTATGTTTTTAAAAGTTTACTTTTTATTTCCCATTTTCTTCTCACTTCTCACTTCCTGGGATCACCAGACTTGCAAGTGTCACAAAAGACAGGGACTAGAGTTGTTTTATTCAGGCATATGTGTCTAGAAATGTAGACATGTATATATATAATGAGATTTGTCATCACTAATGATAACATCATCAGTTCATCTAACAAATATTTTTTGAACACCCAATCTATGTAAAATAGTATCTATTTTATATATACTATAATATATATGCTATTATATGTAATAAACATTATATATACTATATATATTATAAAATAGAGAATTGATTTGTCATTGCCAATGATAACATCATCAATTCATCTATCAAATATTTTTTGAACACCCAATCTGTGTAAAATAGTATGTCTTATATATACTGTTGTATATATAACAAATAGTATATATGTATACTATATATAATATGATATGTATACTATATATAATAGTATATGTGATATTATACTATATATAATATGATATGTGATATGTATACTATATATAATAGTATATATACTATTTATTATAGTATAATAAATTATAAATTAAATAATACAAGATAAATAGTATATATGTATACTGTATATTATACATATATATAATAGTATATATACTATTTATTGTATATATAAAAGTATATATAAGATATATGCTGTTTTACACAGATTGGGTGTTCAAAAAATATGTGATAGATGAACTGATGATGTTGTCATTAGTGATGACAGATCTAATTCTCAATTTTTCCAATCCTTCCCATTTTCATAAACCTAATACAAGCTAAATAATTTTTACTGTCTATGCTTATTGGTATTATCATGGATGCAAACGTGGGGTATCCTCAGTAAAACAGATTTACTATTATTGTCTAGAGCAGTATGCTTATCCGTGGTTAAGTTCTTCTTCCTTCTGGGGTAAAGTGATGAGAGCCGGATGGACCACAAATGGGATTTCTTGCATCACAAGAGAGGAACCCCCAAATTATGAGTTTGGGAGCTTATGCACACACTGCCCCCTCCCCTCCTGAGAGAGGAATAGAAACTTAATTACTCTGTTGTAGAAAAAACCTTCTTGGGAAGAGAAGGGGAAGTTCCCTGGGTACTCATCGTTTGAAATATTAACCTAATCTCCAAAGAGAAGATAAACCCCTCTGGGCTGCAACCCTGGAATGTTTTCTTGGTTCCAGGTTTTATCTCCTTTTGAAATGTAAATACAACTGTTCCTAAGTATTTGTGGGGGATTGGTTCCAGGACTTCTGGTGGATACCAAAATCTTTAGATGCTCAAGTCCTTTATATATTATAGTGTTATATTAGCATCTAACCTATGTATATGCTCCTGTATACTTTAAGTCATTTCTAGTTTATTTATAATACCTAATACAATATAAATGATATATAAATAATTGTTATACTGTATTGTTTAGGGAATAATGACAAGAAAAAGAGTCCATACATGTTCAGTGCACACAGTTTTTCCCCAAATATTGTCAATCCACGCTGATTGAATCCACGGATGTAGAACCCATGGATATGAAGGGCTGATTGTATATACCTCCGTGGACACAAATCACTTTCCTGAGTTTGCTCATGATCCATTCTGTCTTCATTTAGCCTCCAAGATTTGTCCTTTAATGTAAATTCCAGTAAAATTTACTCAGAAACCCCAAACCATGCAGAAACATGACAATATTGACTTCTAGACAAGTAGTTGCAGACATCTAATACTGCTTCTGCTCTTCACTATGGTGATTATTCACACTGCCCCTTCAGATCTTGTTATGTAATATTTTGTAAAGGGGTACATACATTGCTACAGCACGTGTTTATTTTAAAAATATTTTGACAACTGTATTGCAATATAACTAGTTTCTTTGTAACCAAATGTGTTTCATTTTGTGAATTTAAAAGAATATTCTGAGAGGGTGTTCATAGGCTTTGCCAGACTGTCAGTGGTATCCATGATGCAAAAATAGATAACAACCTCTGGTCTAAGTATTAGAAATTATGTCTGTGGATTATATTGATCAACATCTATTTCACACATCCAAGACTCTACCTGCCACTAACAAATACAGTGTTTGCAGGTTATTATAGATTTCTGAATTAGCACTTAAAATCTTTAAACTTCCCTCTTATATTGTTTTATACTCCTAAGAATTCTTCATCCCATAAGATGAGAGTCAGCATCTACTGACTTCTTGGATCCTTCTCCTTTTGAGGGGTCAACTGCATTCTACTCACAGCAGCTGCAGTATCTTCATCAGCAGGTCAAATAGGCACTACAGGCACACACATTTGGTTTGGGTCCTTAAGAGGAATTCTATGCTTTGTGGATGACCTTGGCAATGCTGCAGATGAACCTCCTGAAAACAAATTGAACAACACATTGCTTGATCTATACCCTTGTTTGCCCTTGGGCTCTGGCCTCTGAATGGTGCTGTTGATGAGTACCATTTTCAATGTCTCACATAATATTATTCCTTTGTTACTTGGTCTAGAAAGTACTTATGATTAACCTTAGCCTTGTTTAAATTGGAATATGAAGACAAATGATGGTTCATTTAGCTGGGGTGGGATTTAACCAGAAGTATTCTGTAGCCACATGTCATAACTCACCAAATACATTTTTTAAAACCAGACATTAAAAGGTTAACTGTGGTTGTATGGGACAAAGTGGAAGGAGACAGAAAGTGGTACTTGATGGATGGCAGGAATAAAGCAATTACCCTTATCTGATGAAAAGACTGGGAGGAAGCGGGGCAAACTGTAGCAGTTGGAATATCAGAAACTGCAATATCAGAAACTAAAGTGCAGTTTCTTTGAATCAGAAAAGAAAGTTGAGTATTTTGGATTTTGATTAAAAGTGGAGATCCATTTGAGCCTTTGAGTGAAGAGTGACATAAGAGAACCTCTACTATGTGGAAGATACAAACTTATCATTGGTCAAGTGTTAGCTAACAATTCCTATCTCTAGGATGATGGTGAAGCCTGTAGGTAGAATGTTTCTATGTTTAGAGGATTGCTTCTACCTTGGTATATATATCCTCCTTTTATTTCCTCTTCTTTAATTATCTCAATTATATGTCTTTCTGAGAAGTGACTTCAGACCTTAACCCATTTCCTCCATTTCCAGTGCTGCAGTCTGATTTGCATCCTGCACTGTTCTTCCTCATTGGCGACTTTTTACTCTAAAATTTGATATGTTAATTATTGAAATCCTAGGCTCTGCAGTTGTTCCTAGTTCTGCTAGCTTAGATATACATGAATATTGCATATAGGCATGCATGCATGTGCACACACACATAACTTAGTTTACTGACTATACATATTTTTTAAACTTTCAGATTTTGAAATAATATTAGATTTACATAAAAGTGCAAACATAGTGCAAATGGTTTCCATATACCTTTTAACTGGCTTCTCCTAATGTTAACATTTTATGTAACTATGATACATTTATCAAAATGGAGAAATTATCATTCATACAATATAGTACTGGTAACTAAAGTGCAGACTAATCTTTTACCAGTTTTTCTACTAATCAAACAAGAAGGTTGAGTATTTTGGATTTTATTTGATTAAAAGTGGACATTCATTTGAATCTTTGAATAAAGAGCTTCTGTTTTAGGATCCAGTCCGGGATACAACATTGCATTTAGAACAACTGTGTTTTCAATGCTCTTGCTATCAATATTTGCAATTCTGTGTATTATAGTTATAGCTAGAAATGTAACATTCTTGTAGAACTGTTCCACGTTACTTTTCTTGAATACTGATTGCTTTATTTCTGGAAGAAGTTTCAGGAATGGGAGTGTAGTTGTAAAATGATAATGTCTCTTAGATTGAATGCTGGCTAGAAGAGCCTTTTTCTAATACTTAGATATCTTTCTTTCTATTACATCTATGACATTGTTTTTCTCTTTTTGAACAGACATCTTCTTGATTTCTTGCCATAAAATGCTGTCATGTTCTCAGGCCTTTGTTTTTATTGTTAACTTTTTCATGTTGGTTACATAGGAAATACATACAAAATAACTGCCCCATTATTTTAAGTCTTTTCTGTGTTGCCCTTACTCACTCCACCCAGAAATGATAGAACTCTATCCTGATGGCACTTGGCTTACTTTGAGCTTAGACCTATGTGGTAGATTGTTATAACCATGGCCTCTTATAAATCACCCTTCTTTGCATCCGTACCTGTGTGTGGCCTCTTCTTACATGGACTGTGGACTTGGTCATGTGATGTGGTTTGGCCAATGGGACTCAGCAAATGTGCTGCAAACAGAGGCCAGAAAAATGCTTGTACAAAAGGCTTTTTCCTCCTGGAATGCTGTTGCCTTGTGAAGAAGCCTGTATTGGCCTGATCAAGATATGTGATCCAGCTGACAGCCAGAATCAACTTCCAGATGGGTGAACGAGGCCGTGTGATGCCAGTGCGTCCTATGTGAGTTACATCTCATGGTAGCCATATATGTGATCCCAGGTGAAACCAGCATAGAAAATGCTCAGCTGAGCTCAACCCGGCCCAATTTCCTGACCCATAGAATTGTGATAAAATAAAATCTGCTTTTTATTAAGCTGCCAATTTTTGGGATAGTTTGTTATACAACAACTGATAACTGGTAGAACCTATAAAAGCTTATGACACATGACTCAATGGTGGATACATGAGTCTCAGAAGTATTAGTTTTCCTTGGGCAATCATTTCTTTTGTTATAAAAATGCTTTATTCATTCCAGTTCTATCCTAAAACAGACAATCTTTGATACTCTTTCCAGCCCAATTTATCAATGATTTATTGTCTTTGTACCCTGAGAGGCTTTTTTTGAAGTATAGGTTATTACTGAAAAATTAAATAAACAAACACATTTGCTAAGAAATGAGATAAAAATGTAGACTGTTACTCAGGCAGTCTGTACTCAATTTTTCTGTTCAGTGCTCATCAAGAAGAAAATAGTAAGAAACTGGGTGGAACATGGGTAAACAGATATGTACTTTTCTCTCCACAATCCTTTTGTAAGGTAACTTGAATTTTGTGCCTTGTGCATATATTACCTTTTGCATATATTACCTATTAATTTTTAAAAATAATTTTAAAATTTAGTTCACATTATAAAATAATTTTAAAAGCTCTATCCTTGACAATATCCAAGAATATTTTTAAGAAATGTTTTTAAGAATGTTTTCCTGAAATTTTAGCTGCCTTCTAAATCCCCAGAGACAACAGTACCTAAAGATCAAATCAATATTTGTCATTGTTTCAGTTGTATGGTCTTTCAGTTTTCCTAAAGAATGGTCACCCAGAAGTTGGGAGCAGTGGCTCACACTTGTAATACCAGAACTTCAGGAAGCCGACATAGGAGGATTACTTGAGGCCAGGAGCTCAAGACCAGCCTGGGCCACATAGTGAGACCCCATTGCTAACAACAACAACAACAACAACAACAATAACAACAACAACAACAAAAGTACAGTCACCTAGGAAGAAAAATGAAAAAATCATCATGATCTTTGAAGAGATGTTGCCCTAAAACAACAGTGAAATACAATGGTGGTGTCCCCGACCATCACAGGAGAACCAGAGTAACCCTTAAATGTGTAGGTGGAAAGGGTGTCCACATTTTACATGAAATGTCATCTCAGAAGTTTTTCTTGATTGTTTTGTTTTTTTTTTTTTCTTTTGAGACGGAGTCTTGCTCTGTTGCCCAGGCAGAGCAGTGTCATGATCTCGGCCCCCTGCAACCTCTGCCTCCCAGATTCAAGTGATTCTTCTGCCTCAGCCTCCTGAGTAGCTGGGACTACGGGCGTATGCCACCACACCCGGCTAATTTTTTTTTTTTTTTTTTTTTTTTTTTTAGTAGAGACAGGGTTTCACCATGTTGGCCAGGCTGGGTTTGAACTCCTGACCTCAAGTAATCCACCCACCTCGGCCTCCCAAAGTGCTGAGATTACAGACATGAGCCACCCATGCCTGGCCCAGAGGTTTGTTTTGTTAAGAAAGCTACAAATAAATAAAAGTCTAACATTAGGTATATCTCCTAATGCTATCCCTCCCCGCCTCCCCCGACCCCACAACAGGCCCCGGTGTGTGATGTTCCCCTTCCTGTGTCCAAGTGTTCTCGTTGTTCAATTCCCACCTATGAGTGAGAACATGCGGTGTTTGGTTTTTTGTCCTTGCGATAGTTTGCTGAGAATGATGGTTTCCAGCTTCATCCATGTCCCTACAAAAGACATGAACTCATCATTTTTTATGGCTGCATAGTATTCCATGGTGTATATGTGCCACATTTTCTTAATCCAGTCTATCATTGTTGGACATTTGGGTTGGTTCCAAGTCTTTGCTATTGTGAATAGTGCTGCAATAAGCATACATGTGCATGTGTCTTTATGGCAGCATGATTTATAATCCTTTGGGTATATACCCAGTAATGGGATGGCTGGATCAAATGGTATTTCTAGTTCTAGATCCCTGAGGAATAGAACTTAAAGTATAATAAAAAATATATATATAATAAAAAAGTCTAAGAGACAAATGGCTAATTATAGTGATTTATTCTTCTACAAACAAGAATGAAAAATTCACCCTTCAAAATAGTATATGTAATATTATTAATTTGTTAAGGCTGCTATAACAAAATACTACAGACAGGGAAGGTTAAACAGCAGATATTTGTTTGCTCATAGGTCTGGAGGTGGGAAGTCTGAAATCAATGTGTCAACAGGGTTGATTTCTTCAAAGAGTCCCTCTCCTTGGTTTGTGATGGCCATCTTCAGATGTCTTCACATGGTCTTCCTTCTGCAAGTGTCTGTGTCCTAATCTTCTCTTCTTATAAGGACACCAGTCATATTGGGTTAGGACCCACCCATAAGGCCTCGTTTAACTTAATTACCCTTTAACGGCCCTATTTACAAATACAGTCATACTTTGAAGTACTGGGGGTGTGGATTCCAACACATGAGTTTTGAGGGGATGCAATTCAGCCCATAGCATGTGGTAATGTAGAATGTATGTACAGTCAATAAAGGAAAGAATATAATATTTTTAATTATATTTAGAAAAAATATAACTTTATGTATCAAGGAACATGATAAGCAAAGTAAAAAGAAAAATAACAAACTAGGAAAACATATTTCCATTGCACATCACGGACAGTGTTACCTGTTCTAATATACAGTGTCCCAAAACAGGGAAGAGCAACCACATAGAAAGATGTGGTTGAGAGAAATGAACATAGTTCGGAGAAAAAGAAAAGCATATGACTTATAGCCATATAAAAAGATGCACAACTTCATTGATTGTAAGAGAAATGCAAATTAAATACAACGAATACCATTTCTCAACTATTAGATGGGTAAATGGTTCAAGTGTGACAATGTACTTAGTTGGAGAAGCTGAAGGGCATTTTTATACATTGTTGATGTGATTGCAAAATGGTTTTACAAAACACCATATGCATTTATTCTTTGACAAAACAACTCCACTTCTAGAAATTTATTCCACTGGCAAAATTACAGAAAGGTGTGTGGACATGGCTTTCATTGGATATCTACTGGAGTAGCATAAGACTAGAACCAACTCCAAATTCCCAGAGTAAGAAGCTAGTTGAATAAACTATGATACTCCACACAATATGGTTCTATGCAGTTGTTAAAGGAATGAGGAATATCTTTATGATATATTGCCCACTGGAATAAAGCAATGTAGAGTAAAGTGTATACAGTATTTATTATTTACTGGAGAAAGGTAGGGTGCACATATATACAAGGGAAGAATAAGCTGTAAAATAAAAATCAGCTACTACATAAAAAGGGAGAGAGAAAGTAGGGTAAAGAGAATAGGCACAGAAGTGAATTTGCCTTGTAAACTTGACTTCTGAGCTGCATAAATATTTTACGTAATTACAAAACAAAAAATAAAAAAGCAATTTTTACAAATCTTGTGTGTTCAGTTAGGAGCACACCTTCACAGAGAGGAACTCTTCCCAATGGCTTTAAGGCACAATTGTTGTTGTTTTTAAAAATATCTTAAATAAATTTTTATTTTTATAGATTTAGGGGGTACAAGTGCAGGATTGTTACATGGATAAATTGTGTGGTAGTGAAATCTGGGGCTTTTAGAAGACACAGTAATTTGACTCTCCATCCCTAGTGCACAAAAAAGAATTAAACAATTTCCAGTATTCAGGATCCAAATGAAGTTCATACAGTGATTGTTTGAAATAACTTTTAAGTCTCTTATAATCCATATTTCCACATTTCTTTCTTTCTTTTTTTAATTTATACATTTTTCTGCTTATTGAAGAAAACTAGTTATCCTGTAGTTTTTCCTACAGTCTGAATTTTGCTGTTGCATCACCATAATATAGAAATAAAAATGATGTATGATATTTATGAGCTAATTGGAAATGTGAACATAGACTGGTTATTTAATGATATTAAGAAATTATTGTTTATTTTGTCAGGTGAGACTATACTGTGGTCTTATTAAAATGAGATATATACTGAAGAATTTATGGATTAAATGTAAATGATGCTATGTCTGGTTTGCTTTAAAATAACACGGAGGAGGGTTTAGTCTGGATTGGCTTATATGGACTTAAGTAATGAATATTATGGGCATTCATTATACTAGTTTGACTAATGTGAACATGTTCAAAATTCTTTCTTATTTATTTATTTATTTATTTATTTTTTGAGACAGAGTCTCGCTCTGTCACCCAGGCTGGAGCACAGTGGCTGGATCTCCGCTCACTGCAAGCTCCGCCTCCCGGGTTCACGCCATTCTCCTGCCTCAGCCTCCCAAGTAGCTGGGACTACAGGCGCCCGCCACTGCACCCGGCTAATTTTTTGTATTTTTAGTAGAGACAGGGTTTCACCATGTTAGCCAGGATGGTCTCGATCTCCTGACCTCGTGATCTGCCTGCGTCGGCCTCCCAAAGTGCTGGAATTACAGGTGTGAGCCACTGCACCCGGCCTCAAAATTCTTTATAATAAAAATGGTAAAATAAGCGTGCTAGTTCTAGAGTTTATCCACCTGGATTTGAATTTTGTACCACCACTTAGTAAATACGTGATTGTGGGAAAATAATTTCACCTTTCTGTTTTATAATCAGAAAAGTGGGGCTCATAGTATTATTACCTCATAGGATTCTTGAGGCAGTTAAATGAAATGTTTTGTGTGAAGTATTTGGAGCACATTTTGTCACACGGTAAGCAACAATAAATTTTAGTCATTGTCATGCCTATTATTATTTTCTCTAAACTTTAATATATGAATACTGGAAGATAGAGGGTCTCTCTCTCCCTCTGAGATCATGAGCTACGAGAATAAGTTGGAACTATTGGTGGCCATTTTTCCTTTGGAGGGTGCATAACTCACAGGAAAGCAGGGACCCTGGTGGGCATTTCTGTTGCAATATCCCTTAGGGCCTTGGATTCAGCCATTCCTCAAGGTATTTTACCCTTGGATTTCTCACTTGCTGAGTCAATAATCTTTAAGCTAGTTTGAGATGTATTTCTAGCACTAGCAAGTAAATTTTTTTTTTCTGGTCATTCACTCATTCTAACATACAATAGTGCTGTTACCCTTTACCTAAAGCACATTTATGCTTATAATATTTGTCACTTAAACTCTGTATAAGCTTCCCAGTATTTAGTAAATAAAACCCAACTTCCTCAGTTTGGTATTTGGTTTTGGCGTAGTCCAAATCTTCTTCTCTAGAGTAACGTTCCACTCTGCCTGTATCCCTATCATCCCATCTTCTGGATGGGCTGGAGGGTGTGTTCCTTGACCAGGTTCTTGACTGAGCTGCTCCTGTGCTTCCATGAATGGCTGCATCTCATCTGGACTGGGATTCCATCAGCGCCTTCCCTGGCCATTTAATAGATGGACTCGCCATCCTTCAAGGCCTTGTGCAAATGTCAACTTTCTAAAAATTCGCTTTATTGGAGCTGGAAGGGACTATCCTACTTTCTCTAGCCCTTTGTTTTGCTCCTTCTATAGCACTTGTCACTGATATGTTGGTATCAATATTATTGTTAATTTAAAAACTGTGATATTAAATTTTTTATGAGATCATTGGTTCTTTTGTACTTGGAATAAAATCTTATTACTATTATGTATAAAGCCTCACATGATCTGGCTCCTTCCAGCTTTTCTGACATCATATCTTATGATTGTCCCCTAGTCCAATAGGCTTCAGCCACATAGGCAATTATATTCTTCAGTAAACTCAGCTTTCCTTGCCACTAATCAGCTGTCCCATTTGTCTGCAAGGCTCTGCTTCCAGATCCTTCCGTGGTTGGTGCCTGCTCATTATTTAGGCTCTAGTGCTAAGGTCTTTTCTCAGAGGAGCCTTTCCTGATCATCCTATCTAAATTAGCCCTTACCTCCCCTCTAGAATCTCTATCCCATTATCTTATACTATTTTCTTTATAAAACTTACAACTGTATTAAATTGCCGTATTTACTGGTTTACTCCTTGAATGTCTGTTTCTGCCCCCTTCCCTTCCTAACTCCACAACATTAAAAGTTCCACGAGGGCAGGGATCATTTGGTCTTGTTTAATACTACATTTCCATGACCTGGAATAAGGATTAGCACATGGTCAATGTTTCATAAATATTTGTTAGATGAACATTTTCTAACCTGTTTACTAGATTATCTGTACTACAAAGGCACAGGAGCTCATTATCAAGTATCTTACTTTTTGCATAGTCTATGCACACAGTAAATATTTGATGAATGAACAATTTCATCCTATTATGTTGAACCATAGGGAATTGTCTTTTTTTTAATGTCAAAATGATTAAATATTGGGAATTGCCTATGGTTCAACCTGGTATCTTCAACTGTTTTTTCAAAGAATTAAACTTGCCTAGAGAGAGTTCTGGCATTTCCTTTGGCTATCGGGAGGTGATCTCTAGGTGCCTGGAAGGGATGTGCCACATCCCGAAGAGAGTAGAGGCACTAGCCCAGACCTTCAGGAGGGTATGGTAAAGGTCAGCCACACAGGATGTATGTGATCAACCCCAATAAAAACTTTGGATACTGAAGGCCTGGTGAGCTTCCTGGATTGGCAATACTCTGTGTGTACTGTCAGACATTGACACTGGAGAACTGTGCAGTCTGTGGCTCCATGGGGAAGGAAGGGATGACTAGTAGTTCTGCATTTGGAAACTTCCCAGATTCTTCCTCCTATGCATTTCTTCCTTAGGCTGGTACTAATTTGTACCTTTGCCTACAGTAAACATGGCAGTGAATCTTATAGCTTTCACTGAGTCATTCTAGCAAATTATTAAACCTGAGGATGGTCTGAATTTGTAGCCAGTTGGTATGAAGTGATGGTGGCCCTGGGAACCCACTGGGGTTCCCACTCTGAAGTGACAGCAGTCTTCTGGGGACTGTTCCCTCAGACTGTGCAGTTCATGTAAGTTCTTGCATGTTTAAATAGTTATTTACTCAAGAATAAAGACCGTGATCATTTCATTATTCCTCAGTGTCTGTGACAGTGTCAGCCAGTTAAACTCTAGACACTTTCTTCCTGCATTTGTCAATACAAATGCTGATTGGAGTAGGCCACTGAACTGTTCTCATGAAGTAATTAGACCATCAGTATATACTGAAGATTTAAAATGAAGGTACTGAATTGAACATAATCAAGTGCCAGATCTACTATACAGAAAATTCTGTGCTAGGACCTGTTATTCCCAGAGTGAGATGAGTATCAAAGAAGATGGGAATTGGAATGGCTCTAGGAACAGACAAAGTATGGCATGAGTTCTCATTCTACTTAGTCTTTATCAGACATGAACTTTTTGAGCCAACTCTGCTCATGGATAGAGTCAGGCCTTATACCATGCCCCTTCCTTCAGCCGTCCCAAGAGTAATCATAATTTCACAAATTGCTCTTTTTATCCCTAGTTCTGTAAGGAATTACCATCATCTCATGATAGTCCTTCAGGTGGTAGTTGAGTTAGCAAGTGATGTTTAAGTAACTTTACATAGAAGTTTAAGGAGACTTTATACAAAAAAAGTGCTCATCTTCCAACAGAATTGGGTTTAAACATAGATATTCCAAATTCTTATCTTCTCTATAATGCCTCCAAATTTTCATTATGGTTGTTTTTTCTTTGGCAGAGAATGACTTTTTTGTCTGTTTTTACATTTTAGCTCAACCATTTGTAACTGATCCTAAAATTAAATGCTTTAAAAATATATTGAATGGCAGCCACATGTTTTGCATGATATTATTTCTATTCTACTAACATGAAAGTAATTTGAATAGATATTACTTGTAAATAAAATAAATCGGCAAACCACTTATTGGAAATGACTTCTTAGAAATCTTCTCTTTCAAAGCATTAGGTTATAACATGGAATCTAAGATACTGAGAGATAGTAAGTAATGAAAAGACAATCTTTAGTCCTGAGGAGCTTACACCTTAAAGCAGGAGATAGGAGTGGTATAAAATATTGTAAATATGAATCCTGATAAAGGTAGACTAACCCTCAAGAGCCATACCTGCTATTTTCAGAGAGCTAGAGAAACATCCTATTGGAAAACACACTAGTATGCGCATTTAGTGGCAATTCAGTGTCAACATGCAGAATAATGAAGCAGTTGAAATCATTTCAAGGAGGCTCTGTGCCTGTCTTTGCTTCTTACTTCATCCCATTCAAATAAGAAGAAGCTTGAATAATAAAGAGGATAATTTGCATGGTTGTAAAAATCCCTGAAACACACCTGAATTTTAAATCATACAACTAAAGCAGGTTGTATTAAAGCAGAAGGATTCTGAGTTTTTAGAAACACCAGCAAATTAATCAGCTTTCAGATCAAAGAGTAAGAATCTTTAATGGCATGTAAACATTGAATTTGGTTGTCAATGATTTCCATATTGAATCTCACAAAGAGATGTTTAGAAGCAGTTCTACTTTCCTTCCTCCAAATATCATAAATCAACTCTTTGATTTCTCTTTACTTTTTCTTCAGTTGGTTAGTCTAGAATATAAAAAAGTTTATTGTAGTCAGCAAATATTTTTAGACCTTGAGAGGTGCTAGTGGGTTATGAGACCAATGGGAGAAAGTACTCCAACTTGTAGCTCAATATTAGCACATAAATGTTAATGAGTACAAATCATTCCAAGCATGTCAAGAATAAGAAATATTTGGAAATATTTTGAAAATGCATCCTGTTGTGCTGATTCCAGGGTGAAAACACTTTAAGCTGTTAATAAAAAGCAGGCAACATACTCTCTTCATCTGACCCATGCCATGGCATAGATTGCTCATGGGAGACTAATTTTGGGGTTGCCTGTTTGCTCCCAATTATTGCTTTCTGGAAATTGGACTTAAGACTCAGAGGTAGACTCCCAATGGCTTTGTCTTTAATACATGGCTCTGTCCACACAGCCAATTGAGTTAAAAGAATATATTCGACCCAAGCTGGACCAATGCTGTATCCTAGGAGTTATAGAATTGGAAAAGAGTGATCAGAAAACTGAGGATATCTGGGGCTGAGTTTTGCAAATGGTAGAGCTCTTGGAGGAAGGCCAATATAAACTTTTGATGCAGAAATCCTTGAAACTTTTCCTTCCTAAACCATCCCTTCCTTTTTTTTTTTTTTTTTTCTGAGACGGAGTCTCACTCTGTTGCCCAAGCTAGAGTGCAGTGGTGTGATCTCGGCTCACTGCAACCTCCACCTCCCTGGTTCAAGTGATTCCCCTGCCTCAGCCTCCCGAGTAGCTGGGATTACAGGTGTGCGCCACCACAGCTGGCTAATTTTTGTATTTTTAGTAGAGATGGGTTTCATCATGTTGGCCAGACTGGTCTTGAACTCCTGACCTCAGGCAATCTCCCTGCCTCAGCCTCCCAAAGTGCTGGGATTATAGGCGTGAGCCACTGCGCCCGGCCACCATCTCTTCCTTTAATTCCAAGAGATACTCACAATCCTTTCAATAATTGTCTTTTTCCCGGCCCTTTACCCCCCATAAGCCAGAGATAATCAGTTTCTGTTTCCTGCACTAAAAAACCCTAAAGGTTAAATAGTGACTAAATTAGGACTCAAAAATTTTTCAAAAAGTAAAGGATTACCCGGATATCCCTCACAATGCAGCAGAAGATGAATATGCCTAGGCTTGGAGTAACTGGTACTACAGCAGAAGGAGAAGTCATTTTCTGCTATTCACCAGTTCAAAATACAAGGTAGATATGGCTGGAAAGACAGACTTATAGGACACTTAACACAATAATGGCTACAAACACAGAGGTGAACAACTGAACAGTGTAAGAAGTCATGGAATAACATCCAAATTATACGTTCATGCCTCGAGTTTCAAATTAATTTTAAAATTCAAGTTATTATTCATACTTTTATTGCTACAAATCCTGTGAAGTCCTTTGAGTTGAATTTTATAGCTGTCTGAGATCTTAGAGATTACCTGGTTTAACTCTCCCATTATACAGATGAGGCAAGTAAGGCCCCTAAAATTTAAGTGACTTGCTTGTTGAAGATCTACAGTTACCAGTCGCAGTAAAGCTAGGAATCTAGTACTTTTAATTACTTAATCTTGAATTACATGCTTTTCACACTATCAAATTATATTAGTTTTAATTAGGACTCACATTGTGCTTTATTTTAAATTCATATTAATTTATTATTTATTTTTACACTTTTAAGAGCATTTAAAGTGAAATAAATCCTTACAGGTATACTTGAGACCCCTACATGCTCCTTCTCAATTTTATTCACATCTCTCTTTCCCATGCTGAGTTTTCCTTTTTATTAGTTCTGGTATGTTTTCATTCATATATCTATAAAATGGCAAAATATATAGTATCTTTTTTATGTTTAAAATGTATGTAAATCATAGTATAAGTCAACATTATATTTTAGAGATTAAATCATATTATACGTCAACATTATATTTTAGAGATTAAATCATATTATAAGTCAACATTATATTTTAGAGATTTAAGCACATGGTACGTGTAACTCTTGTTCATTCATTTTCATTATATGAATATACTCGAATATATCTAATCCCCTGCTAATGGACATATAGACTGTCTCCAGGCTTTCACTTTTAACACAGTGCTGCAATAAACATTCTTGCACATGTGCACTTGTCCACATGTATGAGAATTTCACTGTGGTATGTAGGAATAGAAGGGCTGAGTAGGCCGGGCATGGTGGCTCACGCCTGTAATCCCAGCACTTTGGGAGGCCAAAGTGGGAGGATCACAAGGTCAAGAGATTGAGACCATTCTGGCCAACATGGTGAAACCCCGTCTCTACTAAAAAATACAAAAATTAGTTGGGCATGGTGGCGCGCGCCTGTAGTCTCAGCTGCTCGGGAGGCTGAGGCAGGAGAATTGCTTGAACCTGGGAGGTGGAGGTTACAGTGAGCCAATATCACACCACCGCACTCCAGCCTGACGACAGAGCGAAACTCCATCTCAAAAAACAAAAAACAACAACAAAAAAAGAAGGGCTGAGTAATGAGTACGTGCACTTCCAACCTAACTAGACTTTGTCAAAGTAGTTGTACCAAATTATGCTTCCATTCAGCTGTGTATGAGAATTTGACTTGTCCAAGTTAGACCTGTCAGACTTTAAAATGTTTGCCAATCTAATCTAACGTGTGTGAAATGATATTTCACTGTGGTTTTATTTAATAGTTCTCTGAATACTAATGAGGTTGAGCGTCTTTTTATATGTATATTGGACGTAAGGCTTTCCTGATGTGTATGTAAATTGTCTGCTTAAATTCATTGCCCATTTATCTATTGAATTATTTTATTATTACTTTTTAGAGATGGGATCTCTGTCACCTTGGTTGGAGTGCAGTGGCATGATCATAGTTTGCTGCAGTCTTGACCTCCTGGGCTCCAGCAATCCTTCCACCTCAGCCTCCCAAGTGGCTGAGACTACAGGTGCATACCATCACACCTGGCTAATTATTGTTATTTTTGTAGAGATGGAGATCTTGCTATGTTGCCCAGGCTAGTCTTGAATTCCTGGCCTCAAGTAATGCTCTTGCCTCAGCTTCCCAAAGTGTTAAGATTACAGGCATGAGCCACTGGGTGCAGTCTGAATTAGTTTTTTATTCGTATTGGTTTATAAGTATTCATATATAATCTGGATAGTATATACGTTCTTTAAACATGTGGCTTGTTTTTGCCTTTTGATTATGACATACGTGTGTGTATGTGTATGTGTATATATATGTGTGTGTGTGTGTGTGTGTATATAACTTTTTTGTTTGGAAGTCTTAAATTTTAATGTAGTCAAATGTATTCATCTTTTTATTTGTGGTTCTCACTTTTTGTGATTTAAAATATCTTTCTGCACCAAAATGTTTAACATTTTATTTTCTACTAGTAAGTCTTTAATCTACATATATATACATGTTATATATATATGTGTGTGTGTATATACACATATTACATATATATGCATTGCTTTCTTGCCTATCTGTAGAGGTAAAGAAGGATATAAATTCATTTCTTTTTACCTGTGGAAGACCAATTAATTTAGCAGTATTTTATAATTCATCTTTTCCCTACTTATTTTCAATGGTATCTCTGTCATCTGCCAAATTTTCGTATGTGTGTAGGTCTATTTTTGGGCTCTCTACTCTGTTCCATTAGTTCATTTTCTATCTTGAGCCAATACTACAATAACATAATTACTATATTTTATAATAGGTCTTCATATCTGGTAGGGAAAATCATTGCAACATTGTATTTCTTTAAACTTGTCTTGGGTTCCTGGGCCAATAGGTGTTTTTTTTTGTTTGTTTGTTTTTTTTAATTTCTAATATTGTTTTCATTAATGCCATCTCATTTTTTGCTATCTTATATTTTGCTGAGAATTTATCTTTTATTAATTATGAAAAATTCTACCCATTATGTTTCAAATTGTGCCTTTCCCCCATTCTTTCCATTATCACTCTCTTTAAACCATAAATTAAATTTTGCATTAAAACTGTTGTAATAAAGACTTTAAAAAATTTAGTAAATCTTATTTGGTTATTTAACAAGCTCTCTAATGCTTTTTAGTAAATTTTGTATTCTTTTATATTTTCAATTTTTTTGTAAGTGACACTATTTTTATATATCTTGTAAGTGACATTATTTATTTTTGTAAGTGATATTTATTTTTATATATCTACTTTGGAGTATCTAGTCAATAGCTATAGCATTTGGCATTATTGGAAAATTTAATATTGTTATTAATTATACCTAGTGACTCTTCTTCATTAATTTAAAATTTTGATTGTAAACTCCTTTTCACTGAACCTTTCCCATGGGAATTCTTCAGAGCCAGACTGAGAACATTTTCCACTAGAGAAATTTTGCATTTGCTTCTTGTAGGCACTGCAGAGTTAGCATGAGTTTGGAGCCATTTTTACATTGGTCACTAAGTCTGGAGGATTCCTTAGCCGCACATGAATAGTGTAAATTTAAACCTCAGTCCTCATTGAGACAGGGGTATGGTCATAAATTTTAATAGAAGCTCTTTTAACCTCCAGCCCAAACATACACAAAAAGAGACAAGTCATCCTGTTGTATTCCTTGCCAGTGTACATACTTTCACCTGCTCACATTTTCTCTGAAGGTATATCTCTTCCACCGTGAGTTCCTGATTTGCACTAAGGATATCAGTCCTAATTCCTCATTTTCTAAGTGTATGTTTCTTGTGCTTGTTTAAGTAATCCAACCTATCTCTCGTATTATTGAGTCAGCATATACCCAGAGCTATTTCTGCTGAATTATTGTTACTTTAGAAGTCTTTTTTTTTTTTTCGTAATGAGTTAGGGTTTGCATGTAAAACTATGTTTGTTACATTTGTAGATATTTTGTAGTGGGAGTTAATCATGCCTGCTACATTGCTGGAGCAAAATTCAACACTAAACTTTAGTATATGAATTAGAGTTCAATAAAATTTTGACCTAAAACAGCATCTCTGTCTCTAGGAAATTAACTATTTCCTAAAATATTTAAAGTGCCTACTAAGACTTATTTTTTATAAGCAGCAGAGACAGTTGCTCTATTTATAAATATATATTGCAAACTCACGTAACTAACAATTGTTGTTGAATTAAATCTTTCAAAAGCATAAATATTTCCCTTCTAATGAAATAGTAGGTTTTAATATGCTCTTTAAGAAGATGCTTCAAAACACTTGCATATTAACGTCTGCCCTTTAGAAACTATAATTAGCTAGTCTTTAAAGTATCAGTAATCTGCAAGTATTCTAATAGTACTTTTCTAACTTCAAATTTACATTTTATGAGAGTCTCAACTCAACCAGTTTGTATTTTCTGAAAAGTCCAAGATTTGTGCTCAGTAGGTAGGGTGCTTGATTTAAGGAGCCCTTAGATTTGTAGTGATTTAAAAACAACGAAAGACTTGGGCCACTTTCCTTCAGGACATTGTGCCTTTTGTTTATGACTACTTTACTATGTAAGTAGCAGATTTATGATAACACAGTTTTATGACTCATGGGTCCCCCATGAGTTTCATTTAAAAAGGGTGTACCATGGACATCAAATGGATGAAGAACATATAGATTTAGCAGCTAATAAGCAAGCTGATTCAGTTTTGGGTTCCTTTTGTCCTAACCTTTGACTGAGGGGAACATAAAATAAAAAGACTGAGTGAAGACTTAGTGAATAAAAAGGCTATTTGAATTTTTATGGCCATGTGTTTATGTGTTGAAGTAATTTGAAAAGATTAATGAGATAGGGCTTACTATGTAAAACAAAATTGGCATAAACTTTGTAAGAGTTCTTACTCTAAATGTTTCCCATTGAATTAGCAAAGTCCTCAAAACTTCCACATTTTGTTATTCTAACTCCAAGTTGAAATGATCCGTAATATTACAGTTTTTAGTATTTATAACTTAAAATTTAATCTAAGAATTGGCATTAAATTATAATCTAATATAGTATCTCTATCGGTAGGAAATTATCAGTTTTCTTCCTAAAGTATTTAAGACTGGCTCTGAACATTTTATTCCTTACCATGGAAAGTAACAATCTTTCATTTGTACCACTTTCGTTCATAGACTTCACTGCTGTTTAGAGACATACCCATATCCACCTCTCCCCATGCCACACATCTTGATTTATCAGACTGAAATATGAAGTGGTAAAAGTATACTTCTCTATTAAATTTTCTTAGTCTATTATTTCTGTTCAATTTTCTTCATGCTCGTGGCCAGGGCTTTCTTGCTACCATTTAAAACTTTCTTCACAGATTGTAAAAACTGTTAAGCTAAGTTAAATGCGTGTTTTCATAATACTGTGTAGTCACATTTCAAGAGAACACCTGATGATGACCATACTAATTCAAATAACTGAATCTGTGAATGTGGTATTTCAGATACATTGGAGACAATACGGGGAAATACTTTGGCCTTTTCAGGCCTAAGTTCTTCCTTATAGCAACCCATGTTTACTTCCAGGCTTCCCAGAGGATCCGGTACCTTCTGCCCTACTTCTATAAGGACTCTCCTGAAAAGCTTATTGTCATGCAAAGCTTAGTGTTTAGCTATTCTGTCACTTCCTCAACTCAGTAGCCTGATATTGAACTTCCGACACTTTTTTTGTTCATTGTGTTTTAAGTTTGGGTTGCCACTCCATTCCTGAGGCCACAATTTTATTAAGGTCCCAAATCTTTTACTAACTGATTTCTGAAATTAAACATAATTTGATTTATAAGCCTCCAATATGTCTACACAATTTCAAGATGTGGAAATTCAGTTTAAAAACAAACTCTTGGAGATTATTATTCATTTAGAGAAGAAATTGAAAAAGACTTCCTTGAAACAGTGTGTTCTCTACTGATTATGACTGAAGTCTTTAAGTTTGGGAAAAGAACAGCTGTCAGCACAGGAGAGCAAATGTAAAGACTGAATATATAAAGAAAGGGCCCAATGCTACTGGAGAGGCAGTAGCAAAGGAAGGTTGCATACAAACACATGGAGTCAAAGGTTCAAAATGCTTGGACATTTCCAGAATGTCTAAGCACAAATGGAACAAGTGTTGTAGGGAGTTCCAAATAACAGGCAGTCATAAAAATTCTAGGATTTCATTCATTCATTCATTCTTAATGCATTCATTATTACAGCAAATGGAGCACCACCTTTTAGCTGGACATTCTGCTAGACTCTAAAATGAATGGCAGCCTTGCTCTTAAAGGGATTAGAAACTAGTTGGGCAATGGGAGTTTAAAAATTTGGAAGAAGTAGTTGATGCATTTATAGAAAAACTGGGTTATTCCCTATGTGGACTGAAGGATGAGGAAGAAACATGGTAGTGTGGTAAGAAGGAAGTGCCCAGTGAGCCTGGAGTACTGGTATACCAGTGAAGAACAAGCCCAGAACCATAAGTGCATTTTGTTGGGAAGGCAGGGAGCCTGATCTGGATCCCAAATGCTGGTTTAGGCCAATGGCAGACTGTAAAGAGCCTTTCTGTTAGTCCAGTACAAACAAGCTTCATATGGTAAAATTTGCAAATTTAAGGAACTGTCATTTCTTGAAATTAGTTCCTTTCCAGTTTCTTTAAAAGATGATGGTGATAGGCAGTTAAAAAAAACTTTGACAAATTTAAAAGTTGACCATTCTATCTGGATCGTTTATTTATTTTAAAATTAGTTGGTCTATAAAATCCAAACATAAGCCCAGGCGTGGTGGAGCACAGCTGTAATCGCAGCTACTGAGGACTACTTCCTGCAGTCCCTCAGAAGCTGAGGTTGGAGGATTGCTTGAGCTCTGGAGTTGGAGGGCAGCATGAACAACTTAGCGAGACTTCCTCTCTAAAAAACACAAAATCCAGACTTCTAAGATTGATGGTCATGATCCAGAACCCGCTGATCCAGCACCCCAGCTATGGGACTGGTTCAAGACCGTGAGTGACCACACCTGCAGGCTGGGAGGCTTCCTTAGTCATTCTTTTTTCCACATTCTGGATCCTCATTCCTCACCATTCTGTCACTCATGTTTGCTCTTGAAATCTCCCCAATCTGTCTATCCACATTTAAATATGTCCCAATTTCAGCCCTCTGCACAGTTTCTCTCCAGCTGTTTTTCTTTCCTGGCCTTGCATTCACACTTGTTTCCTTCCTTGGGTTCAGTCACAAGTTTCCTTTATTCTTTCTGTCTGTCTATCTATCTATCTATCTATCTATCTATCTATCTATCTATCTATCATCTATCATCTATTATAGTATTGTATTTTATATAATGTAATAGGGTAAAGCAGTTTAGATAGAAAAAAATTACCTATTGCAAATGGTCCCTAAAGTTGAATAAGATGAAAACAGCCAACTGTCCATGGTGACTGGTGAGTGTGGTGAGAATGGTGGCAGGCAAATGCACACACACACACACACGCGCGCACACACACACACACACACACACACACACACACACACTTCCCTTTTCCCTGCTGCTGACACATGGCTATTTTTACCCAGAAGAGAAGATACGTTAAACATAGACTATGTGGCATTCGGCATATTTCAGTCTTTGCATAAAATTGCCAGAAAATTTCTTGAGATTAGGGATGAAGTCTACATGAAAACTCTGGGTTGTCAGTACTCATTGAACCCCTGCTTTGAATTCTAGGGTAGTAAAAGTTCAGAAGTAGTTATTAGTGAACCAATACCAACAGCTGTGGTCAGTTAATGGGGTAAGAATTAAACAGAAGAATTAGAAAATTATGATTATGCAACTAAGTAACTTCAGACTTGAATTTTGGTCACATTTGTTTCAATTAAAGATCTGTAAAATTTCCAGTTCTACATAATGTGAGAAAAGTCAGCCAAAATTGAAGGGAAAAAAGAACATGAAACAAAACATATGTTGGGTTATGGTTTTGCACCAGATATTTTTGAAATTAAAAGTGGTAAACAGTTTATTCTAAATGAATTGGATTTCTCCCTTAAGATTCAAAGTAGGCAAATACTTAAATCAGACTACAAATTAGATTAGTGCTAAGGACTGGATGACTTTGGGAACATCCTTAAAGGCTAAATATATATTCCATTACCTCTATTTTAAAACAGCATCTATTATGCTCACTGATTTATCAGAAAGCATAATTTGCTATTTTTAGTCAAAGAAAAATAAATCTATTAGTTTGATTCTGGGGTTCAGGATTTTCCAGAGAACTGAGATACTTTGGCAAATTTGTCTTTGGTGTCATAACAAATAGTTCTTTGTTTTCCTTTGTATATTTTGAGGGTGTCAAGTTCAACGTCCTAGTCGACAAGCAAGTCTTTTCATTAAGCAGCAATGAATCATAGAATCATGGAGTTGGAAGGACATCTAAAAGTAATCTAATGCTACCCCTTGCTTCCAGGAAAGATATCTGTATCATGCTTCATTCTGTTTCTAAAATCTGAAGAAGAAAATAGAATAATTTAGAATATATGGACTGAATTCTTACCATGAGGTTAACTGTAGAAACTATTGCATCTTTTATAACCTTCTAAACTGGATTGAGATCCATAAATAAATTTAGATAAGGTTGTTTGCTTTGCTTCTTTCGCAGATTGTCTTTTCTACTGGATAGAGAGCTATCAGTAAAAAGAGGAGAAGCTGTTTATTTTGCTTCTTTTGCAAATTGTGTAATTCTATTTAAACTTAACATATTTAGCCTGGTATTTTTTAGCAGTTCATTCTACAACATTCTAGTATTGTGATACCCAAAGACATCCTAAAAAATATATTATCACTGCTGTGATTGAATAGTACACATCTTTATGTATATGCAATCAGTTTTCCTTTAGATCATTTCTAGTTTCTTTTGGTACACACATGCTGATTTGTATACCACTTAAAAAAAGACTAGAAAAACTTTATCATTCCAGACAATAGAAAGTTGCCTTTTTATATTTACTTGTTCTAGATTGATTGAAAAAAGTTGTCCTAGCAAAAGATATCATTTGATATAACTCCTGGAAATCTGTTATACAAATAAATTAAAATATAGTCACTGCAGATTATAGTTTGAGAAGACATCAAATCAGACGCAATCATGAATCAAAGATGGTATTGAGCTATCAGGTTATTGTCAACATGGCTTCTCAACATTTGGAGCAGAGGGATGAAGTGAAGCAGAGGTGTTAGGAAAGATTTTTAAAGGGATTTTCAACCAGTTACCCTTTACAAGAAATATGCTAGTCTTTAGATTCAATAAAACTTCACATTTCAAATAAATCTGCCCAACAAAATAGCAAACATACCCTTGTCTCAGCTAATTAAAATAAAAACCTTTTGCCTTTTCTACTTCGGGGAGCTGGGTTGCTATCAGAAGACTGTGATCCAAGTTGTGGATTAAGGGAGATTATTGCACCACCAATATTCTGGAGTCTTTTAAGAAAGTAATTCCTTTTTCCTTCATACTTCATCATGTAAATAGCATGGAAAAAGCCCTCATCAGAATTTCTGAGGGCGGTGGGACTAGTGGAGACATAATAAAGCAACAGAAAAAATCCTTTTCTTTCTCTATTATGATGCACGTTTTGCCTGCTCAGAAAGTCTAGAGATCTGGAATTTGTAATGTAGGAATGCTGACCTGTCTGTGATGGGTGCTGGAGACCAGGCCAGGGAGCATGAAGCATCCCTTGCTCAGACCATGAAGCACCCCTTGAGAGAAACTACAAAGAGGAAATTTCTCTAAAAAACAGTTTATCTTGTAATACAAAGCCTCTGAAATTGAGTATCTGTTTTACAGATCAAAGGGAAATTTGGCATTTTTCAAGTCATAATTTTGGAATAGTTTTTAAAAATTACTTTTAGTTGAAAAATGAAGATGAAAGCTAGTGTTTATTGATCAATTACTAGGTGCCACGTTTACATAAATAAAATGTGGTAAATTCATACAATGAAATATTGTTCAGTCACAAAAATGAATTAAGTACTGATACATGTTACAACAAGATGAAATTTGAGGGCATTATGCTAAGTGAAAGAAGTCAGACATAAAAGACCGTGTAACACATGATTTCATTTATATGACATGCGCAGAATAGGCAAATTCATAGAGACAGAAAGTAGATTATTGATTGCAAGGGGCTGGGGGAGGAGAGAGTGGGGAGTGACTATTATGGGTACTGATTTTTTTGGGGAAATTATAGAAATGTTCTGGAGTTAGTGGTGATGGTAGCGCAAACTTGTGAACATACTAAAAACCACTAAATTGTACATTTAATCAAATATAATCTTTCCACAAGGGCCTTCTTTCACCTTCCTAAATAAAAGATTAATTAGAATGAAAAAACACTCTATTTTATAGGTGAATTCAGGTATAAATTAATAGCTGAAATATAAGTTAGAAAGAGGTAATTACCATGAGAATGAAACACACCAAAATTCTATAATGCTCTTTTTACCCTGTGTCTTCCAATTAATGTCGTTAATTCAATCAATAATTTTTTTCCAGATGCCGCTATGTCTTTCTCATTAACAAAATTATTTCATGAAATTGCTGTGAAGTTGGTAATTATTAAAGCTGGGAAATAGAAAATGGGGTCCATTTTTCCATTTTTTCTACTGTATATCTGGGTGAAAATTTCTGTAGTACAGTTTGAGTGTCCTTAATCCGGAAAACTGAAATCTGAAGTGCTTCAGAATCGGAAACTTTTTGAGTGCCGATGTGACGCCACAAGTGGAAAATATCATACCTTACCTCGTGATGGCTTGCAGTCAAAACATAGGCACACAACACACAGTTTCTTTAGTGTCCCCAAGAGAAAAAAGACCCTCTCAGCCCCCTTTATTTGTGATATATCTTTTCCACACACACTCAGATTCCCCCAAGCACACCCACAAAGGGTAATAAAATGGGCACTTTCAGGACAGAAGCACAAGTGGCAAGTTCCCTACGATGCCCCACATGGGGCCAAGACCTACATCACTGGTAGCTGAGTTAGTGACTCCTTAGCTTTCTGGTGGTTCAATGAATGCAAACTCTGTTTCATGCTAGAAATTCTTAACAATATTATATAAAATGACCTTTAGGCTATGTTTATAAAGTGTATATGAAGCAGAAATGAATTTCATGCTTAGACTTGGGTCCCATCCCCAAGGTATTTCATCGTGTATATGCAAATATTCCTAAATAAAAACAATTCTGAAATCTGAAACAGTTCTGGTACTGTGTTTTGGATAAGGGATATTCAACCTGCAGCAAATTAAAGAAATTACCTGGTGGAGGAAAACATTAATTTTTAAAATCAGTTGATTTATTTTCTTTTTTGAATTTTTATAAGGGAGGTGAAATTAACTTTAGTGCAATGTGCAGATAGAACCATTCCTTCACCTTAGAAATTTCTCAATCATTACCTTCCACAGGCAAGTACTATTCTGATTTCTGTCATATGGATTTGTTTTTCATGTTTATGAATTTCACTAAACAGATATATAGTATGTCTTTTTATGTCTTTTCATTTGCTCCACGTAATATTTTTAAGGTTTGCTCATGTTGTTGTGTGTTTTAGTAGTTCATTCCTTTTTATTGCTGAAGAGTTTTGTTATATGAATATGCCACAATTTGCTATCTGGTCTCCTGTTGACAGACATTTGGACATTAGTTTTGGTAG
Source organism: Homo sapiens (assembly GCF_000001405.40). Classification (NCBI taxonomy): domain Eukaryota; kingdom Metazoa; phylum Chordata; class Mammalia; order Primates; family Hominidae; genus Homo; species Homo sapiens. Next base: position 74,448,425 of record NC_000008.11, read on the forward strand.
TTTTGAAAGAAAGCTGTGATGCATGTTCTTTTTTTGGACATGTATTTTCATTTCTCTTTGATATTTACAATGAAACTAACAATAATTTTGTAAAGTGTTTTACCAGTGTACACTCTCCCTAGTAGTGAATGAGTGTTCTAGTTGCTCCATGTCCTCACTAACATTTTATTGTTGTTCGTTTTACTGTTGTTAGCCAATCTAGTGGATGTAAAATGTTATCTAATTGTGGTTTTACTTGGCCTTTCCCTGATGACTTTCCTTGATTTTGAGAACCTTTTCATGTGCTTATTGGCCTTTTGAATGTCACATACAATGTGGTCTTTCATGTCCTGACTTATTTTAAGAATTACGTAGTCTGTTAGTTGATTGTAGGAGTTTTTTGGTCAGATATATGCATTACAAGTATTTTCTCTCAATGTGTGGGGCTTTTCATATATTTAATTATGGCTTTTGATTATTAGACATTTTAATTTTATGAAGTCCAAATTAGCAATTAAAAAGTGTTCAGTGCTAATTTGCTTACTGTGTTACTGTATTGTTTTCCTCTAGAAGTTTTATAGTTTTTATTTTTACATTTAGGCAACTTCAAGTAAGTTTTGTGTATGGTGTGAAGGAGGCTCCAAGGTTTAATTTTTTCTATGTATTTATCTGGGTCTTCCAGTATCTTTTATTAAAAAACCTTTCCTCCCCAGTGAATAATCTTAACATTTTTGTCAAAAATCTATTGACTATATATGTTTGAATCTGTTTCTGGGTTGTGTTCTATTTTATTGATCTATTTGCTTATATTTATGATCCTAATTCACCGTGTTGATTACTATAGCTGAAAAGTAACTCTAAAAATCAAAGTTGAATCAACTTTGTTATTCTTTTTCATGATTGTTTTGACATACAAGCTCTTCTGTGTTTAAATATAATTCTCATTGTCAGTTTATATTTGAAAACCTCTTTAGATTTTGATAGGAGTTACATTGAATTTATAGATCAATTTGGGAAGAACTATCTTAACAATACTGACTCTTCAAATTCATGAACATGGTATATATCTTCATTTATTTAGGTCTTAGATTTTTCTAAACAGTGTTTTGTAGTTTTTAGTTCAGAGAATTTGCATATCTTTGTTAAATTTATTCCCAAGTATTTTATGTTTTTTATGTTATTAAATTTTGTTATAAATGTAATTGCTCACAAATTTTATTTTTCAATATGGCACAGTATTGGTAAGTGTATCCTGCAACTTTACTAAGCTCATATATTAATTATAGTCACTGTTTTTGTATTTTTATGTGCAGAATCATGTCATCTGTGAATAAGGGCAGTTTTTGGCCTATTTTAATTAGTTTGACTTTTTTTGTTTTCTTTCCTTATTGCTTTGTTAAAATTTCAAGTAGAATGTTGTAAAATTTCTTTAAGTTTCTGGTTTGCCAAGAGTTTAATTTTAAATAATAAATGAGTGTTAAATGGTTTTGTCTGCATCTTTTAGGTGATCATATGGTTTTCTGCTTTATTCTGTGAGTAAATGAATGAAAACAATTTTAGAAATTTCTACTTTTCAGATGTAGAAATAAAAAATGATACATTCCCATTAAAATACTACTTTAGCTGGATCCAGAAAATGGATATGTTGTGTTTTATCATTATTCAGTTTGAAATATTTCCTTTGGTTTTTTTTTCATGGTTTATTTATATGTGTCTTGTTCAATTTCCACATATTCGGTTTAAATATATATTTTATTATTGACTTCCCATTTAATTCCACTGTTGTTAGATAACGTGTTCTGTAAGATTTTAATCTTTGGGCATTTATTAAGATGTATTACATTTATTACCTAAGATATAGTCCATCTTTGTGAGCATCTGATAAGCACTCAAAAATAATGTGTATATTTTGGAGATGTAGTTTTAATGTTCTATAAATGTTAGATAAAGATCATTTATAGTATTGTTGAAGTGGTTTATATATCTACTGATTTTTTTTCTAGGTGATCTATCAATTACTGAAGGAGATGTATTAAAATATTCAATTCTGAATGTGATCTTTTTTGTCCCTTGAGGTCTGTTAATTTTTGTTTTATGGATTTGAATGACTGTATATTAGATGTATTAAATGCATATTAGACACATACACATTTCTCTGGTAGTATTTTGAAGTCTACTTTTTTATATTGATGTAACCACTTCAGTTTCCTTGGCTTAGCATTTGCCTGGAATATTCTTTCCATCTTTTTATGTTTTACTTATGTGATTTTATCTGTAAAGTATATATCTTGTAGTTGTACTTTTTAGATATTTGATTTGGCAATCTCTTTTAATTGCAGCTTTTAGTTTATTTACATTAATATAATTACTGATATGTTTGGATTTATGTCCACCGTTTCCTATTGTTTATTTGAATAATGTATTTTTTTTCCTTTTTATGTTCTCTTTTTCTTTGGGGATAATCAAATTATTTTAGCATTCTATTTAATTATTAAATTTATTTTAATTATAACTATTTAAAAATATCTATCTATCAAATTTGCATTACTTTTTTACTGTTTTCTTTAGAGATTACCAATGCCTCTTTGCTGATTGGAGTTAATATTTTACTGACTTCATTTAAAATGTAAGACATTTTTAATGATATAGCTCTATCTACATCCATCCTTTTTGTCATACATTTTATATCTACATCTGTTACACACAAATCTTAAATGTTGTAAGTTTATGCAAATCAACAAATTTTGCTTTAAGGAAATTAAGAGGCTGGGCATGGTAGCTCATGCCTGTAATCCTAGCACTTTAGGGGGCTGAGGCGGGTGGATCACTTGAGGCCAGGAGTTTGAGACCAACCTAGCCAACATGGTGAAACCCTGTCTCTACTAAACATACAAAAATTAGCCGGGCATGGTGATGCATGCCTGTAATCCCAGCTACTCAGGAGGCTGAGGCAGGAGAATCGCTTGAACCCAGGTGGTGGAGGTGGCAGTGAGCCAAGATCGTGCCCTTGCACTCTAGCCTAGGCGACAGAGTGAGACCCTGTCTCAGAAAAAAAAAAAAAAAAGGAAATGAAAGGAGTTAAGAGAAGAACAAAGGTTATTTTATTTAAGTACATTTTTACCATTAAAAAAATTTTTTTATAGACCTGAGTTTCCATTTGGTTTCATATCCTTTTAACTTAAATAACTTTCTTTGTGTTTGTAAAAAATTTAGATGTATTGGCATGAAGCCTTCTGTTTTTTGTTTATCTTAACATATCCTTAGTTCACATTCTTTTTTGATGGATGCTTTCACTGGTATAGAATTCTATGTTGACAGCCTTTTCTTTCAGTAATGGAAAAAGATAGATTTTTTTTTTTCTTCTGGCCTCCATTGTTCTGGATAATACAGCAGTCATTCCTACTGATGTAACCATAAGTGCATGTGTCTTTTTTCTTCTGACTTTTTAAAAGATTACCTTTGTGCTTTTGTTTTATAGCAGTTGACATAAATGTGCCTTGGTATGCTGCTCTTTATTTTCTTAATTTAATTTAATTTAATTTAATTTAATTTAATTTAATTTTTGAGACGGAGTCTTGCTCTGTCGCCCAGGCTGGAGTGCAGTGGCGCGATCTCGGCTCACTGCAAGCTCTGCCTCCCGGGTTCACGCCATTCTCCTGCCACAGCCTCCCAAGTAGCTGGGACTACAGGCGCCCGCCACCACACCCGGCTAATTTTTTGTATTTTTTAGTACAGATGGGGTTTCACTGTGTTAGCCAGGGTGGTCTTGATCTCCTGACCTTGTGATCTGCCCACCTCGGCCTCCCAAAGTGCTGGGATTACAGGCATGAGCCACTTCGCCCAGCTGCTGTTCTTTATTTTTATACTGCTTGAAAGTCTATGAACTTTGTTCTTTAAGCCAATATTTTGCGCTACATTTGTGACTATTTTGGCCATTATTTCCTCAAGTATTGTTTTTTTGGTCCATGTTTCTCTTTCTTCAATGCATGGATTTCTAATTACACATAAATTGGGCCATTTGATATTTTCCCATGGACTACTGAGACTCTTCATTTTATTTTATTACCATTACTCTTTGTTGCTCAGATTGAGTTACTCCTTTTGACTGTCTTCAAGTTCACTGATCTACTTTTCTGTTACCTTCAATCTTCTGTTAAGCCCAAGAAATGAATATACATATTTTTTTCACATATGCTTTTTAGCTCTAGAATTTCAATTTGGCTCTTCATTTTAGTTTTCATATGTTCTGATAGTCCTCATCTGTCCATTTATTATATTCATTATAATTATCTTTTTATTTATGTTTTTGCACATATTTATAATTGTTGTGTCTGTTAATTCTACCATTTGAATCATCTTGGGATTTGTTTCTACTGATTGTTTTTTCTTTTGACCTTAAGTCACAGTTTTATTCTTCTTTACATATCTTGTAATTTTTTATTGTGTTCTTGGCATTATTTATGATATGTTATAGAGGCTTTGGATTCTGTTATTTTCCTTGAAAGAGTGCTTTTTTTTTGTTCTAGTAAGCATTTGAATTGTGGATTGATCATGTTAGGTTAGTGGAGGCTTGGGTTTACACTTTGTTAGGGCATATTTGCTTTGGTTTTGTTGTTAGTCGTGCTAAATCACTTAGTCCTGGAACAGACTATGCATAAACAGTGGGTTCTGGAGTTCTGGAGTTTCAGTGGAAAGTCTAAGGTGTTTCTATCCTCTGTAACTTAGTGCAACTTATCATTCAAACTTTGTTTTACCTTTAGTGAGCAGCAGCTATAACGTAGTGTTAATTTCAGGGGCAAACATGGGAGATTTGAAAAACTTAATTGTTTACACATGTAAATGGAAACACAGTTCTATTGGATATTTTATTGGGAAATCTTAAAAAAGAATATTTTTAAATAGAAATTGATCATTATCAATAAAATGGGGACATTAATTATATTCACTCAGGCTATGAGAAATTAAAAGACAATACATACCTAAGCACTTATAGAATCTAGCATATTGGAAGAGTCTGATGTATATTTGCTATCATCTATCCACTCACTCATTCAATTGCCAAAGATTTTTAAATTACTGATTATGTGCCAGGTGCTGTGCTACTCACTAGAGATGCAAATATTTGGTTTCTTAAAGGTGGTAGTTAAAGATATATTTGTAAAAGCCTTTGCATTGAAACTTTTATACATTTGTATTAACTTTTTTATATGTAAGTGAGATCTGGTATTTATTCTCTCTTAGCAAGCCAAATTGAAATCAGGAGATGTTTTAGTTCCAGGTTTGCTGCTATTTCCTCATATGAATTAGGGCAAGCCAATTCTTCTCTTTATCTCTCAGTTACCCATCTATAGAATGAAAGTATTCCACTAGGTTAATGGAGCCTGATTTGTTTTTAAAACTTGAAGAAGCCCCGTGCCCAGTAACAACTTTACCCCTGCAGCTCAACTAAGATGTTAACTGAGAAGTTATATCAAAAAGGTAGTAGTCATCCCTCTGTGAATAGTCTCTCTACTTTATTATCTACTATTCTGAAGAAAACACACACACACACACACACACACACACACACACACGTATTCTAAAGACCCAAGGAAAAATTCATTTTAGAGCCAAACCTGGGAATCAAGATACTATTAAGTATTGTATGTAAATAGAATTATTGCAGCTCATCAGCTAATTCTGTTTTTGTTTTGTTATTTAACAAATGTCTAGTGAGTTTTGGGTCTGTGGTTAAACTTTTTTATAAGGGTTGGATGAGGAAAAATGTTCACCAAACTATAAACTACAGAAATGAGTCTGAACACTTTCTAAATGTGCTTATGTGGGAGGAGTTCAGATAAGTGAAAGAAGAAGTAAGATTGGGGTGAGTGGCTCAGAAATGGAAGTATACTTTTTGGATCAGAAATATGCATAACTTGGGTTTGGCTTCCATTGGATATGGGAGACAAGGGCCAGGTTAAGGGGAAGAAGCCCAATGTGTGGATTTAAAGCCAGAGACAAGCTAATTTTAGATTACAGACATTAGAGATGGAAAAGATCCACAGGATTATATTACCAAACCCATTCCCCTGCCAGTTCAGAATACATTTGTACAGAAAGCAGATCGCATATGAAACTGACCTCAACCAATGGTTGAAAGATGGGGGACAGGCTACTGTGTGCTGCTAGATACATTCACAAGGATGGTGTTCTTCCAAATAAACTCAAGGGTAACAGGGGATTTTCTTAGGGATCATAAATAAGAAAAATGGATTTACATTTCTGCTCAGTCATTGCTCTGGGCCCTAAAATAATATAATGCCAAATAATACTACAAATGCCAAATACAATGTAATAACATAATGCCAAATAATTATAATGCCAAATATAATGATACAAATAAAAATTAGTTCAAGGGGTACTACTTAGATCAAATTAAATTCTTTTGCCTCTTTAAAAGAAGCTGGGATAGACATATTTGAAACCAAGAGAAAAATGTTTTGAAAACACATTCATCTTCTTTAGATAGTATGGTTGCAGTGTTTTGTTCTTAAGATTCCTTGTCTACGGGATTGGGGCTGTTGATGAATATTAGAGAGTTTGTGCCCCAATCTCCAAGAGAGTGGTTCCACAATGCCAGTCTGTTGACTAATACAAATCCACATAGGAGAAGAATAAAGACAATATGAGTGTTTCATAGTGAAACTTTTATTAAAATTAAAAGATTCATCATAATTCTGAGATGAAGATCTTCATTTGCTTTTAGAATATCCTTCTTTAAAAAAATAGTATTGGTACACATATTTGTAATCACTTTTCTTTGCAAAATGAAAGTTGATAAATAACCCTATAGAAATCCCTGCATTTAAACAACGAGTCTATAGCATTCAAATTCAAGGTACAATTTCTTCAGAACAGTCTGAGGGCATTTTAAAAACAAAAGGGAATGTACATCAAAACTAAACCTTTATCAGTTGTGAGATAATCCATTATTTTAGGTGTAACCAAGAAAGAAAACACAGATGAATTATTTGTGCCATCAATGGTAAGATGTATCCTGATATCAGAATTGTTAATATGTGAAAGGATATGACCCAAAGAATCTACAAAATGTACTATATAATTAGCATAAAGAATTTTCATTCATTTAACACATAATTATTAGAAATATTCTTACTGAGTATTTGTTCATTAACACAATGCATTTGAGTTCAGGCTTTGAAGAGTTTCTGAGTGATAACATTAGATCATGTCCTCCATTTTTCATTTTTTTTCTCCTCAGTGTAACATTTCTCAAAATTTGGAAGTCTTCCAAGTTACAGTTTTTAGATATTTCTTGCTTGACAACTATATGTTTGGGTGTGCCAAGTGCTTGACTATGCAAACCATTCTATATCCTCAAACAGTCATAGCTCAGTGGATGCATAGCAGACTAAATAATCACCATAATATATAGGATGTGCTTCTATAAGGCAGGGAGTGGCACTGTGAGCTGCTAGACACATTCCTAAGGATGCTGTTCTTTTTGATAAGTTAAAGAGTAACAGAATATTTAGTGATTATAAATGAGAAAGATGAATTTTAGTTTTTGCTCATCCTAAATATCTATCCAAGTCTTTCTCAAAGAGAACTGCTGAACTTACTCTGTCATATTTATGTAGAAAATAATGCAATTTCATCCCTACGATCAATTATTAAACTCCTCTCATTAGTATTTAACTATACCTCAGTGACAATTTTTTGTTCATGCTCAAATTCCCTAGTTAGTACAATTGCAATTTTTAGTATTGCAAAATACAGGCACACTAACTAACCTGAAGTTCATCATAGTTCTGTCACTGGGGGAGATTAGGTGGGGCTGGACTTATAAAGAGGCAATGTTGGAATTTTTTGTAAAAAACAGTCTGTCTTGTATCTGAAAAGCTTTACTCTAGAAAAGTCTATTATATAGAGGTTTTATTAAGTTAGCCCAATTTCTTTACCAGAAACATAGAACAACTACTTATCAATTTTTATGTTTTCCTACTGCTTAGTATCCATGGTGCACCTATAGGAAAACAGTGTGGTTCAGAGTAAATAAAATGAAGATCAGGATTGAGAAAATCAGATCATGACCCCTTAATAGAAAAATTCGTTTTGGCTTCATTCATGTCTAAATATCTCCATTTAATGGTGCTGATACTTCATCAGAGATAGTAGGGAAACGCTGAAAATGTTCTGTGGAAATGCTAGTAGATATGGACAGGAGACAGAGTTTTAGCTGTTTCTTGAAGACAGTTATAATAGGTAGTATATGTGCTCTCAGTGGTGCATGTTGACACTGAAAAACAACTGATAGGAAACCCACTATGCAATTATAAAATACTCATGATACTGAAATAGCAGTCTTTTTTGTGCCACAGGTTCACGGTAGGAAAGAATTTTAATATGCTTAAGATGGGGGTTTGACCTAACATTCTGATGTGTGATGAAGTTGAAAATATGTAACTTGGGATAAGAAAATGATCTGTAAGGAGAGGAGAAGGAAATTTGTGGCTTTTTTCCATTTGAAAATAATTATGGTTTCCTTTAGCCAACTCCAGGAGATTTAATAACTTTTTGTATTGGAGAAGGGTGGCCCATGCCATATGGCTACCCCTTACTTCTGTGTTCAAACTACAAAAAGCACAGTTTGGAAGCCCAGCAAAATTTATTCATTGTAAATTCATTCTGTAATTCTTTTTATGTCTAAAAATTATATTCAAGACCCCTTTTTGGCTCTTGAATTGCCTTTAAAAAAATTAACTGGCAAGTGTTTGAGGAGGCTGAGGGAATAATTTCTAAGTGAGTGACAGAAAACTGTACCCTTTCCGCAGATCATTTCAAAATAACCTTTGATGAGTCCACAATCCATTTTAATTACCTGTGCAAATATCCCATTTCTAATCTTGTGAGCAATGAATGCCCTTGTAACTCTGTGTAATTGCTTGGAATATTGCTACTTAGATATAGAATCCTTTATGAGGGACACTTATTCAACAACAAAATTAAGGGCCAGAGTATTTTGAATTTTGAACTAAAATTCAGCCATGCAACCTTGGATACTTCCAGTTTCCCTTTAAAATTATTTCCTCCTGTTTCTATGGAGAGAAGGAAAAAATGATTTCAGAATGTTATCAGATTGTTTCAAACTATTTATCACATTAAACAATTTGTTCAGGCGGAATAAACATTGATTTCAACAGATGTAAAGGAAGTAGTTATAATATTCTGCTTGTTCAACATGTTAAACATCTATTTTTTTAAACGAAGAACATTTAAAGAATTTCATAGAGATTTTTATTTTGTCCCTTTTTCCAAAGAAGACTTAGAGAAAATTTCAGCTACTTGGCAATTGACAAAAATGTTTAGAGAATGACCACAATCACCCAGATTCACTTTGAGTAGTGTTTAAGCTACAAGACACTATGACTCAGTGATCAGAGGCAAATCTCTTAAACTGTTAGTCTCTTCATATTTATTTTTCCAAACATGTAATTATGATTACCATGATATTATCAGTAAAGTCCATCATAGTCCTTGGAAGTAGTGTACTACTTATATGACTTATGATAATTCTTTCTTCAAATGATAACATCCATTTGTAGTTTTTAAGAATAACTGTTCACCGTCCCTAAATGAGTTGCTATCATTACCCCTAAAACATAGAGTTGAAGTCATCCCTACAGTTTTGAGGGGATATAATAAATACAATATTGACATGGTGTGCTCCTATTCTTAAAGAATTTTATTAACTCATTGCAAACTTTATTGAGATGGTGAATTCAAATGAATACCTATACTTTAGCAGTTTAATCCCCAATGAAGATTATTTTATAACATGGAAATATTAAATATTAATATATATAAATTAATATAACAAGGAAATATTAATTTTCTTTAAGCTATGAGTAAATGACCATGACCAGATTGTCCCAAGACACCACTCATTCTAAGTTTGTGAGGTCATTATAAAGGACACATGTGAAATGAAGACAATGTTTACAGTTGTTGGCCCATGGCCCACTTACATGGATACACTTCTTCAGTAGTGTAGAATGAATGTCCTGGTTTGATCTGCCCATGCTGGGTTAAACAGGGTCCAAATGAGGAAGCAGTGCAAGGTCCATCCACAACTCAAGAATGGTTTTGTATAGCAAATGGAAAGAAGAAGATACTTTGATGAATTGTGTTTGTTTCTTCTTGAGTTTAGTGGGATATTGGAGCATTTCAAGACTAGTTCTCAAGTTGTAAGGATCCATTTCCACAGGGATGATATACCAGGTTAAATAGTGTCACCTCAAAATTCTTATCTACCTGGACCCTGTGAATTTAACCTTATTTGGAGATAGAGTCTTTGCAGATGAATCAATTGTAGTGAGGTCATATTGGATTAGAGCGGCCCCCAGTCCAATATGACTTGTGTCCTTATAAGAAGAGAGAAATTGAGGCACACACACCAGGTGGGGATTTGAGAGGCAGCCACAGAAGATAGAAAAGAGGCCAGCAGCACGCTCTTCACTGAGCCTCCAGACACCCTGCTGATATTTCAATTTCAGATTTTTGGCCTCCAGACTATGGGAGAAAAAATTTTGGTGGTTTTAACTCACCCTGTTTCTGGTAATTAGTTTGCGCAGCCCTTGGAAACTATACAGGTGATAACTGGGTCTGATAGTGAATTGGTTCACTAATGGGGCAAGAAAATATTCATAAAAATGGAGGGGTACAATCAGACCCTGGTGTGCTGTGCCAACACTTGGTGGGTGGAAGCCCAAAAGAGGTAAGAAAACAAAAGCAGAGAAGTACCAGAAATAACTCAAACAAGCTCTACTTTTCAAAAAAAGAGAGCTTCATCAGTGTCATATATAATGGAAATAATGAGGAGAATGAGACCTAGAGAAAGGGAGCTGGCAGGATATAGATTATCAGACACTTTTGAGAAAACATTTTAAAAGAGCAGCATCTCTCAATCTTGAGTGTGCATAAGAATGACACACAGACCTTTTTAAAAATGCAAGTCCCAGAGCGACCTCTGTGGATAGTAATTCTATAGATCTAGTGTTTTGTCTGGGATTCTGCATTTTGACAGGCACTCCAGGTGATTCTGAGGCAGAAGCTTCTGGCACTTCAATTTGTGAAACGCTAATGCAATGGTGAAGTCAGGGTGAATCAGGGTTTGTGGAACCAGAAACTAATACTATTTAGGGACTTTAAGCAAAAGAATAGGAATAAAATGAATATTTATTGAGTGAGAAAAGGAATAACAAATTATACATTGAAAAGTACAATTGTCTTCCACTTTAAAGACATTTTGAAGTTTCTGCCAATTTTATTTCTTTTGGTTAACAGGTTTGGCTTCCACTGGGATACTTCTTTAGAATATATTTGATGTTTTATATGAATAATTCTGAAAATGTACAAAATTAATTTGAAATTAAGGCATGCGCAGGAGCTATTCAAATGTACTTAAAATTACAACCACATTATATTCAGCAACATAATTCTGAATAAATTACTCTTATGCCACCACTGGATTACTTCCTAATGCAATATGTGCAGGAGCTTTGTCACTGGAATACTTGTTTCTTCAGGCAATTTATCTGTGTTGGTGGCAATCTGTGGGCAGCATTGAGTACAACATCTAGTCTTTAATAAGGATAAAGTGCATCAGATATCCTGAGATACTATCCAATAATTTGGGATGCATAAAACATGTTAATTCAAGCAGACATATTAGTATTCATTGCACTGCTATAGATGTGTGCCCCACGAATGGGGATTCTGATTAATTTCATTCATTATGATCTCCATTAAAAGGAAGAAATACATAATGTTCCTTAAATTGTATGTGTCATGTTGATCAAGCATTTGTTGATAAAGGAGAAATTTATTTTGACTAAGCATCAATGAGAAGGGAATGTTCCATTTGTAACTTTCTACTGATTAGTTTCTGGCTCTGAACCTTCCAAATCTTGATTCTCCTCCATTTCAACACAATTCTGGTGTCAGTTGCTCTATTACAATACAACTTCTGACCCTGCAACTTCATGTCATGTCGCCAATTTTACTAAAACATATGTCTATGTGAACACATTGCCAGGGCCACTTCCAGGGCCTCAGCTAGTAGACTCCTTTATGGGAGGGCCCCTGAAGCTTAAGCTTCCTTAGCTTAATGGAAAATCTAATACTGAACAGCAGGAACAGAAACTGGCCTGCAGGGAGTAAAGGAGGGCCCAGTGGATAGGCAATGAAGTTCCTGCAGGGGCCTGAGGAGTTAATCCAGGAAGAAATGAGCTATGGAATGGTGGTTATGAAGAGTGGTAGGGTCCTAAGAAAAGGTTCTATTTGTGGAGTTGACCTGTTATGTTTGGGGACATGAATATACAGAGAAAGAGAGAGAGAATGAGAGAGAGGAGGAGAAGGAAGATAAACAGGTGGAGGAGAAAGAGGAGAAGAGAAGACAAAAAGGAAGAGAATTAGAATAGCAGTGTTAAAATGTTCAGTCACAGACCCTGGGCTTTTTGCTTTCTCTTCCCACTTTCTTGGAGTTGGTCTACATTCCTGAAGGCTTTGTCCTTGTATTGGGAGAGGGTATTCTCTATCCTCTTGGGCTTTCCCTACAGAACATCTTCTGCCAGCACTTGGATGTCAGTCTGCATCTGAGGCCACTGCCAATGCTTTGTCCCACTTTGGCCTTTGGGCGTTGCACCCTTACCCTCTTCATTTTTCTGCTCTTAGCCATAAATCTGTCCCACATTTCTCTTGTAAAAACCTCTGAGACAGCAAGGAAAGGATTAGAGGATAGGCACAGGAGCATGCTGAGTTAAAAATGGGGTACATAATAAGCTTAAGCAGATTATCCTAATATAGATACTTTCCCGGGAAAGCAGAACATTAATGCTCTGCTCTCTAAAGCCTATTAAATAAACATACATATTATTTAATGACCCTGATTTTTGCCATTGTAAGTTTTAACACATAAATTCTTTATCAAAATTAATCATGAAAGACTGCATTGTAAATAGATTTTCTTTGGCTATTGAGGAGCTAGGTCTTTTAAGAGATTTTGGAACCTGTTGCCTAAAAATAACAACACAATTCAAAGTGCCCACATTTGGCTGTGTTCATATGCTGCCAAAAAAATTCGGAAGAAAAGTGAAAAGTTCACCCATTCATTTGGATATTTCCAAGTATCCAGATGTTTGGCATCATCCAGACTAAATGTTAGGTGACTAATTGATTGGGTTGCTCATGTTCCACATGTTTGGCATTGTATGGATAGATTCTGATTATGCTCTCAGACAGGGAAGTACAATGTGTTTTACATGCTCACATGGGACCCCAAAGCTAATGGTGTCAAATGAATTTTTCCTGTTTGACCCCCATGGGTCAAACTCAGTTCAGTTTCACTTGTATTTTTCATTCCTACAAAAATGCAGGTGCAGCTATTTTATTGCCATTAAATCTCATAAAGCACTGAAAGATTTGAATGAGAAAAACAATTCTGTTCCAGCAGAAAGCATTTCATCCTAAGGAATAAAATTTTCCTCTCTTTATTCCAGCAAATGAACAATAAAAAGTATATGAAATCATAGTATCACTGAGTCTTAGAATAAACATCAAAACTTGAATAATTTTTTTAAAAAGATGGAACTAAGAGATGGAATTTTATAAAAACAAACTTTCAGTTAGATGGTATCTAAACAAACTTTATTATTTTAACACATAAAGATTTAAAAGAGTTAAGAATATGGCTAGGTGATTTTAACTATATATAGTGACTCCTTGAGTTCTGTTTGCCTAGAGTTAATTTTTTGTCAAGTACTTCCTGGCTGGGCTGGGCTACTTATTTTTTATTGATTGTGTGTTCTAAGTGGAGCTATAATAGAAAACTAAGAAAATAGATCAATTTAGGGACCAGAGAGCTACCACAGAAGAGCTATTCGCATTAATTTAAGAGACTTGGGCCTGTGAGCATTTCCTTCAATACATCTAATGACTTAATTCAACAAATATTGTCTGAGCTGTTTTCATTTGAAGAGCCTATTTTCCTTAGTGCCTTGGGACATGTAGAGTTGAACAGGGTAAAAATCGTTCATTCCAGCTGATGGTAAGTTAGAGACTATTGGGCAGAAGCAAGCAATTTTATAAAAATACACTGTAGGGAAGAAATGGTACCTACCAAATAGACATTAATGATCAACTGTCAATACTTCAAGACATTGAGACCTGTAGGAGTTACTAACATATTCTTTAGAAAAATGAATAGAAATTAGGAATAATTTAAGGAACTTAATCCTTCTTGCTTCTGTTTGACACAGAAACCACTAAGAAGAGGGTAAAACAAAAATTGGGAATGAGAATCCTAGAATTTTTTTTATACTTGAATGATTTCAAAAGATATGCCAGCATTTAAACAAGCCTTTAAGAATCTAGTAGATTAGAAAGCATTTGAGTGATGAAGTGACAAGGACGTAAGTTGAAATCAATACAAATACAAAACCTGATGAATTGTTTCATTCAGAAGAGATCAAATTATTAAAAGATCAAGTGCAAAGGGAAAAGTTTATAGATATTAATGTGTTCTGATAAACTAAGAACCAGACAGTACATGAAAGCTTAGCTTTAGGGTGGATGACATTGCAAGTGATATGTAATTAAGGCAATAAGTTACGGCAAATGAGTAAATAACATTTCTAAGATTGATCCTCAGTTGTGGGCTGAAACAAATTGATGTAGCACAGTAAGCATGACTTCAAGAATATTTTAGGATAGGTGTGGTGGCTTATGCCTATAATCCCAGCACTTTGGGAGGCCATGGTAGAAGGATTGCTTGAGCCTAGGAATTTGAGACCAGCCTTAGGAACATAGGGAGACCCCATATGTATTAAAAAAATAAAAAAATAAATTAGCGGGATGTGGTATTGTGCACTTGTGGTCCCAGCTACTCAGAAGGGTGATATATGAGGATTGCTGCTTGAGCCCGGGAGTTCTAGGCTGCGGTGAGCTATGATTACACCACTGCACTCCAGCTTGGGTGACAGAGCGAGACCCTGTCTCAAAAAAAAAAACAAAAATAGTATTTTAACAGAGGTGCTACACAATATGCTGGAATGTGTCCAAAGTGGATCAAAGGATTCTTGCTGCAGGAAAGTGCATTCTGCTATGGAAAGTTTTAATAAAGCAGAGGTTGTTCCTCTGCTTTATTAAACTGTCTAATAAGCACACATCTAATTTAATAGAAATAAGTGTAAGACATATGTAGCTTTGGAGAGAAACTGTCTAATTTAATAGAAATAAGTAAGACATAGGTAGAGAAACTAAACATATGTAGAAATTGGAATATCAACCTTAAAATGGTTACTACCACAATTACAAGAAAGCAATTCAGTAATTGTAATAGTAATCAAAACTTCTGTGTATTGTAGTCATTTATGCAAATAGAGTTGGCTGTATATAAGCACAAATCAATACAAATGACTACATGATGGCGGGATTTATTTAGTAGAGGCCAAATTACTGAAATATCTAGCATAAAGGGAAAAAATCCATAAATACGTATGTACCTGCTATATCAAGAGAAATGCTATGAAACAACTAAAGGAAATGTGGAGGAAATATTTAGTTCTAATATGTTTAACAATACCATCCCAAGAGAGAATAAATGAAGGTGCTGCTGGTGCCTGAGTGGGATTTTAAAGGACAAATCTGGGTTTCCAGAAGGAAAGAGAAAAGACATGGAGACTTTTATCAACAAAACAGGTTTGGGTGAGGCATGCTAGAACCCCAAAGTGTGGAATGATTAGTCAAAGTAGAAAAAACTGGCACTCATAGTTGGCAGACAGTCCAAAATACAGTGCCAATAGGGGAGTGTCAAATTCCGGGTTAATTTAAGCTACTTCAATTCATGGTGACTTGATAAGTTGTAGCATTATAGCAGAGGGATCCAGGCTGCAGTAAAATTCAAAGTCAGTGGGGAACAGGGTCATATTTTAGTGGTTTGCTTGGTTTTCTGTAAGACCCTAAGCAACAGCAATTGAAATAAGAACAATGTGCAACCCTAAGGGAGGAGCAATTGGAAGGGGCTAGGAAGGCTGGCTGGCAAAAGCCCAATGAAGCAAGTTTGTTTTCAAGGAATAGTGTGGAAACTGAAAAACATATGGTTGTCCCTGCGTCCATCTAGACACCCTGAATGCTGGTTTTATAACAGCATACTACATTTTGTGCACACTTCCAGATGGAGCCCCTAATATGCTGTCTTGGCAGGATGCCTTTGAGTTGGGCCTGGATGTGATTGTATATGCTAAGAGTATTGCTAGAGATAAGAATAACTCCGTCAGACAAAGACTGAGGGGGAATGGACAGTCATGCCATATTTAGGGAAAGGGATATTAATTTCATATTCAAACCTAAATACCTGCCTACTGTCATCTTAAATTGTAAGTATCTTCCAAGATACTTACAATTTAAGATATCACCTTTTAAATTTAATTGTAAATAAGTATCTTAAATTTAAAACATCTAAACTTAAGCTGTCGGCCAGGCATGGTGGCTCATGCCTGTAATCCTAGCACTTTGGGAGGCCAAGGCGGGTAGATTGCTTGAGCTCAGGAGTTCGAGACCAGCCTGGGCAACATGGTGAAAGCCCACCTCTACTAAAATACAACAAGTTAGCTGGGCGTGGTAGCGTGCTCCTGTAGTCCCAGTTACTTGGGAGGCTGAGGCAGGAGAATTGCTTAAACCCGGGAGACGGAGGTTGCAGTGAGCTGAGATAGCACCACTTGCACTCCAGCCTGGGTGACAGAGCGAGACTCCTCTCCAAAAATAAATAAATAAAAATAAAAAAAAATAAACCTAAGCCGTGCTATTCTGCCTGAAACTAGTTCCTCCCTATCTTTATTTCAGGTAGGCGCACCCACTTGCTCAAGCCAGAAGTTTAGGAGTCATTCTTGATACACCTGCTTCCCTTACCCCTTTCATGCAATCTCTCGCCAAGCCTTATAAATTTTACCTACAAAGTACTGCTGGTCTCCCTTCCCTTCCACCTCCACTGCCCCACAGAGTTCAAGCCACCAAGTTCTCTGGACTAGATGATAGCCTGATAGGTTCTCCACTTCTCCTTCTCATCTTTCCCCAACACAGTCTCCATCGAGCAGCTTGATCATTTAAAATTGTAAGTCTGGTCAAATTACTCATCTGCTTAAAATAACCTCAAGCCTCCAATTGCTCTTAGCATAGCATTAAAATTCCCCACTATGGCTTCTGATGCTCTGCTGTTCTGCAAGATCTGGCCCTGGCTCCCTCTCCAAACTGCTTGTCAGTCACTCTTCCCTGCTTCAGGCACACTGATAATTTTCAGTTCTTTAATCACACCAAGTTTTTTTTTTTTTTTAATCAATTTAGGGCCACTTAATCTGGAATTTTTCATCATACTTCTAGGCCAAAAGAGAGACCTAGCAGTGTTATTTATTAAATAGTTATGAGCAGAGAACTTGGTATTTATTTGTCCTAACAACTTATTAGCTATTTTTAAAAAACACATAAATTGAAGAACATTTTAATTTCATTCTTAACTAATCACATTTATTAATATGATGTCTGCATCCCTTGCTTATAGCGCAGACTCTCAAACTTTGGAATCAGATTGGATACTGCCATACTCATTTTCTGTTCCACATTGTTTCTTTTCAGAGGGACGTGCTTTTTATCAGAGCAAAATATGCTTAAATCATGCTTAAAATATGCTTTGCAAAGATATGACTTCATAAAAAAATGTAGTGTGATCTAGCTCACCTTGTATCCAAAGGATATTGAGTATCTCTGGATTTCTCTCTGAAAAATTTAAGACATCTCAAAGCACCCCAGGGAGTTCACTGCAGGGCCCCAGGGTTCCTTGGAACACAGTTTGGGAACCATAGCTTTGGAGGGTTTTAGGGAAACGTGATCTGATTTGAGTTAGATTTTAACAGATTTACTTTGGCTTTGTGGAGAAAAAAACTGAAGAGGACGAAGGTAGATGTGTGAAGATCAGTTAACAGGCTACCACAGTAATTGAGAGCCAATGGTGAGAGCTAATGGTGGCCTAGACTGGAGTGGTAATAGTTGGGCAATGAGAAGGAGTGCTGCATAGATATGTTGAAGATAGAGCTTGCAAGATTCGCTGATAGATTGGATTACAGTTGTGGAGGACAGATCAAGGATAACTCTGAATTTATTGGTTTGATAACTGGAAGGATAGACTAACAATTTTAATAGGGGTAGGGGAAAAATAGGAACAGTTTTTACATGTTAAATTTGAAGGCGCTGATTAGATATCCAAGTAAAAACGTTAAATAGGAAGCCAGGGTCTGGTGTGCAGGTGAGAGTTCTGATCTAGAGATACGTACATTTGTGAATCATCACTATGTATTTGCAGGCAGGAGACTGAGTGACATCTCCAAGGGAGTTGGCTATAGAGAGGAGATATTCAAGACAAATGACAGCAGATTTATGCACTGCTGGGAGAGACTCAGATAGAGGGGAATAGATGCTGCTGCTGAAAGGGAAGAATTACTCAATAAGGAATCACGGACTCTAATCCATAGCCCTAGTTAAGGGCTGGCATTAGGAACACAGACAGCTTATACATAGGAATAGGGAAAAGAGTAGAGGATATGGGGATTAATGAAGGTAGGTATTTATATATGAAGATTATCAAAGTTCTCTTTTTATTGTTTCTGTCTTCTCAGTGAAATAGAAGCAAAGCCATCAGCTGAGAGGGACAGCAGTAGAGAAGGAGTTGGAAGTTTGAGGAGAAAGGAGAAGGGATAGAATAGCTGTCTTAGAGAGTGGAAGATCAAATGGAATAGGTTAATCATATCATTGGCGAGCATCATTGCTTACTGGAGCTTAGTGATCATGAGTCATGAATTAAAGTGAGAACACTTAGCATGGTTAAATGGTTTCTGAGCCAGGTTCAGCTTCCCTGGTTCAAGTGTGGAACAGATAAGCAGCTAGATTTAACCACTGTGACATAAGTTCAAAGTGTGATGAAGAAAGAGAGGGCAAGGGGTTTGAGGGCTTATTTGAGAGAGAGAGTATAATGATTGATCCTAGATTTTAAGTGGGTAAGTTCAGTGAAGATATGAGAGGCAAGAGTCAATGAACAGGCAGTGCAATCAGTAGGGCCTGGAGGGTTCCAAGGATGGTTACAATAAAGCTGCTAGGTTCACTGCAGCACAGAGAGTAGGTTCTTGGAATTGAGATTATACAGAGGTTGTAATTATTGGAAATTACAAGGTGGAGGTACCTATGGAGTGAATAGCCAAAGCAGGGTGTTAAACAAGATAGTGGGAGGAGGGGAGGTCAAGGAACTGTAGAACCCGGGGGCTGGACTGATCATTTACATTCACCAGTATTTGCTTTTATGATCTCTGGCATTCTGAGTTGTTCTTAGGCCCTATACACACACATACCGTAAAATAATTTTTCTATGTTTTCTTCTGTTACTTTGAGAGTTTCATTTTTTTATATTTAATTATTTCATCTCTTGGACAATTTTCTTAGAACATGATTTGAGATATTGATATAACCTGATTTTTTTTTTCAGATGCATACCTAGTTGTCTTAAAATCATCTGTTGAATAGTTTATCTTTTTACCACTGGTTTGTGATAATGTTTTGTCATAAATTAAAATTACATAATTATTTGGGCCTACCTGTGGACTTACTGTTCTATTTTTTTTTGGTCTGTTATTTACATACAAGCACCATACTCTTTAAATTACGGTGGTGTTTTAATATGTTTCAGTATTTGTTGGGCTAATTCATCTTCATTACTCTTCTTTTTCAGTGGTTTCTCACCTATATGTATATTTTTCCATATACTTTGGAATCTGCTTATCTATAAAAAACTATTAGTATTTTTAATTGTTGTATTTCATATATACATTAAGTAAAAATAATAAAAACATCTTTGTGATTTGGAGACTTTCTCTTCAAGACCTGTCCATCTGTGCCCCTTAAAGGTGCATTATTCCATTGATTTAATAAATTTCTTGCTACATTTATTATTTACATATATATGTAAATGACCCCATACACACACACACACACACACACACACACACACACACACACACACACATGAATGTGTATATATACACACACACATATATAGGTTGCTAATTGCTAATGGGGTCTTTTATCCCATTATATCTTTTAATTTGTTGACTTTTGTGTATGTGAAAACCACTGATTCCTATATAACTTTTTACCCTGCTAATTTACTCAATTCTCTTATTGTTTGTAATAGTTTTCTAGTTGATGCTCTTATATTCCAAGATATGCAATAATATCATCTGCAAAGAGTGAAAATTTACTGTCTTCTTTCCTAATTTTTATCTTCAAATTTTGTTCTTATATTCAGTTGCCTTGGCTGCTAACTCCAGTACGATGTTAAATCATAGTAGGCATAGTGATCATTTTTCTTCTCCTGTTGTCTTTAGTGGGAATTCCTCAGTTATGCATAATGCTGACTTTGGGCAAAGAATATTTTCTTATCTATACTTACATTATTAATTATTAAAAATTAGGAATGATTTTGAATTTTGTCTTTTTAGCATCCAGGGAGATGATTATATGATTTTTTTCTCCTCAGATATATGCATATGATGAATTATAATAGGTGAATTACATTAATAATCCTGAATTATTCTTACATTATTGGAGTAAACCCAATTTGGTCTTAGTGGATCATTTTTTCTAATGTTCTGTTTTAAATGTACTGCTAAAATAACACATAGGTATTTTTATTATACATACAAGGAAGATTGGTCTGTAGTTTTTTTTCCTCTAATGTCTTCTGAATTTTGACATCAGTGTTAACATATTTGTTTAATAAAAATTAGGATTTTTTTCCTTTTTAATGCTCTGAAACAGTATATATGCAATTAGAGATATTTATCTTTACAAATTTTAAATGTAAAAATTTGTTAAAAGTATTCTGAGGCGGGCGCAGTGGCTCACGCCTGTAATCCCAGCACTTTGGGAGGCCGAGGAGGGCGGATCACGAGGTCAGGAGATGGAGACCATCTTGGCTAACACGATGAAACCCCGTCTCTACTAAAAATACAAAAAATTAGCCGGGCGCGGTGGCGGGCGCCTGTAGTCCCAGCTACTCGGGAGGCTGAGGCAGGAGAATGGCGTGAACCCCGGGGAGCGGAGCTTGCAGTGAGCCGAGATCGCGCCACTGCACTCCAGCCTGGGCTACAGAGTGAGACTCCGTCTCAAAAAAAAAAAAAAAGTATTCTGAAGCCTGGGTGCAGTGGCTCATGCTTGTAATCCCAGCACTTTGGGAGGCTGAGGTGGGCGGATCACCTGAGGTCGGGAGTTTGAGACCAGCCTGACCAACATGGAGAAACCCCGTCTCTACTAAAATACAAAATTAGCTGGGCGTGCTGGTGCATGCCTGTAATCCCAGCTACTCGGGAGGCTGAGGCAGGAGAATTGCTTGAACCTGGGAGGTGGAGGTTGCAGTGAGCCAAGATCGCACCATTGCACTCCAGCCTGGGCAACAAGAGCAAAACTCCATCTCAAAAAAATAAAAATAAAAATAAAAATAGAAAAATAGTATTCTGAAACCATTTGAGCCTGGAGGTTTATTTGGGAGTTGGGGGACTTAGCTTTTATCTTCATTTCTTATATTGATATTACTCTGTTTAGGTTTTTTTTTCCTTCAGTTTTTGTAGCTAATGCTTTCTTAGAAAATTATTCGTTTCGTCCAAGTTTTCAAATTTATTTGCTTGGTGTTAAGTAAAGTGATTTATTATGAATCTTTTAAAATTTCCTCTGTTTCCTCTCTCCTTTGCCTGCTTTTATTTTATTTATTATACTCTAAGTTTTAGGATACATGTGCACAACGTGCAGGTTGGTTACATATGTATACATGTGCCATGTTGGTGTGCTGCACCCATTAACTTTTCATTTAACATTAGGTATATCTCCTAATGCTCTCCCTCCCCTCTACCCCCACCCCACAACAGGCCCCGGTGTGTGATGTTCCCCTTCCTGTGTCCATGTGTTCTCATTGTTCAATTCCCACCTATCAGTGAGAACATGTGGTGTCTGGTTTTTTGTCCTTGCGATAGTTTGCTGAGAATGATGGTTTCCAGCTTCATCCATGTCCCTACAAAGGACATGAACTCATCATTTTTTATGGCTGCATAGTATTTCATGGTGTATATGTGCCACATTCTCTTAATCCAGTCTATCATTGTTGGACATTTGGGTTGGTTCCAAGTCTTTGCTATTGTGAATAGTGCCGCAATAAACATAGGTATGCATGTGTCTTTATAGCAGCATGATTTATAATCCTTTGCGTATATACCCAGTAATGGGATGGCTGGGTCAAATGGTATTTCTAGTTCTAGATCCCTGAGGAATCGCCACACTGACTTCCACAATGGTTGAACTAGTTTACAGTCCCACCAACAGTGTAAAAGTGTTCCTGTTTCTCCACATCCTCTCCAGCACCTGTTTCCTGACTTTTTAATGATCGCCATTCTAACTGGTGTGAGATGGTATCTCATTGTGGGTTTGATTTGCATTTCTCTTATGGCCAGTGATGATGAGCATTTTTTCATGTGTCTTTTGGCTGCATAAATGTCTTCTTTTGAGAGGTGTCTGTTCATATCCTTCACCCACTTTTTGATGGGGTTGTTTTTTTCTTGTAAATTTGTTTGAGTTCATTGTAGATTCTGGATATTAGCCCTTTGTCAGATGAGTAGATTGCAAAAATTTTCTCCCATTTTGTAGGTTGCCTGTTCACTCTGATGGTAGTTTCTTTTGCTGTGCAGAAGCTCTTTAGTTTAATTAGATTCCATTTGTCAGTTTTGGCTTTTGTTGCCATTGCTTTTGGTGTTTGCCCGCTTTTAAAATAATTTTATTTAAAGTATTTTCACTTCATCTTTTTTCCCTGATTAGTTTTGCTAGTGGTTTATTTTACTTAAAAGATTATTTATTTAATTTTTACAATTTTTCTGTTTTCTAAATCAGAGTAAATTTTCCTTTTTTTTTTAAAAAAAATAATTCCTTCCTTTTGTTTTCTATTGGTTTATTTTGATATTCTTTTTCTCAATTTCTGAGTCATATTTTAAATATTTAAATGATTTTTCATTGACTTTTTAAAAAGTATACAGTCTTATGAGTTTTAACATGTATCTACATATACTGGTGAGACCATTACCAAAATCAGGATGACATTTAATTTTCATTACCCTGTTGTAATCCATCCTTTCTCCATCCCCATCCCCAGATAACCACTGATATACTGCTTGTCACTGTCGGTCAGTTTACACTTTCTAGAATTCTATGTCATTGTAATCGTGCAGTCTGTACTCTTTTTCATCTGGCTTCTTTTACTTGGCATATTGATTTTGAGATACATTATTGTTGTTCATATCAATTGTTTGTTCCTTAATATTGCTGAGTAGTACACAGTTATATAGCTATACCAGAGGTTATAGAGGTTGTCCATTCACTTAATTAAATTAATTAATTAATTGTTTTAAACTTTTATTTTAGGTTCAGGAATACATGTGCAGGTTTGTTATATAGGTAAACTCATGTCATGAGGGTTTGTTGTACAGATTATTTTGTCACCAGGTACTAAGCCTAGTACCCAATATTTTTTCTGATCCTCTCCCTCCTCTCACACTCCACTCTCCGATAGTCCTCAGTGTCTGTTGTTCCCTTTTGTGTCCATGTGTTCTCATCATTTAGCTCCCACTTATAAGTAAGACTATGTTGTATTTGGTTTTGTTTCTGCATTAGTTTGCTGAGGATAATGGCTTCCAACTACCTCTATGTCCCTGCAAAGGACATGATCTTGTTCCTTTTTATGACTGCATAGTATTCCATAGTGTACATGTACCACATTTTCTTTATCCAATCTACCTTTGATGGACATTTAGGTTGATTCCATGTCTTTGCTATTGTGAATAGTGCTGCAATGAACATAGGGATGCATGTGTCTTTATGATAGAATAATTTATATTTCTTTGGGTATGTTCCCAGTAATGGGATTGCTGGGTTAAATGATAGTTCTATTTTTAGCTTTTTGAGCAATTGCCACACTGCTTTCCACAATGGTTAAACTAATTTACACTCCCACCAACAGTGTATAAGTGTTCCCTTTTCTCTGCAACCTCACCAGCATCTGTTTTTTTTTGACTTTTTAATAATAGCCATTCTGACTGGTGTGAGATGGTATCTCATTGTGGCTTTGATTTGCATTTCTCTAATGATCAGTGATATCGATATTGAGCTTTCTTTTCTTTTCTTTTCTTTTCTTTTCTTTTCTTTTCTTTTCTTTTCTTTTCTTTTTTGAGAGACATGGTGTCGCTCTGTTGCCCAGGCTGCAGGGCAGTGTTGTGATCTCTTGATTGTAACTTCTGCCTCCCAAACTCAAGCAGTCTTCCCTCCTCAGCCTCCCAAGTGGCTGGGACTATAGGTTCGTGCCACCGCACCTAGCTAATTTTTGTATTTTTTTTGTAGAGATGGGGTTTCACCATGTTGCCCAGGCTGACACTGAACTCATGGACTCAAGAAATCTGCTAGCCTTGGGCTCCCAAAATGTTGGGATTACAGGCATGAGCCACTGTGCCCAGCCGAGCTTTTTTTCCTATGCTTGTTGGCTGCATGTATTTTTTTTTTTTTTGAAAAGTGCCTGTTTATGTTCTTTGCCCACTTTTTAATGAAGTTATTTGTTTTTTTAATCTAAATTTGTGTAAGTTCTTGATAGATGGTGAATATTAGACCTTTGTCCGATGCATAGTTTGCAAATACTTTCTCCAATTCTGTAGGTGGTCTGTTTACTCTGTTGATAGTTCCTTTTGCTGTGCAGAAGCTCTTTAGTTTAATTAGATACCATTTGTCAATTTTTGCTTTTGTTGCAAATGTTTTTGATGTCTTCATTATGAAATCTCTGTCCATTCCTGTGTCCAGAATGGTATTGCCTAGGTTGTCTTCCAGGATTTTTACAGTTTTGGGATTTGCATTTAAGCCTTTAACCCATCTTGAATTGATTTTTGTATATGGTGTATGGAAAGGGTTCAGTTTCAATCTTCTGCATGTGGTTAGCCAGTTATTCCAGCATTATTTATTGAATAGGGAGTCCTTTCCTCATTGCTTGCTTTTTTTCAGCTTTGTTACAGATCAGATGGTTATAGGTGTATAAGGCTGTAGCCTTATTTCTGGGCTCTCTATTGTGTTCCATTGGCCTCTGTGTCTGTTTTTGTACCACTGCCATGCTGTCTTGGTTACTGTAGTCCTGTAGTACAGTTTGAAGTCAGGTAACATGATGCCTCCTGCTTTGTTCTTTTATTTAGGATAGCCTTGGCTATTCAGGCCCTTTTTTGGTTCTCTATGAATTTTAGAATAGTTTTTTTCCTGGTTCTGTGAAGAGTGTCATTGGTAGTTTGATAGGAATAGCATTGAATATGTAAATTGTTTAGGGCAGCATAACCATTTTAATAATATTGATTGTTCCTATCCATGCACATGGAATATTTTTCCATTTATTTGTTTCACCTCTGTTTCCTTGAGTTTGTAGTTCTCATTGTAGAGATCTTTCACCTCCCTGGTTAGCTGTATTCCTAGATATTTTATTCTCTTTGTGGCAATTGTGAATGAGATTGCATTCCCGATTTGGCTTTCAGTTTGTTCTTAGCTAGGAATGCTAGTGATTTTTGTACATTGATTTTGTAATCTGAGACTTTGCTGAAGTTTTTTATCAGCTTTAGGAGCTTTTGGTCTGAGACTGTGGGGTTTTCTAGATATAGAATCATGTCATCTGGAAACAAGGGTAGCTTGACTTCCTACCTTCATATTTGGATGCCCTTTATTTCTTTCTCTTGTCTGATTGTTCTGGCCAGGACTTCCAACACCATGTTGAATAGGAGTGGTGAGAGAGGGCATCTTTGTCTTGTGCTGATTTTTCAGGGGAATGCTTCCAGGTTTTGCCCATTCAGTATGATGTTGGCTGTGGGTTTGTCATATATGGTTCTTATTATTTTGAGGTATGTCCTTTCAATACCTAGTTTATTGAGAGTTTTTAACATGAAGGGATACTGAATTTTATTGAAAGCCTTTTCTGCATCTTTTGAGATAATCATGTGGTTTTTGTTGTTAGTTCTGTTTATATGATGAATCACATTAATTGATTTGTGTATGTTGCACCAACCTTGCATCCCAGGAATAAAGCCTACTTGATCATGGTGGATTAGCTTTTTGATGTGTTGCTGAATTCAGTTTGCTAGTATTATGTTGAGGATTTTTGCATCAATGTTCATCAAGGATTTTGGCCTTCAGTTTTCTTTTTTGGTTGTGTTTCCGCCAGGCTTTTGTAGCAGAATGATGATGGCCTTATAGAATGAGTTGGGGAGGGATCCCTTCTCAATTTTTTGGAATGGTTTCAGTAGAAATGGTACCAGCTCTTTTGTACATCTGGTAAAATTCAGCTGTGAATCCATCTGGTCCTGGGCTTTTTTTGGTTGGTAGGCTATTTATTACTGATTCAATTTTGGCGCTCATTGTTGGTCTGTTCAGTCTTCCTGGTTCAGTATTGGGACAGTTTATGTGTCCAGGAGTTTATCCATTTCCTCTAGATTTTGTAGTTTGTGTGCATAGAGGTGTTCATAATATTCTCTAATAGTTATTTGTATATCTGTGGGGTCAGTGGTATTATCTCCTTTGTCATTTCTAATTGTGTTTATTTTGATCTTCTTGCTTTTCTTTTTTATTAATATAGCTAGCAGTCTATCTATCTTATTATTATTTTTTTTCAAAAACCAACTCCTGGCTTTGTTGATCTTTTGAATGGATTTTTTTGTGTCTCAGTGTCCTTTGGTTAAGCTCTGATTTTGCTTATTCCTTGTCTCTGCTAGCTTTGGGGTTGGTTTGCTCTTGCTTCTCTGGTTCTTTTAGTTGTGATATTAGGTTGTTAACTTGAGATCTTTCTAACTTTTTGATATAGGCATTTAGTGCCATAAATTTTCCTTTTAACACTTCCTTAGCTGTGTCACAGAGATTTTGGTATATTGTATCTTTGTTCTCATTAGTTTCAAATAACTTCTTGATTCCTGCCTTAATCTCATTATTTATCTAAAAGTCTTTTAGGAACAGGTTTTTAAATTTCCATGTAATTGTATGGTTTTGAGCTACTTTTTTAGTCTTGAATGTTATTTTTATTGCCCTGTGGTCTGAAAGAGTTGTTGGTATGATCTTGCTTCTTTTGCATTTGCTGAGGATTGTTTTTTGTCTGATTGTGTGGTTGATTTTGGTATGTACCATGTGGCAATGAGAAGAATGTATATTCTGTTGTTTTTGGGTGAAGAGTTCTGTAGATGTCTATTAGATCCATTTGGTCCAGTGTTAAGTTCAGGTCCTGAATATCTTTGTTAATTTTCTGACTCAATGATCTGTCTAATACTGTCAATGGGGTGTTGAATTCTCTCATTATTATTGTGTGGGAGTCTAAGTCTCTTTGAAGATCTCTAAGAACTTCCTTCATGAATTTGGGTGCTTCTGTGTTGGGTGCATATATATTTAAGATGGTTAGGTCTTCTTGCTGAATTGAACCCTTCACCACTTGTAATACCCTTCTTTGTCTTTTTTGATATTTGTTGATTTAAAGTCTGTTTTGTCTGAAATTAGGATTGCAACCCCTTTATTATTTTTCTGTTTTCCTCTTGGTTGGCAGATTTTTCTCCATCCCTTTATTTTGAGCCTATGTGTGTCATTGCATGTGAAATGGGTCTCTTGAAGACAACATACGATTGGGTATTTCTTCTTTATCCAGCTTGCCACTCTGTGCCTTTTAATCAGGATATTTATGCCATTTACATTCAAGGTTAGTATTGATATGTGTGGATTTGATCCTGTTATTGTGTCATTAGCTGATTATTATGTCATCTTGTTTGTGTGGTTGCTTTATAGTGTCAATGGTCTGTGTATTCATGTGTTTTTGCAGTGGCCAATAATGGTCTTTCCTATTCATATTTAGCACTTCTTTCAGGCGCTCTTGTAAGGCAGGTCTGGTGGTAACAAATTCCTTCAGAATTTGCTCATCTGAAAAAGATTTTAGTTCTCCTTTGCTTATGAAGCTTAGTCTGGCAGGATATGAAAGCTGTGGTTGGAATTTCTTTGCTTTAAGAATGTTGAATATAGGCCCCCAATCTTTTCTGGCTTGTAGGGTTTCTGCTGAGAGGTCTACTGTTAGCCTGATAGGCTTCCCTTTGTATACGACCTGTCCTTTCTCTCTTGCTGCCTTTAACATTTTTTCTTTCATTTTGAGCTTGGAGAGTCTGATGATTATATGTCTTCATGATGGCCTTCTTGTGAAGTATTTTGTGAGGGTTCTCTGAATTTTCTGAACTTGAATATTTGCCATTCTAGCTATGTTGGGGAAGTTCTCATGGATAATATCCTGAAATATGTCTTTCAAATTGCATCCATTCTCCTCATCTCTTTCAGGGATACAAATGAGTCATAAATTTGGTCTCTTTACATAATCCTGTATTTCTCAGAGGTTCTGTTTGTCCCTTTGCATTCTGTTCTCTTTATTTTTGTCTGACTGCCTTATTTCAGAAAGCCGGTGTTCAGTCTCTGAGATTGTTTCCTTATCTTGGTCTATCATTCTGTTAATACTTGTGATTGCATTATGAAGTTCTTGAAGTGTGTTTTTCAGCTCTATCAAGTCAGTTACATTCTTTTCTCTACTGGCTATTTTGTCTGTCAGCTCCTGTATCACTTTATTAGGATTCTTAGCTCCCTTAGATTGGGTTTCAACGTTTTCTTGAACCTCAGTGATCTTCATCCCCAACCAGATTCCATATTTTTGATTCCATTGTTATTGTTTCAGCCATCTCAGCCTGGTTAAGTACCTTTGCTGGAATACTAGTGCAGTTGCTTGGAGGAAAGAAGGCACTCTGGTTTTTTGAGTTGTCAGAGTTCTTGTGCTGGTTCTTTCTCATCTTTGTGGGCTAATATTCCTTCAATCTTTGAAGTTGCTGTCCTTTGGATGGTTTTTTTTTTTAATTCTATTTGATGACCTTGGGGGTTTGTGGTATAAAGTGAACTCAGTCAACTGGCTTTGTTATTGGAAGATTTTAGGGGGCCAAGGCTCAGCTCAGGACTCCTAGGCTGTATTCTCTAACCCTGGGGTACTGATATCAAGACTGGCTTTGTTCTCTGGCTCCTTAAGGTTAGAAACCTGCTGTGTTGGAGGGGCCCAGGTACTCCCAGACTGCTGGTCACAACACTCTAATGGGTGGTGCCAGCCAAAGCACTTCAAAGGGCAGTGGCAGTGGAATCTGTCTTCATTCACATATACCAGCAACAGTGGCAAGGGCAGTGCAGTGCACTGCACACTCATCAGCTGGGGCAAGGTGCTAGTATGTGCTGGGGTACTGGCTTTCATGTGGATGTTCACAGTAGTCGCATTAGCAGCATGGTTGGGGTGGTGCTGTCCCCTTCACCAGCTACTGGGTGTCCGTTCTTGCTGATGGTGGTGTTAGGATAGAGGCAGGGCACTAGTGGGAGCAGGACAGTGTGTATCCTATGCGCACATTCGAGTCAGTGGCAGTGACTGTTCAGAGCCAGGACGGCTTTACTGTTCTTTTTGCCTAGTTTTGTGCTGGCAGCAGTGTTAGCACAGGCACAGGGTGCTGGTGGGGTGGTGGGGGTGGGGAGCAGCTAGTAGGGGTGGGGCTGGTAGGTTCCCTGCCTGCCAACAGACAACAATGGCAGTGTGGCAAGGGGAGAGGGGCAGAGTGCCCTCACACTGGCAGCAGTGACATGGTCAGGTGCACGTGCACACATGTGTTGGTGGGGAAGGAAAAGTAAGGTCCACTGGTGCACAGCTGTGCCGGCCAAGGGATGTTGGGGGTGGCCGTGGTTGAGTGTATGCAGGCAAAGTGGCAGGTGGGAGGCTGCAGTACAGGGAGGGCGTGGGTAGGCTGGTGTGTGTCTATGGGGGCTTCTCTGCTGGTACACTCTACCAGTCAGGTGTGGTCAGCCAGCACAGGAGCTATGATGTGGGCCCCCAGGAGCTACCTGGAGGCTGCACCGCAAGCAGGCATGGCCAAGCTGGGGCCCCAGGAGATGCCAGCAGACTGAGGGGTGCTCAGGTCAGACTGGCCCCATCTTGCAGGTAGTACCATCCTGCAGAGTTCAGATCTAACTTTTCCCCTAAGACTAAAAGTCTCCTAGGCACAAGTCCAGCCTAGGGGAATGGGTGTCCCTGGCTGTGCTCCACTGTAGCCACTCCCACACCAGACCCTCTGGGCTCCGCACCAGCTGGAGTTCTGCCCCTACCACTTGTCTAAGCAGTTCTCCCTGACAACTCAAGTGTGTGTGGTGGCTAAGGGGTCTCCTCCTGCCAGGATGCCGGAGGACTATGGTGAGAGCGGTTGCTCTTGCCAGTTCAACTCACCTCTTCCCCAGGAGTCACTGTGGACCAGGAACAAATTCCAGTGCATGGTAGCCTTGTACAGGGTTCCCAGCTTCCTCCCCTTTCAACTCAGCATCTGTGTCTTCCCTCCATTCACCCTCAATGCTTTCCCTGTGAAGATCTGCTGGGAGTGCACCAGTCTTTCTGATGTCGTGGTCCCTTAGTGGAAGATACTCCTCCTGATTGAGTTTAGTCAGCCATCTTGGTGACATAAGTTAAATGCCGAAATTTTTTTCTAAGCAATGTTTTAGCTGCACTTTACAGACCTTATAATAGTGTTGTTATTATTATTACTTTCTTGAAATTTTGCTTACTGGTTTAAAATTTCCAGGTAGAAGACCTTTCTGTTATTTGGTTTTGTATTTAATTTCTACTTTTATTGCCTTCAAAAGGATATTCTGTATTTTTAAGGCAGATAGTTCAATAAATATTAATCAAGTCTACTTTATAATTATATTATTTAGATATTTTATGTCCTTACCTATTTTTCCCACTTAGCTTTCATGGACTGAGAAGTGGAAATTAAAATCTCCTAATTATAAAAGTGTTTCTATTTATCTTTATTTCCTATAATTTCTTTTTTATGAATGTTGCTTCTATGTTAAATGATATTTTTACCTGCAATTTTTAAAAGATTAAATGAAATCTGTATTAAATGTAATCTTTTTTGCTGAATAGCAAATTACCTGAAATGTTAGTGGCTTAAAGCAATCACTATTTATTTAGTTCTTCTGTGGGTCAGTTGGCCAATTCTTTTTGTCTGGACCAGCTCAGCTAATCCTGCTAGGTTCTCGCCTATGTGTGTAGCCAGCTGGTAGGTTGAGTTGGCAGCTGAAGCTTCTAGGATAACTGGACCCTGTCAGGGTGTCAGGGTTGCTAGGCCAAAAATCCTTCATTATGCAGCAGGCTAGCCTGGGGTTTTTATATGGCAGGCACTAGGTTCTAAGAACAGCAAGAGCAGAGGCTGTAGGGTTTTTTGAGGCCTAGGCTTGGAACTCACAATGTCACTTCTATTGCTCTCTATTGGCTAGAGGAATTAGCTAGGCTATTCCCAGTTCCCATGGTGATCCCTGAGTGAGTGAAGAAATGGACTCTCTTTTTTTTTTTTTTTTTTTTGAGATGGAGTCTCGCTCTGTTGCCCAGGCTGGAGTGCAGTGGCGCAATCTTGGCTCACTGCAACCTCTGCCTCCCAGGTTCAAGCGATTCTCCTGCTTTAGCCTCCCGAGTAGCTGGGATTATAGGCGCATGCCACCACACCCAGCTAATTTTTTGTATTTTTGGTAGAGATGGAGTTTCACCATGTGAGCCAGGATGGTCTCGATCTCCTGACCTCAAGATCACCCGCCTCGGCCTCCCAAAGTGCTGAGATTACAAGTGTGAGCCACTGCGCCCGGCCGGCTCTGTATCTTGATGGATGGAACTGCACTGCAAAGTACTGGGCTATTTTTGCAGTCAGACACATTAACTGTACTGTCACTCTAGGAGTTGGGTTGTGGAATAAAGAGGTTACTTCCAGGATGACTATTCAGAAGTTCAGGAAATGGATACTAAAGGTCTGAACTAGAATATTGGTTGCACAGGCAGAGAAACGTTAAGCATCATTTGCTTTTGGCAAGTGAGAGGAAATGAGGAACTGAAGACTCCTTAGTCTATGATTTCTTGTTTGGATGATGTGTGAATGGTATTGTCATTGTCAGTCATAAAAGGAAGTTGTTGCCTTACAGAAGCTCCTAGCTTCCTTACTGTCTTCCTCTATCTATGTGTTGGTCAAATTTGAAATCACAAAATTGAGTCACATTTCTAGAGGTCAACTTTTAATGTCAAGTATGAAAAATAATCTTGTCCTAGATAATTACACTGTGTCTTTTGAGCTTTCTTCTGTTTCTTATTAAACCTATTCCAATTCTTCACTTTGGAATAGAAGATTTGGGCAATAGGGTGGAAGTTGGCAGAACAGACCTGTTCTCCTATATTTGTTTTAAGCCATTCAGGTAATGGAATTCATCTTGGATCCAGTAGAACTTCCTGGGAATCTAAGACTGTATCCTGATTGCAATAAAGCATTGTTGGGGGTCTTAGTTTGTTTTGGGAAAAAACTAGTAGTTGATATTTATAGAGTACTTACAATGTATCCTGAGTACTTTATGTATTTTAAATGATTTAATCCTTATAATTTTATAATAATCCATTTAGGGAGCTAATATTACCATTTTCATTTAACAGTTGAAGAAACTGTGACACTGAGAGGTTACCAAGCTAGTGGACATTGAAATCAGAATGCCTGGGATTGGGTTTTAGCTCTGTCACAGACTAGCTGCCTTTGGGGCACCCAGTGCATTTGGACGCTAGTAAAAATAATTAGAAGTAATGGTTCTCAGAACAGTGCCTTCAGCCAGGGCAGGGCTAAGCCAGGTCAGTTCTACTACCTTCTAGGATGGCACTTGGAATAGCTGCAGTAATGGCATCTACAAAATTTGGTTACTAGTATATAGACAATATATCATTCCTGACATTGTAGTCCTAAAGTCTGTTCTTTGACTATGTTGGCCTTATCTTGTGAAGTCCATGCCTTATTGTAGAGATTTTTCTTCCTATAACTAAAAATAAGACAGGGATTATTTGCCTACATCAGTGTAATAAAGTTCTACCTTCTTCTATCTCACTTCTTTGAATTGCTGCTCTCCAGACAAACCTTCATTTTGGGCAATAACAACTCCCTTTCTAATAAGTTGTTCACCCCTGTGGCTTTGTTTTGGTCTGACTGGAGCTAGGCCAGTTCAGATTTGCTCATTACTCTGGAGGCTAAAACCAAAAATTGGCTCCTCAGTGTATTATTAACTAAAATAAGCTTCTCTTCTCTTGAATAATTTTCCTATTAATAATAAAAAACACCAGTGCACAATAAGGAGAAGGGGGCTAAAAAGCTTGAAAACTGCTGGGAAAATACCCAATTTTTTGTTTGTTATGGTTGATGATGGAAATGGATTACATAACTTACCATCATTTATTTTAAACAGGCTAGACAAAGGAATAAAACAATGGGGATATAGACATGGGAGTTGGTCTTTAGCAGGGGAGGAGTCTAAAAGAGAAATCTGGTGTAATGGAGATAGACTTTTTGTGGTATGAGGTGGAATGGGGATAAAGGAGCAGTACGGTGGTGAAGGGGGAAGGACTTTCTGTTAGACTTCCCACATGCTTCTCAAACCAAACTGAAGGGTTTTTTTTTGGGGGGGGGGGGTCATCTTTCTTCCAGGATCAAGTAGCTTAATTTGACACTATTTGCCTCATTTACATTCTTATGTTATTCTCAGCAGCAGCATCAAACCTATGGAGTTCACGATTCCTTCAGGCAAAAGTGGCAGCTCCCATGTGATAAGGAATATAGTTCCTCAGTATTTGGCCTCCATGAATATATCAGCAAATTATCCCTATGCAAGGATCCAATATGGCTTTCCAGGGGCCTATCACCTCTACTTCCTCTTCTGATCTTGAGGAATTACTAGGAATTTGTTTCATTTACTTAGTTTTCACATTGTATTCCAGATTTTCTGTCTATAGATGGGCAGGGCATCAACTACTTGTGTGAGAAGATGTGTTATGTGGCATGGTTAAAAAACAAAACAAAAATGGTTAAAAAATGAAAAAAAATGAAACAAAAAATGTTTAGATGATTGGGCATTCCTTTAATATGGACACATCCAAAAGTATCACCTGGACTGCTTGTTTCTTTCCTCCTTTAGAAGTTGTTCATTTGGAAGCAACGTTTCCAGGTTTCTTTCTCCACGACACATGCATATGACAGCCTCTCTTTCCTTATTGTAAGTGAGAAAGGCACACTTACTGGATAAATAGAAATATTTGAGCCTGTGATTCTGGGTAGAAACAACTTTTAACAGAACTTTGGTGTGAAATGATGTGATTTTCATTACAATTAGTTTCTCCTTTCTACACTCTCTGTGACACTAAGTACCTGATGCTCTTGTGCTCTTTCCTCTGTTTTAACAAATGCTCATAGAGGCAGTACAGTGTAGGAGTTACAGACATGGGCTCTGGAGTCAGACTTCCTGGACTTGAATTCTGCTTGTGCCATTTGCTGGCTGTGTAACTTGAATAAGTTACTTAACTGCTGCAAGCCCTGGCAGCTTAATCTTAAAATGAAAGTAAACTCTGTTCTACTTTATGAGGTTGTTTCTGATCACAATAAATGAATGAGACCATAGAGCTAGTGCTCTTCTGGACACACAGTTAGAGTTCTATGTGTAAGTAATTATTATTGGGCATTAATTAGATCAATAAGACACTGAGCTAAGGCCTTGAGGAATAGAAAGAGTTATAACATTCCATCAAATGCTCAGAGTTTATATTCTTACAGAGGAATAAGATAAACACACAATAACAGTAGGCAGCATATAATGAGGGTAGACATTTGAACCATAGTTTTTCAGAATAAGGCTTTACACAGACTATTAGGTTGGTGCAAAAGTAATTGTGTTTCTTGTGGCAAGAACCGCTATTACTTTTGCACCAACCAAATAGAATTAGAGCTGTGTATTAAAGCATGGGTAGCTTTTGGATAGGAAGTCATTCATTTTTCCTCCTTATTAAAGGGTACTCTCAAGATAAAGTATTGGATAAGCCATCTGTGCATTGGCACGCATTTCAAAGAAGTCATCTTTTATAGGGTTATATACATTTAAAGCAGTGTCTTTAGTTATGTGTAAAGAAACTCCATACTCTCAGAGGCACTACTAAGCAGTGAGTGGAGATTATTTTTGGCCAGAAGGATCTTTCCAGAACTCTTGAAATGGTATTATATATTGGTTATATATTTTATCTACCTACAGGAGTCATGCTTAACTCCAGTTATATTGGAATAGCTTCTACTTAGGAGAAGTTGGAGGGCTAACTCTTGCCTTTTGTTGAACCAGGATTTTCTTGAAATGCAGTGATTTCTCCTTCTGCTAAAGGCTGTGTGTCCCAGGGCCACCTTACGGGATAGTTGGCCAAAGACTTCTTTCCTTCCAAGTGGTCACGGATTTCGACAGGATGAAGTGACTTAGGAACTAATATAGTGAGGAGTACATGACTTTGCTCAGAAAAGTGCAAAAATATCTATGTTGTTCCTTCTTTATTGGAGGCAAGAGAAAATTGAATTCAATCTACAATTGTACACAATAATATTGGTTTAATGAATAAATGTTCATTTAAAATACTAATTAAAATTATTATTTGATCTGGAAATTTTGTATAGAAGTTGCTTACAAAAACTAGAAGATTCTAAAAAGTGAAGTTATATTATAAAATTATACCATAAGCTGAACATTAATTGAACATTCCAATTAACAATTTCCTTCTATACGTCATACATTCAGATTGAATTTTTGATTCCAGGACATATTAGCAGGTTATATTTGCATCAGTGAGCTTAGACATATAAAGTTGCTCTTTAAATGACTGAGCTTTTATTCATTCATTCAGGACCAGATATTATAGCAGACATTGCATTTGTAACAGCATTCCATTATGTATTCATTCTTTGTTCTAAGGATATCGGAAAATAATGACAACTAAACATCACAGAACACATTGCTGATTCTGCAATAGTTTTATGATATATAGCTATGAAAGAAGGAGAAGATTTCTGCCTAACTTGGATAAGCAAAGTTGATCATAAAATTAGCCTCAATCATCAAATGGATGAATATGCTTTTCCCATTTCAGAAAAACCATAGTGTTATGAGATACCTGATCCTAGATCCACATTACTGCTCCTGGGAACTGGCAAAAATGGGCTTGCTAAAAAGACAACACACAGAGGAACATCAGTAGATGTCTGGTTCTGCTGCATTCTGCTTGTTATTTCTGTGAGGCAAATCTTATTTTTCTGGATATGCCCACTGAGTTTCCTAAAAGTCCATAAACCTAGTCATCTTGATTCCTTCTGTTTTATCCCCTATACAGTAAGTCAAAAAATCTCTGGTCTATGTTCTCTCATTACCACCGGCCAAGTTCAAGCCCTCATCATTTCTTAGTTAGACTGTGGTAACCATTGCCCAAAGTCTCTTTTCAGCCATTCTCAGATTTTCCAAGTTTATCCTTTACCATTTCAAACCCACACATTCACATGCAAAACTACCCTACTACTTAAAAATCACAAATGGTGCTCTGTCACCTGCAGAATAAAGTTACACTAGTTAATATGTAATTTTTTTTATAATTCCTTTCCTTTGGGTTCCACAGCTTAAAATATTACCCATATCCCTCTTACTTTCTGTGTTTCAGTTATTAAAAACTGACAACAATTCCCATGATACGATTATGAAATCAAAAAGTTATTCCAAATCCAAAGATTTATAGGTAAAATTCTGTTTGTCCTTCAGAAAGCAGTGCAGCAATCTAAGTCAAGTAATTGTTGACCTAGGTTCTATACCAAGAACTGTGACAGATACAAATGAAATAGAGTGACCATTAGTCCTGGCTTTCCAGGGACACCCCTTGATTATGTCTGATATCTAAAAGTCACTATTAATACCTTCTTTTTACTCTCAGTTTGGGTGATAGATTAGGTGGTCCCTCGGCATATGAGGCACAATTCTTGCTGTCATACAGCATTTAAACATATATACAAAAAATGGTTAGAGAGCAATACAAGATCCGATATAATCAAGCACTTAATTTTTTGACAGAGCCCAAAGTGTTATGTTATTATTCGGGAGAGAGTTGAAGTCATTAAGAAAGGCTTTAAATGGGAAGAACCTGAAGGCTGGAGAGACAGAGAGAGGCTTGGTCTTCCAAGTGAGGGAGAAAGATGAAAAAAAAAATCACAGAAGCAGGAATATACATGGCAATTTTGTGCCCCACTGAGGAAACCACCTTGAATCAACTGGGGAAAATGGTTTGTTGGGTGAGGTTTGGCCATTTGATGGGGGATTAGGGGGAGTGTGGACTCTGCTGGACCATAGGAACTGTTGTGGTGTCCAGAGCCCAAGAATGAGGAAACATGGCAACAGTGATGATTTGGAAAACTGACCCAAAAGTGGTGAGTGGGAGATGGTCACTTGTCCTGTGTGGGAAAGAAAATCTGTGGTACTGAACTCAGGGGCAGCAATTCTCTCTTTATTTACATAGCCTCCTTGAGAGAATTCCACTGAAGGGGAAATCCATGTTAGCAAGACTTAGGCTTGGCTCCCACCATTCCATGGGGGCATAGTTACACACATAGGCTGATAGGATTCTTGTCATAGGACGGAATGAACAGAAAATCATTACCTACAGGAAAATGTTTGGTATCAGATGACATGTCTCTTCTCTGGGCCAAGAAACCTATAGAGTTACTATTATTCGTTTTTTATTTTTTATGGCAGGAAAAATATAAATGAAAATACAGTGATGTTTTTCTTATGTTCTAATGCCATGTTTCATGATGCAGCCACAGGCGGTCACTCTATTTTGCTGCCTTTGCTGCACTTTGCACACTTATCACATGCTGAGGCAAGGTTTCCTTCACATGTCTAGCTCTCCTTCTGGACAGCAAATTCTGTGTGGTCAGAATCTTATTTTATCTTCAGTGCTTTGCATAATGCACTTCACGAATAAATTAGTGAATAACCAGCTGACGCTGGAATTTCTGCTTTTGATGATTTTGTTTTCACACAAAGAGGTTGAAAGATTCTCAAAAATCCAGAAAAGAGAACGTACTGTTCTTCTTGAGGCTGAAGCACTGTTGGGAGTTATGAAGCACAGTGGCTTCACTGAGTAGTGAAGGTTGTTGTGGTTTCATTTATGGATCTGACAATACACAAAATTATTACCTGAAGTCTCCTTTCTCAGCTAAGAAGGCCCCATGATATTCCCTGTTTGGATATTAACATATTTTATTGTTCTGCCCTCGGCAGTTTCTCCTATGACTTAAATCAAGTCAATAAATACTAAAGTATAGGTACAGAATCTGTCCTTCATTGCACTTTCTTGATGTTTTTCATTGTGAATTATGTCAGTAAGGCTTCAAACAGCCATACTAGAAACATGAATAGGCTTTGGAGTCAGGTAGACCTCGTTTAAATTATTCTATCTCACTTACTAACAAGCTATGTAACCATTCACAAGTTACTTCTCCTCTCCAAGCCTCCATTTCCATCTGTAAGTTGGGAATAATAATAGAACATACCTCATAGAGTCATGATTATTAAATGAGATTTGCATTTAAAAGACCATGGCACAGTGCCTGGCACATGGTAAACCCTTGATTAATGTTAGCTTTATTAATATTATATGTGAAAATAGGCTGTTCCCAGAAAACGAAATAGGTCAGTTGTCTTAGAATTAGCAGTTTGATACATTGCAGTGGAAATGAAGGAAACCATTTCAACAAAAACATACCTTAAGGAAGATGAATGCAAGCCCCAAAGTGAGGGAAATAGGAAAACTAAGATATATTATTATTTTTCTAAAACATTAATTCATAGCCATTCTTCTTTCCATCCTGGCTTCCAATATTGCATAGAGGAGGGATATACTGCCTCTTAAAAGGGAATTAAAACTTCTTTGTCCAAGCTGGCAAATGTGGGCAAATCCTCTTGTATCTGATGATGGCTAGATGAACATAGCAGGTGTCTGGCTTAATATAATTGAGAAAAGCGGGAAATATGAATATTCAATACTCACTGAAAATGATGGGCTTGGCAGGGGTAGACCTAAATGGCTGAAGCCAAATGTGAAGTTCATGTGTTCCATTGGTCCTTTTTACTTCTCTGGCAGGACTGGAAAGTAATGTAGATATGAACAATTTTCTAGGAAATTCAAAAGGTAGAGAGGTACAGTAGGTCATTTAGGCCAAGAGATCTATTTTATATTTGCCTCTTTAACTTAATCTTAGGATCTAAGAATCAGCTCTGGATTGAGCTTTGAGGTCCACTGAGAGGAAAGGCATCCATCCTGCCATCAGCTGAAGGATATGGACCATAAATTGGGAAGTGTTGTTGAAAGACATGCTTGCCTAGGACATTTCTAAGAAGTTACATCTTGATCCAAACACTGGGGTCTTGGATAAAAATGGAGATTTGTGTGCCAGACCTAAATTCAACAGACTTGTTCATATGCCATTCCACACTCATGCCATTCTCTTCTCAGCCCTTTACAGAGAGAATACTTTTCTGCAATGTACTGCTTTTGCTAGAGCTTTTTCAATATGTACCTCTATTTCTTGTACATTCTAGTGATTCTACTAATAAAATATTAGAGGAACAAGCATTAAAGTCTAATTATTAAAGTTAAAAATTATTAAACTAGCACATTCATTCATTCCTCTACTTTGATCCACAGGCATTTTGAGTAGTTAACAATCAGAATATATTTTATCTTTTTCTACGGAAGTTATTGGTAAAGAATATTTGCTTTTAACTTGTAAGGCATTTCCAAAATATCACTGTTGGATTTTGTCAAGCTCTTGAGGGATGAAATTCCTAGGAGTACTTCTTCCTTTCCCCCACAACAGGAGTTTGGGAAGTGTCCTGTACCCTCATCAATTTTTAGTGTAACTTTCTAATCATACTTGGACATAAGAATGACATTTCTTGGACTCTAAAGAAACAAATATGGCTGTGGTTTCTAATGGTGATTGTTATGGATAGAGTGAGTTAGTTGCTACTGACCTAAGTATACTCTTTGCATACACATTGAGACTTATTTTGGTTAATATGTTCTTACAAACTATATAATTAAATGCTGAAGACTATGATTTATTGAATGCAATTACCCAATTAATGTATTTGCTTTCTATTTTTAGCTTCTCATATGCAGCATACTGGTGGAAGAACAGCTCACCTGGTGCCAAAGACAACAGTGGACTTGGCAGAGCTTGCTGCCTTGACAGTGTATCAATAGCAGAGCTGATCTGGCACCTGCCAGTTGGGTTTATTTCAGCAAACCCACTTTAAAAATTTTATTAGCAAATAATGAATAAATAGGTTTGGAGCCTTTCTCCCCTTCTTGCTATCTTATTTTGTATAATCAGGATTGTGTGGAAAATTTTCCTGCCCTTCTGATCTTGCATTAGTGTTTTCAAAGTAATCAATCAATAAATCCTCACAATGGACTCAAGCTGAACTAGGATTACAGGCCAAACTTAGAGTGTTATGGACGTATTTTGAAAAGTTAAGTAGGAAGCCAACAAACTTAAGCATAAAAATCTTGCTTATGAGGACTTACTTAATATATGATTAGTTCAAACTGAAGCAACTTGGCCATGGAAAAATGGTGGCACATGTGTAACTCAAGGACTATTAACCTGATGAATTGTTTTTGAATGGAGTTGTACATATACTCAGTGTCCTGAATATATGTATTGTCCTGGTACATAGAAGCAATCAAGTAGAGTGCATACAGCCACAGAGGCTTAGGGTCTTTATAAGGCCACATCAGGACAGGCATCTTGTTTGATAACAAAATAATGCCCCAGCTTGAGGCAGAGTTAGAGGTCACACACCTTGTTTATTGTAAAAAACCAAAAACAAAAAACCAAAAACAAGCACACATTGTTTATTATGTGCAGCTGACAGGAAAGAAATATCTCTTCCCATGTAAGAAGCATTTCAGATGCCAATACTCTATTACTAGACTCATGATATTAGAAACCACAATGTTACAGTGGTGAGAGAGACCACTATTTCTAAATCAATCTTCATTCATTAAAGCTGTATAGTTTTGGTAGGGATAGAATTGAGATAGGGATGCTATAAAAAAGCAGATTATAATCCAGAATCTTCTTACATTCTCTGATAACAATCATGTTAGGACACCAAACAAAGGATCTTTCGATTGATTAATTTGACAGTGGGAAATATGTATGTTAACAATCATGTTAGGACACCAAATGAAGTATCTTTTGATTGCTTAATTTGACAGTGGGAAATATGTAAATAACCATTGTTTGTATGCATCCTTTATCTCATTCAATTATTGTTGTCATTGTGTATTATTAATACCTGCCAATTCTAGGTATTAATATTAGCTCCATTTTGTAGATTGAGACATGAGGCTTAGGAAGATTAGATGACTTGGGGCAAGTCACCAAGCTACTGCTAGGTGGTGGTGCTGAATTTGAACTTTTTTCACTGAGCTGGTATGCTGTTTTCACTATACAACTCTACCTCTCTTCGTAATTACTATTGTCTGACAGCCCCATAAAAGTTTGTAAAAAAAATTACACCATTGTTGATAAATAGGCACATGCCTTGAATTGGTCCTGCTAATGTTCTCCGTGTAGAAACCTCATATTCATTTAGAGCTCCCCAGGTATCCTAGTATATCAAGATGGTTCTGGAAAGGGAATATAGCTCATCATCTAAGCTTCTCTGTTATTATTTCAATCACCATGCTTTCTGGATTCTTGAGACCATTTTCAACACTCCCCAAAGCATTTTTCTTTATACATACTAGTCCTAACCAGGGCATTTTAGATAAATGACCTAGTATACATGTCCATTTGATCAGCTCTGTAACGTTTTCTAAAATTCCTTCTACTTAGTATGCATTTTCTCATCAGCTCCTCTAACAGGGCCATCTATCATTTACTTCACTTATTCAAGAGGCCCTCTTAGGGAGAACAAATATTTTGCTGCAAGAAGATTTCTCTATCTCCTTACCAATGCAGGGAGCCATATGTTATATTGTAAGTGGAAAGAAAAGTTAGATTGTATCCAATCCATTTTGCTTCTCAAAAGGCTACTGCATCAAATTAAAAAAAATATGTGTTTTATTCTATTTTCTCTTTCTCCTTTCTCCCAATCCTCTTTTCTTTCATTTGCTCACTTGTGCAATCTCTTTCTCTGATCCAGAAGAAGATCCATGGTGGCTTAAAATGGTTCACAAAATATAGCAAAGTGACATAATTAGAAATGAGTGAGGAATAAAAGAATATTAATCATAGAAAGAAAAATACTCTGAATTTAATACTTCAGAGAAGAAGGCTAGGATCAAGTAACTTGCTTGATAAACAGTAAATATACAAACAATACTAGCTATGATTTCATCATGATTATTTTTAGATGAATACAGAATATTGATATTGAAAAGGTCTCTCAGAAAGTTTATCGTCAAAATACATATGCACTTTCATCATTATACATATCGTATTGTGTTTATTCTCTAACTTCTCCTTACTAACTGTAAGCTGTGGTTGGGTAGGACTTTGACTGACTTAGGAGTGCAGCAGATAGTGCTGATGTTCTATCCATATCTCAGGGGACTTACTACTTCAGGGTACACCAGCAGATCTCAGTCTCTTTGCCTAAGAACTTTCTTTAAGCTATGGAAAGCCACTTTGCTCATGCAGGAAAATTAACACCATTCATATCCTCCAGAATCCCTTAACCAAAAAGAATTAGTTGGTGTATAAATATCTCAACTCCCTCACTCCTCGGGCAATATAACTCTATGATGCATGTTTCCCAGAGCCTCCCTATGGAACTAAATCCCAATCATCCACCATGGTAGCTGGCTTACTTTTATTGTCTGCCTTCTCTTTTCATTTTCCCACTTCTCAACCAAATAAACCACTAGAACATGGACCTTTGTTTTAGGATCTGCTTTTGGGGGAACCCAAATTAAGATAATAATTATATCCCCAGAGCCTACTTCAGGATCTAACACAAATTGATTAATTGATTGATATAATTGAAGACAAGTATATGCTTTCAATTATAAATTTATATTTGTTGCTATCCCCTACAATTTTTTGTTTGTAATTTTTTTACTTGTTATGTATTTAGGGGTCAAGGTGCAGTTGTATTACATGGATATATTGCACAGTGATGAAATCTGGGCTTTTAGTGTACCCATCACTTCAATAGTGTATATTGTACCCAATAGGCAGTATGCCATTCCTCACCCCCCTCCCACCCTCCTACATTTTGGAGTCTCGAATGTCTATTATTCCATTCCATATGTCTATGCGTATCCATTGTTTAGCTCTCACTT
Source organism: Homo sapiens (assembly GCF_000001405.40). Lineage (NCBI taxonomy): Eukaryota > Metazoa > Chordata > Mammalia > Primates > Hominidae > Homo > Homo sapiens. The sequence continues at coordinate 74,491,869 of NC_000008.11, forward strand.
ACAAATGAGAATATGTGGTTTTTGACTTTCTGTTTCTCAGTCATTTTACTAACGATAATGGCCTCCAGCTCCATCCATGTTGCTGCAAAACACATGCTTTCATTCTTATCATTAAAAAGATTTTGTAATGCAAAGAATTAGTGTATTGAATCCGAAGGTAAATTTCAAATTTTAACTTCTCAGGGAGAAGAGAACTAACATGATGGTCAGTCTGGAGGCTCAAGTGAGGAAGTAGCCACACTCCAGACTCTGAAGCAGAACGTGCTCCACGTTCATTCCACTTGCTGGCTTCACAGTGATCAAGGAGTCAAGAAGGACCAGCATCTTGTAGCCCTTCTCCATCACTGGGTTAAAGAGAGAGGAATGAAAACCATTTTTCCCCCAGAAGTTTGGGTTTCTTTTCAGCATTCTAATTACCTTATTCATTTTTTGGAAAGACACATAATATGGAATGCTTCCATCAATCACGCACTCTGCAGTCCTAATCAGGGTTTTTGCTTCCTCCTCCCCCGAAGAGCTGTGGTAAATAGATCAACAGTGTGGAAAATTTTAGTTTCCCGTCACCTCTCCCTGTATCTTAGAGCTTAGAGCAAACCTCAGCAACCCGCTGCCTGGTTCCTTGCTCTGGTGCTGCATATAGCTGTTTTAGGTTCTCAGTGATACCAGATTCACCAAAATACAGTTTTCTGGCTTATTTTAAAAATAATCAGAAGATTTAGTAACTCTGATCCTACAACCCTGTGTGGCAATAGTTGGCTGGAACTGCATCACTACTGTCCTGCTGAGATGGGACTCTTAATTTGCATTTGCCAAACCTGCCTGCTTCTCTTATTTCTGTCAGCTGCTTGTCATTTGAGTTTGAGATCCCTGGTAACTCCTTAGAGCTATCTTGTTCTGTTGTGTGTCCTTTGTGCTGGAGGCAACTGGAGGAAAGTCTGGCAGCTCCTCCCTACTGCCTTCCCTCTCTAATGAAGATCACTCTCTGTTGTTATACCTTATCTAGACTCATAGAGGCCCATGCCCATACTTAGACAGAGCTTCTTTGTAAAAAGGAAGGAACTGTAGGAGTCAGCTAAAAGTTAGACTGGGTGACATGGATATGAGACCTTCAGAAGACAGGACACACTCTTTATAGAATGACACTGCAGTTTGAATGCCACTCCCATGCTGGCCTGTGTGGAACACAAAACACTCTTTCAGAACTGACAAGCTCTCTGCTATCTTGCTTCATAAAAGCACCAGGGCCAGGCCAATTACATCTTTTGAAGGCAAAGCCAGCTGTCTCTAAGTCCCCCCAGGGCACGACTTCTTAGCCAAACCACAGGGTCAATGAATTTTTTGGAGCTGCCTTCTAAATACCTCGTTCTCTCTTTATTTTAATGAATCAAGTTTACCTTCTATATTATAATTTTCTGATACTCTGAAATATTATTTTAGCTCCCTCTTCGACTTAGTGCAAAACCATGCCCTTCTACAATCTAGAAACCCAAGTTTTCACCAGTGTTACTGGCCCATTTGGTTCAAAGAATGGAGTAGACCCTGAATAGCTGAATTTTGCGAGACTCTAGCAGCATTTCTCATGACCTTTTTTGAGAAAAAGTGCAAAAACAACTGGATGATGGGATGGTGAAACCCACTAGTATTAATGGAATACCTGCTCTGAAAATGAGCTGATAAATTTATGTTAACTAGGAGAGATGTTTTAACAGCTAATTCCTTAGCACTGTCATATTCATTATCTGTTTTTACAATATTACTGTGGCATGTTTCATATATCATGTTTATTTTTTTAATTAGTACGTTGTATAGCATAAGAATGGATTGTTTACAAAATTTGCAGATGAGATGAAATTGGCAATGTATTATATATAGGCAATGCCAGAATGAGGATCCTGACAAATTTTTTCTTTGCTTTTTTTTTGAGATGGAGTCTCACTCTGTCACCCAGGTTGGAGTACAGTGGCACCATCTTGGCTCACTGCAACCTCCGCCTCCTGGGTTCAAGCGATTCTCCTGCTTCAGCCTCCTGAGTAGCTGGGATTACAGGTGCGCCACCACGCCTGGCTACTTTTTTGATTTTTAGTAGAGATGGGGTTTCACCATGTTGATCAGGCTGGTCTCGAACTCCTGACCTCATGATTTGCCCACCTCGGCCTCCCAAAGTGCTGGGATTACAGGCGTGAGCCACTGCACCCAATGATCCTGACAGATCTTGAGAGGATGGAATGATGGGGTGAAACTATTTGAATTGCACTTAAGAGGAATGTCTGTACTCTTCTATATTCACACAGAAGGAAAAACAGGCGTGTTCAAAAATCACCATTGCACAATTCTAGTGGGAGAAGATGTGGCTTCTTAGCCACACACATGAAAAAGTTTATAGTTACCTGAAGACACAACGTGAGTCAACAGTATGATGTGATTTCCTAGAGCAATGAAATATTGAACAAATTAATGGAAAGATTTTTTTTTTGTCCAGAAAAAGACTAATGATAGTCTCTTTTTACTAACCTAGTTAAGACCAGACACAATCTGATGCTCACTTCTGATACCATGGGTTAAGTAAGACATTGATGGACTGGAGTGTTTAGAAGACAGGAACTAGGTGAGGGAAGCTTACAAACTCTGACTAGTCTGTAGATGGAAAAACTAAAGCCAGACATAATTATTGTTTTGAAACTTTTGGAGGGTTGCCATGTAGAAGGCAGAAGAGATGTATTGTGCATTACCCTTGGAGGGTTGAAGTGTGATCAATGATAAAATGTTAGAAAAGGAGACTGATATTCATGTTTATATAAAGACAGATTTTATAGTTAGACTGGGTGACATGGATTTATGATTATATAAAGAAATACTTTCTATTTATACTGGGTGACATGAATATTTAATTTTATATCCTAAAAATTAGACTTGTCCAAAACTGTATTGGCTGCCTCCGGAGGGATTTTCATTATTGCTTGTGAGATATTAAAGCAGTGCATAGATATGTAGATATACAAGTCATAGATTTCACTAAATGATCTCCAGGCATCCTTTAACATTCTGAAGATTTAGAGTCCCATGAGCATAAGCACTAAATGATCTTCACTTGGTTTAATTTCAAAATAAGATCCAACTTCTAAATCATAATTTTCACTGAAATATACTCAATCAAACCATTCGTTTCTGTACTTGCTGTCATATTATGATATAAAGCTATTTACTCACCTTCAATCTTAGTGTTTGGCACATAATGGAATCTGCATTTGTATTTCTTAGAAGAATGAAAATTTTTGAATTACAGAAATTATTTGGTTCTAGTACTCAGATTTTGATATAAATTATGAATGCACATATTTATGGGCCAGAGCAAGCAAATCTACAAGTGTTATTGTTTTGCACAAGAAAAAAATGAAAATAGGATGCATTATAAATATCTAAAAATGGGATATTGTTGTACCAGTAGTGTATTCATCCCTCATGCCCTGGGTGACGTTGTATACTTTTGCCAAATAGAGAAATAAAGCTCTGGAAACTTTTGTGTAATTATAAACAAAAGCAGAATGAGTTCTCTGGCCCAGAACAAATACAAATTAATGATTTACAGTATGAAATGTATGACTTTTGTTGCTAAAGATGGTGGTGAGTACAAAACTTTCAGCTTGCCACAGTTACATTTATCATGGCAAAATCAGAAAGAAAAGATACCATTTCTGAGAAAACTTTGAAACTTGGCACAAAGTTAATGTCAACTTTTATGCTTGGGGAGAAAGCAGGTGAGTGATTGGTAAAATCCCTTTATCAAATGACACAGTTATAGATTGCATAATATCTATGGCATACAATCTGGAAAAATCATGTGTGGGCCAGCAGAGGCAGTTGCATGGTTGTGCTAGTGTGTAGAATATGAATCATTCCTGAATATATGAGGGAGAAGTGCCTGACCACTTTATGTCTGTTCATCGCTAAATGCTTCTGTCATTCTCCAGGTTTTCTAAGTTAATGAACATTTTGTGACCCATGTTACAGCTTGGACAGGTGTGGAGAGAGATCAGCAGTAATGGGGCATCCACTACATCAGGGGAGGGGTTGATAAGACGAGTATGTTCTACCTCAATATTTATCCACTTTATTTTCAGAGAATTGTTGGTGATCAACAATATACCTCTTTTTTAATTCATTTTTGAAAGAAATAGTGAAAATCAAGATTATGATCAAATCATGGCTGAGTGTATAGCTTTTTTAGTGTTTGGTGCCAAAAATGCAACATGAATATACATCTCTGCTTTTTTTTTTTTTTTTTTTTACACTGAAGTGTGCTGGCTTTTGAGGATAAAGGTGCTCACATTATTATTTTTTTAAAGTGAAGGAAAATTTTTCTTTATGGCTAATTCCAGTAAAGACTATTTCCATGATTTCAAATGCTTTCTACAAGTGGCACATCTTAATGATATTTAGAAGATATTGAGCCTATCACTTCAATTTCAAATATTTCTCAATATTAAAAGAACCAGAAGATGGTTTAATTACCATGAGTTTGAAGTTTCCCAACACCTGACAATTATCGTTACTCAGAAGAGACAGGTTGATTACATATTTTAGGGATATTTAAAAACCAGACATAAATGTTGTTCCATACCTGAAAGAAATAATTCCTTATTTCTTCAGAAAGAAGAAATAAATGCAAAAATAAAATAAAGGAATGGAGTAGAAATCCAGAAATCCAAGATGCTGTATCTTTTGTTGACACATTTCAGGTTTCAGATATGATTCATTAGCTTAGTGTTTGATAGAGCGATGGCAGTAGTTGTATAAGTTAGGAAAGTTTCTTGCTGTAAGTAACAACAAAAATAAACCAGTGATACCATATCAAATGTATGAAGTCTTATATTTCGCACATAGTGAGCTGTGTAGACAAATGTCAATTCTGGCACTCTTTAAGGAGATCCATGATACAGTCTCTGTACTTTCTTGCACCCTTTCTTCATGGTCACAAGATGAGTGCAACAGCTCCAGTCATCATACCTGCGTTCCAACAACAAAAGAATAAAGAAGACTCACGTCTTAATCAAAAGAGCAAAAGCTTTTGCAAGAACCCCAAAGAAGACTTCCACTGTTAATTCATTGTTATATGACTGACTACTCTTGGCTGAGAGTAGCTAGGCAAGCTCTTTTTGGAAGAGGGCAGGAGAAACATTCAAATATTATCTCTTAGTCTTTCATATCGGGCTAGCCAGTTTCTCTATAGAAGAATCTTTCCATCTTCTATCTGGGTGGTGTAAGCCTGGCTGCCAACATGGTGTTCTCAGACTGAGTTGGAAAAGGAGACAGTGGAATTATTTAGTTTGAATGGGTATCTCACTTTCACCTTTCTCTATAGTTCAGCTAGAGATGAATTGTTACCATGGAAATATTTCTTCAGATATCATAGAAGTCAATATCACAGCCAGAACCAGAAAATATACTTTTATAAAACATCCTTCTTTCTTTTATTCATTTATTTAGACAAACAACAAAAATTATCTATATTTATCATGCCTAACATGTTGTTTTGAAATATGTATACGTTGTGGAAAGGACAAATTGAGCTAATTAATATGTATACATTACATTACACACTTTTTTTTTGGTGAGGAGATTTAAAATCTACTCTCTTCACACTTTTCTAGGATACAATATATTAACTATAGTTACCATGATTTACAATAGATCGCTTGAACTTATTCCTCCTGTCTAACTGAAACTTTGACCAACATGTCCCTGGTCCCTAGTAACCATCATTCTGCTCCCTACTTCTGAGTTGAACTTTTTCAGAGTCCACAGATAGGTGAGACATTGCAGTATTTGTCTTTCTGTGCCTGTTTTTTTTCACCTGAACATAATGTCCTCCAGGATCACATGTTGTCATAAATGACAATGCGTGAAGGATTTCCTTCCTTTGGCTGAACAGTTAGTATTCCATTGTGTATACATACACATCAGAAAATATGGTTTTTGAAACGCAAATCACATTGCCCCAGAAATGCAGGTTTAGAAATGGTGAGTTAAGCACTCCAGTCCACAAAGCTATCCTATTGAATCCCTGTGGTAAAGTACCCCTGGTGTTTTATATTCCTCATGGCTGTTCCAAATCCCTAACATTCGCCCTCTTAAGTTTTGTTCCTACATATCTTTCTCTCAGCTTCTTTTTCATTTCCCTGTATTAAGATTGTCTGATATGAAGACTTCTCTTTCCTTTCTTTACTTTTTCCAAAGTCCAACTTCATCCTCTTCATGAATTTTGTCACCTCAGATATTTTTCATTTTTGCTCCCTAAGTCATTTTGATTCTTCTTCCACAATGTTTCATGGATGAATTTCTTTCTTTTCTTTATTATTGTCAACATACTACTTCACGAATTTTTGCTGTAACTTCCAACAGATCTAGGCTCATAATAAGACTTTTGGAGAATCAAAGCACTGAAAAGATTATATACTCTTTCCTGGCTATATTTTAAAGTAGAAAACAAAACAATAAAATAAGTATATATTGTCTAACATGATGAAAACTTTAAATCCTTTTTTAAAGACAACATCTTCCGAGACAGAATTTGGGAGGGATGTCTGTACTCTCTTCAAGTTGTTTCTGAGCTCTGCAACAGGAGAGATAGGGGAGAAAAAATAGGGATGGATTCTTGGGGTATGCTACGTAGTTGCTTTAAGTGATGAGGCAAAAGGGACTTTTGCTTTTCATTATAAGCTCTTAGTGTTTTTTTTAAAACTATGCATTCCATGTATTACATTAATCACAGTATTAGTTTGAATTCACACACACAGACACACACACACACGACCCCAACCCCCCACACCAATTTCTGACCCTGACATTTTCTCTCCCTAGTTTACACAGTTGCTAATTATTATTATTTTTGAAAGTGATAAATAGTATATAGTACAGAAGAGCTTCTAGTTAAAAAACATTACTTTGGGTCCTTTCTCTGTCCTGCTCCCCACTGGGAATCACTTTTGTTTCTGTTTTTAGGTTTTCTGAAGGAATATTTATCATATATATGTATATTAATTTTAGACATTGTCTATTGATTTGCTGCAATGATATATGAAGATTTAACTCTAATACTATCATCAGTTTTTACTTATTTTTGTTTTTTTGCTTTATGTATTCATTTCCTGCTTTTTGTCTTATAAAATATCATAAATATCATTATTTTACAAAATTTTAGAATATGTTATTCTTTCTAGATTTGGGTATGATGACATTTCTCTCATTTATGTTTGATAGTTTTCCCTCTTGGTGGTTCATTTGCTCTTGTGGTTTGATCTTTGTTTTCATTGTGAGCTTAACATGTGTGGGGATTTTCTTCTCTGAGAATCTTGAATGTCCTGGGCTTTGGAAGAATCTTTACAGGGTGGTTTTTGCGTTCACCTGGGTTCTTAACCAGCTCTAAACAAGACTTCTTAAAAATTCAAATTTAGCATTTCTAGCCCCATTTGATTGATATAAATTTGGACTCATCATCCAAGCACAGCACTACCGTGGGTTTCTAGCTTCTTGCCAATAACTCTTTTTCTACGGAGAGCATTGGCAGATGACAAGCTGCTATACTGCTTCCTGCTTAGAAAGGAGTGTTTGGAGGACTCAGTGATTATTTCTCCTTGGTGATAGGACATATTTATGAGGCTTCCAGCTTGACAAAGAATTTATTTCAAAATATACAGCGCTGATGCCTTACATCCTATGCCCACAGAATCATTAAAATCCCCAACATGAGACTGTACTGTTAACATCTATGCCCTATACTTGTTTATACCCCAGTTGTTTTAAGCCCTTTCTTACCATTCTAACAATGAAACGTATCTTCATTTCTGGTTCCTGTAGATTTCTCTTTCTCTATTTTCTTATTTTTGAGAATTGCTCTGATTTTACAACAAAATCTGATGTATCCTACCAAGTAATTTTACATCTTTGGAGTAAGAAGGTATTTTTGCTCATAAACTGCTAGTTTGACTGAAAGTCCCAATTGAATTTTTCCTTAATTTTTTATTTTTATGAAAGTTATTCATACTCATAGTTTTACAAAAAAAAAATCAAAATAATAGACAAGGCTGATAATAAATTATGGGGACTAGAAAATAAATGGACTCCTGGACAAACTCCCTTGGGCCTGATGACCCACCCAGTGATTGTTTCCCCAGTTCCCAAATGTATAATTAGGATTGATATGCTTGCAATTGGCACAAATCCCATATTGGGTGTTGGTCTGAAAGTTAAGGTCTATCATAGTGTGAAAAATAAAGAGGAAGTCTCAGAAGCTACCCTCCATGACAACCAAGATAGTAAATCAATAACTATCACATCCCAGGGTGAGGGATAGAAAAGATTAGGGACATTTTAAGGATCTGAAGCAGGAGCTGGAAAATTATGGACCATGGACAAAGTTGGTGCATGGCCAGTTTTTACACAGCCTGCAAGCTAAGAATGGTTTTTACATTTTTAAAGGTTGTTAAAAAAAAATAAAAATATGCCACAAAGACTGTATGTGATCTGCAAAGCCTAAAATTTTTACCATCTGGCTCTTTATAGAAAAAGTCTGTTGTCCCTTTATCTAAAGGATGCAGGGATGTTGGTCCCAGTACATTGATTTAATTCACCTGTTTGGGCCCTGCAGAAACTGAATGAATCCCGCCGGTGACTGCAGACTACGATAAGCTCAACCACATTAAAGTCCTGATCCCAGTCTTCAAACCAGATATGTAAGTTATTTTTGATAAAGTGGGTTAATATAACATCAGAAATGCATGCTATTTTATTTTTTAAATAACAATTTGAAAACAGTTTGTAGTCACATAGAAGGTACAATAATATACACTTATACTTTTGCCTCAGGGCTTCTTCTGTCCTCTGCCATAATATAGTCTAAACATATTTGCATCTTGGCATCCTGCAGATCATCATATCCATTCATTATATCAATGATTTTATGTTGATTAGTGAGATAAGCCAAAGGCAGACACACTGGAAACCTTGAGAAGACACATGAGCTCTAGAAGGTGGGAGCTAAATATTGTAAAGTTTCAGAGACCATCCATATCTGTAAAATGTTTACATATTTGTGACAATGAGCATGCCAAGATATCTCTTCAAAGATAAAGACAAATTAGTGCACTTTGCACCTCCTGTCACAAAGGAGGCACAAACTCTGGTGGGCCAGAGGACAAAGCAAACTGCATGAGTAGGCAGCACAGACATCACTCACTACGGTTACACCAATGCTCCTTCTTCAGCTTGCAACTATGGCTGTATGGGAAGACCCGTGTGACCAGCTAAAGCTGTCTTTTAAAGAGTTAAAAGCCTGAGCTTAATTTTCAGCTGGGCTGGCTTGGTATATGGAGATGAGCTAAAATAGATGGCAATTGCACTGAAGCCTCAATCAGGGGTAGTCTTGAAAAACAGTGGCAAGGAAAAATTCTCCTGACGGGTGGTGTACCTGGTAGACAACTTTGTGGGTAAAGAGAAATGGCAGGAGATTAGAATATAGATAGACCTCTAATTAGGGGTCTGGAAGAAAAAAAAGAAGGGGAAGATAGGGCCAAGGAGGTCTGGAGTCAAGAAACAGGGATTAATATCCAGGAGTGAACACAAAGTGTGGCAATCTTTGTACATGTTATATCCGCTAGAGAGAACATCCTTCTTCAAAGAGACAGTAGACAACGAAGTAGACAAAATCATCTGGCCAGCCTCTGTCATTTGCCACCCTAGTGCTGGCATGATGGGCAAAGGAAAGTGACTGAGACAGCGGCAACACATAACAGCCTGCACTCCCTTTCACCATGGCTGATGTAGCACCATCACTGCCAGCAACAGAGACTGTCACCAAGTCTCCCTTATGGAGGCTTTTCTTCGGGATACCTACTGGCCACAGTTGACAAGTTCACAACTGAATGGATGGAGCCTTTCATCCTGGAAGGGTCAGCGGTTTGTTCACACAGGAATGGATGCACATTCAAGTGTGGAGTTGTTTTCTGCCGGCCAGGTCTCAGCCAGCATTATTAGCCAAAGGCTTACAGAGAGCTTGATTCACCAGTACAGGATCCCACATAACACTGCATTGGACCGGGGGCCTACTTTAGAGAAAAGCAAGTGCAGGAGTGGACTCATGACCATGAGACTCGATGGTCACATCCCATACACACCACCCAGAAGTTGTCAGCATAATAGAGATTTGGAACGACTTGTTGGGAGCACAGCCAGAACACCAGCTTGGAGTCAACTACATGAGGATGACTCAGGACGCTGGATACATATTTATATGTGTAGAAAGGACTTTTATTTGAGTGCATAACTCTGGTCAATGTTCCTTTCCTTTTCTGGTTTTGGGTAAGGTTAGGGATTAACTTAATAGCATACCTTATAGAAAAGTACAGAGTTTTGCCAAAAACAACTGCAAGTGTAACAGTTACAGCCTATAAATCAGTCCATTCATTGGAAATCCATTTTTTATTTTGTTTTGCTTTATAAAAAGAAAGATTGGACAAGGATCCAGCCCTGTGCAATATAGCTGTGAACAACATAGTTATTTTATCAATCGTTTGCTCTTGTGGACTCAGTGGTATGTCCTTGTAGAATTGGAAGTGTGTCTGTGGGTTCCTGGTTTCCTAGGCTTCCGTTGCCCCCCTGGCCTTTGGAGAGTTTCCAGATGACATATTCTTGACTCGTGTTAATGGCCTAAATTTGTCTACTGTGCAATTTACTAGCTGGATTAAAAGTAATAAAGGTTTTTTTTTGTCGTTAAGAATTTAAGTTAAAGTTTTGTTTGGAAATAATACATCAACTTTTCTTCTAACACTGTTAAGTCTGAGTTGAGAATAACTTATTTAGCCAAATTCCCTCTAAAGATGTAAGCTCTTCATTCACTAATTTTATTACTTTTGATTGAACTCAAAGTTCTGTCAAAAATTTCCTCTCTGTAAAATACATTTCCTTACCCAACTTTCACATTGGGAAAATAATTTTTCCTACATGTAACTCCTCTTTAAAATGCTTCTTTGTCATTTCAAATTGAAATCTCAGTTTTGCCATGGGAAGAGAGTTTTCCAAAATTCCTCTCTCCCAACAGGACTATATGCTCTATTCATTTTTTTTGATATTCATATACAAATTGTTCCCATACTCTAGTGGTTGTCTGAGCATAGTAGAATTGAAAAATAAATTAGTGTAGTTATCCAGAACATTTACATTTAATGTTGTGACAAAAGCCAGAGATTTTGGCCTGAACAGCCACAGCGATTTTCTAAACTGATCAAATCCAGTGGAAGGTTGCTCAATTTTTCATATCTTAGAGGCAAAAAAATCTAATATAAAAATTAAGATGTTAAAAGAGAGGCATAACTGAGGTTTTAATTGGTCAAAAAGTAGAGTGTACCCAGAGCTAGGTGCAGCCACCTTCAGATCCTGAACTAGCCCTCCTGAGTCCTTTATTCCTTTTCTGCAGGCCCTGGGGGATCACCCTGCTTTCTTCTCTTGGCATTTGCCACACCCTGTCTTATTCAACCCTGTATTGAAGTTGTTTCTCTTCAAATCTTTACTGATAGTTTCTCTAGCTTCCTTCTTTTCTTAATTCTGCTGAAGAGACTAATATGAATCTTCCAATCTTTAGTGTAACATTGATAATTAGCTGTGTGGCCTTACATGAGATACTTGACCTTTCTGTAGCTCGGTTTCTTCATAGTCAGTTAAATGAAGAGAATGATGACTACTTCATAGCATTGTTCTGGAAATGAAATGAGATGCACTGCATATCACTTTTAAAAGGCATTTAGTAAGTAGTTGTCCTCAACTTTTCCCTCTCATTTTGTTTCTATATGTACAATTTGAAAGATGCAGAATTATTTTTTAAGTTGTTAAATAATATCATTTTGTGTCGGTGTGAGAACTGCTGGTTTAAAAAACGTTTTCATATGTCTCACCTTATTTGCTGCTGCCACACTAATTTGAGTTAGGTAAGATAATTATTTACTATTCTTCTTTCAGATAAGGAAATTAAATCTCAGGGAGATAAAGAGAAGCAAGTGTCTAGATTCATAATGCCTTCAACAGCACAGTAGAAATGGGAGGGAGGTAGTGACACATTTCCTGTGTTGTGGTGTTTAGTGGAGACACCTCCTCCCTGGGTTGTGGTGTTTAGTGGAGACACCTCCTCCCTGGGTTGTGGTACTGAAAACTAAAGGGTAAATTCTGCAAATGTCTCCAAGTGTTGTAGATCAAAGCCAGGGAAAGCAATCAGAAGCCAGATTGCATTCTAATGGCTGGGGAGACTTAGGCAACAAAACTCGATGAAGAAACCACAGCCTGGAAGAATTCTTTAGAAAGAGCCTAGGTCCCAAGTGGGTACCTTGTGTGGATTCAGAAATGAACTAACAATTTTGAATGAAAAGGACCATTAAAATGTTTCTACCAGGACTAACTACTTTCTTTTGTCAAATTAGCTCAGGTTAATTATAGAGTAGACACTGCCTGAATCTGTATTTTTCTAATTAACATCAAAATCCACTAGAAAGACACGAACATTTAATGTTGTATAATGTATATGCATATGTGGAAACACTATTGGATTTTATGAACTGATGAATATATAGGATTACCTTATTCCATGCCATTCCTTTAACAGATATTTCTTGTGTACCTGGGATGTACCAGGTATACTTCTTGGTATAGGAACTATACCAGCAAAAATTGTCATGGAGCTTATAATAGAAGAGGTGTTTATAGCTTAGTAATATAAAAAATCATACAAGATCTGTAATTTTTTTTACATTAAGAGAAATAAAAAATAAAAAGAAAAAACTATGAATATAATTGGTTTCATCATAATTTCCTTGCATCTGAAGTCATCAGAGTGGTATTATCTACATTGTTAATTATTTTTTCTAAAATTTTAGTAGCAGATAGAAGAAAATTCCTTTTATTTATTTATTTAGTAGTATTTGTATCAAGTGTATATGTTTTAATGTTTCAAGTATATATGACAATTTCTTCTCCACTAATTTTAGCTTGCTTATATTGCTAAGAGCACATGCTAATATAATGCTAATCTATACTAATTTTGAATTATATAAGCAAATACTTTTTGCATGCCACAGAACACTTTTTTCTTTGCTTTCACTGGAGGTATCCACATAGGTTTTATAAACCAAAAATAAAATTCTAAGCCCCCCAACTAACTGAATGGACCCCTCTTCTCAGCCAAGGGCATTCCAAAGTTAATCTGAAAGACTAGTTCAGGCCATGATGGGAAGTGAGGTTGGACATACATACCTCATTATACTCTCCTCCCTTTGGAATTCAGGCACAACTGACCAGCATTAACATTAAAACGGGACATTAAGACTGACAAAGCAGGCTCTTTGTAGCAATAAGATACCAATATGATGAATAGCAGGCCCAAAGAAACAGAAATATTTTACCCAAAAATCTATTTATCTGACATATTTTCAAATGGCCCTGCAAATCTGTCTCTTGTGGGAAAAATCTACATTCTGTAGAGAATCCCTTTTCCTTTCCAGGTCTTTTCCTGACACAGGAGAGAATTAACAAAGAGTCTGGTACCTTTTTAAGTTAAGAAACATTACAATCTATTCTCTCTGAAGCCAGCTACCTGGAGGCTTCATCTGTATGATAAGAACCTTGGTCTCCACAATCCCTTATGTTAACCCATACTTCCCTTCTATTGATTCCAGGTTTTTAGATAAACTCTTTCAACCAATTGCCAATCAGGAAATCTTTGAACCCACCTATGACCTGGAACCAATGTATATCTGAAGTGTATTGGTTGATGTCTTATGTTTCTCTAAAATGTATAAAACTGAGATGAGAAGTCTTCTTCCGATCGAATGTTTTTCTCGATCAAAGGGCTTGTGGTCTCACGGGCTTCAAGGAATGAAGCCGTGGACCGCAGCAGCGAGTGTTACAGCTCAATTAGAGAAACGCACGGACCCAAAGTGTGCGCCGGCAAGATTTATTAAAGCAAAAGTGAAAGTAAAGTGGAACCCAAAGTAAAGCTTCCACACCGTGGAAGGGGACCGGTAAGGGTTGCCGTTTCTGGCTTGGGTGAGTTATGCTTATATCCCCTTATGACCTCTTCCCGTTTCCTTTTTCTGTCCTATAGACTTAGCTTATTTTCTATCCACTTGTGGGTTGGCAGGCCTGATTGGTTAAAAACATCAGGCGGCAGCTAGAGCTTAAACTCCCTATATGATTGGTTGAAGTTTCAATCCCTTAGCTTGCAGCTATGACTCATTTTGGCTTAGGGGAAAAGTCTCCTCAGGGAAGTCCCTATTGACCCAGGAAGTCCAGCCAACCTAGCCCCTTAGTCCCTCAAATCCAGGCTGTAGCCCAACCACCTGGGCCATACATTCTCAGGACCTCCTGAGGCTGTGTCACAGGCATGTTCTTTTTTTTTTTTTTTTTTCCGGGAGTCTTGCTCTGTTGCCCATGCTGCAGTGCAGTGGCATAATCTCAGCTCACTGCACCCCTGCCTCCTGAGTTCAAGTGATTCTCCTGCCTCAGCCTCCTGAGTAGCTGGAACCACAGGCACATGCCACCACACCCAGCTAATTTTTCTGTTTTTAGTAGATACGGGATTTCACCATGTTGGCCAGACTGGTCTCAAACTCCTGACCTCAGGTGATCCACCCACCTCGGCTTCCCAAAGTGCTGGGATTACAGGCATGAGTCACCGTGCCTGGCCACAGGCATGTTCTTAACCTTGGCAAATGAAACTTTTAAGTTGATTGAGATTTGTCTAAGATACTTTTTGGTTTACAGTTTCTTAATATTTTTTATAGTAATGTTATGAGGTAGGAAATACTTATTCATTATCAATTTATTACAGAAAATATGTCATTGGTTCATTTTCTGGTTTAAGGTAACCCAGCTAAAAACTGGTGAGATTGCTATTTAAACTCCGTTTTTTCTAATTCCAGAGTATATGCTCTTTTAAATTTCACGTAATTTCATTTATTCTACAATAACTTAGTGCCATTTGCAAATTCTATTGTTTCCTTTTTCTTCTATTTCAATAAAAATAGTCCTGCTTGTTTGGGCTTAGAAACCAATACCACCAAATGTGGTTTTTCAACATGCTGAGCTGAGGAAGCCACAAGGTCTGTCAGATCCCTGCCCCCAACCATGATTCCCACCCCCAACCATATCTTCCATAGAAGGTGAATTCTTTTATCTACCTAAGATCCAGACTTACCAAGGAGAACAACTGTTTTTTCTTTCCCTCCCTGCTATTTCATAATCTATTGCAGAGATGAAGACCAAGATGTGACCACACTGGAACAGATCTTTTTTCAAGATAGTGACTCTCTCCAAGGATCATTTAATTTTTTAATTTTAATTTTTTTTTTCTTGAGACCAAGTCTCACTCTGTTGCCCAGGCTGGAGTGCAGTGGCGTGATCTTGGCTTACTGCAACCTCTGCCTCCCAGGCTCAAACGATTCTCCTGCCTTGGCTTCCTGAGTAGCTGGGACTACCGGTATGCACCACCATGCCCAGCTAATTTTTGTATTTTTAGTAGAGACGGGGTTTCACCATGTTAGCCAACTGGTCTTGAACTGCTGACCTCGGGTGATCTGTCCACCTCGGCCTCCCAAAGTGCTGGGATTACAGGTGTGAGCCACTGCATCTGGCTGTCCAAAGATCATTTATATCCAAAAACAATTTACAAGTTAATTTTTGTTTCCTATCCAGTCATTCTCCCTAGTAATCATTATGGCCTCTCAATATAATTCCTCTTCTTCTTCCTCCCATAACCTGTTTCAACAGGATCCAAGTCCCTATTCTCCCTGTAATCTCATATGACATGTAAGCTTCTATACCTATTTGGGAAGTTGAGTCTTCATTCTGAAGGCTCCCATGAATACATGTTAAATAAATTTGTCTGCGTTTTCTTCTGTTAGTCAATCTGCCCCAAGTCAGTGGTTTTTCAGTGAACCTTTAGGGAGCCAAGAACCTTGGCCCTCATATACTTTGCTAGAGTATGGTATAACTGATGCAATCATACCAAATCTCTGGATCTGTAATTTTAATTTATTACTAAAGACATCTACATGAATGCAGGGAAATTCATTCATTCAATCAATAATTCAATGAATATTTATTAAGGTCCTATTATTTACTAGACACTGTTTTATATCTGAAAATTTGAGAAATAAAATATAAAACTTGCTGGCTTTTAATTTCTCCAGGAGAGAATACTCTGATCAAAACCATTTGCTCAATTGAATCTGCATACGTGATTTCCAAATTTTCTATTTTTTATTACATTAAATTAGTTGGAAATGAAAAATTTAAATTATTACAAATATATAGAATTATCCAATACAAAAAAATAGTCATTCTGTAGCAGGACGAGCCACAGACAAGAACCCCTCAGACACCAGCTTGTAGAAGGAAAGGGTTTTATTCAGCTGGGAGCATCGGCAGATTCACGTCTCCAAAAACCGAGCTCCCCAAGTGAGCAATTCCTGTCCCTTTTAAGGGCTTACAACTCTAAGGGGGTCTGCGTGAAAGGGTCATGATCAATTGAGCAAGCAGGGGGTATGTGACTGGGGGCTGCATGCACCAGTGATCAGAACGGAACAGAACAGGACAGGGATTTTCACGATACTTTTCTATACAATGTCTGAAATCTATAGATAACACAAGCAATTAGGTCAGGGGTTGATTTTTAACTACCAGGCCCAGAGCGCGATGCTGGGCTATCTGCCTGTGGATTCCATTTCTGCCTTTTAGTTTTTACTACTTCTTTCTTTGGAGGCAGAAATTGGACATAAGACAATGTGAGGAGTGGTCTCCTCCCTTAATTCAAAAGAATGAATAATTAAGTAATTTCATGTAAAGGGCATTTAAAAAAACAGTATTATTTTTTAATTACTCACATTTTATTTGTAATTAAAATTAATATGCTAGAAGATTTGAGACTTATTTTTTAAATTAGGTTAAACATTTCCTTGCAAGTATGTTTGACTGAATCATTAATGTTCTTAGCAAGCCTTGTAACCACTTAATGAGTTCATTTTGCCTGCTGCCCAATAGAGCCAATTTATCAAGACAAGGGAATTGCAATAGAGAAAGAGCTTAATTCACCCAAAGTTGGCTGAACGGGAGACTGGAGTTTTATTATTACTCATATCAACCTCCCCCAAAATTTAGAGGTTAGAGTTTTTCCATGATAGTTTTGTGGGGAGGGGAATGGCTGGGGAATGGGTGCTGCTGATTGTATGGGGATGCAATCATACAGGTGTGGAAAATGGTCCTCATGTAGGCAGAGTTCAGTTTTGGGTTGGACCACAGGACCAGTTGTCAGGTCTGGGTGGAGCCATTGGGCATTAGAAATGCAAAAACCTGAAAAGACATCTCAAAAGACCAATCTTAGGTTCTACAATAGTGATGTTATTTGCAGGAGTAATTGGGGAAGTTGCAAATCTTGTGAACTCTGAAACAATGACTGGTAATTGTTTACATCTACACCTTAGCTGAATTCAGGCTCCTCTCAGCCTCCTAACCTAGTGGTCTTTCATTAGCTTTACGAAAGTGAGTTAGTTTTGGGAAGGCCTATTATCATTTAAACTATAAACTAAATTTCTCCCCAGGTTAACTTGGCCTAAGCCTAGGAGGGGGAAGTTTAGAGGGTAAAGGCAAGATGGGGGTTGGTTAGATCAGATCTCTTTCACAGTCATCATTTTCTCACTGTTATAATTTTTACAAAAGCAGTGTATTAGTTCATTCTCACACTGCTGTAAAGAACTACCTGAAACTGGGTAATTTATAAATAGGTTTAATTGACTCACAGTTCCACAGGCTGTACAGGAAGCATGGCTGGAAGACCTCAGGAAACTTACAATCATGGCAGGAGGCGAAGGGGAAGCAAGCATATCTTACCATGGTGGAGCAGGAGAAGAGAGAGAGCAAAGGGGAAAATGCTACACCCTTTCAAACAACCAGATCTCATGAGAACTCCATCACAAGAACACCAAGTGGGGAGTCCACCTCCATGATTCAGTCACCTCCCTCCAGTCCCCTCCCCTGATACATGAGGATTACAATTTGACATGAGATTGGTGTGGGGACACAGAGCAAAACCTTATCAGGTGGTTTCAGTCTTTATTTTTTTTTTTAATATAAAATAAACTCCAATTAGCTTCAGGTCAAACTTTTAAAAAATCAGAATTAGTTCATACTACATCTGTGTATACAAATCTCTGTGCACAAGTGAATTTTTAATTACTTTTTCTTTCTTTAAGAATTAAAGAGTATGTATATGGAATCAATGGAATCAATTGCTGGTAACTTCACTTTGCCTGAATTAAAGACCCAGGGAGATTTAATCTACGTGTCTTGTAGCCTGTAATTTTCTCTGCCTTTGTCCTATTCAAAACAAGCCTGGTTGAGGGGGAGCAGAATAGAAGCAGTGAAGAAACTCACATTCCAGAATGCATGCTTCATTATTGGAATCTTTGAGCATAATAAATATCTTTATGTCTGGATGAAGACATTATTTAAGATATGTTCTGATGGATTGAGAGGAAGGAATTTCCCAGTTTTAGGTGCATGGGGATATGTGAAACCGAACTTTATCAAATTTAGACTTGGTAAGAGTCTCTGGATGACAATAAAAAGAAATATGTAGTTTATTTCCTATAGGCTTTGAGCAATTTAGAATTAGAAGAGACTTTGGAGAACACATAGACTATTTAGATAAGAAAAGAACAGAAGTCCAGAGAGGTATAATGGCTTGTTCAAGGTCACTCCATTGGTTGGTAGTGAAGCCTGGAGCCAACTCCAGATTCCCTGATGCCCTCTCACAATCTCTTTCCATTACTGGGCTTCCTTGTGGGGTAATTCAAACCATTAATGACTTTCAAATACATGGCTTTCTTTTCTTTTGAATTAAAAGATTATAAGTTAACCTTCTTTAGATCAGTAATCCAGAGCATGAAATAGTATTTGCCCTCAATTCCTCAAAATATAAACTAAGACCCCAAAAGGAAACAAAACTAGACTCTGAGTATCTCAAATATTTATTATAAAATCCCCGTATGGAAGTCATGCATTTCTTTTTCTCTATGGAGAGACCCTCAGATTCTCATTCAGATTATCTGTTTTTCTTTTTATATACAATTCTTAAAAAGCTAGTTAGAAGTGATCATCTAGAAGAGATGATCAATGTCCAGCATGCAATGATACTAGTTCAATTTATAGCTACCTACTGGCATCAGTCAGTCTAGAGTCCTAATAGCAAGTGACTTCAGGAAATTACTTGGGGTGTGTGGGGTTAGAGGGGTTGAGATGTGACTGCTGTGTCATTCCAGTGCTTCTCTTGGCCTGATAATTTAAAAAGCGCTTGCATTCCTCAGATAAAAGTTTCTTTTCTTTCTCAAAGCAATAATAATAGTAAGACCTGACAGTTGATGGCCAAATGGTAAAGAATATTAAATAATGTTGTATGTAAACATGTATGAACTATGCCATTTATAATATTGAATTTAATTCATGTCAAAGAAAAAAGTATGCACAGTATACATTCTGTTTAATAAGTTGGGAAAGTATAATACATTTTATAATGGTGTCTTTCAAAATTGAATATTAGTCTTGAAAATTATAAACCTTAACTTTTTGAAGAATATGTTTATATTGAGTACTTCAGTCCTCAGGAATGCTAGATTGTTTGGTTGTTTAGATAAGTAATGATAGCACTACACATTTAAAAAAGTTACTTTATATGCAACAAATGGTTTAATTACAAATCTAGTGTTTTTCTGCAAGTTGAGTGAGGTGAAGCATTGGAAGGTATTGGTAAGAAATAGTCAATATGGGTGAAATGGCAGTGAGTTCAATTGTTTGTGATGTATGTCCAATTTTTGTATATAATATATACAATATATGTATATATACTTTAAAAAGCGTAAACATATACTTTAAAAAGTCATCTGCAGTCCTAGAAGATGGATGGCAAATATTAATATTTCAGTTCTCTGTGTCTTTTTCAAGGGATTGTTAATGAGCCATTTTGCATGTTACATTCAGGAAGATTTTGAGGTTGTATCTGAATTTGGTGGAGAAAGAAGTGTTTTGAATGATTAGCCATGTTTGAAATAGGCAAAGAAAAGGGAAATGGCACTTGTGCCATTTTTTTTTCAATCCCTGACTTAGATCTATCATGGACTATTTCCTTTTATCATCACTTTAATTTTTATGTTACTGCAAGCAACCAGTGTTTCTGTGTGCCTGAAATCTAATGGAATTCAGTATTAGTTCTATGCTGTGGTGGGAAGGACAGGTGGATTGGATTTGAATCTCAGTTCTCCTAAAGACTAGCATTAGCTTGAGCAATTTTCATGAGTCTTAGTTTAACATCTATAAAATAGGCATAATAATACCTGTATTCTATGGATTTGTGAGAATTGAATGGAAAATTATTAGTAAAACCCCAGCACTATATCTGAAGTTATTTACTTACTTGCCTTCTTTCCCAGCCAGTGCTGGTATGTATTTGGGAACATAATGATATTTTGATACTGATTTTAAGTAGACAGATAAATCTGTTACACAATATTTGTACATTCTAAAGAATAATATACATGAGGCTTAAATATGAGCTCGATTCCTCACTTGCATAAATGTATAAAACTGAGAAACGTCTATTTTACCTGAATGCAACTCTTCCGTGATTTGGTATAATTGATGTGCAAAGATATTTTACATGCTCATTCATACATTGTAACATTTTGAGAGATAAAAGTACAGCGACACAGTCTAAACTAATTAAAAGAAGATTAAGCATAGAATATGTAATATCAACATATAATTGATTTATTTAAGCAATTCTGTTTACTATAAAGTTTAGTCAAGCCTTTGCACTGCAGATCTTTGTTCCAAACATACATTGCTTTTTCTCTTGTTTGCCATACAAATGAGTTTTATTTTCAGAACTGCAGCCTGTCCAAGCACACCCTCTGCTGGTTTATGTCTTTGGTTCAACAACACGTAGGTCCTAACAAATTACCTAACAAGGAGGACCATTCACTTTTAGAGTAAAAGCAGGTAACCTTAGAAGGCAAGCATACAGACAAGCACACACAGATTCTATTTCAGATGCCTGCCTTCTAGTCACTTATCGTAGAGAGAGGATTTATTTCTTTGAATTTGTTGTTTTAGAATTGCATACAACTTCTTAAGGCTTACAGCTAGAATTTATTCATTTCATTCATACATTTCACACTACATGCATGGAAATTACACCATATTTAGGCGTAGCTTGAGAAAAGGAAGAAAGACACAATATCTCTGACTTCTGGGAGAATATGTTCTGCCTAGAGTGCCAAACAGTAAATAAGTGAGTGTAATTTCAAATATATACAAGCAATCTGCAGAAAAGAACACTGTATTGGGGCAGCACCTGTGTGTGAGTGGCATAGGTCTTAACAATAGTTTCAAGGAGGACCTCTCTAAAGGATTGATATTGGCACTGAGACTTGAGTGTTGAGAAACAGTTAGGCAAGCTAAAATCCAGGCACATGAGACAGCAAGGAAAGCATCTTGCAATGGAATAGATCTTGAGATGGTTAATGAAGAAAAAAAAAGAAGCCAGACCATTTTGAATGTGGGAGAAGGCTGATATTAAGCAGAAGTGATAGACAGGAGTCTGATGCTCTATAAGACCTGGAGGTCACTGTGAAGATTTTTTTTTCAAGTGCATTGGGAAGCCATTTGAAGGTTTAAGCAGGAGAGCAATGCCACTTAATTTATATTAAAAAAATGTGACCCTGGCTGTTCTATGGAAATGGATTTTAGAAGAGCAAGGGTGGGAACAGGAAGCAGAAAACCCAGCTATCACTGTGATTCAGGCTGAAGGTTATGTGTTAAAAAAAAGAAAAGCTGTAATAAAGATACCTTTTTTTTTTTTTTCTTTTGGCAGTCTGGTGAAGCCTGTAAAACTCTTTCAGAGTACCATTTTAAAATGCATAACATAAAATAAATAAAATGTCAAATAATCCAATTGCATTGAAATGTAGTTATCAAAATATTAAAAAACAAATTTGGAAATATTAGTATATGCACTCCTTTAGTCACACGTTAAATAACAATAATTAATAGTGTGTATGATAACCACTGTTATTTCAAAGCCATGATAAAGACAAGAATCATTATAACAGTGCTGAAATCGTAATTTTATTAAGAATATCTGTGAATTCTGTTGATGATGAAGTCAAAGGCATTTCATCTATTTTGCCAACTTTTATATTGGAAGGAAATATTAAAATTTCAGTGAAAAACTACCAAACATAAAGATACAATTTTTTGTACCTTCAAGTTTATTGATTCCTTGCTTTAGTGGTAGAGGTGACAGAACTGGCTTATGAATTGACTTTGGGGAATAAAGAGGCAAGAAAAAGAAAGGACCTAGGGATAGATGATAGCATAATTCAGGTGTGTAAATCTGTGTTGAAATGACCAAAATAATATCAACTGTGCCTAGGCCTAGGGCAGATACTTTTATTTATGCAGATATGCAAGTTTGTGGTGATTCATTTCTTGAACTGAACACAGGGTGAAGAGGATCCTCTGTCTGCTTCACAATCACCTGGACCTCACACACTGTTACCAATGCAACAGTGGGGGTGGGGTGCCTGTACCCCAGACACCAGTGCCATGACTGTTCGAGAATCCAGAGCCATAGTCTGTCCACATGTGCCTGTGCTTCAGACCTTGACTTCCAAGTTTACTGTATTGATGCCACTCATCAGTCACTGGTACCACAGACATTGCAAACAAGTCCACAAAACAGACCCAGTGCCAAGAGGGATTCCCTCAGCCACAACTTCCCCAGTGGGAGAAAAATAGATTGAGAGGATCTTTGCAGCCATCACCACCAAAGGCCCCAGCAACCCTCATTGTCACTGCAGATATCCACAGTATTGGATACTGAGGATCCCTGCAATATTCACCAACACTGACCTAAGATGACAGAGCTGCACAGACACAACACAGCTGGCACCCTCACTGATGCCAGAACTGCTGCATCCTATCCATGCCGTCCCCCAGAGAGGAAGGTCTTTCATAGTGAAACTAGCTCATAAAGTCTGCACAAGGTGACTGCTCCGTCAAACACATGGATATCAACATAAAGCTAGGAGAAACATAAAACCAAAGAAACACAGCACTATGAAAAGAATATCATAATCTCCCAGTGCCTGACCCAAAGAAAAAAAGAGCTATAAACTGCCTGACAAAGAATTTAAAATAATTGTTTTAAGGAAGTTCAATAAACATTAATAAAGTACACACAAACAATTTGAAAAAATCAAGAAAACAACAAATGACCAAAATGAGAAATTTAAGAGAGATATAAATAATATTTAAAAATCAAACAAATTATGAAGCTGAAAAATACAATGAATACAATGAGAAATTAAATAGCATCAACAGCAGAATTGAGCAAGCAGAAGAAAAAATCTGCAAACTTGAAGATAGGTTATTTGAAAATATACACTCAGAAGAGAAAAATGAAAAAATAATGAAAAGGAATGAAGAAAGCTTATAGTATTTGTGGGACAGCATCAAAAGAGTAAATATTTGAGTTATAGGAATTAAAAAAGAAGAGAAAGACAAAGAGACAGAAAACTTACTTAAAGAAATAATAGAAGAAAACTTTCTAAATCTGGAGACATATATAAATATCTAGCGACAGGAAGGTCATGTCTTTAGGCAGATTCAATCCAAACAAGACTACATTGAAACATATAATCAGACCATTAAAAATCACAATCAAAGAGAGAATCCTGAAAGCACCAAGAGAAAAGAAGCAAATCACATATAATAGAATTCCAATAATGCTAGCAGTGGATTTCTCAACAGAAGCCTTACAGGCTAGGAGAGAATGGGATCATATGTTCAAAGGAAAACATGTCATTGAAGGAAAAAACCTGCCAACTAGGAATATTGGACCTGGCAAAGCTGTTCCACAGAAATAAAGAAGAGATAAAGACTTTTCAGATAAACAAGCTGAGAGAGTTAATCACTATCAACTCTGTCTTACAAAAAATGATAAATTATTCAATTTGAAAGAAAAGAATACTAATTAGTAGTACAAAGCCATGAAAGTATAAAATTCACTGGTAAAACTAAATACACAATCAAATTCAGAATACTGTAATAGTGAAATGATGGTGTGCAAATAACTTATATCTTTAGTATGGAGGTTAAAGACAAGAGTACTAAAAATAATAGCTATAATAATTTGCTAAGGTGTATACAATATAAAAAGATTCAAATTGTGACATCAAAAACATAAAATGTGGGTAAAGGGGTCAAATAAAAGTGTAGAGTTATTTTATACAATGAAAGTTAGGTCATCATCAGCTTAAAATAGGTTGTTATAACTATAAAGTGTTTCATGTAAGACTCATGGTCACCACAAAGCAAAAATCTGTAGATATATAAAAGATAAAAAGTAAGGAATCAAACCATACCACTAGTGGTAATTATCTAATCACAATGGATGACAGTGAGAGAGGAAGAAAGGAACAAAGGATTTAAACATAAACCAGAAAACAATTAACAAAGTTGCAGTATTAAGTTCTTACCTATCAATAATTACCTTGACTGTAAATAGATGAAATCCTCTAATTAAAAGACTTAAGTAGCTGAATGGATTAAAAAAAACAAGACCCAACTATGTGCTGCCTACAGGAGACTCACTTCACCTTTAAGGACATACATTGATTGAAACTAAAAGGGTGGAAAAAGATATTCTATGTGTTATATAGAGTTTATGGGAGGCCACTGTTTGAACTGAGCTCATACTCTAGGCCTCAGTAGACCACATCAAACTCAAATGGAGTCATTCATTCTAGGCACCATGTAATCAAACAGAAATCTGAAATGGGCCATTTTCCCCAAGCCTTGCCACCACAGGCTGCAGTGCTTTGAGGTTCTAAATAAACTTGACAGGCAGTCCTAGGCCACAAGGACTTCAACTCCTAGGCAAATTCTTTTTTTTTTATTTTTATTTTTATTTTTATTTTTTATCGTACTTTAAGTTTTAGGGTACATGTGCACAATATGCAGGTTTGTTACATATGTATACATGTGCCATGTCGGTATGCTGCACCCATTAACTCTTCATTTAACATTAGGTATATCTCCTAATGCTATCCCATCCCTCTCCCCCCACCCCACAACAGGCCCCGGTGTGTGATGTTCCCCTTCCTGTGTCCATGTGTTCTCATTGTTCAATTCCCACCTATGAGTGAGAACATGCGGTGTTTGGTTTTTTGTCCTTGCGATAGTTTGCTGAGAATGATGGTTTGCAGCTTCATCCATGTCCCTACAAAGGACATGAACTCATCATTTTTTATGGCTGCATGGTATTCCATGGTGTATATGTGCCACATTTTCTTAATCCAGTCTATCATTGTTGGACATTTGGGTTGGTTCCAAGTCTTTGCTATTGTGAATAGTGCCGCAATAAACATACATGTGCATGTGTCTTTATGGCAGCATGTTTTATAATCCTTTGGGTATATACCCAGTAATGGGATGGCTGGGTCAAATGGTATTTCTAGTTCTAGATCCCTGAGGAATCGCCACACTGACTTCCACAATGTTTGAACTAGTTTACAGTCCCACCAACAGTGTAAAAGTGTTCCTGTTTCTCCACATCCTCTTCAGCACCTGTTGTTTCCTGACTTTTTAATGATTGCCATTCTAACTGGTGTGAGATGGTATCTCATTGTGGTTTTGATTTGCATTTCTCTAATGGCCAGTGATGATGAGCATTTTTTCATGTGTCTTTTGGCTGCATAAATGTCTTCTTTTGAGAAGTGTGTGTTCATATCCTTTGCCCACTTGTTGATGGGGTTGTTTGTTTTTTTCTTGTAAATTTGTTTGAGTTCTTTGTAGATTCTGGATATTAGCCCTTTGTCAGATGAGTAGATTGCAAAAATTTTCTCCCATTCTGTAGGTTGCCTGTTCACTCTGATGGTAGTTTCTTTTGCTGTGCAGAAGCTCGTTAGTTTAATTAGATCTCATTTGTGAATTTTGGCTTCTGTTGCCATTGCTTTTGGTGTTTTAGACATGAAGTCCTTGCCCATGCCTATGTCCTGAATGGTATTGCCTAGGAATGAGGGCCTTACAACTCTGCCTGTTGCCATATCCTAGTGTGGCTGAGCTGATATCCAAGTTGTAAGACAAAGTCCCCTTTACTCTTCCCTCTCCTTTCCTCATACAGAAGGAAGAAGTCTCTTTATAGCTACTAGCTGCACTTCCTGGGGTTGGGAGAAGGATGGCACAAGCACTACCTTAGGTACCCTGGCTGATGTCTCACTAGGTGGTGTGATCACAAGTCCATTGGGTCTTGCCTAGAAGGCAAATTCTAAGGCTGTGCTGGATTCAGAGCCAATGGACTTGTGATCACACCACCTAGTGAGACATCAGCCAGGGTGCCTAAGGTAGTGCTTGTGCCATCCTTCTCCCAACCCCAGGAAGTGCAGCTCACAGGTCCAGAAGAGACTTCTTCCTTCTGCATGAGGAAAGGAGAGGGAAGAGTAAAGGGGACTTTGTCTTACAACTTGGATATCAGCTCAGCCACACTAGGATGTGGCAACAGGCAGAGTTGTAAGGCCCTCATTCCAGCCTCTAGCTCCTAGACAACATTTCTAAACACACCACCGGCCACAAGGGAACTTACTGCCTTGAAGGGAAGAACCTGTCCTGGCAGGATTCATCACCTGCAGACTAAAAAGCCTTTGGGTCTCAGTAATCAGCAGCAGTAGCAGGTAGTACATGCCATCGGCCATGGGTGAGATTCTGAGACATACTGGCTTCAGGTCTGACCCAGCACATTCACAGCTGTGGTGGCTAGGAGGAGTTATTCCTTCTACTTGAGAAAAGCCAAGGGAAGAGTAAAGGTAATTTGTCTTGCAGCTTAGGTATCAGCTCAACCACAATGGGGTAGAGCACCAAATGGGCTCCCAGAGTGCTTGATTTTAAGCCTTGGCTGTTGCATTTCTTGACCTTCCTTGGGCTAGAGGGGAGCCCACTGCCCTGAAGAGAGAGTGCCAGGCCTGGCAACATTCACTATAAGCTGACCGAAGAGTCCTTGGGCCTTAAGATAACGTTGGTGGTAGCCTGGCAGTACTCCCTTTGGGCCTGTGGTGTTGGCCATGGGGAGAGACTCCTCTGCCTGTGGGAGTGGGAGTGAAGAGTGGGAAGGACTTTATATTGTGGTTTTGTGACAGTTCAGCTGCAGTAGAATAGGACACCAGGTAGACTTCTAAAATTCCAACTCCAGGTCCTGGCTCCTGGGGAGCATCTCTAGACCTGCCAAGGGCTAGGAGAACTCGCTGCCCTGAAGGAAAGGATACAAGCCTGGCTGGCTTCACCACCTGCTGACGGTAGATCCCTAGAACCTTGAGCAAACATAGGCAGTAGCCAGGCAGTGGTTACCACAGGCCTTAGGTGAGGCCCACTGCTGTGCTGACTTCTGACGTCAGGTTTGACCTGGCACAGTCTCATTGAGACTTCTGTCATCCCTCTCCCAGCTCCAGGCAGCTCAACACACACACACACAGGCGCACACACACACACACACACACACACACACACACACACACAGAGACAGCCTTCATTTATTTGGGAAAAAGTAATGGAAGAGAACAAGAGTCTCTGCCTAGTAATCCAAAGACTTCTTTCAAATCTTACCTAAGACCCCCAAGGCAGTACCTCTATGAGTCTGCAAGAACCACAGCATTAATGGGCTTGGAGTGGCCTCTTATTGAGATAAAAAACTTAGACCACAGCACCCAAGTCCTTTGGAACACCTAGAAAGCCTTCACAAGATGGATGGATATAAGTAAACTCAGACTGCAAAGACTACAATAAATATAAATACTTAACTATTTAATGCCCAGACACCAACGAACATCTACAAGCATCTAGACCATCCAGGAAAACAGGACCTCACCAAATGAACTAAAGAAGGCACCAGGGAGACACAGAGATATGTGACATCTCAGGAGATAATTCAAAATAGTTCTTTTAAGAAAACTCAAAGAAATTCAAGATAACACAGAAAAGGAATTAAGAATTCTATTAGACAAATTTAATAAGGAGATTGATATAATTAAAAAGAATCAAGCAGAAATTCTGGAGTTGAAAAATATAATTCACATACTGAAGAATGCATGAAAGTCTCTTAATAGCAGAATTGATCAAGCAGAAGAAAGAATTAGTGAGCTTGAAAGCTACTTGAAAATACACAGTCAAAGAAGATAAAAGAAAAAAAAAGTATGAAACTTGTCTAAAATATGTAGAAAAACACCTCAAAAGAGCAAATCTAAGAGTTAATGGCCTTAAAATGAAGTGCATGTGCGTGAGAGAGATAGAGATAAAAAATTTATTCAATGGAGTAAAAACAGAGAACTTCCCCCACTGGAGAAAGATATTAGTATTCAAATACAAGAAGGTTATAGAACACAAAGCAGATTTAACCCAAAGAAGACTAATTCAAGGCACTTAGTAATCAATCTCCCAAAGGTCAAGGATAAAAGCAGCAAGAGAAAAGAAACAACATACAATGGAGTTCCAATATGTCTTGTAGCAGACTTTTCAGTGGAAACTTTATAGACCAGGAGAGTGGCATGAAATATTTAAAATGCTGATGGAAAAAAATCACTTTTATCCAAGAATGTTATATCTGGGAAGAATATCCTTGAAACATGAAGGAGAGATAAAGACCTTTCCAGACAAACAAAAGCTAAGGGATTTCATCAATGCCAGGCATTTCCTACAAGAAATGGTAAATGGAGTTCTTCAATCTGAAAGAAAATGACATTAATGTGCAATGAGAAATCATCTGAAGCTACAAAATTTATTGGTAATAGTAAGCACACAGAAAAACAAAATATCATTAACACTGTAATTGTGGTGTGTATACTTCTCATATCTTAAGTAGAAAGAGTAAAAGATAAACTGATAAAAAATAATAACTACAACAACTTTTCAAGACAGACAGTACAATAAAATAGAAACAGAAACAACAAAAAGTCACAGAATTGTAAAAAACTACTTTAAAGTTCATATGGAACCAAAAAAGAGGCCACATTGCCAAGGCAATCCTAAGCAAAAAGAACAAAGCTGGAGGCATCATGCTACCTGACTTCAAACTATACTACAAGGCTACAGTAACCAAAACAGCATGGTACTGGTACCAAAACAGACATATAGATCAATGGAACAGAACGGAGCCCTCAGAAATAATACCACATGTCTACAACCATCTGATCTTTGACAAACCTGACAAAAACAAGAAATGGCGAAAGGATTCCGTGTTTAATAAATGGTGCTGGGAAAACTGGCTAGCCATATGTAGAAAGCTGAAGCTGGATCCCTTCCTTATACCTTATACAAAAATTAATTCAAGATGGATTAAAGACTTACATGTTAGACCTAAAACCATAAAAACCCTAGAAGAAAACCTAGGCATTACCATTCAGGACATAGGCATGGGCAAGGACTTCATGTCTAAAACACCAAAAGCAATGGCAACAAAAACCAGAATTGACAAATGGGATCTAATTAAACTAAAGAGCTTCTGCACAGCAAAAGAAACTACCATTAGAGTGAACAGGCAACCTACAGAATAGGAGAAAATTTTTGCAATCTACTCATCTGACCAAGGGCTAATATCCAGAATCTACAAAGAACTCAAACAAATTTACAAGAAAAAAACAAACAATCCCATCAACAAGTGGGTGAAGGATATGAACACACACTTCTCAAAAGAAGACATTTATGCAGCCAAAGACACATGAAAAAATGCTCATCATCACTGGCCATCAGAGGAATGCAAATCAAAACCACAATGAGATACCATCTCACACCAGTTAGAATGGCAATCATTAAAAAGTCAGGAAACAACAGGTGCTGGAGAGGATGTGGAGAAACAGGAACACTTTTACACTGTTGGTGGGACTGTAAACTAGTTCAACCATTGTGGAAGTCAGAGTGGTGATTCCTCAGGGATCTAGAACTAGAAATAGCATTTGACCCAGCCATCCCATTACTGGGTATATACCCAAAGGATTATAAATCATGCTGCTATAAAGACACATGCACACGTATGTTTATTGAGGCACTACTCACAATAGCAAAGACTTGGAACCAACCCAAATGTCCAACAATGATAGACTGGATTAAGAAAATGTGGCACATATATACCATGGAATACTATGCAGCCATAAAAAATGATGAGTTCATGTCTTTGTAGGGACATGGATGAAGCTGCAAACCATCATTCTCAGCAAACTATTGCAAGGACAAAAAACCAAACACTGCATGTTCTCAGTGGTGGGAATTGAACAATGAGAACACATGGACACAGGAAGGGGAACATCACACACCAGGGCCTGTTGTGGGGTAGGGGGAGGGGGGTGGGATAGCATTAGGAGATATACCTAATGTAAATGATGAGTTAATGGGTGCAGCACACCAACATGGCACATGTATACATATGTAAGAAACCTGCGCATTGTACACATGTACCCTAGAACTTAAAGTATAATAAAAAAAATAGAAAAAAAGAGTGGAGAGATGAATTTAAAGTGTAGAGTTTCTACTAGTTTTCTTTTGCTTGCTTGTTTATTTATAAAATAAGTGTTCAGTTTTCATCCGCTTAAAATAATGAGTTATAAGATACTATTTGCAAGCCTTGTGGTAACCATAACCTCAAGTCAAAAAACATATAATGGATACAGACAAAATAAAAAACAAGAAATTACAACATACCATCAGAGAAAATCACCCTCACTGAAAGAAAGGTAGGAAGGAAAAGAAGAAGGAAGAGAAGATGACAAAATAACCAGAAAACAAATAACAAAATGGTAGGAGTAAGTCTCTATTTATTAATAATAACATTGAATGTAAATCGGCTAACTCTCCAATCAAAAGACTAAGAGTGACTGAATGGATAATAAACAACACCAATGATTTATTGCCTACTAGTAACACATTTCACCTGTATACACGTAGACTGAAAATAAAGGGATGGAAGAAGGTATTCCTTGCAAATGGAAACCAAAAACAGCAGAAGCAGCTACACTTAGACAAAATAGATTTTGAGACAAAACTATAAGAAAAGACAAAGAAGGTCATTATATAATGATAAAGAGGTCAATTTAGCAAGAGGATATAATAATTATAAATATATATGCACTGGAGGATCCAGATATATGAAGCACATATTATAAGAGCTAAAGGAAGAGATAGACCCCCTTGACAAAATAATATGGGGAGACTTCAACATTCCACTTTCAGCCTTGGACAGATCATCCAGACAGAAAACCAGCAAAGAAACATCAGACTTAACCTGCACTATAGACCAAATGTACCTGATAGATATTTACAGAACATGTCATCCAATGGCTGTAGAATATACATTCTTCTCTTCCAGTACATGGATCATTCTCAAAGATGGACTGTATGTTAGACCATAAAACAAGTCTTAAAACATTCAAAAAATTGACCACAATGTAATAAAACTATAGAACAATAACAAGAAGAATTTTGGAAACTATACAAACATGTGGAAATTAAATAATATTCTCCTGAATGACAAGTGGGTCAATAAGGATATTAACAAAGAAATTGAAAAATTTCTTGAAACAATAATGGAAACACAGTATACCAAAAGCTACGGGACACAGTGATAGCAGTACTAAGAGGAAAGTTTATACCTATAAGTACCTATATCAAAACACTAGAAAAACTTCAAATAAACAACCTAATGATGCATCTTAAAGAACTAGAAAAGCAAAGCCAAACCAAACCCAAAATTAGTAGAAGAAAAGAAATAATAAAGAACAGAGCAGAAATAAATGAAATTGAAATGACAAAAACAATGCAAAAGATCAATGAAACAAAAAACTGGTTTTTTGAAAAGAGAAACAAAATTGACAAAACTTTAGCTAGAGTAAGTAGGAAAAAAAGAGAAAAACCAAATAAATAAAATCAGAGATGAAAAACGAGACATTACAACTGATATAGCAGAAATTCAAAGAATCATTACAGGCCACTATGAGCAACTATATGCCAATACATTGGAAAACCTAGAAAAAAATGAGTAAATTTCTAGATACATACAACCTACCAATATTTAATCATGAAGAAATAAAAATCCCGAACAGATTAATGAAAAATAACAATATAAAAGCTGTAATAAAATGTCTCCAAGCAAAGAAGAGTGTGGGACCCAATGGCTTCACTGCTGAATTCTACCAAACATTTAAAGGTGAGCTAATACCAGTACTACTCAGACTATCCTAAAAATAGTGGAAGAGGGAATACTTCTAAACTCTTTCTACAAAGCCAGTATTACCCTGATACCAAAACCAGACAAAGACATATCAATAAAAGAAAACTACAGGCCAGTATCCGTGATGAACATTGATGTAAAAATCCTCAAAAAAAATACTAGGAAACCAAATTCAACAACACATTAAAAAGTTTATTTATCATGACCAAGTAGGATTTATCCCAAGGATGCAAGGATGGTTCAACATATGCAAATCAATCAATGTAATACATCATATCAACAGAATGAAGGACAAAAACCATAAGATCATTTCAATTGATGTTGAAATACCATTTGATACAATTCAATCTCTCTCATTAATTAAACCCCCATTTTGCTAGCAAAACTGGGTATAGAAGGAATATATGCCAGCATAATAAAAGCCATATATGACAGACCCACAGCTACTATCATACTGAATAGGGAAAAACTGAGCACCTTTCCTTTAAGATCTGGAGCATGACAAGGATATGAACTTTTCACTGTTATTCAACATAGTACTGGAAGTAGTAGCTAGAGCAAGCAGACAACAAAAAGGAATAAAGAGCACCCAAGTTAGAAAAGAAGTCAAATCGTCCCTGTTTGCAGATGATATGATCTTATATTTGGAGAAACCTAAAGACACTACTCAGAAACTATTAGAATTGATCAACAAATTTAGTAAAGTTGCAGGATATAAAATATCAGTAGCATTTCCATATGCCAACAGTGAACAATCTGAAAAAGAAATTTAAAAAGTAATCCCATTCACAATAGCCACAAATAAAATTAAATACCTAGGAATTAACTCAAGCAAAGAAGTGAAAGGTCTCTATAATGAAAACACTGAAACACTGATGAAAAAAATTGAAGAGGACACCAAAAAATTAAAAGATATTCCATATTCATGGATTACAAAAAGCAATATTGTTAAAATGTCCATAGTACCCAATCTGCAGATTCGATGCAATACCTATCAAAATACCAATTACACTCTTTATAGAAGTGGAAAAAAAAATCTTAAAATTTATGTGGAGCCAGAAAAGACCCAGGATAGCCAATGGTACCCTGAGCAAAAAGTATAAAAGTAGAGGAATCACATCACCTGATTTTAAGTTATATAATACTACAGAGTAATAGTAGTCAAACCAGCATGGTACTGGCATAAAAGCAGACACAAGACCAATAGAAAAGATTAGAGAACTCAGAGATAAAACCATACGTCTAAAGTGAACTTATTTTCAACAAAGGTGCCAAGAACATACATTGGGGAAAGAATGGTCTGTTCAATGAGAACACTTGGACACAGGGTGGGGAACATCACACTTGGGGGCCTGTTGTGGGGTTGGGGGCAGGGGGAGGGACAGCATTAGGAGAAATACCTAATGTAAATGACGAGTTAATGGGTGCAGCAAACCAACATGGCACACGTATACCTATGTTACAAACCTGCATGTTGTGCACATGTACCCTAGAACTTAAAGTATAATAAATTAAAAAAAAGAATGGTCTGTTCAATAAATGGTGCTGAGAAAACTGGATATCCATATGTAGAAGAATAAAACTAGACCCTCATCTTGACATATACAAAATCCATTCTGATTTGACTTTTGTATATGTCAATAATCAAATCAAGAATGGATTAAAGACTTTTATGTATGTCCAGAGACATACACAAATCAGAATGGATCAAATACTTAAATCTAAGACCTCTATCTATGAAACTACTAAAGGAAATTGGGGAAATGCTCCAGGACACTGGACTTGGCAAAGATTTCTTGAGAATTATCCCACAAGCATAGTCAAGTAAAGCAAAAATGGACAAATGCAATCACATCATGTTTAAAAGCTTCTGCACAGCAAAGTAAACAATCAACAATGTGAAGAGACACCACACAGAATGGGAGAAAATAGTTACAAGCTACCCATCTTACAAAGGATTAATAACAAGAATATATAAGGAGCTCTAAAAACTTTATAT
Source organism: Homo sapiens (assembly GCF_000001405.40). Taxonomy (NCBI): domain Eukaryota; kingdom Metazoa; phylum Chordata; class Mammalia; order Primates; family Hominidae; genus Homo; species Homo sapiens. The sequence continues at coordinate 74,526,221 of NC_000008.11, forward strand.
GAAAAATATGAAAAATGGGCAAAAAATCTGAATAGACATTTCTCAAGAGAAGACATACAAAAGGCAAACAGGCATATGAAAATATATTCAGCATCACTGATCGTCAGAGAAATGCAAATAAAATTACAAAGAGATATTATCTTACTCCAGATAAAATGGCTTTTATGCAGAAGACAGGCAATAACAAATGCTGGCAAGGATTTGGAGAAAAGGAAAGCCTTGTACACTGTTGGTTGAAATGTAAATTGGCACAACCACTATGGAGAAAAGTTTTGAGTTTCCTCAAAAAACCAAAAATGGAGCTACCATATGATCCAGCAATCCCACTGCTAGGTACATACCCAAAAGAAATTAGTTTATCAAAGAGATATATGCACTCCCATGTTTATGGCAGCACTATTCACAATAGCCAAGATTTGGAAGCAACCTAAGTATCCATCAGTGAACAAATGGATTAAAAAAATGTGGTACATATGCACAATGGATTTCTATTAAGCCATAAAAAAGAATAAGATCCTGTCATTTGCAACAACATGGATGAAACTGGAGGTCATTATGTTAAGTGAAATGAGCTCTGCATCGAAAGGGAAACTTCACATATTCTCACTTATTTGTGGGAGCTAACAATTAAAACAATTGAACTAATGGATATAGAGAGTAGAATGATGCCTATTAAGAGCTGGGAAGGGTAGTGGGAGGTTGTGGGGAATATGGAGCTGGTTAATGGGTACAAAAAGTTGTTAGAAAGAATGAATAAGATCTAGTATTTGATAGCACAACAGGGTGACTATAGTCAATAATAATTTAACTGCACATTTAAAAATAACTATAAGAGTATAATTGGATTGTTTGTAACAGAAAGGATAAACATTTGAGGTGATGGACACCTCATTTACCCTGATGTGATTATTGTGCATTGTATATCTGTATCAAAATATCTCACATACCCTACAAATGTTTATACCCACTGTTTACCCACAAAAATTAAAAATTAAAAAAAAATTTTAAAGTTTTTCTTAATTTTTAATTTCAATAGGTTTTCAGGGAACAGGTGGTGTTTGGTTATATGAATAAGTTCTTTAGTGGGGATTTCTAAGATTTTTTGGGGCACCCATCACCAGAGCAGTGTACATTGTACCCAATGTGTAGTCTTTTATCCCTCACCCCGCTCCTACCCTTTCCCCCGAGTCCCCAAAGTCCACTGTATCATTCTTATGCATTTGTGTTCTCATAGCTTAGCTCCCACTTATGATGAGAACAATGATGTTTGGTTTTCCATTCCTGAGTTACTTCACTTAGAATAATGGTCTCCAATTCCACGCAAGTTGCTTTGAATGCCTTTATCTTGTTCCCTTTTATGGCTGAATAGTACTCTATGGTATATACACATATATAAAAACATTTTCTTTATCCACTCATTGACTGATGGGTATTTGGGCTGGTTCCGTATTTTTGCAATTGTGAATTGTGCTGCTATAAACATGTGTGTGCAGGTATCTTTTTTGTATAATGACTTCTTTTTCCTCTGTGTAGATACCCAGGAGTGGGATTGCTGGATCAAATGGTAGATCTGCTTCTAGTTCTTTAAGGAATCTCCACGCTTTTTCCCACAGTTGTTGTACTAGTTTACATTTTCACCAACAATGTAATAGTGTTCCCTTTTCACCACATCTATGCCCACATCTATTATTTATTGCTCTTTTGATTATGGCCATTCTTGCAGAAGTGAGGTGGTATCACATTGTGGTTTTGATTTGCATTTCCCTGATCATTAGTGATGTTGAGTATTTTTTATGTTTGTTGGCCATTTGTATATCTTCTTTTGAGAATTGTCTATTCATATCCTTAGCCCACGTTTTGATGTTTTTTTCTTTTTGCTAATTTATTTGAGTTCGAAGACAAATAAAAATGGAAACACAACGTACCAAAACTTAGTGATGCAGCAAAAGTGGTTATAAGAAAAAGTTGATAGCAATAAACTACATAAAAATGTTTTCAAATAATTAACCTAATTTTACACCTCAAGGAACTTGAAAAAGATAAATGAAACCCAGTGAGTATGAGGAAGGAAATAATAAAGATCAGAGCAGAAATAAATGAAATAGAGACTGAAAAAGCAATAGAAAGTATCAACAAAACTAAGAGGTGGTTTCTCGAAGAAACAAACAAAGTTGACACACTTTTAGTTAGACTAAGAAAAAAAGAGAGAAGACTCAAATAAATAAGATCATATATGAAAGAGGAGACATAACAACTGATAACATAGATATACAAAGGATCATAAGAGACTACTTTGAAAAATTATACACCAACAAATTGGATAACCTAGAAGAAATGGATACATTTGTAGCCACATAAAACATAATAAGACTAAATCATGAAGAAATAGACAATCTGATCAGACACATAATGAGTAGGGATATTGAATCAGTAAGAAAAAGTCTGTTGTCAAAGAAAATCTCAGGACTTGATGACTTTCCTGATGAATGCTACCAAATACTTAAATAAGAACTAATACCAATCTTGTACAAACTCTTGAAAAAAGAGGCTTTCAGATTTTTTCTTTTTGTTTAGTATTGCTTTGGCTATACAGGCTCTTTTTTGGTTTCATAAGAATTTTAGTATTTTTTTCTAGTTCTGTGAAGGATGATGATGGTATTTTGATGGAAATTACATTGAATCTGTAGATTGCTTTGGGAAGTATGGTCACTTTCACAATATTGATTCTACCCATCCGTGAGCATGGGATGTGTTTCCATTTGTTTGTGTTATCTATGATTTCTTTCAGCAGTGTTTTGTAGTTTTCTTTACAGAGATCTTTCACCTCCTTGTTTAAGTAGGTTTCTAAATATTTTTTTTTTTTGCAGCTGTTGTAAAATGCATTGAGTTCTTTATTTGATTCTCAGGTTGGTTGTTGTTGGTGTATAGCAGTGCTACTGATTTGTGTACATTGATTTTGTATCCTGAGACTTTACTGAATTCGTTTATCAGATCCAGGAGCTTTTTGGATGAGACTTTTGAGTTGTCTAGGTATATAATCATATCATCAGTCAACAGTGACAGTTTGACATCCTGTTTTCAAATTTGGATGCCCTTTATTTCTTTTTCTTGTCTGATTGCTCTGGCCAGGACTTCTAGTACTATGTTGACTAGAAGTTGTAATGGTGGGCATCCTTCAAGTGGATAAGGAAAATGTGGTATATTACACCATGAAATACTACTTAGCCATTAAAAGGAACAAAGTACTGTGTTTTGCCTCAATATGGGTGGAGCTGCAAGCCATTATTCTAAGGGAAGTAACATGGAATGGAAAACCAAATATTATATGTTTACATTCATAAGTAGGAGGTAAGCTATGAAAATGCAAAGGCGTAAGAATAATATAATGGACTCTGGGGACTCAGGGGGTAGGAGGGATAAGGGATAAAAGACTGCATCTTGGGTACAGTGTACACTGCTCAGGTGACAGGTGCAGCAAAATCTCATAAATTACCACTAGGGAACTTATCCATGTAAACTAAAATCACCTGTACCCCCAAAATTATTGAAATAAAATAAATAAAACAATCCCATTTACATTTCCTACAAAAATTAAAATATTTAGGAGTAAATTTAACCAAGGAAGTGAAAGATCTCTGATCTCTGTTCGGAAAACTATAAAACATTGATGAAAGAAATTGAAGAAGATACAAACAAATGGAAAGATACCTTGTGTTCATGAATTGGAAGAATTACTATTGCTAAAATGTCCATACTACCCAAAGTGATCTACAGCTTCAGTGCAATCTCTATCAAAATTCCAATGTCATTTTTCACGGAAATAGAAAAAATAATTTTAAAATTTGTATGGAACCACAAAAGACTTCAAATAGCCAAAAAATATCTTGAGCAAAAAGAATAAAGCCAGAGACATCAAAGTACCTGATTTCAAAATTGCTACAATGCTATAGTAATCAAAACAGCACGTCACCAGCATAAAAACAGACCCATGGATGAGTGTAACACAATAGAGAGCCTAGAAATAAATCCACACATCTATAATCAATTGATTTTCAACAAAGCTGTCAAGAATACAGGATGGAGAAGGTATAGCCTCTTCAATAAATGGTGTTCTGAAAACTGGATATCCACAGGAGAAAGACCAAAATGAGATCCTTATCTCACATCATGTACAACAATCAACTAAAATTGGATTAAAGACAGAAACATAAAACCTCAGACTGTAAAACTACTAGAAGAAGACATGGGGTAAAAGCTCATGACACTGGTATGGATAGTGATTTTTTATTTTTTTTTTGGATATGACTCTCAAGGCACAGGCAACAAAAACGGAAATAGATAAATGGGATTACATGTAACTAAAAAGGTTCTGCACAGTTAAGGAAACAACACAGTGAAGAGACAACCCATGGAATGGGAAAATATATCTGCACACCATCCATCTGATAAGGGATTAATATCCAAAATATATAAGGAATAAAACAACTCAACAAAACAAATAACCCAACTAAAAAATGAGCAAAGATCTCAAATAGACATTTCTCCAAAAAAGACTTACAAAGGAGAAAGGTATATAATAAAATGCTTAACATCAGTAATCACGAGAGAAATGCAAATTAAAACCATAATGAGATATCACCTCATACATGTCAGAAGGGCTATTATCAAAAAGACAAAATATAAATGTTGGTGAGGATGTGGAGACAAAGAAACCCTTGTATACTGTTGATGGGAATGTAAATCAGTACAGCCATTATGGAAAAAGGTATGGAGGTTCTTCAAAAACTTAAAATAGAACTAACATATGATCCAACAATTTTACTTTATATATATATATATAAAAACTGGCATGTTGAAGAGATATCGGCATCCCATGTTCATTGCAGCATAAATCATTAAAACCAAAATATAGAATCAACCTAAGTGTCCATCAACAGATGAATGGATAAAGAACATGTGATAAATATGCACAGTGGAATACTATTCAGTGTTAAAAAAGAAGGTAATCCTGCCATTTGCAACAACTTGGATGAACCTGGAGGGCATTTTGTTAACGAAAATAAGCCACGCACAGAAAGACAAATACCACATGATCTTACTTACTTGGGGGAATCTATTAAAGTTGAAATCATAGAAACAGAGTAGAATGGTGGTTAACAGGGGTTGATGGTTTGAGGAATTGGGGAGATGTTGGTCAAAGGACAAGAAAATTTAGTTAAACAGAAGGAATAGGTTTAAAAAGTATATTGTACAACATGGTGACTGTATTTAAAAATAATACACTTGCAAATCACTGTGAGTAGATTTTGTGTTATTACCATTAATATACCATTTAAGTGTTATTACCAAAAAAGTATGTAAGGGAATGCATATGTAGTTTGATTTAGCCACTGTAAAACATATACATATATCAAGACATCATGATGTATACCATAAATATATATAACTTACTGGTCAATTGAAAAATAAAACAAAACTAAACCCCAAGTTACTTTTTTTTTCTGTAGGTAAAGAAACTAAAGAATGTCACTAGAAAACCAAATAGATCTGCTGTGGTTCAATACAACTAGAAGGGGCTGGCTGTGGTGGCTCACACCTGTAGTCCCAGCACTTTGGGAGGCCTTGGCAGGAGGATTGCTTGAGGCCAGGAGTTTGACACCAACCTGGGAAGCCTAGTGAGACCCCTTCTCTACAAAAAAATTTTTAAAAAATGAGCCAGGCATGGTGGTGCATGCCTATAGTCCCAGGTGGTCAGGAGGGTGAGGTGGGCAAATCTCTTCAGCCTAGGAGTAGGAGTTCGAGATTACAGTGAGCTATGATGGCACCACTGCACTCCAGTCTGAGCAACAAGCAAGGCTATGTCTTTATTGAGTTTTCTTTTTACTTTTTCTTTTTTGTAGAGACAGGGTGTCATTATGTTGCCCAGGCTGGTTTTGAACTCCTGGGCTCAAGCTATCCTCCCATCTTGGCCTCCCAAAGTACTGGGATTACAGGCATGAGCCATTGCACCTGGCCCCTGTTTATATTTAAAAAAAAAAAAAAAGACCTGAAAGACAGAGTCAATTTTCTTGGAAAATGAATGACTGTTTCTACAATAGTAGAGATTGTTCTTTTGGAGATTATGCTTGCAAGGTGATACAGTTTGACTGTGTCCCCACCCAAGTCTCATCTTGAATTGTAGCTCCCATAATTCCCACATGTTGTGGGAGGGACCTGGTGGGATATAATTGAATCGTGGGGGGCAGTTTCCCCCATACTGTTCTCGTGGTAGTGAATAAGTCTCACAAGATGGTTTTATAAGGGGAAACCCCTTTGACTCTCATTCTCTCTTGCTGCTGCCGTGTAAGAAGTGCCTCTTGTCTTCTGCCATGATTGTGAGGCCTCCCCAACCACGTGGAACTGTGAGTCTATTAAACCTCTTTTTCTTTATAAATTACCCAGTCTTGGTTATGTCTTTATCAGCAGCGTGAAAACAGTCTAACACACCAGGTTAATGACTGGCAGAAGTTTTAAGCTAAATCTTTGCTCTCTAAATTAATTGTGAATTGGAATTTCACATAGGTTGAAGGTTTTGGAGCTAATATAATTAGAAAATATTAATATTTGAAATGAAATCAGTATTCATGCAGTCTCTATTTTAAAAATAATTCATGCTGCCTTTGTGGCCTTTGTTGGATGAAAATTTATTGCAGCAGGAATTGCATATGCCAGCAGTCTCCAAACCACTTGGGACTAGTTTCATGGAAGACAGTTTTTCCACAGATGGTGGAGATGATTTTGAGATGAAACTGTTCCACCTCAGATCATCAGGCATCAGATTCTTCTAAGGAGCACACAACCTAGATCCCTTGCATGCGCAGTTCACAATAGGGTTTTCGCTTCTGTGAGAATCTAATGCTGATGCTGATCTGTCAGAAGGCAGAGCTGAGGTAGCAATGCTTGCTTGCCTGCCACTCACCTCCTGCTGTGCAGCTGGTTCCTAACAGGCCAGGAACCGGTACCAGTCTGTGGCCCCGGGGTTGGGGACCCCTAACATATGCTGAGCCAAAATCAATATACCTTTACTGTCTTCAGAGCCCAGTGAGTTCAAAATGTGTAAACTTGGGACTACAATGAAATATCCATATGGTAAGCAGTTACTAAAGGCAAGGCTAAATAAACCTTTTCTTGAGTCAGATCTTGAATTTCTACTTTGAAATCAAGATTTGCATCTTATTTCACAGAGACATTGTAGACAAATAAAATATTGTAAAAAGAACAAGATCACTCATTTTTCTGTCCTTTTAGCCATTTGAAGATAAGGCTTTATAGGTTTTCCCTTCTCCATATAAAATTTTATACTCTGGCCAATTTGTGAATACATAATATTACTTATTCATTGTGTTTTTTTAGACTAATGAGAATTTCATTAAAAAGTTGATAATTCTATGAACTGTACTTTTTCAATGAAATGTTTTTTTCCTTTTGTTTTTCTGTTATACTGACTGTAAGCACAAAACAAAATACCAACCTGTCAAGCATTGTGCTTACAGTGATGGATACTAAAAATGAGGTTTTATTTTTAGAGATTAAAAAATTCAGCAGATTGATGAGCACTTTATGTGTATGTGAGAATATGTTGTCTTCCATGTGTGTAAATTTGAATGTAATTCCCAGGATCCCAATGCTTCTAGTCCAGTCTAATTCTCTGTGCTTCTTTCCTCTTCTAAAACTTAACCACTGTGTTTATTCCCTTAAAGTGTTATAACATAGTAATTAAAAGTATAGGTCTTATTATTATCATATTTAAAAATACACCTGGGTTTGAATTTCAGCCCTATCACTTAACAATTCAAGAATGTTAGGTAGGTTATTAATTTCTGTAATCCTCAGTTTTCTTAGCTATAAAATGAAGACTACACTTACATCTTAGAGTTTTGGTGAGGAGTAAATGAGATAATACGTATAACAGGAATTGAGTGCTTGGCACTTAGCAAGCATTCAACAAATGTTAGCTGATATTAAGCTCCTGTTCTCAATTAGATAACAGGTAATTGTAGTGAGTATGCCCAATGCTAATATGTTAGGGGAAACGTATATTATGGTTCCTGAAGAAAGTCCTGAAGTCCTGAGTTTTGGTTTATTCTCATCAGGTAATAATTATAACTTGATGTTGTATAGCATGTTACTGTCAATTGTTCTATTACACATATTCTCTCATTTGATCTTATTTAAAGCATATATGCTCCCTTGGCATTGAAAGTAAAGTCATAGGTTGAGGAGGAACATTTCAGTACTTGGTTATTTACCTCATTTTTCTAAGTAATCAGAAAAAGTAAAGGAAGTTTCCAAGAGAAATAGACTCCACACAATAGTTATAGGAAAAAAGAAGATTGCATTCCATATGAGGAACTGCTCTCTAGCCAAATGAATTTGTAGGGAGGGCTTCACCTGAGATGAGGTATTGGGAACAATGCAGGAAGAAAGAAGGAAGAAAGTGCATAATACAAACGCTAAGAGTGGGGCAATACATATTGCATATGAAAAAAACTGTGGAAAGGATTGAGAACAGCTGACATACTTTGAAAGAATACTGTGGTGCAGGCGAAGGCAGGAAACTGTACCTCATCCAGAAATTCAATGGCTACTTGAGATGGCTTAGCTAAAAGAATTGAGGATTTAGTTGAGTAAAATATTGGCAAATTTCAGGTGTGAAGGTAAATGTGAGCATTAGAGGGACTAGGTCCAAATCTTTTCTTGTTGTCTAGAATACTGCTTGGACAGTAGAGGCAGCATATACTTTTTGTGAATGAAAAATATTCATTCAACAAATATTTATTGAGCACCTCAAGTTTTATAATACTTTGGCTCTAGAAAGCAGCTAAGGAAATGTACATATGTAGAATTAAATATATTGGGAAATTTTGCAGGGGAGGCAGCATTCTGTAATTTCCCAGATTTGGAGCTAGAGAGGTACGACAGAAAAAGGTTCAAAAAGCGGAAGTAAAATAGTTTCTGTCTATCTGCCCAAACCTCTTGAAGGGAAGATAGCTGCAGGGCAACATGTAAATGGGAAAAAAAGATTTATTACATTAGTCAAGGATGAAGGTCTAAGTTTAAAAGGGTGGCAGTACGATATAGGAAAAGAAACAACGTGAAAGTAACTCCAAATGGCAGCAGGAGAAGTGGAAAAACGGAAAAGATTTGTGTGGAGGAGAAAGCATGTATGAGAACATGTCAGGCTGACCCCTACTCTATAAAAGGGCTGGTAAAGAGCTCCAGGTGAAAGTTACCTGGTCCTGGCTGTTTGTCTAAAGGCAAAAAAAAAAACCAACCAACCAACCAAACAAACAAACAAAAAATCCAGAGAAGTACCTAATTTCACTCTCCCTTCAAAATGAGGACTGTGTATAAAAAAAGACTGTGTATGTGAAAGCCTAAACCTAGAAAACATGATCTTTGTCCTTATGAAATTTGCAGATGTAGAATAAAATTGGAAGAAAATAAGGGGAAGTTTGGTGACAGAAATTAAATGAAAAGAAAACAAATGGGCCAGAATAGAACTAGTTTATAAGAACCTTTGCAATTGAATGTGGATTAGTGTGTCATGGTTACTGAATTTAATGTTCAGTGATGATTGCTATATATCTGCATTCTTTGATTTTTCCCAGGGATTTTCTTTTTTTTTTTACTTAAGTATTTTTATTATGTTAAGGAAATATCCATCTTCCTATTTTTTTGTACACTTTATTATTTTTTTCTTCAACTTTTATTTTTTATTGTATATTTGTTTTATTTTGTTTTGAGTCAAAATACAGAGCAATTTCAAATATGTAAAAAAAGAGCTAAACTTTAAAATATTTGTCAGCAATATCAACTAAATTGAAATTTGTATTTCGAATTAATTTATTTTAAGTTCAGAGTACATGTGCCAGATGTGCAGGTTTGTTACACAGGTGAACGTGTGCCATAGTGGTTTGCTGCACAGATCATCCCATCACCTAGGTATGAAGCCCAGCATCCATTAGCTATTCTTTCTGATGCTCTATCTCCCCCACCACCTCCACCCCCAACAGGCCTCAGTGCTCAGTGTGTGTTGTTCCCTATCATGTGTCCATGTGTTCTCATCGTTCAGCTCCCACTTATAAGTGAAAACATGTGGTGTCTGGTTTTCTGTTTGTGTTAGTTTGCTGAGGATAATGGCTTTTAGCTCCATCCATGTCCCTGCAAAGGACATGATCCCATTCCTTTCTATGGTGCATAATATTCCAAGGTGTTCATGTATCACATTTTCTTTATCTAGTCTACCATTTATGGGCATTTAAGTTGATTCCATGTCTTTGGTATTGTGAATAGTGATGCAATGAACATACATGTGCATGTATTTTTATAATAGTATGATTTATATTCCTTTGGATATATACCTAGTAGTGGGATTGCTGGGTCAAATGGTATTTCTACCTCTAGGTCTTTGACAAATTGCCACACTGTTCCACAATAGTTGAACTAATTTACACTCCCACCAATGGTGTAAAAGCATTCCCATTTCTCCACAAACTCACCAGCATCTGTTGTTCTTAACTTTTTAGTAATAGCCATCCTGACTGGTGTGAGATAGCATCTCATTGTGGTTTTAATTTGCATTTCTCTAATGATCTGTGATGTTGAGCTTTTTTTCATATGTTTGTTGGCTGCATGTATGTTTTCTTTTGAGAAGTGTCTGTTCATGTCCTTTGTCCACTTTTTAATGGGGTTGTTTGTTTTTATCTTGTAAATTTAAGTTCCTTGTAGACTCTGGATATTAGTCCTATGTCAGGTGGATAGACTGCAAAAATTTTCTCCCACTTGGTAGGCTGTCTGTTCACTCTGATGATAGCTTCTTTTGCTGTGCAGAAGATCTTTAGTTTAATTAGATCCCATTTGTCAAGTTTTGCTTTTGTTGCAATTGCTTTTGGAGTTTTTGTCATGAAATCTTTGCCCATGCTTATGTCCTGAATGATATTCCCTAGATTTTGTTCTAGGGTTTTTATAGTTTTGGGTTTTATATTTAAGTTTTTAATCTATCGAGTTAATTTTTATATATGGTGTAAGGAAGGGGTCCAGTTTCAATTTTCTGTATATGGCTAGCCAGTTTTCCCAGCACCATTTATTAAATAGGGAATCCTTTCCCCATTGTTTTTGTCAGGTTTGTCAAAGATCACATAGTAGTAGGTGTGTGGTCTTACTTCTGAGTTCTCTATTCTGTTAGTAAATTTTGCACATTGATTTTATATCCTGAGACTTTGCCGAAGTTGCTTATCAGCTTAAGAAGCTTTTGGGCTGAGATGATGGGGTTTTCTAGATATAGGGTTATGTCACCTGCAAACAAAGATAATTTGACTTCCTCTTTTCCTATTTGAATACGCTTTATTTCTCTGCCTGATTGCCCTGGCCAGAACTTCCAATGCTATGTTGAATAGGCATGGTGAGAGAGGGCATCCTTGTCTTGTGCCTGTTTTCAAGGGGGATGCTTCCAGCTTTTGCCCATTCAGTATGATATTGGCTGTGGGGTTTTCATATGTGGCTCTTATTATTTTGAGGTATATTCCTTCAAAACCTGGTTTATTGAGAGTTTTTTAACATGAAGGGATGCTGAATTTTATCAAAGGCCTTTTCTGCATTCATTGAGATAATCATGTGTTTTTTTGTTTTTAATTATGTTTATGTTATGAATTACATTTATTGATTTGCATATGTTGAACCAAACTTGCATTCCAGGGATGAAGCCTACTTGATCGTGGTGGATAAACTTTTTGATGTGCTGCTAAATTTGGTTTGCCAGCATTTTTTTGAGGACTTTTGCATTGAGTTCATCAAGGATATTGGCCTGAAGTTTTCTTTTTTTATTGTATCTCTGCCAGGTTTTGGTATTAGGATGATGTTGGCCTCATAGAATGAGTTAGGGAGGAGTCCCTCCTTTTCAATTTTTGGGAATAGTTTCAGTAGAAATGGTACCAGATCTTCTTGTACCTCTGGTAGAATTCAGCTGTGAATCCATCTGGTCCTAGGCTTTTTCTGGTTGGTAGGCTATTACTGCCTCAATTTGAAAACTCATTATTCGTCTATTCAGGGATTCAATTTCTTTCTGTTTCAGTCTTTGGAGAGTGTATGTGACCAGGAATGTATCCATTTCTTCTAGATTTTCTGGTTTATGTGCATAGAGGTGTTTATAGTATTCTCTGATGGTTGCTTGTATTTCTGTGGAGTCAGTGGTTGTATCCCCCTTATAATTTCTGAGTGTGTTTATTTGATTCTTCTCTCTTTTATTAGTTTAGCTAGTGGTCTATCTATTTTATTATTTTTTTTCAAAACATCAACTCCTGGATTCATTGATTTTTTGAAGGGTGTTTTTTGTGTCTGTATCTGTCTTCTTCTAGTTTTGGGGATTTGTTTGCTCTTGGCTCTCTAGTTCTTTTAGTTGAGATGTGAGGTTGTTAACTTGAGATCTTTCTAGCTTTTTGATACGGACATTTAGTGGTATAAATTTCCATCTTAAAACTGCTTTGGCTGCATCCCACAGATTCTGGTACACTATGTCTTTGTTCTCATTAGTTTCAAAGAACTTCTTGATTTCTGCCTTAATTTCATTATTTACTTAGGAGTCATTCAGGAGCATGTTGTTCAGTTTCCATGTAGTTGTGTGGTTCTGAGTGAATTTCTTAATCTTGAGTTCTAATTTGATTGCACTGTGGTCTGAGAAACTCTTACGATTTCAGTTCTTTTACATTTGCTGAGAAATGTTTTACTTCTGATTATGTGATCAATTCTAGAGTAAGTGCCATATGGCAATGAGAAGAATATATATTCTGTTGTTTTGGGGTTGAGAATTCTGCCCTTCTTTGTTTTTATTGATCTTTGTTTGTTTAAAGTCTGTTTTTTTCAGAAACTAGGATCACAACCCTGCTTTTTTTCTGTTTGCCATTTGCTTGGTAGATTTTTCTCCTTTCCTTTATTTTGAGCCTATGTTTGTCTTTGCATGAGAGATGGGTCTCTTAAATATAGCATACTGATGGGTCTTGGTTGTTCATCCAGCTTGCCATTCTGTGTTTTTTAAATGGAGCATTTAGCTCATTTACATTTAAGGTTAGTATTATTATATGTGAATTTGATCCTGTTATCATGATGCTAGCTGGTTATTTTGCAGACTTGTTCATGGGGTTGCTTCATAGTGTCACTGGTCTGTGTACTTCAGTGTGTTTTTGTAGTGACTGGTAATGGATTTTCCCTTCCATATTTAGTGCTTCCTTCAGGAACTCTTGCAGTGCAGGCCTTGTGGTGATAAATTCACTCAGCATTTGCTTGTCTGGAACAGGATCTTATTTCTCTTTCATTCAGGAAGCTTAGTTTGGCTGGATATGAAATTCTGGGTTGGAAATTATTTTCTTTAAGAATGTTAAATATTGGCCCCCAATCTCTTTTGGCTTGTAGAGTTTCTGCTGACAGGGCCACTGTTAGTTTGATGAGCTTTCTTGGTGGGTGACCTGGCCTTTGTCTCTGGCTACCCTTAACATTTTTTCTTTCATTTTGACCTTGGCAAATCTGGTGATTATGTGTCTTGGGGTTGATCTTCTTGTGGAGTATCTTACTGGGATTTCTCTATATTTCCTGAATTTGAATGTTGGCCTGTTTTGCTAGGTTGAGGAAGTTCTGCTGGATAATATCCTGAAGTAAGTTTTCCAACTTGGTTCCATTCTTCCCATCTCTTTCAGGTACCCCAATCAGTCATAGCTTCAGTCTCTTTACATAATCCCATCTTTCTTGGAGGTTTTGTTCATTCTTGTATTAGTCCATTTTCACAGTGCTATAAAGAAATATCCGAGACTGTGTAGTTTATAAAGGAAAAAGGTTTAATTGACTCACAGTTCCACATGGCTGGAGAGACCTTAGGAAACTTACAATCAGAGTGCAAGGGGAAGCAAGCACCTTCTTTACAAGGTGGCAGGAAAGTGTGAGAGAGCAAGGGAAGGGAGAACAGTCCCTTATAAAGCCATCAGATCTCATTAGAACTCACTCATTATCATGAGAACAGCATAAGGGAAACTGCCCTCATGATTCAATCACCTTCCACCAGGTTTCTCCCAGAAAACATGGGGATTACAATTTGAGATGAGATTTGGGTGGGAACACAGAGCCAAACCATATCATTTTGCCCATGGCCCCTCCAAATCTCATGTCTTTCTTACATTTCAAAACATAATCATGCCTTCCCAACAGTAACATTACCCCAAAGTCTTAACTCATTCTGGAATTAACCCAAAAGTCCAAGTGCAAAGTCTCATCTGAGAGACAACAAGCCCTTTCTGCCGATAAGTCTGTAAAATCAAAAAGCAAGTTAGTTCCTTACAAGATACAATGGGTGTACAGACATTGGATAAATGTTCCCATTCCAAATGGGAGAAATTGTCCAAAACAAAGGGGCTGCAGGCCCCACGTTAAGTCCAAAATCCAGCAGGGCAGTTATTACATCTTGAATCTCCAAAATGATCTCCTTTGATTCCATGTTTCAAATATGGGGCACACTGATGCAAGGGGTGGGCTTTCACAGCCTTGGGCAGCTCCTTTGTGGGCTTTCATTGAGTGCCCTGTAGCTTTTTTGGTACACAGTGCAAGCTGTTGATGAAACTACTGTTCTGGGGTCTGGAGGATGGTGGCCCTCTTCTCACAGTTCCACTAGGCAGTGTCCCAGTGGGGACTCTGTGTGGGGGCTCCAACCTCACATTTCTCTTCCATGTTGCTCCAGCAGAGGTTCTCCATGAGGGTTCTGTCCCTGCAGCAGACTTCTGCCTGGACATCCAGGCATTTCTGTACATCTTCTGAAATCTAGGTGGAGGTTCCCAAACCTCAATTTTTGACTTCTGTGCACCTGCAGGCCGAGCACCACCTATAAGCTGCCAAGGCTTGGGGCTTGCACCCTCTGAAACAGTGGCCTGAGCTATATACTTTGGCTGCTGTTAGCCATGCCTAGGACATAGGGTGCCATGTCCCAAGGCTGCACAGAGCAGCAGGGGCCCTGGGCCTGGCCCAAGAAACCATTTTTTAAATGATGGTTAACAGACCTGTACTTTAACTATATTTAATATGTTCAAAAAATTTAAAAAATACAAAATAATTGGGAAATTTAGCAAAACACTGAAAAGCACTAAAAGAGCTAATGAAAATTCCAAAATGAAAAATATTCAGTGACTAAAATTAAGACTTCATGGGATGGGCATAACAACACATTAGAGAGAGTTGAAGAGGGAATTAGACTGTCAGAAGATAGATCGGAAGAAAATAGTTAGGCTGAAGTAGAGACAGAAAAAAGGGTGGAAAATTTAAAAAACAGCATTAGAGGTAAAAGGGCTATTGAGAAAAGTTTTTACATATATAGAATGGGAGTTGTAGAAATTAAAGTGTGAGAAAAAATGGGACAGATACAATAGTTGAAGAGGTAGTGAGTGAGGATTTTCCAAGACTTATCAAAGACACCCAGCTACAGACTTAAGAAGTGCTAGAAAGCTATATCAGAATAGTTAAACAAACAAACTACACTTAGGCACTGCATACTCAAATGTTTAAAAGTATAAAATAAAGAAAATCTTAAAAGTATTCATAGAAAAAGACAGAAGGACTTCAAAGGAGCAATAATAGACTGAGAGTTGGCTTCAACAACTCTCAACAAACAAAATGGAAACCAGAGGACAATGGCATACCTTCAAAGCACTGAAAGAAAATAACTGTGAAAATAGAATTCTACATCCAGCAAAAATATTCTTCAAACAGGTGAAATAAAGGTATTTCCAAATGAAGCTAAGAGAATTTCTTAACAATATACCTAGGCTAAATAAAACACTTAGGTGTATTTTTCAGACCGAAGGGAAATAGTCTCAGATGAAAGCTCAGAGATACTGAAAAGAAAGAAGAGCAATGGAAAAGGTAGATATGTGGGTAAGTCTGAGTGAATATTGGCTATATAAAGATATAATAGGCCAGACACAGTGGCTCACATCTGTAATCCCAGCACTTTGGGAGGCCAAGGCAGGTGGATCACAAGGTCAGGAGATTGAGAGCATCCTGGCTAACACAATGAAAACTCATCTCTACAAAAAACCCCAAAAATTAGTTGGATGTGGTGGTACATGCCTGTAGTCCCAGCTACTAGGGAGGCTGAGGCAGGAGAATCACCTGAACCCAGGAGGCGGAGGTTGCAGTGAGCTGAGATCTGCACTCCAGCCTGGGTGACAGAGTAAGACTGTCTCAAAAAAAAAAAAAAAAAAAAGACATAATAATGTCTGTGGTCCTTAAAATACATATTGAATTGAAAGGAACAATAGTAGCAAACAATTTAGGAAGGGAGTGAAGAATAATGTAAAGTGATGAAACTACTAATTTGTTTCAGGCATCTCTGCAGTGCTACCAATAGAACTTTCTTTCATGATAAAAATATTATATTCTATGTATGTGGTATCCAACATGCTGACACAAGTCACATGTGGCTATTGAACAATTTAAATTTGACTAATGCAACTGAATAATTGAATTTCTAATTTTCTTTAAGTTTTATTAATTTAAATTTAAATTGCCACACATGGCTAACGACTATTGTATTTGACTCGACAGCTCTAGAGTAACCACATACACATAAAATAATAGTAAAGTAACTACTAGGCTAGTGGAAAATGTTATCTCAAAATAATAAAATATAAAACAAAAACAATATAATCAAATATTGTATATAAAAATAATAACACATAAGGTAAGATACAAAGGAACCTAGAATAAGAGGGACAAATAAAAACAAATAATAGGATTCCATATGTAAAATAAAATATACCAGTAATTACATTAAGTGAACAAATTAGAAATAAAGATTGTCAGCCTAGATTTAAAAACTCTATGTTGCTTTTAAGAGGCAAACCATTAAACATAAGAACATAGCAAAGTCTAAAAGTAAAAGGGTAGAAAAACATTCACCATATAAAGACTAAAAAGCTAGCAGAGCTAAATTGATGCTAGACAAGATGTTAAGCTAAAATATTATTTGAGAAAAGAAAAGCATTTTATAATGATAAAATGTTTACTCCACTAGAAAGATATAGCAGTTCTAAATTTGAATGCATGTAATAACATAGACTCAAAATATACACAAAAGCTGACAGAACTAAAAAGAGAAATAGATAAATTCTCAAGCATAGAAGCTGATTTAACACCTCTCTTTCATTAAGTGATAAAACAGAAAAGTGGCAAGATTGGAAAATTTAAATAGCAAATGCAGATCATTTAACCACTTCTGGTGATGGGACCAGCTTAGAAATCTTTTCTCCAGGTTCCCACATGGCATTTTTAAGGGGGTATTTCTCATTTCTAACTGTGAGACACAGATTGCTGTTAAGCCATGCTCATCAGCCCTGACAGCTGATAATGGCATTGCAGCTTAATTTTTGTAGTTCTTTGCTTTTCTTTCAAAGTACTTTTCACAGAACTCTCATATCTGCAATGGTTATCTTTCTTTTGTAGGTTAGGAAATGTCAGCTTAGACACTAAATTACTGTCAGTTTCACGAATGATAAGTGTGTGTGATAATGCTAAGATCCAAGTCTTTTGACTCCAAATCTTTTGTTCTTCCTACTAAGATGTTGTAGAAGAGATGGATTGTTTAAAACATGTAATCTAACTTGCAACCCTCAATATTCAATAACTATCTGTAGCTCTTTGTTGAGCACCAGCCTCTTGCCTTCCTTGAAAGACTGCTGGGTAATGAAATAAAATGAACACGGAGTCTGAAGACCAGAGTCTAAGAACTACCTGCTGGTATTGGTCAAGAAACATAAATCGCCCTGATTCTCAGCTTCCTCATTGTTAAAGTAAGGGTGATATTGCCCACTTCACATAGAGTTATTAATAGTCTTAGAGGGATAAAGTATATATTTCCCAGGTTACCCAAAGAGATGGTAAAAATCACAAATCAACAGTTCTCTGGATTTACCATGACTTGCTCTATGAGATTCCTGGTGCTTTCAATTCTGGATGCCACTAGCAATGTCTCAGACTCTTTGTTGCTTAGTCTTTTTGAAAAATTATCAGAAGAATACAGGCATAAGTAATATCTAGGTCCTCCCTATAAGAATATTATTGTTCCATTTTCATAGGCTCTAGGTATGACATTAAACTAAAACAAAATTTTGAGGCAGTAATATCTAAAGGAGTAATAATCTATAATTTAGTGTGTGTGCTAAACTTATTTTTATGCTTTAAATAGAGGGTTACCCTAGGCTAATGCTTCTTAAATATGAACATGTGTACAGATTATCTTGGGATCTTGTGAAAATGCAGATTCTGATTCAATGGGTCTGGGATGGGAAGGCAATTCTGAATTTCTAACCAGCTCCCACGTTATACCAATGCTGTTGATCCAAGGAGCACACTAAAAAGTAAGATCCTA
Source organism: Homo sapiens (assembly GCF_000001405.40). NCBI lineage: Eukaryota > Metazoa > Chordata > Mammalia > Primates > Hominidae > Homo > Homo sapiens. Next base: position 74,544,660 of record NC_000008.11, read on the forward strand.
TATGAATTTTAAAGAAAATAATTTGTCCTGGTAAGTGTTCTATTTTTTTCTGGTTAAGATGCTTCATTACAAATAATGCCAGCTTATTTCTGGTAATGTTAAATGAAAAGGGAATGTATTAGAAGGATACCACATAGCTCACAGCATTGATGGAGATGTTGGGGAACCATGTTCAAGAAAGTAGTAGGATAAAAGAGAGGTAAGGCATGGCCAAGATCATCTTAGGAAGTCTGTTTAAGACTCCACCACTAGGAACAGCTGTGCTAGACCCTCCCCACAGCAATGCTGGAGTCTTGGCTGCCATATATGTGACAAGTGATCTTTGAATGGCTTTGAACCTGTGCATCACTCTCTAAAGAGATTCAAAGTCCCAGGCTTGAGACACTGATTTACTATGCTGAAATCACAATCCTTCTCCCAGCTGCTAGAACTGCCTGCCTTTCCTTCAAGCAAGGTTCTGCTTCTTACCCATTTTGGTATTTCCAATAAATAGAAAGTATATTTGAACATTGGTATTGAAGCTCAAAATGGCAAATGTCACAACACTCAAATCTTAGAAAGGTAGGACCAACAAGAACTCACACAGTCCCAATGCATCCTTTTGAAGAATGTAATTTCTTGGGATGTTATGAAACTTGCTCAAGTTTTCATATGAAGTTAGTGAGAAGAAGTAAGACTAGAATTTTCAAATTATTTCCAATTTTCACCCTGCCCATTTCCTGAATCCTTTGAGGACTTTTCATTTGTTGTGTTAATTAATCATTTTACATATGTTTATGAGAAAAGTTGAGCAGATGGGAGATTTCAAAAGCCCATGCCATTTCATGGTCTGCTCTGTGGATTTTGGCGAAGGGAATTACTGTTATGAAAAAGACTGATAAACTGTGACAATACAGTAATAAAACTGGATTTATTTAACACAGAAACTTGCAATCTCTTTACTATATAAGTGCATTTAGTAGGAAGCTGGAAAAGATAAAAACAGGTAAAGAGAAATATATTTCTATGTTATGTTGAATAGGGTAAAATATTTTAAGTGAATGTACCTTTCATGGAGTGTAGATGAAATTTTGCTTTAAAAATTAAAAACTTTAAAAGTCAGAGGGAAAAATTTTTACAATGTTTCTTTAAGAATTATCAAATGAACTTTTTTTTTTCTTTTTCAAAAGGTACATAAACACACACTCACATACAACTATTTCCTTCATGGCTGAGTCTTAGAGATTCCAAGTTATTTTTGGTTGCCAGATTTTAACCCAGAGGAAGTTTTATGGCTGAGTTAAAACCCCCCCAAAAGCAACGGTTACAATGGAAATGCTGACAGAGTCCATGCCATGGCAACGTTTGTGAGTCTAGTTTTATTAAAACAATAAACAACTTTTGTTCAAAGTCAAGTGGATGTAAAAAACAAAAAAGCAAAAGAAAAAGGCCCCTTCCTGCATTCAATACCTAATCTCTCTGTTATTTTTTTTGCCTGTGTTTTGATCCTGAGCTTGCTGGGTCTCATATGCAATTTACTGGTTTGAAATCAACCTTGCACACCAGCTTCTTATAAAAAAGACAATGAAACATAAGGAGAGGGAGATCATGGCTGCATTGGCTAAAGTGGATACTAAGTGTCTACTCATTTAGGGCATTGGGTATACTTATAACTGATAAACGAATCTGTGTTTTACATTTCCTAATTGTCTTTGTATGCACTTTTGTGCCAGATTATTATCTAACAAATTATACTTGTTTCCTCTTTTGTTGCCAAGTAACACATCAAGGTCTAAATAATACCTCAGGTTTTACACACTGTACATGCTCCAGGGAGACCAGAAGGCTCACCTTGCACAAGGTGGTTAGCAGATGGGTGAAGCTGGTTAATGCTTCTCCCATTTAGTATCTACAAAAGGGAGCCTCAGTGACTCTGTGGGGTGTGGGGTCATGGGGAAAATAAGAGTACTTTATTCTTCTTGTCCCTTTTCTCACCAGAAGTGATTCTGTGCATAGTGTTTGCAAATAACATGAATCTAGTAGAAAAATAAGAACCATCCAAGAAACAGCTAGAATACAAAAAATAAATATCAATGAAGCCAAACTAAAATATGAAGGAAACCAAATTGAATATGCTGAAGTGCCCCCAAAAAGACATTTTTTAAAAAGCCTTTGCAATTACAGAAGGTTACTGAAAATAACAAAAGGAAATAAGATGTTTAAAAAGTAACGGTGAGCTGGAGGCAAAAGGGCAGTGAATTGGTGAGAAATTTTCCACTGCCCAGTGAAGTGCCTGAATCCAGCAGAACAAATGAGCCCAAATTTGCCGTGCTAATTAAATTATATGGGAGGCTTGGTGGTTACATCTTCCAGCTACCAAGTCCTGTCTGTTTGGACCAAGAATTCTCAAACCAGACTGAAAATCAGAATCACCTGTGTGCCTGGTCACACCCCAGAACAATTAAATGGAAGTTCCTGGGGTCTTGGGGATGAGATGAACATCAGTACTTTTTAAAGCTCCTAGGTGATTGCAGGGTGCAGCTGAAGCTATGAATCACTGACTTAGAGGGACCCAGCTGCCCTGGAAATATTGGCCTTTCAGCTGAAGAATAACTACAGATGTTTGTGGCAGACCATTTCCTCAAGGCAGTTTACTGAGCCCCATTGACTGTTCCCAGCAGTCACAATTGGGTTCTGTGGCTCATAGCCCATTGGTAGAATGTGTACAGCAGATGTTTGAATGACATTAACAAATGGAAGCCTCCAAATCTTTCCTTGTTTAACAAGTAACAGCAGGTCCTTGTTTAAATAGTGATCATTAGTGATCGACTTTAATCCTTCGATTATAAATCTCCCATTTCTTCTTCTCTTCTATAAACTAGCTGACCTTTGTGTGCACATTGTGGATGTGTGGATGGCAGCAAACTGGAATTTGGACTAATTGAGTTGTCAATCAGATTTCTGTGCACTCCATATCACGTAGTTAGTAAGACTGAAATTATGGAAGGTGGTTGATTATTCTAGACATCTGAAGGATTGTTCTGAGCTCAATCAATTTCTTCACCAGCTGTTCTCAGGGCCAAAATGCTGAAAACAGTGGATACCATTTGGGATATGGAAAGGCCAAAGTCAAATCCAACTTGGACTCGGCAAAATAGAAATAGTCCTTTTCCTCATGTACTTTTAAAGTTTAGTCACATTTTCACGATTATAAACTGTTACTTTGGGCAAAGGATTGTTTCCAAGAAGCCAATGAATTGCACATATACAAACAGGCTGTGTTTCGGATCCATTTGTAGGAAACATCTTCTCAGCCCTCTGCCTCTTATAACCCCTGTGGCTCCTTATTAATGCACCTGCAGGAGAGGCACACACTATGTCACTCAGCCCTGGCTGCACCCTCAGGCAGGTGGTGTGTGGGTGCTTTAGCAGCTCTTTGAAGAATGTGATGCAGAACCATGAGCTAATGAGGAGTGCTAGGCACTATCCACCTGCAACTGGAGCACAGTATACTGCTCAGCAAATGTCCACATCTAGCAAAGCGGCTGCCCTTTGTCCACACTCCAATTTAGACAGAAGGCAAATGAAAAAGGACACACACAAATTTTAGTTTTCATTCTCCTTGGAAACATTTCAAAAAACTAAATAAACAACTGCCTCCTCCTGTCCTCTACCTCCAGGCTCTTTGGGAGCAATCCCTTAAGCAATTGACGGTTCTTTGGGAGCAGAAATAAAGAGAAAGTGAAAATTCTGGCTTCCTTTTTGAACTACCTTAATCTGTGAGAGAAAAAAAAAAAACCCTAAGTGATATGATAGATGCAACAAGTCTATGTTTATCGTGATTTATTGTTCACAAAGGGCTTTATATAGATGATCTCATATATTCCTTACAACTTCCTTGTGAAGTTTTTGAAGAGTATTGCCACCCTTTCTAGTCCCTATTAGACTAGAAAGGGTGGCAATACCTCTTCCAAAAACTGAGACTTGTTGATATTAAGTGAGTTGCCTCAGCAGTCAATGGCACTTTAAAATGTGTTTTACCTATTTTGTAGGATTTTTCACATGTTGTTTTTAACAATGGGAAGGGGATAGCCACTAGAGATACCAATATACACTATTCTGAGCCAAAGAAGCCAAGTTAAAACATGCCTTCATGGCACTTGAATTCTTTATAAAGTAATTTTTGAAGTTGAATTGAGACTTCCTGTTTAGAAGCTTGATTATAAACTCTTGGCTAGTTCTCTGACTTGCACACTTGTGTTCTGCTATTCCCTGGTCCTGAGGCCAGCCTCAGTCCCCCAGGGTTTTCTATTTATAGACCTCTTTCCTCTTTACAATAAACCACTTATTACTTTGGGTCAACTTTCAACCAAACAAGTCTCATTCATATAGGGGTCCTAAGTGGCTTCATCCTCTTAAACAAAGGAAAACCAAGATGGAAACAAGACGGGGAGCATTACATTGACTTGTGAGCAGGTAGTGACCAATAACTAGTGGGTTTTCCCAAAAACACAAAACCAAGCAGATCAAGGTGAAAGGGGTGGGGAAGTGGTGCTGACAGTGGAGGAGAGGGTCTGAAATGATTTTCTTGCTTGTCTCCAAGCTCTCAAGATTTGCAGGTACAAGAGCTCATCCAGGGACCAAGTGCCATCTGTTCATTAGAGACCATGCACGCACCATGGGCCTTAGGAAGAAGAAAAGTCCACTGCAAAGGGATTCTAGAAAAACATAGGTATCGGGTCTTATATGCCATCTGGAAAATGCATAGTTTCCATGACTGTGGAAGTAAGAGGGTATCTCACAGGTCAAGACTGTCCAGGATGCTTCAGGGTTTGCTTGTAGTAAAAGTAATTTTTTTTTTTTTTGACGTGGACTCTTGCTCTGTCACCCAGGCTGGAGTGCAGTGGTGCAATCTTGGCTCACTGCAACCGCTGCCTCCCGGGTTTAAGCAATTCTCCTGCCTCAGACTCCCAAGTAGCTGGGACTACAGGTGTGCACCACCACGCCTGGCTAATATTTTGTATTTTTAATAGAGATGGGGTTCACCATGTTAGCCAGGATGGTCTCCATCTCCTGACCTCGTGATCTGCCCACCTTGGCCTCCCAAAGTGCTGGGATTACAGGCGTGAGCCATTGCACCTGGCCTAAAGTAATTTTTTTTAAAAGTTATTTGTTTTAAAACATTTTGTATTAATTACATTTATCGCCATGCTTCTGGAAAAAGGGTGAAAAAACACTTTGCACATTATCTGGGAAATTATATACAGTGTATTGCTGGAAGTAATGGGCTAAGGATCTATAATACAATATTTTTAGTAATTATGATAAAAGGAGAGAATATACACATTATAAGAAACAATACTTTTGGTATCATCTTTATGATAATGGTATTAGAATTTATTGTGAGTTCTGGGGATTCCTATATCTTTTATTTATTATAGTACTTTGAAGTTTTCTTCTAATTCTCTATACCAACTTCCAATTTAAATAAGAGAGAGACAACTAGACACTAGAACTAGGAGAGTTACAATCATTTAGTCAAAACTACAATTTTTATGAGAACTGAGGGTCAGGGAAGTTACATGATTTGCCCAACATCACACATCTTGTTAGAGGAAGACCTGGAACTAAAACTGAGGAAAAGATGCAGTGGATTCTTTTTCCTTTTTTGTGCATAAATTTCTTGAATCTTTTCAAATACGTTGCATGGAAACCACTCAGCAAGCAGGTAAGAAAGGGTGTTTGAAGTACAGGATTCTTTCAGAATGCTACAGCCACTCCAAGTCAGCAATGGCTGCCTCTGGCTGACCTTTAGGCAACTTTTACAATCCTGGCTGCCACCTCTTTGATTTTTTTGTGCAACTTAGTTGTCAGTTTAGCAGTTTATGAAGTACTAATATTAAATCACTCTTTTTTTTCCAGTAAAAGTAAAACAAAATATAAGGATTTAAGAATTCTATTTACCTATGTGTATCCCCATTATTCTGTAAACTTCATGAAGTCAGGAAGTGAACTATCTTGTTCACTGTCATATTCCTGGCACTTCTCACATATTAAGGGCTCAATAAATACTGATGTCTTTTGCAGATTTTTAACTACCTGACATGAAATTACCAGTAAATACTTGGGCATGCATTGAAAATATCTGACTATATGAAATGTTTCTCAGGTCTAGGGTAAATATACTTTTAAAAATCTCTCTAAAATGGCTAGCTAGTAAAAGCATTTTTATTTCTACATTTGTGTTTAAAATTTGAGAGTGACTTTTCTAGTAATGAGAAAAATGTTCACTTGTAGGCATGGTTTCATGTAGGACAGAGTTGTGTTTTTACAATTATTCAGTGACGACTCATTGATTTTGTTTTACAAGGTGGATTTTGCTTGCAACTTCATTTGATTTTAATAAAATTCCTATGAAATAGGTGAGATGGGTATTATCATCCCCTTTAGTTTATGTAATGGAAGGTTCAGTGACTAACTTAGACCATTTCCCACCAAAGAGGATTGAAAAAAATCCTGTCACTGGGGCTAAGGACACAGACCTTCTAACTCTAAATCCCATATACTTCCCCAAACTCCATGCTTTCTTTCCAGATAGAAACTATGGCCTTGGTAAATTACTCATTATACCTTGCTGCTTTTTAAGTGTATTAAAGATCACGGTCCTGCCCCTGTTCCACTGGAGGACTGTAGAGGTTACTCAATAGAGAAGGTCAAGTTGCTGGTAGCTTCATGGAACCTTCCCCCTTTGCTGTGAGGTCTCCTCCTTTAATACAAAATTTGGTGGCCTCTGTTATATGCCTCAGTATCAAATCTGCTTATGCAAAATTTCATATTCCTAAAAATCTCCAGATAGCAACAAGCTATATACATTGGTCTTGTAAAAAATTTATTGTAACCAAATGCTGGCAATAGAATTTGGACAGTTCTTCTGAATTTATGACAATACAATTTCAAATCAATTCAACAAATAATGTTGAGTACTGTCTATGATTAAGGTAGATCTTGTGTTTACAAACATAAGACACATTCCCTGTCTTTAGGAAATATGCAGTTTCATGGAAGAGACTAACCTGAACAATTAAACGTACAATGTAATACATGCTAAATAATCAGGATAACCAAGCTGCTATACTTGGTCAGATCAGGGGTTATTTTACAGGTGACACATTATCTGGGGTTTAAAGATGAATTGGATGGAGCGACCATCATTCCAGGTGAAGGAAATGGTGTAAGCAAAGGCATAGAGGCATAATGATGCAAGGCTTTTAGAGAAATGGTAGAAGCTATTGTAGTTAGGTTATACAATTTTTAGGAGGAAATGATGGGAAATGAACATGGGCAAGCATATTGGACTAAAGTTTGGAGTCCTTGCATATCAGATCCTATTTGTGCTTATGGTTCAAATATTCTGGGAAATCTGGTGGACAGATGTAGGTGGTAGGACTTAAGCACCTCAATGATTACAAGCTGAAGTTCAGGGCTGTGGACTATGTGTGATTCAGAGGCAGCCATGTCATATTAATAATGTAACTTTAGCAGGAGACCAATCTATGATACAAGGACCATAGAGACCCTTACCGGTTTATCTATAATAAATATGATTAGACAGGCCGGGCGCGGTGGCTCACGCCTGTAATCCCAGCACTTTGGGAGCCCGAGGCGGGCGGATCACGAGGACAGGAGATTGAGACCATCCTGGCTAACACGGTGAAACCCCGTCTTTACTAAAAAATACAAAAAATTAGCCGGGCATGGTGGCGGGCACCTGTAGTCCCAGCTACGTGGGAGGCTGAGGCAGAAGAATGGTGTGAACCCGGGAGGCGGAGCTTGCAGCGAGCCGAGATGGTGCCACTGCACTCCAGCCTGGGCGACAGAGCAAGACTCCGTCTCAAAAAAATAAAAATAAAAATAAAAATAAAAAAATAAATAAATAAATATGATTAGACAAATCACCTAATGCAGGGTTTATTGACTTGAATATGCATGGAAATCACCTATGGAGCTTGTTAAATGCAGATTCTGATTCAGTAAGTCTGGTCCCAAGTTAAGCTACTGGTCCATGGATTGTGCTTTGAGTAGCCGGGACCTTCTGCACTGAATAAAAACCCAGGTTTTTGTGAGTCCTGTGTTCTAGACCTAGTGCTCTTTTGCATTTTGTACATAGGGCAAATTATTTAACTTTGCTGGATATCTTGGCTGTCAGGCAATTATCATTTTAAGAAGACTGACATTAATACAAAAAGCTTACTTAACCTCAATGATCATGACAATTAACTCTACCAAGATCTTCCAGCAAATGATTATAAAGTACTAGAGTAAATGTAAGACAAGTGACATGATTTAAAATAAGATATTTTTCTTGGAAGTAAACTTTAAGGCACTGAAACAATGAAAGAACTTTATTTTTTAAGCTATGTCTTGTGTAGACCAAAAGCTGCATCTGATAAAAGAGTTAGAAAATGGACCCTTTCTGTCTAAGAGATTTAGATTTTGCCTGGAAAACTAGAGTGTTAATCGTGTCATTACTGGGAAAAGGTGTGGAATGTCTCAATCCCATCACATCACTTTAGTCTCCATAAACACCCCAGATTCTCTTGTATCCCTAGCCAGCTGGTGTCCTCACATTCCCTGGACACTTCCAATTTATGTTCTCTAAATTAGTTACAGGACAATGGCTGGCTGTACATATTTATACTACCATTATACTTTGTTCTCCCACTTTTTGCTCTTTTAAAAGGGAGCACACAATATTCCACTATGGTTTCAATTACTCAGAAAAAATGGGAATTTTGGAAATTCAAACACAAATTAGAGTTTTGAATTTGAAAAATATTCCTGGAAAAAAGATTCTCCACTGAAACTCACAAGCACAAAATAATTCTATCTTTAAAAAGTTTCTTGCCACAGGATATCTGCTGGAGAAGAGAGTTCACTGTTGATTCTAATAGAGTGAAGAATTCATGACCAGACTATTTTGTGCTACTGTTGAGATTAATGTCTACTTGTTTACCTATTATTTAAGCTACCTCCTGTTAATAGGTACTCTGAAAAGACAACGAAACCAAAGCAAACCACAAAAAAAACAAAAACCCAAAATGAAACAAAAAGTTTTCCAAGTCACTGAGAAGTAGGTTTTTAAAGGAATTTTGAAAAACAAAAGACTGATTATTTCCTGCAAAGAAAAGTCTGTGTGTGTGTGTGTGTGTGCATGTGTTTTTTATGTGGCAGAGAAAGATATTAAGGAGGAGATTGTATAATTAAAATAGCAGATATGGGACTACTTGGAGGACGGGCAATCATAAATACAAGTTTAGGGCCTGGATTACCTTTTCACAAAATAGAGAAAATAAATATTATTTTTCATTTTTTAATTTCGAGATGTATCCTGTATGTACTAGGCACTTTATTATGGATAAGGCTTGGTCAGGAAATAAAACAAGTCCAGGATTTTCAACAACAAAGACTGGAAAGAAATAATCTGTAAGCATAGAACACTTATTCCCAACTCCAGTATCTTGATATTTCAGGATGTTGGCAGATTTTGCAAGGGGTTTTAAGATATTTTAAAATAAATTCCTAAAATTGTTCATGGGTGAGTCACTAAATACTAGTTACATAGGATCAGAACCCCAAACATAAGTTTTTGTGAGAAAAAGTAATGTATGGTCAAGTAAGGCCCAGGTCGGAAGTCAGAAAATGAAGATTAGATTTCAGATTTGCCACTAACAAACTGACTAACTGACCACCTACCCACCTACCTACATACTTAGGTAACCTTGGTTAAGTTATTCAGTTTCTCTGAGCTTCAATGCCTCATCTTTAATATGGGAGTGACACTACTTGCCCTGCCTTCTTTCAAGGGGTGTTTTAGAGACCATAATAAAACAGAAATGTGAAAATGCTTTGTGGATGTCAAAGTGCTTTACAAAAATGAGGTAAGAGACAGAGTTTGTTATCACCGTGTAATCTAGGGAATATGCAGTAGTTTCTATTTGCAGAAGTTACTACATTTTTTTTTTTATTTTTTACTTTTAGGTTCAGGGGTACATATGCAGGTTTGTTATATAGGTAAATTGCATCTTATGGGGGATTCCATCTGATCTTCAACAAAATCAAAAAAACATTTTGAGAGTTATTGCAGGTTGGGCTCCACAAGAGGCAGATTCTGAGATGGAGAGTAACATGCAGGGGGTTTATTCAGGATGTTCTTGGGATCAACAGCCATGGAAGGGAAGGGTAGGATTGGGCTGAGGGAGGAGCTGAGCAGGGAGGCAGTCCCACTGGAGGCCTCAGTGAACACTTTGGGGAGCTCTGAAGCTAGGGTGACTCTTCAGAGTTGTCCAGGGTGGGTGAGAGGCTCTGTGTCAATCAGTCACTGGACATGGGCCTTCCTGGAAAGAGGGCATGCCCTTGAACAAGGTGGTTATCTTCATCTTCAGCCACATAATCCCTAATGGAGATTGACAATTGACCATCTGCCAGCAGCGTTCCTAATAAGGATATAAAGCTCATCACTCCCAAAGGGGATTCTGGGGGTAAAATGCCCTTTAGCTAAAATACTAGAATAGTCAAATGTTCTTTTATTTAAGCTATATCACATTAGTGTCTCAGAGTGTTTTGCTAGATTCCTACATAAACAATAAGAGTCATATTAACTTCTTCCTTGTAAATACTGTTAGAATGGTATTTCCTGAGAAACAATCTTTATAATTCCAGGAAACTATTTTTTGCCCTAAATTCTGTGCTAAAAACATTTATAGAAGCAATATTTTTACATTCCTAGCATTATCATAGTAAGGATATTTGCTCTGATGATTTAAAAATCTGCAGGACCCCACAGCTGTCTTTCTGAAGAACAGGTGAGCATGCACATTAATTACTCTGTGGTATGTGTCATGACAATGTTGTCACTGTCCACAAACGCAGAGCTTCTCACTTGACACTCAGAATATACCCTGACGTGTCAGCGTGTTATTGCTCAGGGCCCATTTTAGAGGTGATGAATAAGGCTGAGAGCTTAAATAATTGGCATAAGATCACAAAGATGGAAAAATCACAAACCACTGCAAAAACCTCAGTTTTCTGACTTTGATGTGGTTTGGCTGTGTCCCCACCCAAATCTCATTTTGAATTGTAGTTCGCATAATCCCCACAGGTTATGGAAGGGACCCAGTGACAGGTAATTGAAACATGGTGGCGGTTACCACAGTGCTGTTCTTGTGACAGTGAGTGAATTCTCACAAGATCTTATGGTTTTATAAGGGGCTTTTCCCACTTTGCTTGGCACTTCTCTCTCTCCTGCTGCCATGTGAAGAAGGACGTGTTTGCTTCCCCTTCTGCCATGATTGTAAGTTCCCTGAGGCCTCCCCAGCCATGTGGAAGTGTCAGTCAATTAAACCTCTTTCCTTTATAAATTTCCCAGTCTCAGGCAGTTCTTTACAGCAGCATGAGAACAGACTAATGCAGACTTGAAGTGCAGCAGTACAGTACTGCTCACTAGAATCCAGTCTCTCAGAGTACAAGATTGCTCTCCATGTGCATGGACCTCACATTTATGTTCTGAGCATTGCTTTATCCCAGTAAGTCAGTGAGGATAGGATAGTTCTCTTTCCCCAAATCATCTACCTTCTGAAATTAAAGTACAGTAATATTTATCCATATGTTCATTCACTTAATATTTTCTGAGTATTTATAAGGTAACTGACATTGTACTGAGCCCTGGGGGTATAAACATAGACATGCTATGGCCCCTGCTTTTAGGAAGCTTAGCATCTACTAATTCTTGCCTGGCATCTGCTTAGAGGAGCTTTGGAGATAGAGTGTTCTCCACTGAGTCAGAAAAAAGGGGCTGTGTCATATACTGTTTTCTTTGAAATTTCAGATGTATTTTCATTTAAAAATTGTGGCTATGCATAGGATATGAATTGTCAAGGTACTATAGGTCTTTTTCCCCTCTGAGTTCACAAACATGGCACCATCTTATCTGCCTCTCATACTTGAAAGAAGTAGAGGTTCTTTCAATTGGAAGATTGGAGGGAACGAAGATTTCAACGATGTTCTAATATTTTTCTGAAATCTAAACAGAATCCCCAAATAGCTAGGGGCATATCCATTGTAAACCAAAGGAGGAATGTCTTCCACATTATTGTCTTAAGAACATTTCGGCTCTTAAGTTTCAATTTACGATTTAAGAGATTTTTCTCACTTTTCTTGCCTAAATCATGACATGGAATAGTTTTACTTTGTAATGATTACATAACTGAAATATAGGAAGACTCTGGAGAGTGCTAAAAACCATTAATATTGGTGAATTGAAATACCATCTCTGAATCGTTTAAAAGTGAATTCATTCTCTGCGTCTTTGTTCTGGAATTGTTTTAGAAGCTGCCCCCTAAAAAAGTAGTACCAATTAGAGCCACCTGTGCCCACTGTCACAGCTAGAGCTGGAAAAGGCCATTGATTTACCTTGACTAACGTAATGATTGGTGAGGAAGTCAGTCTGTTTCAAAATTGATTGAAATTCTGTTTGCTTTATAGCAACAGAACCCCCACACTGAAATATATTCATTTTCCTACTTGTTGCTGGTTTATATGTCAGTAATCAGAAGTTGACTCTTCTGCTCAAGGGCTATTAAAATGGCTTTACATGAACTAGGCTAAGTGGCCCTACTCTGATCAAATGGTTTTATATTTGGCAGAACTGGCTTTAGACTGATAATAAAATGCCAACACATGGGGTAGTGGGTTTATTATTTACTTTATAGTCAAATATATTCAAATATATTATTCTTAAAGAGAAGTGAAAATGTAAGTCATCCTGTTTTCTTTACTACTCTACCTTTTATTTCTATTGAAAATACTTAGCTTACTTCTAGAAGTCTAAATGAAGTGCACAGTCAAAAGCATATAGCAGATGACATAAGTATTTTCCAAATATAATTTGTTTATCAGAATAAAAAAAGTAGATCTCATAGGGTTAGAGAGTAGAATAGTGGCTACCAGAGGCTGGGAAGGAAAGAAGGGAGAGAGGGATAAAGAGAAGTTGGTTAATGTGTACAAAAATACAGTTAGATACAAGAAATAAGTTCTAGTATTTGATAGTACAGTAGGGAAGTTATAGTTAACAATAATTTATTCTATAATTCAAAATAGCTAGAAGAATTGCAATATTCCTGACCTAAAGAAAACATAAATGTTTAAGGTCATGGATTTGCCAATTACCCTGATTTGGCAAATTATCTATCTATCTATCTATCTATCTATCTATCTATCTATCTATCTATCTTGCTTCTAAACTTTAAGGTGTCCTTGCTCATTCCTGGGCATAGGCCAAATTAACTCTGGGAAGGAATTCAGTTCATGGTTTGACTCTGAAACAAAATTGATAACAGCTCTTTCCTGAAGAGGCCCCCTTCTTGCCTGGGGACCGGTCTGCCTTGCAGGACTAACAAATTAGCTACAAGATTTGAAATTACAATATAGGGGTCATGCGGACTCTGGCTCCAAAAGTCCAAACCTCCCCAAATTGCTCCTGGGGATAACATCACTATTGGAAAACCTAAGATCAGTGCTTGAGATATTTTGCAGATCCTGTTCTCAGTGGATCAGCAGACACCACCCAGACTGGTAATCTGGCTCAACTAGTTCTACCATCCCACCCAGGAACAGAAGACAGCAAGGAAACCTCACTTTGTCCCCCTATGATTCCATCTCCAACCTGATCAGTCAGCACTCCCCACTTCCCAAGCCCCTACCCGCCGAATTATCTTTAAAAACTCTGATCCCCAAATGCGTGGGGAGACTGATTTGAGTAATAATAAAACTCCGGTCTCCTGCACAGCTGGCTTTGTGTGAATTACTCTTTCTCCATTGCAATTCCCCTGTCCTGGTAAATCGGTTCTGTCTAGGCAGCGGGCAAGGTAAACTCCTTGGGTGGTTACACCATCACATATTCTGAAGATATTACAAAATAATCTTATAATTAAACAGTTTCATGATGTCTTATTTCAGAAATAATCAGTATATCAGTACCTTTTATTGTCCAATATCTGAAAGCAGGAAGCACTGAGTGAGACATGGTTTGTCACTCACGTGCACAGTTTCCTTTATGGGGAGAACTGTTTTATTTGGAATAAAATTGATTTTTGTTGTTATTGGCTTGGGTAACTCAGTTCTTAGATTAGCAATTTATAGATGTGATTATTTGAGTACACAAATTTGCAGTGCTGGTGAGGGGAAAATATTAGATATATTTATCAAAAAATATTACCTCTTATTTAAAACTCTTTCCCAGCTTCTGGGATTAGACATTATAGACATATTCCACATTTGTAGTTCTAAGACAGTTTATATTTTAAATATCCAGAAAAGACAATAGTAAGAAACATAAAAAAAAGGCTGTCTTTTCTTACAAGCAAATCATTTAGAAGATATTAGTACTGAACTCTTTTACAGAGAAATTAGGTCATTTTTGGCCCATTTGCACATATTGAGAATAACGTGTTTTTTTAGTTTTTTTATTCAAGGACCTAATTTTTCCCCAAAGAGTATATAGCCTGTAAAAATGAAGCATAATTCTATCTGTAACACTATCTTTTAAATATACCAAAAGATGAGAGGCCAGAGTTCTTATACGATCTTTGACATTGCTGTTTAATCCTAACTTTGAAAAATGTTTTGTATTTTTTATCATAAATACTTTGTGAACACTGCCACTTTTTAATTAAAATAGTACAAATTACGGTTTAAAAAATAACTGGTTATTTGATTAGTAATGGACAATGAATAAATAACTTATTTTCAAAGGCAAGGGAAACATCTTGGGCCTAAGCTTAAGTAACTAAATTAAATAAACATCTTTATTTCCCCTGTGATATCAGGTTCAGGTCCCTGACAAGTATTTGTCAGTCTACAATTGTGAATTAGCTGTTAAACAGATCGATCAGACTGTTACCTCTTCACTGGTGCTAGTATCCACAATTATCTCATTCGCAAATACTTGACAAATTTAAGTGGACAAACAAGCTTCTGCTGCACATTTTGAACCAGTTATTTGGTTTACTTCCTACAGTTTAAATTCCCTGTATTCAACTTCATTTTGACTTGTGCCAACCCCAAAACAATTCTCTCTCTCTTTTTTTTCTACTTCCAAATCTGGCTTATTTAGATAAAAGATTATTAACTTGAGATGATTACTTACTTTTTAATCTTTAGTGTGGTGTCAAAGAATCCTAATGAAAGCAAACTTTAGACAATCTGAGCTGCTGGGTAGTTTATAAGTAATCTAACTCACTATAGTGAGTTCACACTGTATACATGAGACAGATGCAGAGGGGTCAATTTATGTACACAAGTTCATATGGTTACTCGGTAGAGCTTGGAATAGAATCTAGGTATAGGAACTCCTAAATTTCCCAAAGTATAGAAACCACACACACAGACTTGGTTTCCTGGAAATAAACTACAAACTAACACCTTGATTTCAGTTTGAATTGTGAAAATAATTTTACTCTTTCTGCAATTTCCAATTGTTGGATTTGGTCTGGCCACTTTCAGGATAAGCACTAAAGCAATTGGGTATTTGGTTGATACCGACACACAATATGCTCTCAAATTGCATTTTATTCTGGATCTTTCAAATAGAAAACTAAATGCTTGATCATCTTGGGGGTGGAAGTTGTCCTTTGTCTCACATGTTAAAATATGGTACTGTTTGTAATTCACAGCTAAACCAGACAGTAGTATATTAGAAATAATTGGCAAGCAGATTGAACACTGGAAATAGCGAAAAAAAAGTTGGCATTTGCCAGAGAAAGCATATGCAAAAATCTTGCATCTCAGTCCTGGTACTGGCTGCTGGATTCTGCTATGAGCAAATCAGTATCAGGGCCCTCTCTCTTTTTTCTGAAAAGCTACACCAGTCTGGAAAACATTATAGAAGCAAGATAATTCTAAAGGAAAGAGGAAAAAGCAGAATAATTTCAAGTCAGCACTGTGTCTGAGACCTGATCTTTATAAGCACATTATAAAACATCAAAGTTAAAACTGAATAAATGGAAAAATGTGATACTTATTGGTATAGAAAAAATAAATTCTACAATATAAACTCTTCACATACACATAATGGATTCTACATTTAATTCTTTTTTGTAGCAATTAATAAGTTATAAAAAATTAAGGATTTTTAGCAATAGGCAAAATTAAGAGATAGATTCTGAATTATTTATAGGAAAAAAATTGACACAAGGTTTTAATTAATGCCTGAAATCATGTTACTTGATGTCTTAATATGCTTGGTCTGAACAAAACAGAAGAAACCAATTTTTCCTGGAATATAAGTTTAATGAAGGCAGAGTGGTTTCAATCTCCTGATCAGGAGATTTGAGGCTAATTTTTGATGATTATTTAGTAATAAAAACTAGCAATTTATACAGAGTGCTTCATATACATTGTCTCACTTGATTTTCTCATAAGGATGAAGTAGGGCAGACATTATCATTACCATTTTTACATAAGGAAACTGAGTTTTGGTAAAATTATACAACTCACAATGGACAGAATCAAGATTCAAATCCAAGATCCCAGATTCTAAATTCTAGCTCTTTCACTCTATTGTATTGATTCAATGCATCTTTTTTCATGTGTAAAGTCATTACTGATCTTCCGCAAAATGCAGTTTCATCAAATCTTAAAGATGTCGTTATCAAAATCAACCTCCCCACTAATACACAGTTCTCTTCCACAGTGGCTATAGATGCTTGACAGGTTCAGGCAAGTGGAGTTTACTTGTTTATCTAACAGTCCATTCCATTAAACAGCTGTTCTTTTTAGAAAGCTATTTCTTAAGTAGAGTGAAATGTACCTCTTAGTAATAGCTACTAATTGCTTCTAGTTTTGGTTTCTGGACCACTTTGGACAAAACTACTTACTTTCCAAATTATTACCTTTTAAATACCTAACACAACATTCTATTCCTTATTCCTTTGAGTCTTTTCTGGGCTAAATCCTCTAAGTTCTCCAAGTCTTTTTTTTTTCTAAATGTGATGTAATTCTTCACATTGCTTATCTGTCTCAAGTTTGCCAGTTTCCATGTAAAATTGAATATCCAAAATTCATTAAACTACTCAGATGTTTCTTGACTAGTAAAGAATATAATGTTTTTTTTGGCCAAGATTCCAAAATTTAATTTTTATTTTGATTTATATTTTGGCTTTTATTGAACTTGGGGTTCAATAAAAATCTCAGGTTGATTTTTCATATAAAATAATACCAAACAAAGTTTCTAAACATTTATCTCTTGAGCTTCTTTTATTTTAGTTGCTTGAGATAATTTTGAATATTGTTTTTCCAGCCGTCTTCCACCCTGCCAAACTAAGGAACAGCTCCATATATGATAAGCTGTCTTCAGTGCCTTCATTCTAGCATTGATAACAAAGCTGAATAGGAGTGAAACAAGGTCAGGGTCTTCTGACATCATAAGATTGGAGAGTTCAGTAACACCGAGCCCTTTCCCATTCTCTGGTACTTTTGTTCTCCAGATTTCTTTCTCGAGATACCAAGAATGATGGAAATTGTTTAATGCTTATTTCTCTCAGCTCTCATTGCATTTAGCAATTACCCTTTGCAGTGATCCTAAATACCTGTTTAACTCAGCTTTTCTCCCAGACTTTAGACACTTAGCAGAGGATTGACCTAAAGTAGGAATCCAGTAAATATTTGCAGCTTTGTTTAATAAGATATGGCATATTGGTGAACAATTTGGTCTTCTCTTTCCCTCTGAAATTCACCTACATTCTCTTCATACATTAAAGAAAAATGTTCAAAATTGAACTTAATCATCTTCCTTTTGACTCCTCTCCTCCTCTTCGTCATACTGGTTCATGGCCCCACCTTATCTCTGACAGCAGATTCTTACCAACATTTTGGCCTTTCTATTTCTCACATCCAACCAGCAGCTGCATTGCTCAATTTTATTTCTACACATCTCCCATGCTGAACCCTTATTCTTTATTCTTGATGTCCCTATCTTGCTCAGTTCTTCATTTCCTTTTTCCTGGATTATGGCAAAACTATTATCTGCACCTGACATCACTTCTGCCTTACTCCCCACTGTCTCTTCCTGAGCACTGTTCTGATGGATTATGTCACATCATAATCACAGTCCACAGTGACTATCCACTGATGTATTCCTCAGTCTGACACACCCCCATGAGTAGAACCTGTCTCTTTATTCCCCTTCATCGTTTCTTCCACGTGCCCTTTGCTCCGGTCACCATCTGCCCTCTCAGGTACTTTCTCAGCTCTGTATTTATCTTTTGCTTTTCTTCTGCTCCTTGAATGATTTTTCTCATTCTTGAAGGATTTATGTAGAGTGTGACCCTTGGTTTTTGACATGGATTTGTACAGATGGAGACTCATCTATGCATTTATTCAATTTATATTTGTTGTGGTTTGGGAGTTAGACCTGAGTTCTAAGGCTGCCTCACCACCGTCTAGCACTGCAATATTGGGCAATTTGATTAAACCTTTTAACATGAAATTTTCTTCACCTGAAAGTGGAGATAGTAATACACCCTCACAGAGTTTGAGAGCTTTAGATGATGCACGTGTTTCAGCACTTGGGTTGTGTTTACAGGTCAACAAATAGTAGAAATTATTTATATCATTGAACTTTTTCTATGTGACAGGCATTCTGCAAGGAGCTAAGGAGATGAATAAGAAAAAGTATTTGTTTCTGAAAAATTCAAGGCAACATAACTATGTTAAATATAATGTAATTTTGGAGACTTTAAAAGTGAGGTAGCTTTTTTTAAGTATAGGCATGGAAAAAGATATTCAAGTCACATTTTTTTTAGTGAAAAAAGCCAGTTGCAAATAGTATGCATTGCACAAATCCACTGTGAACATTTTACATATTACTATTTGCATGTAATAAATATGGAAACATTCCTGTTCAACTTTGAGTAATGCTCATCTCAGAAGGGGATAGTGATGGCAGTGGTAAGATTATTTGGACTTTTAATGGGCTAAGTATGTCTACATTTATACACACATGTGTTTTTAAAGACTGAGCAGGTATGAAGTTTATAAACAGAAATAATGACAATTATGTAAACAAAATAAAATAAGGTACTCAAGTGCAAACACATACCAGGCATTCAATAGGGGTACAAGTTAGGAAAATAGATACCATAACTAGAAGAGAAGAAGGGTGTGCTCTAGTCACCAAATCGTTACTTTCTTTATAGGTTTTCATCCCTTGGTCTCTGCCCTGTTTCTTTTAATTAGATTTTATTTATTTATTTATTTTTCCTTTCAACTTTTATTTTAGGTTCAAGGGGTATATGTGTAGGTATGTTACATGGGTAAATTGTGTGTCCCGGGGCTTTGGTGTACAGATTATTTCATCACCCAGGTAATAAACATAGTACCTGATAGGTAGTTTTTTGATTCTCACTCTCCTCCCACCTTCAAGCAGGCCCTGATGTCTGTTGTTCCATTCTTAGTGTCCACGTGTACTCAATGTTTGGCTTCTACTTTAAGTGAGAGCATGTAGTATTTGGTTTTCTGTTCCTTTGTTAATTTGCTTAGGATAATGTCCTCTAGCTACATCCATGTTCCTGCAAAGGGACATGATTTTTTTTTTTTATATCCACATAGTATTCCATGGTGTATATGTACCACTTTTTTTTATGAAGTCCACTGTTGATGGACCTCTAGGTTGATTTCATGTCTTTGCTATGTGAATAGTTCTTCCATGTTTCTCTGTTCCCAGATTCCTTCTTTAAAAGTGTGCCTAAGACCCCAGTTCCTCTAAGACTAGAGATATGTGTTGCTCTCCAAAAAGTATTTGTATCCTGGCTCTGAACTCAAACCTAGTAACTGAGGTGCAACTATCTGCATCAAGATATTCCCAACTATAACCTCCACTGGGACCTCCGCCTGTTGGTTTTCTTAAATTCTATGTTCTGGCCTGGACCATTTGTTAAGACTTTGTTTTTCCACATGCTGAAAACTCAGACACCACCACCTGCTCTGTGGGCTGCCTCTGCCTTTCCTTGCTCTATGGATTTCCTGTTTCCAATCCCTGAGGATTGGTCCACTAACAGCCAGTGCCATCCTGGGGTATTAATTTATTTATTTCAGTCATATATTATAGTGAAAACGTGGACTTTGAAACAGATCCGAGTTTGAAAGGCGGGATACTTTATGAATTATGTGAACTTGGAATTTTTTCCCTCTATTTTGTCATCTGTCATTGATTATGTCTATATATATATACTATTATTATTTTTGAGACAGAGTCTCTCTCTGTCACCCAGGCTGGAGTACAGTGGTGAGATCTCGGCTCACTGCAACCTCTGCCTCCTGGGTTCAAGCGATTCTCCTTCCTCAGCCTCCCGAGTAGCTGGGATTACAGGTGCCCACCATCACGCCTGGCTAATTTTTGTATTTTTAGTAGAGACGGGGTTTCCTCACATTGGCCAGCATGGTCTCAAACTCCTGACCTCAAATGATCCACCCGCCTCGGCTTCCCAAAGTGCTGGGATTACAGGCGTGAGCCACCACTCCCGGCCGTCAATATATATTATTAAGTACATTGCTAGGTTCTGTAGGTTCACTGTTGAAATAGAAATAAACTTTCTCCTATTGAGCTCATGATCTGCTGCAGGATACAGAGGAGTGAACTTAAAAATATAAAGAGGGCTGTATAAAGAGGGCTGTGATAGTAGCAGTATGGGGTATCCTGACAGAAAGAAGTGAGCCACTGAACCCAGATTTGGGGTCATCAGGAGAGAGTGAAGCCCCAGCTGAGACCTAACGGTAGAGAGGAGATTAGCTATCAAGGGGGATGACAGGAGTAGGGTGGGGACAAGAGAGTCTAGGCAGATGGAGTAGCTTAGGAAAAGGTCTAGAGACAAAAGGAACATGGCATTTTTCTAGAACTGATGGCTTGTGGAGCCTGTGTATAAAGGGAGTGGGACTAATAAGCTGTATTACCCAGGGCTTGGTCAGTGGTTTGAGGGGTTTAGGATTTATCTTACAGAAAAACAAAGCAAAAAAAACTAGGAAGCATTTGAAGGAATTTAAGTAAGGAAGCCATATTAGTCTATTCTAGCACTGCTATAAAGAAATCCTGAGACTGGGTAATTTATAAAGAAAAGAGGTTTAATTGGCCCATGGTTCCACAGCTGTATAGGAAGCATGATGCAGGCATCTGCTCAGCTTCTGGGGACACCTCAGGAAACTTACAATCTTGGGAGAAGGCAAAACAGGAGCTGGTGCTTCACATGAATGGAGCATGAGGAAAGTGAGGGAGGTGCTACACTTTTTTTTTTTTTTTTTGAGATGGAGTTCTGCTCTTGTCACCCAGGCTAGTGTGCGATGGCACGATCTCCACTCACTGCAACCTCCGCCTCCCAGTTTCAAGCGATTCTCCAGCCTCAGCCCCCTGAGTAGCTGGGATTACAGGCACCTGGCTAATTTTTGTATTTTTAGTAGAGATAGCGTTTCACCATGTTGGCCAGGCTGCTCTTGAACTCCTGACCTCAGGTGATCCACCCGCCTTGGTCTCCCAAGGGAGACAGGCATGAGCCACTGTACGTGGCCAGTACTACACACTTTTAAACAACTGGATCTCACGAGAACTCACTATCATGACGACAGCCCCAAGGAGGGTTGTGTTAAACCGTGAGAAATGACCCCCACTAATATGGACAGGAGACAGGGAAACACTGAGTAGATGAAAGTCTCCAGGCCCCACCCTCGAGCCTGGAGACCCACAGCTTTAAGTGGGAACAGCCGTTTCTGTTTTTGTGCCCAAAAAATTGCATTTTGGCCTGCCATGCCCCCCATCCTTTACCGACATAAAGTCCGAGCCCAGGCTCCTGAAGCAGATGAGGAGACAAAGACGAACAGTGGAATGCCATGGCAGAGAAAAGGAGAAGAGAAGGAACGTCTGAACACCAAGAGGAGCTCAGCTGGGGGTGGATGTAGAGTTCGGCCACTGGATGACCAAAACTCCAGGGGAAGATCATCTTCCCACTCCATCCCCCTTCCAGCTCCCCATCCATGTCACTGAGAACCACCTCCACTACTCAATAAAACCCTGCATTCATCCTTCAAGCTCACGTGTGACCCAATTCTTCTGGGATGCTGGGCAAAAGCTCAGGATAAAGAAAGCTGTCACACTGGCCCTCCTCCCTTGTGAAAAGGCAGAGGGTCCATTGAGCTGGTTAACACTTAAGCTGTCTGTGGATGGCAAGGCTAAAGGAGCATTGTAACGCTGGGGTTGCAGGCACCCACCCCTAGACACTATCGCAGAGTCAGAGCCCAAAGCACTCGCCCCGACTCCTGCATCTGCCCATCTGCATGCTCCCTCTCCCATCAGGGGTTTGAGCATTGGTAACTAAACATGTGAGCCACACCCCTGTCACACATCCTGTGAGGGGGATCAGGGAACTCTCCCATTTCACCACGATCCAGCCATCTCCAACCAGTCCCGAGCTCCAACATTGGGGATTACAATTTGACATGAGATTTGAGTGGGGCCACAGATCCAAACCATATCGGGAGCAAAAGGGTAAGGTTTTCATCTTAGAAATGTTTCTTTGAGTGCCATATAGAGAATGGGTAGAGGACTAGAAGCTGTGAGAAAATTTGGAGGTAGCTGCAGTATGCTAGGATTCATGGAAGCAGAATCTGCAAGCACTCACAGAAAATAATATTTTCAATCGCAGAGATTTCACAGGTGTACGTGTACGTGGAAATATTGATCTTATGAGCCACACTTGTTGCCTCTTGATTATTTACAGGCACTTCTGGAGGCATATGTGCTTCAAGCCTAAGTATAACTAGTCAAAATAAACTGGATTTTTGAAAGACTTTTTATATAACTATGTTAGGTTGTTCAATTCAGGACTCAGCACAGATGTCAGAACTTTTATTGTAATTAGGTTGTTGTCAATAATTATGTGTATTGAGCATGAAATGAGAAATTGTGGCACATTAAAAAAACAAAGCTATATAAATGAATAATCTAACAAGGCTGGCAAAAAATGATCAGTGTAGAGCTGCTTTAATCAGAGATCATTTAGGATCAGCACATTGTAAGAAATTGGTTCTCACAATGTTTCTCCATTCTAATTAATTAACGTCTTTTTAACTCACTAATTTGCATAAGAATCTCCCTTTGTCGAGTAGTAAACAGAATGAAGTTGCAGCCTTTATGTGCCCAACAGGTGTAGGAATTACTTACAGTGACGGATGATGTTGTAAAAAAAGTTTCTTTTAGTTTATTTTGCCCACTGGAAGAATCTATTATCTTTTGAAGATAATAGATACTTTATGGTTTCAATTTTGAACAACACTCTTAAAGGAAGATAATTGCCAACTACCTTGCCTTTAAAGGGGAAAAAAGATGAGAGCTTTGCTCAAAACAATATTGTGAAATACTTAGCTTAGACAATGAACCACTTTATTTTGAGGCTTTGGGAGTAGTTTTAGGGTTGTTATCACATGACTGACATCACATGATCATGTCGATGAAGAAAGCAGATTAACTTTATATTCTGTAAGAAATAGGACTGGTAACAATTTATTGAGTTGAAGGGGGGGTGGTTTTTTATAGAGCATGTGACAATCATAGCAGCCTAAGGAGGATGTGACTTATGAGTTTCCTTTTTGTTTAAACCAGGAGTTTCCAAGGGAGATAATACAGTCAGAGTTCTCAGTTTCTGTTTCCAGTTGGGCCAGTAAAGACCCTTCCTCATCCCTCTTTTCCAGTTATCACTAGAGACAGAAACTAAAAACCTAAAACAAAACAAAACAAAACAGAAAACAACAACAACAAAATAAGGTGAGCTGGAGAAGTTTGGTTTAATCATTAAGTTATTCAACAGATATGATTGTTGTATTTTAATTGCGTAGGTTGTATTCTTTACAAGGGAGCTTGACCAAGAGGGGTTGCTCTATTGGCCAAGTCGGGTATCTTGGCTGAGAACCACAGTTGCCAGTTACTGTTTTGGGTGCTTAGAATATATCAATGAACAAAAGAGTGAAAAACCCTTGCTGTAGTATAAGAAGATGAACCCCAAACACAACTGGTAAATTATGTAGTTTGTTAGAAATTGATCAGTGCTATGAAATAAATTAAAGCATGAGTACAGTGTGGGACATTACCATTTTAAATAGGGTTGTGAGGGTTGGCCTCATTGAGAAAGTGACTTTTCATGAGAAATTTTAAGGCAGCATGTGAATGAGCCTTAAAGGAATGTGATTATGGGACCTGAGTCACTTGACAGACAGCTACACCCTCTGCAACTGTAACCTAGGAAGCAGTGACCCTTGTTCTTCTAATGATAGATTAGCCTTTTCTTTACCTACAGTATTCTTTAAAATGTTGTAAAAGAATACAGGGTGCAAGAGAAGAAGACTCTTCCCTCTTCACTGTTAATATATTTATTATAGATTAGCTTCACTCTTACTTCTCTTACACAAAGACCTTATCATTATCAAACTGTTACAGAAAAGCGTTCTGGATCCAGACCACAAGAGAGGGTTCTTGGATCTCACCCAAGAAATAATTCAGGGCAAGTCCATAGAGTAAAGTGAAAGCGAGTTTATTAGGAAAGTAAAGGAATAAAAGAATGGCCACTCCATAGGCAGAGCAGCCCCGAGGGCTGCAGGTTGCCCATTTTTGTGGTTATTTCTTGATGATATGTTAAACAATGGGCGCATCATTCATGCCTCTCCATTTTAGACCCTGTAGGATATCTTCCTGACATTGCATGGCATTTGTAAACTGTCATGATGCTGATGGGAATGTATCAGTGAGGACAACTGGAGGTCACTCTCATCGCCATCTTGGTTTTGGTGGGTTTTGGCCAGCTTCTTTACTGAAACCTGTTTTATCAGCAAGGTCTTTATGACCTATATCTTGTGTTGAACTCCTGTCTCATCCTGTGACTTAGAATGCATTAACCATCTGGGAGTGCAGCCCAGTAGGTCTCAGTCTCATTTTACCCAGCACCTATTTAAGATGGAGTGGTTCTGGTTCCAATGTCTCTGACAACATTGTCTAAGGTGGAATGTTAAATATACATTTAGATTGTGAAAGGAAAAGAAAAACAACTGTAACTAATCAAATTGTTGGTAACTCATAAACTAGCCTTGTAAAAAACATATTGTAATCCTGTTAAATTTATTTGTTTTCTGCCTGTATAAACAAGACCTAACTTTTCAGTTGTAGAGCACTGTCCCCATTCCTTTGGAGTCTGTGTTACCTTAATGGCCATTCTCAACTTAGAGCTTGAATAGAACTCTTTAAAACTGGATTCTGGTCTTTTTGATTATTTCAGCTTAACAGCAAACTCCCAGCTCACTTCAGGAAGAGTGGTCTAGGCAAAGAAATTAGCCAGTGCAAAGTCCCCAAAGCAGGAGAGAGCCTAGAATGTTCACAACAAAAAACATGAATGTCAGGGATGATAATCATTTTGTAGCACAAAGATCAGAGGCTTTAGATTTACATGACCTGAATTCAAAGCCTTACTGCACCTGTTACTAACTTTGAGTCTTGTTTAGCTAAGTGTATTAGTCTGTTCTCATGATGCTAATAAAGACATACCCAAGACTGGATAGTTTATAAAGGAAAAAAGTTTAATTGACTCTCAGTTCCACATGGCTGGGGAGGCCTCACAATCATGGCAGAAAGTGAATGAGGAGCAAAGTCACGTCTTACATTGCGGCAGGCAAGAGAGCTTGTGCAGGGGAACTCCCATTTATAAAACCATCAGATCTTGTGAGACTTGTTGACCAACACAAGACCAGTATGGGGGAAACCACCTCCATGATTCAATTATCTCCACCTGGCCCCACCCTTGACTCATGGGGATTATACAATTCAAGGTGATTTGGGTGGGGACACAGCTAAACCATATCACTGAGTTACTTCACCATTCTCACTAAGTTACTTCACCTTTCTGTGCTTTAGCTGCTGCTTCTGTAAAATTGAGAAGAGAGGATGTTTTGCAGCACTGGCCTAGCAAGAATGGATTCTTTCACATAATGGAATTATTATCATGTCGTAGAAGATTGATTTTGTATGACAGGTAGAAATAGAACTTGAAACCAATATGGGAGTTAAGGGGAGCTAGCGTTCCAGTGGGAGATAGTTTGACCCAACAATCATAGCAGTCTGGGGGCAATGGAGTGGTATAATGAGGAGTAATTGAGAAGCTAATAATATAGCATTTGTATTCTATATTATTTATTCAGTGCCTATTATGTGTGAGACTCTGACATTCATTTTATATAGTTACACAGTTTCTCATTAATTCAGACACTAAAAAAGTCAATTTAGTCTTTTCTGTCTGCCTCTTTCTCCCCATATTGAGAGAATTTTCCACAGCAATTTAGTTCTCATCCTTCCTTTTGTAGATGGAGCACACCATTGCTGCTTCTTTATCTGGAGAGTTGTCTTTGTAGTTGCTTAGTTGATCAAAGCAAAAAGATCATTCTTATATTTGTCCTTAATTTCATAAACTCCTCAGGGAAAACCGAACATTCATTTTTAATTTTAACTCTCCGTAGTTCTTGGTACAGTAAATATTTAAAAAGCTGTTTACTGATTAACTGAAACTGAGTGGAGATCAAAAGAAAAGGGAACAGAGAAGTCTGTTTCCTCTCTTGTGTGTACTATTTTAAATTAATGTGCTTGACTGAGGACGTGGGTACCAGAATAATTGGCAGTGGCCATAAATAGATATTTTCTGGTTTTGCGAAATGTCGGAGACATCATTTCACCACATGTAAGATTCAGCTATCATGAAAAGATACATTTGTGCTTTACTTTGGGTGCATAAGAAATGTGTTTGCATCATTTTTTATGGTGTGAGATAATGGTCTGGGGGTCTCCGTATTGTTTATAGCACTGGTCCGTTAACTTGATGTCTTCAGACATTTAAAAATTAAATCACACAAATGTATTTAATAGCTGCATCATATATATTTAAGCCTGTTCATAGACATTCTATTTACTGCTTTTTGATTTGATTTTTCACTGTGATATGATCATAGAGATAACCAACATATCACCAAAAAATTATTTTATCTTCAACATTTCCTGACATAGTGGGTGGAGTAAAAATGTCTAATGAGTGAACATTCTTTCTTAGGGTTCAGAGAACAAGTAGAATATGCATAGCCAAAGGCCAGAAAAGCAGAAACTCTGAGAAAGGGAGAGCATGTCTTACCTGGTTTCTCCCTTTTGTGCCACCACTTCATGTGACCTCTCTGTCTGCCCTCATTCCACATACTTCCTGTGGGCTGTGTTCTTGGGTTGATTTGAGAAAGGGATAGAGACGCTTTATTACCAATGGCCGCTAGAAGTTGCTAGCTTCAGGTTAGCTCTTCATTCATTTATTTATTTTCCAAGAAAACTGTAGTTCTGCTTTCAGGAGAGGAAAGGACACTGCCCTGAAAAGAGGACTTGTCCTCTGCTCTCTGGAGGTCTCACTGTTTTCATCTTTTTAAACTCCAAGTGAAGATTATTCTCTTTTAAACACAGCAAACATGAATCTTAAAAATTCCCATCCAACAGATTGCTTAGGGCCTTCTACTGTAATTGAAAAAAGTCCCTTGTATTGTTCTATTTAATTGATCCAAATTGGAGAACAATGAATATAAGTTTCCTATGACATTTCTGCCAGTAGGTCCTAGGCTGTCCTTGTGCTGATGAGCCAGAAAGTTACTGTGAAGTTCTTTCCAAGCTGTTTTCAGTTAATTTAAGGAGGAAAAAAAAGCCAACATCTAAAGCAATAAACTTATGCCCACTGGGCTTCATAGCATAAGACCTTAAGTTGCTGAGATATTTTCTCCTTAATGTATATATACTGGACATGTCAGCTTTGCAAAACCCCACAGAGAGCTCTAACATATTGATTAATCAAAGTAAACAAAACAGATGCTTTTAATCTTTAATAAACAGCAGAACAATTTGTTTACTCTCCTCTGTCCATTTGCTGTGTCATTATTCTTAATAATTCTCTGGATGCAACAATTAGACTATGTCATGATAGACAAATCAATTGTATAAGCAGACTCAAAGTAATTTTTCAAGTGTTATTTAAAATGTTTAGTCAACAAAATAATCTGTTAGGAAAGTTACAAAAGAGAGGTGTTTTGGCTTAGACTAACCAATGGACTGATAAACTTGAAAATAAATGTCACCGTCATTTCAAGGCATCTGATTCTGCACATCCACCACCATTAATGGTTCATATAAATGACTCCTTTGGAGAAGATCAGTACCTTCTTTAAAAAAAATCAGATTGGATGTGAAGAAGATCAATACCTAATTTTAAAAAAAATCAGATTGGATGCTTCCTTTGATACAATTCAGTTTTTCAAAGGATTTCAGGGTAGAGTAAAGCAGAAGCAGAAAACTGAAGCATTCTTTGCCACTGTTAGGAAATAATTGTATTGATCTTCACTTGAATTTTACATCTAGCTCTTCAGAAGCACTGTTTATCCATTCATCATCAGTCAGTGAATATGTGTGTATTAGCCTGCTCAGACTGCTATAACAAAATATCATAAACTGGGTAGCTTAAATAACAAACATTTATTTGTCATAGTTCTAGAGGCTGGGAATTCCAAGATCAAGATGCTAGCCAGTTGGGTTCTGGGTGAGGGACTGCTTCCTGCCTTGTAGACAGCTGCCTTTGTTGTATCCTCATATGGTGGGGGTGGGGGTAGTGGGGAAAATGTGATAGCCCTGGTTTCATCTTATAAGGACATTAATTCCGTCATGAAGACCCCACCCTCATGACCTCATCTAAACCTAATTACCTCCCAAAGTCCCCACCTCCTAATACCATCACACTAGGGGGTTAGGGCTTCAAAATAAGAATTTTGGAAGGATGTAAACATTCAGGCCATAACAATATACCTACTAAGCACTTGCTAGTGCCCTAGCAGGGTGCTGTGCTAGGACTGAGAGTGCTCAGGGATGATGAAGTTCCCAAATAGTTTAGTGAAAAAGACAAGAAATGTCCAAAGGCATAGGACAGGTGATGTGGGGAGTTATGAAAACATGCAGGAATGGGGTAATACCTAACCTACCTCATGAGGTGTCTGTCATTTCCATCCTATTTTAGTTGTAAAAGTAAAGAATGACAGTGTCTAAATATTTTCCTCCATCCATGTCTTTAGCCTTTTAAATTTATTTCCTAATCCCATCCTTCCTATTCAAAAACTGCCACATTATAGCCATACTTTGTGCTATAAATAATTATAAACTTTGGGTTTTAAGATCCCCGAGGCATAGCCATGTATGACTTCCTTTCTATATGGAAATATAATGCAGCATTTTCCCAAACAACATAACTGCCTTCTCTCTGTCTGCCTTTTCCTTTAGGGTTTCTAATAATCTTTGGATTATAATATGATAGTACTTTTTCTAGGATGGTTCCAGGATTTCACATGGGGTCAAATTTTGCATTCCATCTAAATGGAACATCCAGTCTCCCCTGCCTCTCTCACAAAATCTTGTCACTGATCTCACAAAGAATGAGAGTGACAGAGTGTAGATGCTTGGAGTCTTCTTCACCTATGCTTGCTGAAAGGCATCCTTTTGTTTATGAAGGGAAAAGCCAAGAGGTACTCTGAGAATAGGCCCTGAGGGAAAACAACATTCCTTGACTGTCTTGGGGAGGTTCTTGAGGGCTGATCCTGCCTAGGGTTGATTTTGTTGGCTCGAGTGAGAAGATACATAGCTCCCTACCCCCATCCCCAATCTAGTAATCTTACTCCTGATGAGTAATGTAGAAATATTTTTAACTTGAAGGATTGAAAATATTTGCTATGGGGATTATGATGTTTGGCTATTGCTGGAGTAAAGTGAAGGAGGTTATATATGTTTGTCATGTTAAGAAACCAGCAATTGTGAATGTAGGCTGCAATAAACATGGATAGAGCTTGCAAATTTTTGCAAAACTAAAACTGTAGTTATTGGTTCTTCCTCTTCATTTCAGGATCCATGGCATTCATTGATTGACTCTGGATGCAATCCAGATTCTTCAACATTATGTCTGTTTCTGAATACTGTGGGTTATCTTTGACCTAGAGGCAGAAAAACCTCTGCTGTCTGGTGTCCCAACTGTTAGCAAAAGGACTGATGTGAAAGTTGATATAATGAGCAGAGGTGTGGTTTCGGGGAGTGGGCTGGCTCTGGACCCAGCCTGCCTGTCATGCAGATCCTGATTCCACATTTGCTAGCTGTGTAAATTGGCCCTTTACTTAACTTCTCTGTGCCTCAGTTTGCTCATTCACAAAATGGAGCAATGATAGTACCTTCCCAGGATCAAAATTGTTTCTCACCTTAAGAGGTTTTTGGGAGGACTAAATAATGTACGTAAAACATATAGTACAGTGTATAGCACATAATGAACATTTAATAAACATTAGCTATTATGTGAGAAGTTCTAGAGTCTCTATGAACCTTTACCAGGGAATTCAGCTAAGTCTGCTTTATTGAGGAGCCCTTGTCACCTTCATTTATTAACTGTGGAACATTAAAGCCTTTTTCACAATACATTAAGCAATCTAGAATATTAATCTGAGGCTTCATCTAAATTAACAGGCTCTGTCCTAAGCCTGTATACTGTATTAACCCATTCTTGCACCACTATAAAAAAATACCTGAGACTGGGTAATTTATAAAGAAAAGAGGTTTATTTGGCTGACAGTTCTGCAGGCTGTAAAGGAAGCATAGTGGCTTCTGCTTCTGGGGAGGCATCAGGAAATTTACAATCACAGTGGAAGGTGAAGGAGAAGCAGGCACATCTTACAAAGCCAGAGCAGGAGTAAGAGAGGAGGGTGGGGGAAGTACCATACACATTTAAACGACTAGGTCTCACAAGAACTCACTCACTCCCTATCACAAGATCAGCACCAAGCAAGAAATCCGCCCCCATGACCCAGTCACCTCCCACTAGGCCTCACCTTCAACATTAGGGATTAAAATGAAACATGAGATTTGGGTGGAGATACAGATGCAAACCATATAATATACTAAGCAGAAAATATATCCAGAGTGTCTTTAAGATTTTTTTTTCCAGAAAAAGGCTTTGATTATGCAGTAACATTTGAGCAGCCTTTAATCTGTGGGAGGATTATGCACTGTCAGTTTGGAACTATATAAACCCTTGAGGTATATGTTTTGTGTTCCAGCACCTTAGTGTTTTCAGGCCCTATCTTTATAAACTTGGTACGTCAGACCGTGAGTGAATTTGGGAGCGATCACATTCAATCATTGAAAGCATAGAGAAGTTACTATTCTGCCACCAGCAACACTTAGAACAGTGAACCTAAGACTGGGCTGTAAGAAAGGAAAGATAAAAGAATGAAAGTTTATGATGAGAGATAATATTGTTTGAAACTGTAAGTTGCTATATAAATTGCAATAAAATATATTATTTATATCATTAAAATAGGGGAATTCACCTCCCTAAACAGGAGGCCTTTGAATTTTTAGGCGTTTGCTATCACTTGTAAGTCTAGTGATTGAGGGACTTGCACTGCCCTCTGCTTCCCCTAGAATTATCAGCACAGAGTGTATGTCAACAAGACACATAGTTGTTTTACTGCTGCAGCTGAACCGGGGTGTTCTCAGGAGGACAATATTTGTGAAAAATAAGCTAGCAGCAAGTTCATATCTAGCTCCCTGGGGTCATTCCTCAAAGCCTACTGATGAGGCAAGTTTACAGGATCCACTCTCCCGAAGCCAGCATTTGATACCAACACCTTTGGCAGTGAGAAGTGTTGCCATAACTCCTAAGTGTGGGCCAAAAGGGTGGGTCAAGAAAGGCTCGATGTGATTTATCTCATAAGGGAAAGAGAAGACAGTTAATGATCTCATCCTTAGCTTGGAGGCTTTGCAGTGCCTTGGCAGATAGACAGTGGCCTTGGGGCTTAGCTTGAAGAAAGCTCATGTCAACAGAGAGAAACACTGTGACCACCTGTGTACTTTGGCTGGAAGAGTGTGTACAAAACAAGTGCATACAGAGCCCTGGGAAAAACACAGGGAAACAGAAGTCAGGTAGGGGAGGCAGAACAGTCTGGCTCTTCTCATAGAACCCATGAACACAACTTAGCAACACAACTCATATGGCCTGGCCTACCTGCCCAGGTCCACTGTAAGGTCAATGGTGAATCTGGAAGGAAGGTGGCTGCCCATGAGCTAACACCACAGAGGGATCCTGAGGCCAGCATTGAGCTTGATGGGTGGTCTAGGGTAAAAATGGGAAAAGAATCTGAAGTACAATGAAGGATAGGTTCCCAGGAAGGTTGAAGGTCAAGTTGGAGATGACACTATAAATGGAAGATAAGCATTGAGCTTGCAATCAGGGAGGTCCCAGAGGCGCTGATGGTTTGAGATCAATGCTGTAAAGGTAGAAGGTGCTCCTGCTGCTGGTCCCTTCTAATGCTGGGGATGTTTGTGTGGCAAAGTGGGGATAGAGGACAGGAACAGAGGCTTAAAGAAGGTGTGCGGGCAATGTCTACTCAGAAACCAAACTTTCTTACCCATCACACTCGAAGGACTTCACTTAGGCAGCAACTTAAAAAAATAATGCATGGACTTTAAACATAATTATTCCATTACGATTTAATTTGGCTATTCTTTGAAGAAGTGGGAAAGGAACCTTTTTCACTGATACAAAAAAACAAACTTGCACAGCCGTGATCACTCTAATCTTGTCTTGTTCTTGGTTTTGTACCTCTTGGCTTTAGACAGGTGCACAGATTACATTACCTTTAGATAAACCGATAGTAATAACGCCATTCATTTGTAGAGTGCTTTACAAAGGATAAAGTGTTCTCACTTCCACGACCTCATTTCCTCCTAGTAAGTCTGTGAGCTATTATTATCACTCCAATTTAAAAGATGAAGCTTATTTTATGGATGAGGTCACAGGGCTAATAAGGAATAGATCCAGGACTAGAATCTATTATTACTTCATTTCTAGTACAACAAAGAAAATGTATTGTTTCTGAATTTTAGGTTGAAACAATCTCCATTACTAGATTTCAGCTGCTTCTATATATTTATTTTAGTTTAATTGTCCTTTTCCCCTTTTCTTACTGTACTTCAATGAAAAATGTTTATGTGAGTACATGTGAAAGGAACCCAAATGATATATAATTTATACTGAGGACACACTATCAACACCCTCAGCCTGCACTTACCCAGGCCTGTTTCCTATGGAATTGAAATCTTCTTAAGGTCAAGTGGCCATTTAGAGTTCACTCCTTTTGAAAGCATTTGGTTAATACTTAATTCACTGGGCAAGGTATTGTCATGTACCGAGTGATCATCTGAGGCTTTGAAAGAATGCTCACACTGGTTTACTTCCATAGTTTGCTGATCTTGGTTTCTGTGCATTTAATATTATTTTTTATTCATGATGGTTTCACTTGATTATGTTTCTTGGAGTGGCACTCAATTAAGGTGTGTAGCCAACTCTGGGCCCTGAGCTGTCAATGAGGCTCTGGTCTCAGCTAGGATGTGTATTCTGTATTCTTGGCAATACAGGTAAGCGTGTGAAGTGCAGTGGTTGTAGGCCAGCAGAAAAGACAATGACCTCACTGCACTTATCACAGTGGCATATCTGACTGCTGAGAGAATAATTTGAACCATATCTCAAGTAATTTCATTTTAAAAAATTAGACATTTCTCTGAGGCTTGATACCAGAGAGGAGAGAACAGAGATGTTCCTGGAACTACAAGTGGAAAAAGTTATTTTGAACTTTTATTATTTGGTGGCAATAGAGAATTGCCTTGGATTTAACTCATCTCATTAAGCATTCTTCATGCTGGAGGCAACAAGATTCAGAAGTTTGATTTTGATCCGTATTTGTAGTGAGAACATTTTGCAGATGGAGACATGGTTATAGGGAGCTGGGTTTGTCTGAAGCATAATCCCAAACTGTAAAGTGCTCAGGCTTGCTGGACTGCCCTGTAAGGCAAAGTGAGATGAAACCACTGAAGTTAGATTTGAGGAATAAACTCTGAAGATTCCTTGCCTCTGAAAAACAAATCTCTGCTTTCTTAAATCTTGGCATTATTTTTTTTCTTCAGGATTTTGATAGAAAGGTCTGGGTGTTTTATTTGCTTAAGGTGGAGCTTATCTGGAGAATGGTAGCCAGTTGACATTTTTGAAGAAATCAGTTTACCTGATTGTTTCACAGGCACCTAGTGGAAACTAAGGACCAAAAAGATTAAGATATGTCTTGGGAAACTTATTTTGTGCAAGTTTTGAAGTGGGTCACTGTTTGGGAGTAAGAGCAGAATGGGTTCTGAGAAAAAAGGAAAAATTATAACACCAGAAAATTATTGGGTTTGAGATGAGAGAGGCTGGCAAATGGAAGAAGGAATGTTGCAGCTGAGAGTGAAAGTTGAGATAGATGACAGGGGCTTTTGTCTTGGGTATCTTGGATGTGCTCTGATTTGAGGTGGGCCACCAAGTTGCTTTTTATTTTTTATTTTTATTTCTTCTTTTACTTAACTCCCAATGATCTACAAAAAGACATCAGATTGTGTTTGTTTCACTGGCAGCTAGAAACATGGGTCCTGAATTTTGGAGAGAGGGTTATGCTCATTGGGAGTCACAGGCACGTAGACAACAGCTCTCATCAGGAAAGAAGCCTAGGCCATTCAGGGAATTGATGTACCATGGAAAGGCCAAGGACAATCGTGAGTCACAGCAACACTTATGGGCTGAGCAAAGGAAGATGTGTCAAAGCTGAGCAAAGGAAGATGTGTCAAAGCACTTCCATGCGTAGGAAGGCCATCCGAAAGGTAAGAGGGTTTAAGAAGGAGGAAGCAGTACACAATGATAACTGCTGTGGAGAACTTAATGGTTAGGGTGTATTATATCTTTGAGTTTGAAAATTAGTGAGGGCCTGGTGTTTTTAGCAGAGAAGTTTCAGTAGAGTTTTGGGGGCAGAGTCACAATCTGATGGTGGAGGAGTAAGTGGTAACTGGAGAAGTGGAGTAGATTGGGATGGTTTAGAGTCTAGATTAAAAAACCAGGATGCCTAGGCTGGAATTCCTGCTTCGCCAGTTTAGTAGCTGTGACCTTGGGCACATTAGTAACCACTTTGTACTTCAGGCTTTACAACTGGAAAATGGCAGTAGTAATGACTGTGAGGATTAAATTGTATGTAAAACACTTAGAATTGTAGATGTCCTATGGTAAGTGCTGTCTACAAAAGTGTTATTATGCTTTAGAGAAGCTCCTCTGAGAAGAATAGTTAAGAGGCAAGTGTATGAGTTTTCTATTGGTACATAATACATTACCATCCACTTTGAGGCTTAAACCAACAGCCATTTATTATCTCACCGTTCTGGAGGGTAGGAGCCTGGGTAGAGCTCGTTTCTCACAAGTGTGAATCAAGATGTTAGATGGGCTGTCTTCCTTTCTGGAGATTCTGGGAAGAATCTGCTTCTGAACACACTCAGGTTGTTGTCAGAATTCGGTTCTTTGTGGCTGGAGGACTGAGGTCCCTCTTTGCTTGCTGGGGTCAGACAGGGGCCACTCTCAGCTCCTGGAGGTTGCCCACATTCCTTGCCATGTGCCCCCCTCCATCTTCAGAGCCAGCAATAGAGACTGTCCCATGCTCTCTCTCACTTCAAATCTTTTTTTTTTTTTTCTGTCAAGGGAAAGCCCCATCCCTTTTAATGGATCAGCTGTCTAGGTCAGGCCCACTGAGGACAATCTTCCTTTCTTATGGTCAACTGTGGCATATAACATAAACTAACCACAGTGGTGGTATTCATTATATTCACAGGTTCCTACCATACTCAGATGGGAGAAGATCATACAAAGCATAAGTCATCAGGATTATCTCAAAATTCTTCCTATCACAGTGCAGAAGGTTAGGTTTTGTGTGGGGTAGATTCATATATTTGCAGGTAGAGGGAAAAATAACAAGTAGAGAAGGGGAGATTAAAGATATTAGAGAATTTTTTTCCCTGGAGTAATACCTTGAAGTGGTTATACATAGGGCTAAAGACAGAACTGTAACATTGAGGAGGAGTAGGGGCATCTCTCAGACAGCAAGAAATGAGGTTAGAATATATAATATTGTAGTACTTGATGTTGAGCAAGCAATCTCAAAACCTGTGGCATATAAAAATGACCGATTATTTCTCTTGCATCTGCAGGGCTCAGCTGATTTGGGCTGGACTCCTGCATGCACCTGTGCTTCAGTCAGCCCTATCACATGTCTGCATGTTGGATCTGCTCCTTGGTTCTCCCATTCACCTCCTGGTATCATCAGGCAAAGCTCAGGCAAATTCTTCTCAGGGTGATGACAGAGGCACAGGATTTCTTGTGGCACAGGATTTCATCGCCACCTCTGCCTCATTCCATTGCCCCAAATTGGTCATATGTCTAGCTCAATATCAGAGTGCAAGGGCACCACAAAGATATGGTGAGCAGTGAAGGACTAAAGTTATTAATGCAACCTACCAGAATGACAGACAAGTTTGGAAACAGAGATGTTAGAAGGGATGAAATTCACACCTAGTGGCATCTTAAGTTTTTGCTAGAAGCCTATGGAATTTAAAATTTTAATTTGAACATGTGGAAAAAAAGGCAAAAAGAAAAAATCTCTGAATATTTAGAGAGAATTCTAGTTTGGCTTGATTAAAGAAAGTGTAAAGGGGATTTGCAGTAAAGTAGAAATGTCATTTGAGGATAGATCAGGGAGTGATTAAATGTTAAGATGATGTGCTGGATATCTTTCTTCCAGATTCACGTTCTACTCTTTTCTATGTTATGCCCCAGGATGCTGCCCTGTATGGACTGTTCTTCCTTGGTCACTGGGCTCCAGTTGAGTTCAGCCATCAAGGAGCACCAGAGGTGATGGCATGTAGCTGGGGAGTGAGGTCTGGGTTTGTTCTCTGACCTTCTTCTCTGCAGGTTGGCTGAGTCCCTCTACAATGGGCCACAGCTCCTGTCAAGCAGCCCTCTCCACCTGTTATCCCCTCTAGGTTCTGGCAAGTTCTGCTTTCTCTTGCTTCTTCAGGATTAGGAGTAGAGAGGTTCTCCATTATCATTAGCCTCCGGATCCTACTTTACACTTGATGTCCTTCCACTCTGCCTATACTTAGTATGCTTTCACTAAACTCTCCTCAGTCATCCAGCTTGAGTCATCTGTTTCCTGCTGAGACTGACTCATGCATTAAGGACTTGGGACTTCCAATGAGAAAAAAACGGGTTAGGAGAAGGCTAGAACTGGACTGTGCTGTGGGAAGATTAACACAGAAGCCACATATACAGAGTATTAGAGTAGACAGGAAACCATGTAGGAGTCTCACAGCTGTCCTGGAGGAAGAGTGTGAGGGCCTAAATTGTAGATGGGGTTGTGGAAATGGAAAGGAGGAATGGGTGCAATAGCTATTGTGGGTGCAGAATGGATTCATACCGTGACATTTGGTAAGCATTTAGATGGTTGGAATGAAAAAGCATGATATTTCCAGAATTTCCAGGCTTGGGAACTAGGAAATTAGTAATGCCATTACTAATCCCTAGAAGAACTAGTGATCACAAAAGAATAAGATGTTCTAGTTTTGACATTTGGAATTTTCCATGTAATGTTCAGTGTCTTGTATATGATATGAAATGTTGAGCTTGGAAGAGAGATCAGGGCTGGGAGTAATTTGGACATCGTTCACATAGGCTCAACAATTGAAGTCGCTGAACTAGGTAAGATTGCTTAGAACTAGAATGCAGAGGGAAGAGAGTAACAGAAACAAACAAACAAACAAACAAAAACCCAGAAAAATAATGACATGGAGGAATAAGAAGACCAAGAGAAGACAGAGATAAAAGAGTGATCAAAATTTAGATTCAGAGACAAGAGTTTAGTGTTTGAGAAATTTTTAATAACGAGGGTATTAATAATTTTTAAACATGGTGTCACTTTACAAGGGTTGTGGTGGAAGTCTGAGCATGGTGGCTTGAGGGGTGAGGAGAGGGAAGGAAGTAACAGCAAATGTAGACTCTTCTTTCAGGACATTTGATTCCATATGACCCCTAAGCCTTTTGTGTAAAAAATTTAGGCATTGCAGGCCATTAGGTCTCTGTTGTGATGATACAACTCTGTCATTGTTGTGTGAACCCAGAGACAATATGTAAACAGATGGCCCTGGCTGTGTTCTGCGAAAACTTTATTTACAAAAACAGATGGAGGTGGGATTTAGACTGCTGGCCATAGTTTGCTAAGTGGAAGTAGGAAGACAGTTCAGTACATGTAAAAGGAAGTGCTGAAGTTGTGAAGACAAGTCAGGGTTTAGGGAAGGGTTTTATTATTATTATTTTGTATATGAGAGACAGTAACCAAGTTGAAGTGCAGGGAAGAAGCTGATGGGAAGATGAGGTTGAGGAGATGGGGAATAATTAACCCAGCAAGTCACACAGAGGAGGAAGGACAGGAACTGAGGGCATGAAATGCATGGTCTAGGCTTGGTTTTACAATTTTTGAGACTGGAGAGAAGTGAGGAAAAGAACAGACACAGACTTATTTCTTCAGCTTAACGTTTATTTCAGCCCTCCTTTTGTAAACTTGTTTTAAAATAAACTAATTTTTTCAGGATTAGGAGGGTATTTGCTTGTTATTTTTTCTTTGTTTTTATTTTATTTTCAGGGCTAAGCATCCTAGCATGGGTTTTGGATTGTCTCATGAAGACCATGGATCTGGTGTGCTACTTAAGAAAATTCTGAAGTGCAATCTTTTTTTCTTATTTTGTTCTTAGGCTCCTTTATCATTCCATTTCTTTTCAACTGAAAGTTTTTTTGACCAAGTTTTTTTTTTGTGTGTGATGACACTTGGAGGCAAAAAAAACCTATAGAAACACAAGGAAGCACCAGCCGTCTGTGTCCCTGCAATTCATAATATCTCCTGGGTATTGTTGCTGTTTATCTTGCTTCTTTGCCCATTATTCTCCATTGATTTATATTATTCAATCAATGAATATAGTCCTATATAAAAAGAACCTAGGTCAATGGAACTTTGTGTTTAAATCTCCTAGGAGGAATAGTTGTTTGAAGATAAATTCTTTGGAGAACCCATTTGTGAAGTGAATTCAGCCCTTTACTTCACCTGTTTTGAAAGTTTTTCCATCTATAGACTTTCCTTAAATGGAAGCAAGCCTGTCTATACTTTTTGTTTGTTCTACCTCTCTCTCCCACTATCAGTTGTCTAGCTGGGGGTGGAGTATAAGCAGAGAGGAAGACTGAAAGGATAAAATAAGGAATGAGCCCGCACATAGTAAACCTTTTAGTTTTTGCTTAAGAATAGTTTTTCACCCTATATTTCAGAGAACTAAATACTTTTGATGATCTTGGGATATTAGTTTGGAAGTTTTATTCATCAAAGATCACTAAGATCATTACCAAGTGCACTAGTTGGATCATCAAATCCAAGATTTGTTTTTTAACTCCGGATCATTCTCATGGGACAAATATCCCAGCTTCCAAGGAAAGAAGAGTCCCAGAGAACCGTTGCTAATGGTTCCCTCGCTTCCATGCCCAGCACACTGCCCACTTAGGGGCTCTGACTGGGGCAGGCAATTAAATTGACATAAAACAGATTAGCAGGAAAAAAGTGTACAGATTTAAGCCTATAATCCCAGTGCTTTAGGAGGCCGAGGTAGAAGGATGACTTGAGGCCAGGGTCTCAAGACCAGCCTGGGCAACATAGTGAGACCCCGAGACCCCCATCTTTAAAAAAAATAAAAAAATTAACTGGGTGTGGTGGCCCACACCTATAGTCCTAGCTACTCGGGAGGCTGGGGTGAGAAAATTGCTTGAGCCCAGGAGTTCAAGGCTGCAGTGAGCTATGATTGTGGCAGTGCATTCCAGTCTGGGCAACAGGGCAAGACCCTGTCTCTAAAAAGGAAAAAGCATACAGATTTGTACATGAACATGAGAGTAATCTTCATAGGAAAATAAAGACCCAAAAAAGCAGTTAGAGTCTAATAGAGTGCTCATATATCAAGTTGGACGAAGTAATAAATTGTGAAAATGTGACAAGGCAAAGGAGCTTGGGCTAGGGTAGTCAGTCATGAAGAAGTGACTAAGAAGATAGGGGTTAGTTTAGCAAGACTTGTACAGATTTTCCTCAGCCTTAACTTCTTGTTTTTCCTGTCTTTGGTGACAAAAATGATACTTTCCTTCTGGTACAGGGAGAGCATCTTTCACATGGGAGTTTAGTGCTTTCAGGAAAAAAAGGAAAGTCAGAATGTCCTTTTTGCATCTGCTCTTTTCCAAGTGCTTTTAACTCAAAATAGTCAATATGCCAAGTGGCATCCTTTGGGGGTGGCATGCTCTGAATTCCTTCGGTCATTAACACACAAGTTTGTTTGAAACCCAGTTTTACTTCTCCCTCTATAATGAAACAGCTTTCTTTTATGGAGCTCTTTCTCTTCAGAGTATCACTTACTTAATAAGAGGTCTTTGGTCAAAGTTTAAGCTCTGATTTACAAACATGATTCCCTTTGTCGGTTTGTGTTGTGTCTGTCAGTAGACTTGGTCTCCACCTCTTGGGATCACCTTCCCCTTACATGGAACGTGGAATTCAACTTACGGTGGAAACAAGAAGCATTAAACCATCTGTTGAAAATCTTAAACAATCCGGAAGTAAAAACAAACTAGATAAGGCATTTTGGGCTGGAGTGCACATTCATTCCACATGTGAAATAATGTAATGTGTGCTATGTTGAGGTTAATTCACACTTATGCAACTAGTTGGATCTGGCAAAGCTGGCTTTAAATATGGAATTAAAAATATATATTTCCAGATTCGAATAGGTGTAGTCGATAATATGTGGCTGGCTGAGCCAAAACCATTCTCAAATTTTAAAAAATACAATTTCAAAAATGTATTTAGCTCTCTAATGAGAGGTGATTGAGAACAATGAGGAGCAGTTTATTGTGAAATCTGCTTCATATTAGCTCTGGGATCTTGGACAGGAGACACTTGAGCCTTCATTTAAGTGTCAATGGGATAAATAATCTCTTCCCTAAGTACCTGTGATGTAGAAAGGTCAAAATATGATGAAGCATTTGATAAGCTATAAAGTTTATATAGTCATTCACCCTTTAACATTGACAGAGAATCTATTAAACACTATGCTATATTAGTAGGCTGAATATAAATAAAGATAAATGATATACTATTTATCCTCTAAGAATTTATCATCTTATATAGTCAGTGTGTAGGGAAGGTAGACACGTAAACAAACAAATACAATCCATTACAAATGTGTGGGAAAAGAATACAGTAGAGATTTTAAGTGGTCAACTCAGTTGAAGGAGTCAGGAAAGCAAATTCGGGGCCTTTTTTAGCG
Source organism: Homo sapiens (assembly GCF_000001405.40). Classification (NCBI taxonomy): domain Eukaryota; kingdom Metazoa; phylum Chordata; class Mammalia; order Primates; family Hominidae; genus Homo; species Homo sapiens. The sequence continues at coordinate 74,586,058 of NC_000008.11, forward strand.
GGGGTGAGGAGTTGTCTGGAAAGCTGATTGTTAAACCTTTACCAGCATGCCATTGGACCCATCTGATACAGACCCTTGAACACTAGATACTCAATGCAATTAAGTTCATGATATTGATTTTGATACATGTTTTACTCTTTTAAAGGAAACACTTTTAGAAAAGAAAGTGATAATTAATTAAGTATAAGCAAGGGGTAAAACACCAAAGTTGCCTGGAAACAGAAGCATTTTATTAGGTGAGATAAAAGCCATAAAAACGATCTCCTATTGAATTAAACAGTTCTAAGATGGAAAGGAGGATACGATTAGATTAACACAGTAGAAGAATCTAACTAAATTTCTATCGAAGGTGATCTGAGTAGGTGTTTCTAGACAGGGGGAAATAAGGTAGGGTAAATAGGGGTTCTTTTCAGGCAGAGGCCATTGATATCAAAGATGCATGTGCATGTAATAGCATGGCTCTTTAGGAGAACTGAGAAAATAAACATGTAGGTTTTCTGTTCTCAATCAATTTGTATCAGATGCATTAATAGATATAGTGATGATATTAAGGCAAATACCAATAAAACCAAGGGGCGATGAATTCTTTATGAGATCCCAGAGGATATATGTATTCTAAACGGAATACATATTCTGAATGTATTCTAAACGGAAGCCAATAGTGCAAAGAGTGAAATTTGAAATAGGTTTCATAGTGTGATGAGAAGTTATGAGTGGATGGGAAGAGTCTTTTAAGAATGCTTGGTGTATAAAAAACATTATTTACTATGTTTGTATGGGACAGAAAATGTGTTTAGCAAGAAGTTAAAGTGATTTTTTGGGCATGCATTTGTTACAAATAGATATGTGAGAAAAAATAAGAATTTTGAGTTTTTCTGAAAGAATACTCAAATCACCAAAAATAAATTTGAACTTCAGTGGTGAAGATTTTGTCCATCTTGTGCAGTTGCTCATGGTGACTTCCATGAAATACTCCAAATAGAATGTCTTTACTTGGTCTGTGAGAAATGGCCTAGGGAGTCTTGTTTGATTGCATCGCAAATTGAACAGGTGGCAGACACTTTTACTTAAAATCTCTTCCTGTGTTGACTATTGCATTTCCCATTCTAATATCTTTTTTTAAAGTCTCAAGGGATTCTATATATTAAACCACAGTTTACTTCTCAAAGATGTAGGACCATATTGCCTACCATCTGTGTTTCTGAACTTTTTTCCAGAAAAATATTCATTTAATTTGTCCCCTGAGTTTTAAAAATTCTCCAAGAAATCTCTATCCTCTCCTTATGACTGCATATCCACCATCGTATTCTTTCATTATATTACTGCTAGTCCTCTAAGCTCAGCTTTTCTTACTCTTTCCCATGGCTCTGTACTTGTTTGGGTCCCTTTGCCATGTGCCCAGTTTTTATCTAACTTGAAACTTGGTCACTTGCAACTGAGTCACTGAGTTATTTCCTTTCCTTAAATATCATACTGAAAAGAACCATCGCTCGAAAGATTAATTGAAAGAAGTGCGTTATTTTCTAAACTAGTAAGGTCAAGCTCTCCCTTAGGATTTAAAGTCCTTCAAATTCTCTTTTCATGTTTTGTTAACTTTTTGGGGACAAAAATGGGGAGAGGCACAGCCTCAAAAATAAGGACTGTGTTAAGTGGTAATGACATTTCCTCTAATATTTTTATCAAGTCCAATTTCTACTCTTTTATTAACATTTCAAAATTAACTTTTAAAATATATTCCATCCTGGCTAACACGGTGAAATGCCGTCTCTACTAAAAATACAAAAAATTAGCCAGGCGCCGTGGCGGACGCCTATAGTCCCAGCTACTTGGGAGGCTGAGACAGGAGAATGGCGTGAACCTGGGAAGGCGGAGCTTGCAGTGAGCCGAGATAGCGCACTGCACTCTGGCCTGGGCGAAAGAGCGAGACTCCGTCTCAAAAAATAAATAAGTAAATAAATAAATAAATAAATAAATAAATAAATAAAATATATTTTTGATAATATTCTTTATCCCAAAGTTTATATTTTTAAAATCATTTGTCTAGGCTGTATACTTCTCTAGTTAGTCAGATAGTGTAACACCACAGTTTTAGTTTTATAAATTAGCAAAATGCCTACTATAGTACTCAGAATTCATTTGGCTTAGATTATAGTTCTATTAAATCATGTAGTCATTTTCAAACTTTTAGCTTATATGTGAAGGTTAAAATCAAATTTCTTTTTTTAAATCAAGCAGCTAAAGTTTTGCATACGTTAATTAAAATTAACAAATTGGAAAATATCTGTGTTGCATCTATTATGAACAAGACACTTTTGTAAGTATTTTAAGACTTATGAAGATGCAGATCCTGCCCTCGAAGTGTACACAAGGTCTTAGGGAAAATAAGACTGCATAAATAAATTACTGCAAAGCAGATATTGAAATGTGACATAAAAATGTTAGGTGATATCAAAGCAGAGAGGATTTCAGTTCACTTGGAAGCATTAAAAAAATGCCCATGAAAGATATCTCCTATAAGCTCATGTTCAAAGGCTGTTTAGGAGTTTGATGTGTGGCGATGAGGCAAGTGCTTTCCAGAGAGTGAGTAAATGAACAAAGGGGTAGGAGTCCATGTTGAAAAATGAATCAGTAGTTCTTTACACACAAAATGCATTAAAGAAAACATGGAACAATAATAGAGTGAGAAGTTTGATTCAACCAATATAACGGTGTGCTAGAGTTAATTGATATTGCCTTGTGAGAGCTGTTAAATTTTCAGGAATCTTGTTAGATAGTTGATATCATTTTGATGGCTTGAAATTAGCTATGGTAATGGGAATATGTATACCATAAAATTGAGCAAATTCAGGGCCTTTTCGGGTGGGGTGGAGGAGCTGTCTAGAAAGCTGGTTGTTAAACATTTAGCCTCACACTGTTATGTCCATCTGATATAGAGCCTTAAATGCTAGATTTGAGTTTTGATTTATGGTCTACTGTTTTGTTTTTTGTTTTGTTTTGTTTTGCTTGTTTTTTTTTTTGTTTTTTTTTTTGAGATGGAGTCTCTCACTGTCACTGGAGTGCAGTGGTGCAATCTTGGCTTACTGCAACCTCCGCCTCCTGGGTTTAAGCAATTCTCCTGCCTCAGCCTCCCGAATAGCTGAGACTACAGGCACGTGCCACCATGCGCAGCTAATTTTTATATTTTTAGTAGAGACTGGGTTTCACCATGTTGCCCAAGCTGATCTTGAACTCCTGATCTCAGGTGATCCACCTGTTTCAGCCTCCCAAAGTGCTGGGATTACAGGCATGAGCCACCACACCTGGCCTGGTCTACAATTTTGAAGGAGATGCTTTTAGAAAAGAAAATGTTAATTAGTTAGATATAAACAAGGGGTAAAGATGCCAAAGTTGCCTGAAAGCAGAAGCATTTTATTAGGTAAGATAAAAGCCATAAAAGTATCTTCTATTGAATTAAACAGTTCCAAGATGGAAAAGAGGATAAGATTAGTTAACACAATAGAGGAATCTATTAAATAGCTAAACAACATCTATGCATACAATAAATTCCAACCATCAGCAAAGAGCCATAGTTACCGCAGTGAGTGAACAGCTGCCACAAAACCCTATAGGTTGCAAACATATGGTTCCCATCGCTTCTAGTCTGGGAAGAGATGAAACAAGCTACTCTTCGTTGTTTCTTTCTAGTAATGACTGGAGGAACTACCTGCATGGTGGTATTGTTCCCTGATGACTGGAGAAGGGTGTGGAGGGCAAACTTCTGGAAGATGAACTACTCTCTCTCCTCACTGATTAGTGCTTTACTTACAGCAGAGCTCCCATCACATCACGGAGCCTTGAAGGAATCCCTGGAAGAAAAGTGCTGAGTTCCATAGATCATTTCCTGTTCTTCCTATCTGATGAGAAGAAATGCTTTATTAATTCATCAGGAATGACCTTGTTTACCAGAGAGGGAGGAATTCTATGAATAGCTCAGTTTGAGTGACATTCTAATAATCATAAAATAAGCATGAAATAATTCTTTTTTAAAAATCTTAACAAATGGCTTCAGGCTTTCAGGCCTTTAGAAAACAAAAAGAACAGAACAAGAAATGCTACTAACCACTTTGGAATCCAGGGTAGAGATTCTTAACCTGCATCACAGCTGGGCTTCAGGGCATGTGTGGAAACAAAGACCAGGGAAACAAACACTAAGGTTTTTTTGTGCGTGCCCATGTATTTTTCTTAAAAGAGGAACCATAGGTTTTACTGGATTCTCAACGGGGTCTCTGTGAAGCCTCCTGGCCACCCAATCTGCCAATCTGCCATTCTTCCTTGTACCACCTGAAAGATAAGAATTACTGGCTTGAAGCCCATTAACAAGTGGGCAAAGGACATAACTGACACTTCTCAAAAGAAGACAAACATGCAGCCAAAAAACATGAAAAAAAAGCTCAACATCACTGATTATTAGAGAAATGCCAATCAAAAGCACAATGAGATACCATCTCACGCCAATCAGACTGGCTATTATTAAAAAGTCAAAAAATAACAGATGCTGGAGAGGCTGTGGAGAAATAGGAATGCTTTTACACTGTTGGTGGAAATGTAAATTAGTTCAGCCACTGTGGAAACTGTGTGGTGATTACTCAAAGACCTAGAGGCAGAAATACCATTTGACCCAGCAATACCATTACTAGGTATATATCCAAAGGAATATAAGTCATTCTATTATAAAGATACATGCATGCGTATGTTCATTGCAGCACTATTCACAATAGCAAAGACATGGAATCAACCTTAATACCCATCAATGATAGACTGGATGAAGAAAATGTAGTACATATACACCATGGAACACTATGCAGCCATGAAAAGGAATGAGATCATGTCCTTTGCAGGGACATGGATAGAGTTGGAAGCCATTATCCTCAGCAGACTAACGCAGAAACAGAAAACCAAACACCACATGTTCTCACTTATAAGTGGGAACCGAATGATGAGAACACATGGACGCATGGCAAAAAACAACACAAGCTAGGGCCTGTCAGGGGTGGAGGGGAGGGAGAGCATCAGGAAGAACAGCTAATGGATGCTGAGCTTAATACCTAGGTGATGAGTCAAACAGTGCAGCAAACCACCATGGAACACGTTTACCTATGTCACAAACATGCACATCCTGCATGTGTACCCCTGAACTTAAAATAAAAGTTGAAGGGAAATAAAAAGAATCATTGGTTTGGTCATACTTCAATGTTTCTAGGAAATAGGAGGAATATTTATATATTATATATATAAATATTACATATATTATATATTATATATATAAATATTACATATATTATATATTATATATATAAATATTACATATATTATATATTATATATATAAATATTACATATATTATATATTATATATATAAATATTACATATATTATATATTATATATATAAATATTACATATATTATATATTATATATATAAATATTACATATATTATATATTATATATATAAATATTACATATATTATATATTATATATATAAATATTACATATATTATATATTATATATATAAATATTACATATATTATATATTATATATATAAATATTACATATATTATATATTATATATATAAATATTACATATATTATATATTATATATATAAATATTACATATATTATATATTATATATATAAATATTACATATATTATATATAAATAATATTTATATTCCTTTACCAAAAAGAGGATTTATGTATTTCCAGAAGTCTTTAAGCTTTTAAAAAAATTTATAATTGTTATGGGCACACAATAGTTGCATATATTTATGGGGTACATGTGATATTTTGATACAAGCATACAATGTGTAATGATCAAATCAGGGTAATTGGAATATCCATCACTTTAAGCATTTATCATTTCTTTGTGCTAAGAACATTTGAATTCCATTCTTTTAGCTACTTTAAAATATACCACAAATTATTGTTAACTATAGTTACCCTATTGTGCTACCAAATACGAGTTCTTATTCATTGTATCCAACTGTATTTTTGTACCCAGTAACCATCTTCACTACCCCTTCCAGCCTCTGGTAACCATCATTCTATTACTTCTCCATGATTTAAAATTTTTTTTCAGCTCCCTCATATGAGTGAGAACATGTGATATTTGTCTTTCCGTGCCTGGCTTATTTCACTTAACATAGTGGTTTTTTTTTTTTTTTGGACTAGACACGAGAAAATCTTTTAAATGTTTTGAGGTATATATATTGTCATATATTTTCTCTTTTGGTGCTTAGACCAAACCTATGAGATAAATAAATAATGTATTATCATTCTTACTAGCCTGCATTGAGAACTACAGAAGTTAGCACTCAGTGGTTCTTAACCTGGACTACACATCACTTTGGAATTTTACAAAAGCTGTGATGGTCAGGCCCTATCTCCAAAGATTCTGATTCAATGCATTTGGAATGGAACCTAGTTATCCACATGTTGTATAAAGTTCCAAAAGTGATTCTCTGGAAACTGTAGTTGGGTTAAGTGCTCTGAGAATGGAACTTGTGTTTCACAGAGCTGGAATTTGAACCCCTGTCCCCAGGCATGAGATTGTTACATCTTTATATCACTCTGCCAGTTAGACAACTAAGTAATAACAAATTGTCCTATGAGGTTAGTAAGACAGGCCATATAATAAACAGAAGCAATTTTTTAAAAGCTTCATTTAACTTGAGAAGTAAAGCGATACTCCAAACAAGGATTTCTGAACAAAAGTACTAGAGCAATGAATAACATCATAGAGACAAGAAGGGATGACAATTGCTAGATGAGAACTGTCACCAATTCCAGAAAAAATTAAGACTTTAGACCAACTTTTTAGTCAGTATGAAACAAAATTTAATATGGATAGTAATTGTCAGAAGAGCAACTTTATTCAAAACTTTAAAAATATGTGGTTTTTCTGTGATTTGAAAATCTGTTACTTTGTTGCATTACCACATTGTGGTAAATGTCTTACTGTTAAACCTGTATGACATGAGGTACTGCCTTGTTAAAACAAAGAAGTAAAGAAACCTAGAAAACTGAAAATAATTGTTTTATGGTCTTTGTCTACTAATTCTAACATTTGTGTTGGTTCTGGATTGGTTTAGATCGATTTATTTTTCTCATTATGGGTCATATTTTCTTTTTCCTTTGCATGCCTGATAATCTTTGGCTTTACTCCAGACACTGGGAATGTTATACTTTTGAGTGTTGGATATTTGTTGTATTCTTACAAATATCTTGAGCTTTGTTCTGAGATGTAGTTAAGCTGCTTAAAAAAATTTTGAACCTTTTGACTCTTGCTTTTAAGATTTGTTAACAAGGGCCAGAGCAACATTTAGACTTGGGCTAATTGTTATCTACTAGGGAGACAAGAATCTTCTGAATACTCTAGGCAATGTTCCATGCTATATGAATTTTTTTTTCCCATCTGGCTAGAGGGAACAGGTACTATTCCCAGCCCTGTATCAACATCTCTAGGGGTCCCTCTAATGCTTTTAGATAATTCCCTAGCCTTGGAGACCTCCTTCATATGCACATGTTCTTCAGTGCTCTGCTAAATACTCAAGGAGGAAGGACTCTCAGATGTCCAGGGTTCTTTCTCTGTGCAACTCTTGCCTCTCCAGTGATCAATTCTGTGAACTCTATAGCCGGTTGGATTTCCGCAAAGACTCAGCTCTGTGTCTTCAACTCAGAGAGTCTGCTGACTTCGCCTGGCTTCCCCTATGCTACATCTTAGCCTGGAAACATTCTGAAGGGAGTAAGCCCGGCAGTTAGAGTGCTCCTTTTGTTTGTTTCCTGTCTCTCAGGAATCAGGGATCACTAGACTTCATTGCCTGGTATCTAGTGTCTTGAAAACCATTGTTTCATATATTTTGTTTGGTGTTTTTGATTGATTCAGATTGGAAGGTAAATCTGATTCCTGTTACTTCCTCTTGGATTGAAATGAGAGTCTAGAAAACTGAAAATAAAAATGATTAATCAACACATATTTAATCACTTAAGTTATAACATTTTAAGTTATGTATGATGTACTTTAAGGATATAAGATAGAAAGAATGAAGAATTAACAGAAAAAAATTAGGTAGGGGGTTAGAGAAGAAAAGTTTACCAAGTGACTATTGTATGATAAGCTCCTTATTTATATTGTTTTATTTCTTTTTTTTTTATACTTTAAGTTTTAGGGTACATGTGCACATTGTGCAGGTTAGTTACATATGTATACATGTGCCATGCTGGTGCACTGCACCCACTAACTCATCATCTAGCATTAGGTATATCTCCCAATGCTATCCCTCCCGCCTACCCCCACCCCACAACAGTCCCCAGAGTGTGATGTTCCCCTTCCTGTGTACATGTGTTCTCATTGTTCAATTCCCACCTATGAGTGAGAATATGCGGTGTTTGGTTTTTTGTTCTTGCGATAGTTTACTGAGAATGAAGATTTCCAATTTCATCCATGTCCCTACAAAGGACCTGAACTCATCATTTTTTATGGCTACATAGTATTCCATGGTGTATATATGCCACATTTTCTTAATCCAGTCTATCATTGTTGGACATTTGGGTTGGTTCCAAGTCTTTGCTATTGTGAATAATGCCGCAATAAACATACGTGTGCATGTGTCTTTATAGCAGCATGATTTATAGTCCTTTGGGTATATACCCAGTAATGGGATGGCTGGGTCAAATGGTATTACCAGTTCTAGATCCCTGAGGAATCGCCACACTGACTTCCACAATAGTTGAACTAGTTTACAGTCCCACTAACAGTGGAAAAGTGTTCCTATTTCTCCACATCCTCTCCAGCACCTGTTGTTTCCTGACTTTTTAATGATTGCCATTCTAACTGGTGTGAGATGGTATCTCACTGTGGTTTTGATTTGCATTTCTCTGATGGCCAGTTATGGTGAGCATTTTTTCATGTGTTTTTTGGCTGCATAAATGTCTTCTTTTGAGAAGTGTCTGTTCATGTCCTTTGCCCACTTTTTGATGGGGTTGTTTTTTTCTTGTAAATTTGTTTGAGTTCATTGTAGATTCTGGATATTAGCCCTTTGTCAGATAAGTAGGTTGTGAAAATTTTCTCCCATTTTGTATGTTGCCTGTTCACTCTGATGGTAGTTTCTTTTGCTGTGCAGAAGCTCTTTAGTTTAATGAGATCCCATTTGTCAATTTTGTCTTTTGTTGCCATTGCTTTTGGTGTTTTAGACATGAAGTCCTTGCCCATGCCTATGTCCTGAATGGTAATGCCTAGGTTTTCTTCTAGGGTTTTTATGGTTTTAGGTCTAACGTTTAAGTCTTTAATCCATCTTGAATTGATTTTTGTATAAGGTGTAAGGAAGGGATCCAGTTTCAGCTTTCTACATATGGCTAGCCAGTTTTCCCAGCACCATTTATTAAATAGGGAATCCTTTCCCCATTGCTTGTTTTTCTCAGGTTTGTCAAAGATCAGATAGTTGTAGATAAGCGGCGTTATTTCTGAGGGCTCTGTTCTGTTCCATTGATCTATATCTCTGTTTTGGTACCAGTACCATGCTGTTTTGGTTACTGTAGCCTTATAGTATAGTTTGAAGTCAGGTAGTGTGATGCCTCCAGCTTTGTTCTTTTGGCTTGGGATTGACTTGGCGATGCGGGCTCTTTTTTGGTTCCATATGAACTTTAAAGTAGTTTTTTCCAATTCTGTGAAGAAAGGCATTGGTAGCTTGATGGGGATGGCACTGAATCTATAAATTACCTTGGGCAATATGGCCATTTTCACGATATTGATTCTTCCTACCCGTGAGCATGGAATGTTCTTCCATTTGTTTGTATCCTCTTTTATTTCATTGAGCAGTGGTTTGTAGTTCTCCTTGAAGAGGTCCTTCGCATCCCTTGTAAGTTGGATTCCTAGGTATTTTATTCTCTTTGAAGCAATTGTGAATGGGAGTTCACTCATGATTTGGCTCTCTGTTTGTTGTTGGTGTATAATAATGCTTGTGATTTTTGTATATTGATTTTGTATCCTGAGACTTTGCTGAAGTTGCTTATCAGCTTAAGGAGATTTTGGGCTGAGACAATGGGGTTTTCTAGATATACAATCATGTCATCTGCAAACAGGGACAATTTGACTTCCTCTTTTCCTAATTGAATACCCTTTATTTCCTTCTCCTGCCTAATTGCCCTGGCCAGAACTTCCAACACTATGTTGAATAGGAGCGGTGAGAGAGGGCATCCCTGTCTTGTGCCAGTTTTCAAAGGGAATGCTTCCAGTTTTTGCCCATTCAGTATGATATTGGCTGTGGGTTTGTCATAGATAGCTCTTATTATTTTGAAATACGTCCCATCAATACCTAATTTATTGAGAGTTTTTAGCATGAAGTGTTGTTGAATTTTGTCAAAGGCTTTTTCTGCATCAATTGAGATAATCATGTGGTTTTTGTCTTTGGCTCTGTTTATATGCTGGATTACATTTATTGATTTGCATATATTGAACCAGCCTTGCATCCCAGGGATGAAGCCCACTTGATCATGGTGAATAAGCTTTTTGATGTGCTGCTGGACTCGTTTTGCCAGTATTTTATTGAGGATTTTTGCATCAATGTTCATCAAGGATATTGGTCTAAAATTCTCTTTTTTTGTTGTGACTCTGCCTGGCTTTGGTATCAGAATGATGCTGGCCTCATAAAATGAGTTAGGGAGGATTCCCTCTTTTTCTATTGATTGGAATAGTTTCAGAAGGAATAGTACCAGTTCCTCCTTGTACCTCTGGTAGAATTCGGCTGTGAATCCATCTGGTCCTGGACTCTTTTTTGTTGGTAAGCTATTGATTATTGCCACAATTTCAGATCCTGTTATTGGTCTATTCAGAGATTCAATTTCTTCCTGGTTTAGTCTTGGGAGAGTGTATGTGTTGAGGAATTTATCCATTTCTTCTAGATTTTCTAGTTTATTTCCATAGAGGTGTTTGTAGTATTCTCTGATGGTAGTTTGTATTTCTATGGGACCGGTGGTGATATCCCCCTTATCATTTTTTATTGCGTCTATTTGATTCTTCTCTCTTTTTTTCTTTATTAGTCTTGCTAGCGGTCTATCAATTTTGTTGATCCTTTCAAAAAACCAGCTCCTGGATTCATTAATTTTTTGAAGGGTTTTTTGTGTCTCTATTTCCTTCAGTTCTGCTCTGATTTTAGTTATTTCTTGCCTTCTGCTAGCTTTTGAATGTGTTTGCTCTTGCTTTTCTAGTTCTTTTAATTGTGATGTTAGAGTGTCAATTTTGGATCTTTCCTGCTTTCTCTTATGGGCATTTAGTGCTATAAATTTCCCTCTACACACTGCTTCGAATGTGTCCCAGAGATTCTGGTATGTTGTGTCTTTGTTCTCATTGGTTTCAAAGAACATCTTTATTTCTGCCTTCATTTCGTTATGTACCCAGTAGTCATTCAGGAGCAGGTTGTTCAGTTTCCATGTAGTTGAGCGGTTTTGAGTGAGATTCTTAATCCTGAGTTCTAGTTTGATTGCACTGTGGTCTGAGAGACAGTTTGTTATAATTTCTGTTCTTTTACATTTGCTGAGGAGAGCTTTACTTCCAACTATGTGGTCAATTTTGGAATAGGTGTGGTGTGGTGCTGAAAAAAATGTATATTCTGTTGATTTGGTGTGGAGAGTTCTGTAGATGTCTATTAGGTCTGCTTGGTGCAGAGCTGAGTTCAATTCCTGGGTATCCTTGTTGACTTTCTGTCTCGTTGATCTGTCTAATGTTGACAGTGGGGTGTTAAAGTCTCCCATTATTAATGTGTGGGAGTCTAAGTCTCTTTGTAGGTCACTCAGGACTTGCTTTATGAATCTTGGTGCTCCTGTATTGGGTGCATATATATTTAGGATAGTTAGCTCTTCTTGTTGAATTGATCCCTTTACCATTATGTAATGGCCTTCTTTGTCTCTTTTGATCTTTGTTGGTTTAAAGTCTGTTTCATCAGAGACTAGGATTGCAACCCCTGCCTTTTTTTGTTTTCCATTTGCTTGGTAGATCTTCCTCCATCCTTTTATTTTGAGTCTATGTGTGTCTCTGCACGTGAGATGGGTTTCCTGAATACAGCACACTGATGGGTCTTGACTCTTTATCCAATTTGCCAGTCTGTATCTTTTAATTGGAGCATTTAGTACATTTACATTTAAAGTTAATATTGTTATGTGTGAATTTGATCCTGTCATTATGATGTTAGCTGGTTATTTTGCTCGTTAGTTGATGCAGTTTCTTCCTAGTCTTGATGGTCTTTACATTTTGGCATGATTTTGCAGCGGCTGGTATCGGTTGTTCCTTTCCATGTTCAGTGCTTCCTTCAGGAGCTCTTTTAGGGCAGGCCTGGTGGTGACAAAATCTCTCAGCATTTGCTTGTCTGTAAAGGATTTTATTTTTCCTACACTTATGAAGCTTAGTTTGGCTGGATATGAAATTCTGGGTTGAAAATTCTTTTCTTTAAGAATGTTGAATATTGGCCCCCACTCTCTTCTGGCTTGTAGGGTTTCTGCCAAGATATCCGCTGTTAGTCTGATGGGCTTCCCTTTGAGGGTAACCCGACCTTTCTCTCTGGCTGCCCTTAACATTTTTTCCTTCATTTCAACTTTGGTGAATCTGACAATTATGTGTCTTGGAGTTGCTCTTCTCGAGGAGTATCTTTGTGGCGTTCTGTGTATTTCCTGAATCTGAACGTTGGCCTGCCTTGCTAGATTGGAGAAGTTCTCCTGGATAATATCCTGCAGAGTGTTTTCCAACTTGGTTCCATTCTCCCCATCACTTTCAGGTACACCAATCAGACGTAGATTTGGTCTTTTCACATAGTCCCATATTTCTTGGAGGCTTTGCTCATTTCTTTTTATTCTTTTTTCTCTAAACTTCCCTTCTCGCTTCATTTCATTCATTTCATCTTCCACTGCTGATACCCTTTCTTCCAGTTGATCGCATCGGCTCCTGAGGCTTCTGCATTCTTCACGTAGTTCTCGAGCCTTGGTTTTCAGCTCCATCAGCTCCTTTAAGCACTTCTCTGTATTGGTTATTCTAGTTATACATTCTTCTAAATTTTTTTCAAAGTTTTCAACTTCTTTGCCTTTGGTTTGAATGTCCTCCCATAGCTCAGAGTAATTTGATCGTCTGAAGCCTTCTCTCAGGTCGTCAAAGTCATTCTCCATCCAGCTTTGTTCCATTGCTGGTGAGGAACTGCGTTCCTTTGGAGGAGGAGAGGCGCTCTGCTTTTTAGTTTCCAGTTTTTCTGTTCTGTTTTTTCCCCATCTTTGTGGTTTTATCTACTTTTGGTCTTTGATGATGGTGATGTACAGATGGGTTTTTGGTGTGGATGTCCTTTCTGTTTGTTAGTTTTCCTTCTAACAGACAGGACCCTCAGCTGCAGGTCTGTTGGAATACCCTGCTGTGTGAGGTGTCAGTGTGCCCCTGCTGGGGGGTGCCTCCCAGTTAGGCTGCTCGGGGGTGAGGGGTGAGGGACTCACTTGAGGAGGCAGTCTGCCCGTTCTCAGATCTCCAGCTGCATGCTGGGAGAACCACTGCTCTCTTCAAAGCTGTCCAGACAGGGACATTTAAGTCTGCAGAGGTTACTGCTGTCTTTTTGTTTGTCTGTGCCCTGCCCCCAGAGGTGGAGCCTACAGAGGCAGGCAGGCCTCCTTGAGCTGTGGTGGGCTCCACCCAGTTGGAGCTTTCCGGCTGCTTTGTTTACCTAATCAAGCCTGGGCAATGGCGGGCGCCCCTCCCCCCGCCTCGCTGCCGCCTTGCAGTTTGATCTCAGACTGCTGTGCTAGCAATCAGCGAGATTCCGTGGGCGTAGGACCCTCCGAGCCAGGTGCGTGATATACTCTCGTGGTGCGCCGTTTTTTAAGCCCGTCGGAAAAGCGCAGTATTCGGGTGGGAGTGACCCGATTTTCCAGGTGCCGTCTGTCACCCCTTTCTTTGACTCGGAAAGGGAACTCCCTGACCCCTTGCGCTTCCCAAGTGAGGCAATGCCTCGCCGTGCTTCGGCTGGTGCACGGTGTGCACAGCCACTGACCTTCGCCCACTGTCTGGCACTCCCTAGTGAGATGAACCTGGTACCTCAGTTGGAAATGCAGAAATCACCCTTCTTCTGCGTCACTCACGCTGGGAGCTGTAGACTGGAGCTGTTCCTATTCGGCCATCTTGGCTCCTCCCTGAAAGCTCTGTTTTATTTCTTTTCTTTTTTTTTTTTGAGATGGAGTTTCAGGTGGGCATGGTGGCTCACACCTGTAATCCCAGCACTTTGAGAGGCCGAGGTGGGCGGATCACTTGAGGTCAGGAGTTCGAGACTAGCTGACCAACATGGAGAAACCCCGTTTCCACTAAAAATACAAAATTAGCCGGGCGTGGTTGCACATGCCTGTAATCCCAGCTACTCGGAGGCTGAGGCAGGAGAATGGCATGAACCGGGGAGGCGGAGGTTGTGGTGAGCTGCATTCCAGCCTGGGCAACAAGAGCAAAACTCCCTCTCAAAAAAAAAAAGAAAAAGGAAAAAAAAAAAAGAGACGGAGCTCTGTCAGCAGGCTGGAGTGCGGTGGCACAATCTTGGCTCACTGCAACCTCTGCCTCCCGGGTTCAAGTGATTATCCTGCCTCAGCCTCCCAAGTAGCTGGGATTACAAGTGCGTGCCACCATGCCCAGCTAATTTTTGTATTTTTAGTAGAGATGAGGTTTCACCATGTTGGCCAGGATGGTCTCGATCTCCTGACCTCATTTTCTGCCAGCCTGAGCCTCCCAAAGTGCTGGGATTACAGGCGTGAGCCACCGCGCCTGGCCTATTTAATTCTTAATAATGCTGTGACGTATAGGTGTATGGTAGAGTGAGAGACCTGGGACATAGGTCTTACTGGCCCTAAACCTGTGTTCTTTCCACAATATTCTTTGCTGCTTTACAAAAAGCCAGAAAGGCATTTAGAAATCTATTTTTAAGAACTTGTCATTTGATTATAGTACAGGATTTATAGGAATAAGGGGATTCATAAAGTCTTGAGAATTTTAATGCAGTCAGGTTGGCTAGGAACTCAGCCAATTTGTTTTCTTTCCTCAATTTCTTCTTAATTATTTGTATTTATATAAGCATCTTTACTGCAGAGGCCAAACCTCTTATTCTTAAATTCATAGTCCACTACCATTTGTCTGTAATCATTCAAGCTTTATCAAATTTATTATGTCTCAAAGCACTCCAACTGGAATTGCCATTCCTGGAACTTGTTCTTCTTGTTCTCATTTTGGTGTCTTTGTTCATGCTATTCTGTATAAGAGAGTGTGCCCATAACATAAGGGGTAGGCTGTGAGTGGCATACATTTTCCTGTCTCCTACAGAGACTGCTTGACTCCCTCATCTGTACGTGTTAAAATCACCCCACATTCCAAGGCCCAGTTCTTTAGGAAGTTTTCTTCAGTGTCTTCAATAGGAGTAAATCTCTCTCAGTTCCATTTGCCCAAGGATCTTCTGGTATAATATTGATCAAACTTTATATTGAATTATATTGATTAATGCTTTTTTGACAAATAGTTAATTCCTAATATGTGTACAAAACCTTTCTTGTTTTCTCCACTAAATCATAGCATATTTTAGGATAAGAGCTCAGTATTACTATTTTTTGTATCCCTTAGGCTACAGCAAAATATCAACACAGTAAACATTTAATTGATACTTGATTTGATGGTGAGCTGGCATTAGCTGACTGTACTTACTAATACCAGATTCTGACTGGCTTGTCTTACATTACTCAGGAGCATTATTAATCATATTTAAGTGAATAAATCTCATTATCTTCTCCCCTAGAATCATACTTCACTGTCCAAGTGAAAAGCAGATTATTCACAAGTCAATGCCTGTATTTTAGAACTTCTACTCTAGTAAATTTTAATTAGTTTTCACACTTGAAATTGTCAAAAGTGTTCAATCCAGAGAGACTCCATCCTGAATAGGGTCTGGGTAAAATGAGACTGACACCTACTGGGCTGCATTCCCAGGAGGTTAGACACTCTTAGTCACAGAATGAGGTAGGAGGTTAGCACAAGATACAGGTTACAAAGCTCCCGCTGATAAAACAGGATGTGGTAAAGAAGCTGGCCAAAACCTGCCAAAACCTTCCAAAACCAAGATGGTGATGAAAGTGACCTTTGATCATCCTCACTGCTTATTAGATGCTAATTATAATGCATTAGCATGCTAAAAGATACTCCTGCCAGCATCATGACAATTTGCAAATGCCGTGGCAAGGTATGGAAGTTACCCTATATGGTCTAAAAAGGGAAGGAACCATCAGTTCCAGAGATTGCCTGCCCCTTTCCCAGAAAACTCATGAATAATCCATCCCTTGTTTAGCATATGATCAAGAAATAACCATAAAAATAGACAACCAACAGCTACTCTGCCTATGGAGTGGCCATTCTTGTGTTTCTTTTCTTTCTTTCTTTTTTTTTTTGAGACAGTCTTGCTCCATTGCCCAGGCTGGAGTGCAGTGGCGCGATCTCGGCTCTCTGCAACCTCTGCCTCCTGGGTTCAAGCAATTCTCCTGCCTCAGCCTCCCAAGTAGCTAGGATTACAGGCACATGCCACCATGCCTGGCTAATTTTTGTATTTTTTTTTAAGCAGAGACGGAGTTTCACCATGTTGGCCAGGCTGGTCTCAAACTCCTGACTTTGTGATCCACCTGCCTCGGCCTCCCAAAGTGCTGGGATTATGGATGTGAGCTGCCATGCCCGGCCGTGTTTCTTTCTTTCTTTCTTTCTTTCTTTCTTTCTTTCTTTCTTTCTTTCTTTCTTTCTTTTTTCTATTCACAAAGAAAAAGCTCCAGTCCATTTTTAAATTTTTTTGAAAAATTCCTGACTTTACAGTACTAAACTGAAATGTATTAATATTCCATTCTTAACATTTCCATGACAGACAGAAAAATTCATGAGCCAAAACAAAACAAAACAAAACAAAACACCAAAAAAAAAAAAAAAAATCCCAGGTAGAAGCTTATAAAACTAAATATGGATCTCAGCACCAACAGCTGAACAGAGAAAGGAATTAAAACACTTTAAGTAAAAAATCACGAGTGGATGATAAAGTGTGTAGAAACTGAAAATTTACAAACTATTTAAAACCTGAAATCGCTGACTGTTCAGAAACTACACAGATGGATCATGGGTGGTGGTGAACAGCAGAAAGGGATTGTGGATAAATCTGCATTGTTCTAGCTGCTCCCCATGCCACCCGTCTCCGAGGAAAGCCTGACATTGATTAGATATTGAGCCAGGCTAATGCTGGCAGCAGATCCAGTGATGGTAACCTGCCTATCAGTAGATCCTTCCACTGGGTTCGCAATTTTGATCTGTGCCCCAGACATCTGACGGATCTCATTTATTTTGGCGCCTTGACGCCCGATTATGCAGCCAATCAAATCGTTTGGAATGGTAAGTTCATGAGAAGTAGTCTGAGCAGATGTATCCAAACCTGCACTGAATCCAGTGTTGCCATGCGTCATGGGAAAATGAGACTGTTGCATTGCCAACTGGTGCAGCATGGTCAAATCTGGCTGTGGAATGGCAAACTGTCCTTGAAGGGTATAGGCCTGACCGCCTGCAAAGATGACCGGAGAGCTGGAAGGCTTGAGCTGGTACGGGATGGTCACGCCCTTCGGGGGGGACTCCAACATGACCACACAGATCTGTTTGACACACTCAATGATGGATTGTGGGATGCCAGCAATAGTGATGGCCTGCTCAGTTGAGTTGGGTAGCATATCCCCTGCCATCTAGACCTGAGCCCCTGTACTCTCTCGTATTTCCTTGATCTTGCAACCACCTTTTCCAATGAGAGAGCCACACTGACTAGCAGGGACCACCAGCCTCAGGGTGACTGGGGGTCTAGTGGCAGCTGTGCTACTGGTCATAGAGCTGCTTATGTCCTCTTCCAGTTTGTCAATGATCATAGCAAAGCCTTTGAAGACGGCATTAGCAGGTCCAGCAAAAGTGATAATTCTCTCAGGACAATTCCCTTCTGAGATGTTGATAGGTGCACCACTCTCCTCGCGCATCTTCTTAACTGATTCTCCTTTCTTTCCGATGATACTGCCAACTTCCTTTCCATGCATAAGTAGTCGGATGGTGAGAGTGATATTTAATCCACCTTCAATCACACTGGTTTCCATGTCGAGCAGTGTTCTGGGGAGCTGGACTTTGAGTGGTCAAGTCTTTGGTCACTGATGGGGGGTGAAAGCCAAAAACTGCTGGCGCGAGGCGACTGAGGGGAAAAGGGGAATGGGCTGGAAGGGGAAGGGCGGGAGGCCGGGGGCGGAACAATAGGGGCAGGCGGGAAGGTGAGGGGGGGCCCCGCGGGCGGGCGGAGGAGGAAGGTGGGGTGGAGGAGGAGGAGGAGGAAGGGGGAAAGAGACCCCGGGGCGGGTGGGGGTGCCGTGGAGGGCGGGCGGGCGGGAGAGGGTGCAGACTGCGGCTGCTCAAGCTGCTCTGGGCCGGCCTTGTTTCTTTACTTTTTTTTTTTTTTTTTTTTTTTTTCTGAGACGGAGTCTTGCTCTTGTTGCCCAGGCTGGAGTGCAATGGCGCGATCTTGGCTCACTGCAACTTCCGTCTCCCAGATTCAAGCGACTCTCCTGCCTCAGCCTCCCTAGTAGCTGGGATTACAGGCATGTGCCACCATGCCTGGCTAATTTTTGTATTTTTAGTAGAGACGAGGTTTCACCACATTAGTCAGGCTAGTCTTGAACTCCTGACCTCAAGTGATCCTTCCATCTCAGCCTCCGAAAGTGCTGGGATTACAGGCGTGAGCCACCGCACCCGGCCGTTTCTTTACTTCTTTAATTAACTTGCTTTCACTTTACCCTGTGAGCTCATCCTGAATTTCTTGCATGAGATTCAATAACTGTCCCTTAGGGTCTGGATCAGAATGGCTTTCTGGTAACAAAATGACTGATTGTTTTTTGTCACTGTGTCTTAAGACCCATATTCTGCCCTTCATGATTATCAGTCACATGGGCCCTTGTTGCACCCTAACTTCATTTCTCTAGAAGACAGCTCTTCTTTTTGGGTTCCTTAGGACCCCGCCTTCCTCCCCTCATCAAAGATGCAGAGTCTGTGGTTTAGGTTGCCATTACTTGCATGCTATTTTTACATGAGGGGTAACTGACCGAATTTTAATACTAATTAGCTGTGATATAATACAGACACAGCAAATTCTGCCCAGGGAGGAACTTTGTAATCTGACTCAAAAGCTTCGTGGGCTAAGCAGGAGAGCATTTAACATTCACTGCTCACTGATTTGATTCCTTAGGGCATTTCACAATGAAGTATTGAAAATTTTCCCATTTATTGTGGTCTTGTGACATTTAGAAGGGAAATGGAAATAAGCTTGTGAGTATCCTATTTAAGAGTTCTTCTCTAATTTTGTAAGTTATGAGTTCCCTCACAAATTTTATAAGGAAATCTAGAGTAGTGTTAGTTGAGAAGAAAATACTTGGAAAGAAGACACTTGAAAGTAATGCCTGTGTTTTGGGGAACCACGATGAGGAAATTAGCTGCAATATGACCTTGAAAGGAAATTTTAGCACTTTGTAAATAATCAAGTTATTTGTACTGAAAGAGTTCCAACAAAGAAAAGAACATTTTTGATAGTCAAATAATTCAAATTTGAATGAATCACAAACTAGAAATAAAAAACTAAAGAACTGGAAATGATAACAAAGGCAAAATATAAACGACCTTCTAATTGTTTATTTCTCTTTAAAAGACAATCAACTGTTTAAATAAATTATAGTATCAATGTATTATTGTTGTACCTTAGCGAGTTAGAGAAAATGCCACACTTTGAGACAAATTAAGAGTCTGTTGATTTAGCCGGCGGCCAAGAGACGGCTAACACTCAAAGTTCTCTGGCCCCGAAGAAGGGGCTAGATTTTCTTTTACACTTTGGTTCAGAAAGGGGAGGTGGGGGGTCTAGTTAAAACAATTTTACAGAAGTAAAGTAGGCAAAAAAGTTAAAAGGATAAATGGTTACAGGAAAGTAAACAGTTCCAGGTGCAGGGGCTTTAAGACTATTACAAGGTGATAGACGCGGGGCTTTGGGTGTTATCAATCGGATGAATTCCTGGGAACTGTGGATATAGCTTGCCACAGTATCTTATCGGTTAATTGCATTCTTGGATGTGCTGGGAGTCAGCTTGCACAAGTTAAGTCCTTGAGGAAGGGGCTGCCAGTGAAAGAGCCAAGATGGAGTCTGTCTGGCTCTCTTAGCTAAGGGAGAGTCAATTCAGGTGGAAACAAGGCTAGGTGATTAAAGTAAAGGGAGAGTCTAAAAACAGGGTTAGTGAAAACAAGGTTGGGCATTACATTATGATATTTATAACATATGTAGAAATAAAATATGTGACAATACAATCACAGAGGCCAGCAGGGAAGAAGTAAAAGAATACTATTTTAAAGTTCTGATGTAATGTGAAAAATGGTATAATTTCACTTAAAGGTAGATTGCAGTAAGTTAAAAATTTATACAATAGTTCTCACTTATAAGTGGGAGCTAAATGATGAGAACACATAGACACGTACAGGGGAATGATAGACACTGGGGCCTACCCGAGTGTAGAGGGTGGAAGAAGGGAAAGGATCAGGAAAAATAACCAGTAGGTACTAGGTTTGATACCTGGGTGACAATCTGTGCAACAAATTCCTGTGACCTATATAATAAATCTGCTCATGCACCCCTGAACTTAAAATAAAAGTTTTAAAAAATTGTACTTTAAATCCTAAAGCAAACATTAAAAGAACACAACAAAAACATAGCTAGTATGTAACAAAGAAAAAAAGGCAGATAAAATGAAATAATAAAAAACCCTCAATCCTAAAGGCAAAAAAGGACAAATTGAACATTACCAATAGCCGTATTAAATGTAAATGGCCTAAAAATCCCAACTAAAAGGCAAAAAAATTGAAAGATTGGAGAAAAAAGCAAGATCCAACTATATATAGCCTATAAGAAACCCACCTTAAATATAATGACCCACACAGAGTAAAACTTAAAAAAAAAAAAAGATTTGCTTGCTAACATCAATCAAAAGAAAGCTGGAGTGGCTATATTAATATCAAAGAAAGTAGATTTCAGAACATAAAAATAATAGTAGCTATAAGATAATTAATTCACAATAATAAAGGGAGTGAGTTTTTTAGGGGAAAATGATATTAAACATTTAAGCACTTAATAATAGAGCTTAAAAAATACACATAACAGGCCAGGCATGGTGGCTCACGCCTGTAATCCCAGCACTTTGAGAGGCCGAGGTGGGTGGATCACCTGAGGTCAGGAGTTTGAGACTAGCCTGGCCAACATGGCAAATCCCCGTCTCTACTAAAAATACAAAAATTAGCCGGGCGTGGTGGTGGGTGCCTGTAATCCTAGCTACTTGGGAGGCTGAGGCAGGAGAATCACTTGAACCCAGGAGGCAGAGGTTGCAGTGAGCCAAGATCATGCCATTGCTCTCCAGCCTGGGTGACAAGAGTCAAACTCCATCTAAAAAAATAAAAATACACAAAACCAGAACTGATAGAACAAAAAGGAGAAATAGGCAAATCTACCATTTTATTCAGGAATTTAACCCTTTTTCAGTAATTAATAGTATAAGTGAAATACAGGTTTAGTCACTCACTGCTCATGGAGTTCAATTAATAAGAGCAAAGTCTGGTATAAAGAAAGTGACTCTTTATTACAAAACTAGCTTAGCGGAAGTACAGCCTTCCTGTCTTAAGGGTACCGCTTCACCTTTGGATCAGAAAGTGGTTGCTTTTAAAGGGGGCCTATTATGAATGGCACACAAGGGAGAAAGCAAGCAGGTGTGGGAGGTGTCTACATGTTAGCTTGGTGCCTTATCTATTGGGCAGTTGAATTGGCATCTTCATTGGCAGAAATATTAATAGATTGTAAAGGTGTCCAAAAACTCTCCAGGTGGGAGAGAATTTTGCATGGGACTTTGGGTTGTAAATTGGCGGCTGTCTCTTCAGACAGTTTCCTGGTAGGTTAAAATTTCATAGCAGGCATATTTTAGGTTGTAAGTCAACTGTTAACTCTTGGATCACCTTTTCGGTGGGTGAGAGTTCTGCTCTAGAGCTTCTAAGCACATAATTAGATGAACTTGCCCTATAGGGAGTGTCTGGGGAAGAAGATGTAAAAGGTTATAATTGCATTTCTAAAGGGCTAAATAGGAAATAGGGAATGGGGGAAATGGAGAAAGGAGAAAAGAAGAGAAAATAATTTTTTAAATTGTAACTCTTTTTTTCTTTAACAACTGGGTTACTCAGTTACGATAAGATGAAGAGAAAAAAACATCTATAAGAATATTGAAGTCTTAACACTATCAATCAGGTTGACCTTATTGACCTACAAAGAGCACTCCATCCTAAAAAATCAGAATACACATTCTTTTCAATGTATATTTTATGTGTATTTAATATATAGTTCACACTAAATATTTACCAAGATAGACCATATTCTGAATCATAAGTTAAGATTCAATCAATTAAATTCATACAAAGTATATTGTCAGACCACAGTTAGAAATCATGAATAGAAAAATCTCCAAATATTTGAAAATTATAAAGACATTTCTAAGTAAACTGTGTGTCAAGAAAGGAATGTAGAAAATATTACGAACTGAATGAAAATGAAAATACAGTATCAAATTTTGTGAGATGAAGTTAAAACAAAACTTAGTGGAAAATTTATGACACCAACTACCTGTATTAGAAAAGAAGAAAGGTCTCAAGTCAGTAATCTCAGCTTAAGTTTTAAGAAATAAGAAAAAACAAAATAAAATCCAAAGTAAATACTTTTTAATGTTACAGAACATAATAATAAAAACCAGAGCAGAAATTAATGAATGAGAAAACATAAAAGTAATAGAGAAAATTAATAAAAACAAAAGAATTTTTAAGATTAATAAAGTTAATAGGCTTTTTGGCAACCAGTGATAAAAATAAGAGTAAATATGCAAATTACCAGTGTCAGGAATAAGATATGTGACATCACTAAAGAGTTTATTGATATTAAGAGGATAATAACAAATATTGTCTCTTAAAATATGTGAATAAATTTGACTACTTACAAGAAAAGAACAAATACCGTGAAAGATAAAAATTAACAGAGTTTACTGAGGAAGAAATAGATAACCTGAATAGTCCCATATTTAGTAAAATAGTTGAATTGTAGTTAAAAATTTTTTACACAGGAAACTTTAGACCCAGATGCTTCGCTAGGGAATTCTATCAAACATTTAAACAAGAAATAAAGCCAATGCTATACAAGTTCTTCCAGAAAATTATAAAAGAGAAAATATTTTTCAACCAATTATACGATGCCAGCATTACTCAAACACCAAAACCAGACAAAGATATTGCAAAGGAAGAAAATTGCATGCCAATATTCCTCATAAATGTGATACAAACCTTTCTAACAAAATTTTAATTGATCAAAGTTAACAACATATAACAGTGATAATAAGTCAAAACCTTGTATGATTTATTCCAAGAATGCAAAATGAGTTTAACATATAAAGATCAATCAATTTAATATGCCAGATTATTAGACTAAAAAAAGATACTCTCATTTAATGTAATAAATGTATTTTATTTATAATAATAAATAAATAATAATAATAATAAATAATACTTATTCTTAACCTAAAACTCTCAGCTAGGACTAAAAAGAGAGTGCTTCAACCCACTATGAACATATGTGAAAAACCTACAGACAACATAATACTTAATGGTGAAAGAAAATTCTTTCTTCATAAGACCAGGAAAAATGTAAGAATATTTACTCTCATCCTTTGTATTTAACATTATATCGAAACTTCCAGCTAGTGCACTAAAACAAAAATAAATAAATAAATTAAAGATGTTGATATTGGAAAATAGTAGTCCTGTGGGAAATGTATGGCACCAACTACCTGTAATGGAAAAGAAAAAATGTCTGAAATCAATCATCTCAGCTTACATCTGTTCTTTATTTGCAGACAACATAATCATCCAAAAAAAAAATTCTATGGAATCTTCAAAAGATACTAGAATAATGTGTGAATTTAACAAGGTTGCAGGATGCAAGATTAATATACAAAATTTAATTGTGTTTGTATATTCTTGGAATCAATAATTTTAAATTGAGTTAAAATTCAATATCATATACAATAGTGTTCTTACTTATGAAATAGAGAATAATCTTCAAAAGGTATGCAAGACCTGTAAAATACAAACTATACAATATTGCTGAGAAAAAATTTTTAAAACTTATGAAAAGGAGAGTTATGTTCATAGTTTGGAAGATTCAACATTGTTAATATGTCAAGTATCTAAATTAATCTATAAATTTCTCAGCAGTCCTTTTCTTTTTAATAGAAATTGACATGCTCATTCTAAAATTTATGTAGAAATGCCAACCACTGAGAATAGCCAAAAAAACTCTGAAAAAAAAGAGGCAACTTGGAAGACTTACATTTCCTGCCTTCAAAAACCTTTATAAAGCTACAATAATCAAAGCAGTATGATATTGGCATGAGGATAAAATATGATGAGTTCAGAAATATACTCACACATGTACAGTTAATTGATTTTTGACAAGGAACCAAAGGCAATTCAGTGGAGAACAGATAGGTTTTTCAATAATGTTGCTGTAACAATTGAATATCAATAATTCAATTGAATAACAATTGAATAACAACACCCCACTGCCTACCTTACATCATATACAAAAATGAATTCAAAAGAAATTATAGACCAAAAAGTATCAAGCTAAAAATACACAATCTCTAGAAGAAAACATAGGAAATTGGATTAAGTAAAGACTGCTTAGATATAATACCAAAAACATAATTCACAAAATAAAACATTGATAAATTGAACATTATCAAAATGAAGAACAGCTCTTAGAAAGACACTATTAAGAGAGTGAAAGATAAGTGACAGTCTGCTAGAAAATATTTGCAAATCATATATCTGATAAAGGGTTTATACTTTGAACATAAAAATCTTTCAAAACTCAATAATAAAAATAATGTAATATTGGCAAAATATTTGAATAGACGCTACATCAGAAAATATATATAATGGCAAATAAGCACATTAAAACACTAAACATCAATTTTTCATTAGGGAAATGGAAAGTAAAACACCATGAGATACCATTGCACACCTATTACAAATATCTTATATTAAAAACACTGACAACATCAAATGTTGGAGAGGATGAAGAGAAACTGGAACTCTTATATACTGTTGGTGGAAATATAAAGCAGTAAAACTATTTTTTGAAAGAATTTGGCGATTTTTAAAAAAATTACATAAATTACATGCCATTTAATTTGATTAATAGTTGATTTTAAAATGACCCTTCCTAAATGGCCATGTGAATAGTATTTGTGAGCCTTTTGCAAGATGTCTGTTAACATCCCCTGCTGTAATGTAAAAAACACATTTCTTTAATAATCTTGCTTCAGAAAGTCTCTCATAAATAGTACATTTTATTTATTTAGACAAGGAGAATTATATAATACATAATACTTTTCTTTTTTACTTTGTAAGGACACTACGAACAAAATGTAATGTTTCATGATTATAAATCTCTTAAGCTGTGGTTTTCATTTATCTGTTCCCTCAGCTTTATGGCTCCTCATGTAAATTTGCAGAAATCCATCCATTCATCCATCCATACACCACCTATCATGATTGATAGGATGTTCAACTATTTGGAATGCCAGTAGAGGAAATTGTGAAGCAGGTTTACTCTGCACCAGTTGTTTGCCTGACTTGGGTGTGATAGAACACTCACACAAAGTTACATGAACCAAATTTGTTACTTACAGATAGACGGCAAGGGACAACCAAAGCCTGGGATTCAGGGCAAGCTCATCCCCCGAAGCTCAGGAAAGCTACTTAAGGTGAACAGAGTCTTATCTTCAAGTGCTCCACTTGCACCACAGGTGTAAAACGCCTGCCTTGGGCTTTGTACCCCAGTGGCCGCATGACACCTTGGGCAAAAGTGCTGAAGGACACCCTGTTTCTAGGGCCAACTGGAACAGAGCCTGGACTGTTCCAGCTACCTCTTCTTTATCTCACAATGTTCCATTCCCAGCACATTCTACAGGTATCCTTGAGAATTACAAGTGAGAAAGTGGAGAGAATTGGGTTGGTCCACTTCCATTCAGAGTTGGTCCACTTTCATTCAGAGAACTGTCCTGCAGACTTGTTTAGAGGTATCTATTTCAGCATTTCTCATATCTTCACTTATTAGTGTCTGTAGCTCCACCATTTCTATCTAAGCTCACTCTGAGGTAAAAGAGCCAGGATTTTAATAGAGAACTGACATACCTTAGCTTGGGTTGAGAGAATAACTGTAGTTGAGCAGCTAAATCTTCTCCCCTGCTTGCCTTCTGCTTGGACAGAGGTCATGCTCGTTACTAGGTAATTTATATACATGTAATCTGGAAAACCAAAATGCAGTCAAAGCATGAGTTATCATTTGGCTAGCCATAGAAGAAAAGAGGAGTATCCTTCTAATCATCTTTACCTTTAGAAAGTCTGGAAAATGACCATTTGTCTGAATAACTAAACTACTAGTTTTATTAAGTCTTAAAAGTCATTTTATGCTGTAAAAACATATTGCTTTTAATACATTTTAGTTATTTTTCTTTCTTCATGTGAGTGTAGTAAAAGAAGCAGGAAAAATAATCTAATACGTATCTATTAAACAAAAATGTTTTTCTGCAGTTCCCGAGAGATCCCATGATCCAGAGACAAAGGTGGCAGCTTTGGAGCAAGTGGAGAGCCAGAAAAGGATCCAGAACTGGAGTGGAAGGTGGGAAAGATCTTTGAGTGCAGCTGCACTGTGTGGGAAGACAAATATGATAATGGACAAACAGCTGTTTGAATCAGACAGTGAAACCTCACTAAAGGGAGAAAAGGGAGAGCGTTGCTGATGAGAGAGGCCACGGCTACAGTTTTGTGGGTAGAGGTTCAGTTATGAGGGCTAAAATGCTTAGACAGAAATCTCTGGGTTGAGGCTGAAAGAATTGGAGACCGGCAACTACAAATATAGCAAGTGTGTTTCTTCTTGCTCTCAAAATATACTTTTAGCACTTTGGAGTGACTGGTACTATATGAACATCACACAATATTGTAGACAATCTGAGCTTAGTATTCAAGAAGGGTAAGGCATACAATGATGATCAACTATAATATTCTTGATATTCATGATTTTGAAATCAGAACAGCTATACCATTTGCAAAGAGAGAGTCCATGTGTTTTAGGCCAGTGACAATGACTGTGTTTCTTTCATCTGCATGAGGCACTAAACTGAATGGGATGGAGATAAATAGCCTAAGAGGCTTGATGGCAGGGATTCATTTTTTTTTCACCCGAGACAGAGTCTCGCTGTGTCACCAAGGCTGGGGTACAGTGGCAGGATCTTGGCTCACTGCAACTTCCGCCTCCCGGGTTCAAGCAATTCTCCCTGCCTCAGCCTCCCAAGTAGCTGGGATTACAGGCACCCACCACCACGCCCGGCTAATTTTTGTATTTTTTAGTAGAGACGGGGTTTTGCCATGTTGGCCAAGCTGGTCTTGAACTCCAGACCTCACGTGATCCACCCGACTCCGCCTCCCAAAGTGCTGAGATTACCGGCATAAGCTGCCATGCCTGGCCTGCAGGGATTCAATTTTTAAGCCATTATCAGGATTTGTTGATCTGGTTTTGAGGTTTTTTTTAAATATGATGGTCAGATCTAGTCAGAAGCTACTGGCCATGAATTAGGTGTATTTTGGTTATGCATTGAATTTTAGATATTTACATGAATTTAATTGATGGAGACAGTAGTTTTATATATTTAGTTTTCTGAATCTTTATCAGGGACTTTTTCCTGTAATTTGAGAAATCCTAATAAACGATTTCACATCTTCCTCAAAGTAACATAGAGGATTCAAATAGTTGTTCAGATGATTTAAATGTTGTGATTTTACTCAGTTGCCTAACATTTTAAATTATTTCTCTTTCTTCTCCTTTGGCTTGGAAACAGTGGCAACAGTAACTTCTAAGAGTTGAATATTATTGAATCCTTTCTCTGATCCACCTACTAGGTTCAGTATTTTAAAAACACAAATTATATAGTCAGATAATCTTTGTTGGCCTTTTATGCCTATTAAAATATCTGTTAAAAATATTTCCTCTATTTATTTTGATCTTTTTGTCTTTTTTCTCTGCATTCAGAATCATTATCTTCTACCTGTTCTCTAAGACAGTGATTTGATTTTTGACAGTGGCTATCCTGGTCCTTGCTTTTATAATTGATCTATTTGATCTATATTGGTGCTTTTAAATTCTCAACTTATTGTCTCATTCTTTAAAAAATCATATATTTGGGTTCTAGTTTTTCTTGAATTCATATGCTTATTAAATTCTTTTATAACTTGAACTTCTCAAAGGCAAATTGTCTTCTAATCCTTGGGTAGTTTTTCTTTACATTGCTTTCCCCTTATAATATTTTCCTTTACTTGTATTTCTTTTCTTTATTTCTATTCTGATTCCTATTTCTTTTCTTTTTTTCTCTTTCCTTTCCTTTCTTCTCAATTTAAAAAATATATGCTACTTCTTTTAATCTAGCATATTTTAACAATAGGAATTTTTCAGACCAACTTTTTGCTCTGATATAGGGTGGATGAATATTTTTGACACTGTTACCACTAGGGATGACACAGAAAAGACAATTTCATCTTTTTTTTTTTTCACTAGATTGAATGCAGTTTTTCCCCATGAGACAAAATATCCCTGAATTTTCTTTTTAAGTTCCTCTTAAGAAGGTTTCAGAATTCCTCTATAGCTCAAAGCATCAAAGGAAGAACCAATTTTAATTTGACTTTGCTTTAGGTGAATTAACCATCTTCCTAGTCTTTTATTTTCTTTAACGATTTGCTGTCTCTCCCATGCTTCCTCCTTAGAACAGCTGCTCTCTAGCCTACTTCATTGACAGCACCAGCCAAGTGAATAGGTCAGAGAAGAGAGGTAAGGAAGCCAGCTGTGTGGGTTGTACCTCCCTATGGAGCCAGTTAATGACACACGGGGCTCAATCCACCATCTTCTGCTTTTCCCTACAAACTCAAATATTCTCTGAACTTCAGCTATCACCATCCTGGTAATTACACCTACTTTCACAACTCTAGCTCTAATGTCATCCTGAGAGTAGCTCATCTTCACATGTGAGATCCTTTCATAGAATCAAAGATTATTGCAGCCAGAAGCTGAGTCCACTGTGCCTCATCCCCATCTTGAAGATGAGGAAAACAGAGGACTGGCAGAAGGTGGGTACAGAATCCAGCCATGTTCCTTTTAGTCCAGTGTTCTTTCATCTCACTTTACTGTATCCACTCTTCAAACTCAATATTTCAAAATATAATTTACATTTTCCCTGATAACTAGCTCTGCATTTCAGTTTCTCAGTGTGACTGGCAACTCCATTGTCTTGTGTTCTCATCTTCTTTTTTTTTTTATTATACTTTAAGTTCTAGGGTACATGTGCACAACATGCAGGTTTGTTACATATGTATACATGTGCCATGTTGGTGTGCTGCACCCATTAACTCGTCATTTAACATTAGGTATATCCCCTAATACTATCCTTCCCCACTCCCCCCACCCCACAACAGGCCCTGGTGTGTGATGTTCCCCACCCTGTGTCCAAGTGTTATCATTGTTCGATTCTCACCTATGAGTGAGAACATGTGGTGTTTGGTTTTCTGTCCTTGCGATAGTTTGCTCAGAATCATGGTTTCCAGCTTCATCCATGTCCCTACAAAGGACATGAACTCATCATTTTTTTATGGCTGCATAGTATTCCATG
This sequence comes from Homo sapiens, assembly GCF_000001405.40. Classification (NCBI taxonomy): domain Eukaryota; kingdom Metazoa; phylum Chordata; class Mammalia; order Primates; family Hominidae; genus Homo; species Homo sapiens. The sequence continues at coordinate 74,615,975 of NC_000008.11, forward strand.
GTGTATATGTGCCACATTTTCTTAATCCAGTCTATCATTGATGGACGTTTGGGTTGGTTCCAAGTCTTTGCTATTGTGAATAGTGCTGCAATAAACATATGTGGGCATGTGTCTTTATAGCAGCATGATTTATAATCCTTTGGGTATATACCCAGTAATGGGATGGCTGGGTCAAATGGTATTTCTAGTTGTAGATCCTTGAGGAATTGCCACACTGTCTTCCATAATGGTTGAACTAGTTTACAGTCCCACTAACAGTGTAAAAGTGTTCCTATTTCTCCACATCCTCTCCAGAACCTGTTGTTTCCTGACTTTTTAATGATCGCCATTCTAACTGGTGTGAGATGGTATCTCACTGTGGTTTTGATTTGCATTTCTCTGATGTCCAGTGATGATGAGCATTTTTTTCATGTAAATGCTCATCGTCACTGGCCATCAGAGAAATGCAAATGCTTTGATTCTTCTATATTTTATATATATAATTATTTATCATGTCTGTTAAATTTTATGCTTAATACCATGTCTCACCTTCCTTTCTTTTTAAGTATTACTGTCCCTATACTCTGAGGACGTTATGTTTATATAATTGCAGTATTCTATTTTGCATCCCTGTTTTTGATTTTCATTTCATTCATATAAAAATATAATCTGACAGCAATTGTATACCAGGCACTATGGATATGTGGTGAGATTTCATTGTAAATGAAGGAAGTAAACATACATTAAAGGCTGTAGATAGACTTGTTTTCTCTGCTTCTTTCCCTCGTACTCTGTCTTAAACCTACCTGACTCAGGCTTTTGACCCATCACAGCACCAAAACTGTTCTTGCTCTGTTTACTCTTGATCTGACTTCTGCATGGCTAAATCTAATGGTTAAGAATGAGTCCTCCTCCTATAGACTAGGTGTCATTTAGCAAATGTTTCTGAGGATATGCCACATGCCAGCTCTGTTTCAGGTATTGAGGCTATGAAGGTAAAAGAAAAAAAGATTAAAAAAAAAATCCTGGCCCTTACAAAGTTTACATTCCATGAACATCCTTTGAAAAAGTTGATCATACTCTACTCTCTTATTAAATACTTACTTTCCTCACTATTCCTTTAGATACAACTCTTTAAACATTTTTAATTTTTAATATATAGGAGTACAAGTATGGATTTCTTACATACATATATCATATAGTGGTGAAATCTGAGATTTTAGTGTACCCATCACTCAAATAGTGAGCATTGTACCCAAGAGGTAACTTTTTAATCCTCACTCCCTTCCACCCTTCCAACTTTTGGAGTCTCCAGTATTTATTATTCTGCTCCGTATGTCCATGTGTGCCCATCATTTAGCTCTCATTTATAAGTGAGAACATGCAGTATTTGTTTTTCTGTTCCTGAGTTATTTTACTTAGGATAATGGCCTCAAGTTCCATCCATGCTGCTACAAAAGACATTATTTCATTATTTTTTATGGCTAAGTAGTATTCCATTGGGTGTGTGTGTGTGTGTGTGTGTGTGTGTGTGTATACATACATACATATATGCACACATTTTATATAAAAATGTGGTGTATATACATATATATATGTATATGTGCACATACGTGTATATATCTGTCTCACATTTTAAAAATCCAGTTCTTTGTTGATGGACACTTAGGTTGATTTCATTACTTTGTTATTGTGAATAGTGCTGTGATAAGCATACAAGTGCAGGCATCTTTTTGATATAATTATTTCTTTTCCTTTGAATAGATACCCAGTAGTGAGATTGCTGGATCAAATGGTAGTTCTATTTTTAGTTCTTTGAAAATCTCCATAGTGTTCCACAGAGGTTGTACTAGTTTACATTCCCACCAACAGTGCATAAGCATTCCATTTTCTCCACATCCTTGCCAACATCTATTGTTTTGGACTTTTTAGTAATAGCCATTCTGACTGGTGTAAGATAGTATCTCATTGTGGTTTTGATTTGTATTTCTCTGATGATTAGTGATGGATACAATTCTTGATTCTTCTACCTTTCTGGCTGTTTCTTCTCAGTCTCATTGGCTGCACAAGACTCACCTTCTCAACTTCTAAATGGGGAAGTGCCGTACTATTCAGTCCTTGAACCTTTTCTCTGCTTCTCCAGATGCATCTATTCACCATGTGATGGCCCCCAATTCCATCGCTTTAAGCACTATTTAGAAACTTGCCTCAGGGCTCTCTTTTCTCAAATGCTTCTGATCAGCAGGCACTCTTTGACCACTTGATCAAGATTGAACCTGCTCACCATTTTCCGTCCTCTTGCCCAATTTTATTTTTTAATAGAATTTATCACTATCAGTTTTTACATATCAATTTGCCCATTTATTAATTTTCTCCTCCTATCAGAATAAAAGCTCCATGAGGAAAGGGACATTGTTTTGTTCACTGTTCTATTCCAAGTGCCCCAAGTAACTGGCACATAGTCAGCACTCTGTAAACATTCATTAAATGTATAAATAATGATAATGAGAGCCGGAAGGGAGGGGGCTTATAGTACATTAAGAGTATATTTGATGTGATCCATCACATTAACAGAATGAAGGACAAAAACCATATGATCATCTCAATAGATGCAGAATAAGCATTTGACAAAATTTCACATTATTTCATCATAAAAACTTGCAACAAATTAGGTATAGAAGAAATGTACCAAAACAAAATAAAAGTTGTATATGACAAGCCCACAGATAATATCAACTCAATGGTGAAAAGTTTAAAGATTTTCCTGTGAGATAAGGAACAAGACAAAGATGCGCACTCTCACCACTTCTATTCAACATAGTACTGGAGATTCTAACCAGAGCAATTAGACAAAAGAAAGAAATAACATGCACTCTAACTGGAAATGAAAAAGTTTAATTGTCTCTGTTTGTAGATGACATGCTCTTATATAAAAAAATCCCTAAAGACTTTATACAAAAACTGTTGGAGCTAACAAGGAAATTCAGTAAAGTTTCATTATACAAAGTCAACATACAAAAATCAATAACATTTTTATATGTTAACAATGAACTATTTGAGAAAACAATCCCATTTAGAACAGCTACAAAAAGTACTTAGGAATAAATTTTTTTAAAAAGCTGAAAGATCTGTACACTGCAAATTATAAAACATTTTTGCAAGAAATTGAAGAAGACACAAATAAAAATATATCCTATGTACCTGGATTGGAAGAATTAATATTGTTAAAATATCCATACTACCCAAAGCAATATACAAATAAAATTCAATCCCTATCAAAATTCTGATGACATTTTTTAAAGAAATAAAAAAAAATTCTAAAATTTGTATGGAACCACAAAAGACCTCAATAGCCAAAGCAATCTACAGCAAAAAGAACAGAGCTGGAGGCATCACACTGTCAGATTTTAAAATTTATTACAAAGCTATAGTAATCAAAACAGCATGGTACTGGCAAAAACAGACTCATAGACCAATTATATTTGTCTATTCACACACTGCTATGAAGAAATATCTGAGTAATTTATAAAGGAAAGAGGTTTTATAGACTCATAGTTCTGCATTGCTTGGGAGGCCTCAGGAAACTTACAATCATGGTGGAAGGCAAAGGAGAAGCAGGCACATTCTTCACAGGGTGGCAGGATGGAGTAAGTGCAAGCAGGGGAAATGCCAGACACTTATAAAACCATAAGATCTCGTGAGACTCACTCATTATCACAAGAACAGAATAAGGGAAACAGCCCCTATGATTCAATTACCTCCACCTGGTCCCACCTTGACATGTGGGAATTATGGGGATTACAATTCAAGATGAGATTTGGGTGGGGACACAAAACTTAACTATATCTTTTTGCTCTGGCCCCTCCCAAATCTCATGTCCTCACATTTCACAACATAATCATGCCTTCCAACAGTTGCCCAGAGTCTTAACTCATTCCAACATTAACCCAAAAGTCCAAATCCAAAGTCTCATCTGAGACAGGGCAAGTCCCTTCTGCCTATGAGCCTGTAAAATCAAAAGCAAGTTAGTTACTTCCTAGATACAATGGGGATACAGGTATTGGGTATAGCCATTCCAATGGGAGAAATTAACTAAAACAAAGGGGCTACAGGCCCTGTGCGAGTCTGAAATCCAATAGAGCAGTCATTAAACCTTAAGTTCCAAAATTATCTCCTTTCACTTCATGTCTCACATCTAGGTTATGCTGATGCAAGAGGTGGGTTCCCGTGGTCTTAGGCAGCTCTGCCCCTCTGGCTTCACAGGATACAACCCATCCTGGCTGCTTTCACTGCTGGCATTAAGTGTCTGTGGCTTTTCCAGGTGCATGGTGCAAGCTGTTGGTTGATCTACCATTCTGGGGTCTGGAGAACAGTGGCCTTTTTCTCATAGCTCCTCTAGGCAGTGCCCGCATGGGGACTCTGTGTGGGGTCACCAACCTCACGTTTCCCTTCTGCACTGCCCTCACAGAGGCTCTCCATGAGGGCTCTGCCCCTGCAGGAAACTTCTGTCTGGACATCCAGGCATTTCCCTAGATCCTCTGAAATCTAGGTGGAAGTTCCCAAACCTCAATTCTTGACTTCTGTGCACACACAGGCCCAACACCATGTGTAAGCTGCCAAAGCTTGGAGTTTGCACTCTCTGAAGCAATGGCCTGAGCTGTATGCTGACCCTTTTTAGCCAGGGCTGGAGCTGAAGCAGCTGGGACACAGGGCACCATGTCCTGAGGCTGCACAGAGCAGAGTGGCCTTGGGCTGGGCCCCTGAAACCATTTTTCCCACCTAGGCCTCCTGGCCTGTGATGGGAAGGGCTGCCATGAAGGTCTCTGACCTTTTCCCCATTGTCTTGGTGATTAACATTCCATTCCTCATTACTTATGCAAATTTCTGTGGCAGGCTGGAATTTCTCCCCAGAAAATGAGTTTTTATTTTCTATTGCATGGTCAGGTTGGATATTTTTCAAACTTTTATGCTCTGCTTTCTCTTGAACACTTTGCCACTTAGAAATTTCTTCCACCAAATACTCTAGATCATCTCTTTCAAGTTCAAAGTTCCACAGATCTCTAGGGCAGAAGCAAAATGCCACCATTCTCTTTGCATAGCAAGGGTGACCTTTACTGCAGTTGCCAAAAAGTTCCTCATCTCCATCTGTGATCACCTCAGCCTGGACTTCATTGTCCATATTGCTGTCAGCATTTTGGTCAAAGCCATTCAACAAGTCTCTAGGAAGCTCCAAATCTTCCCACATCTTCCTGTCATCTGAGCCCTCCAAGTCTCTAGGAAGTTCCAAACTTTCCCACATTTTCCTGTCTTCTTCTGAGTCCTCCAAACTGTTCCAATCTGTGCTTGTTACCCAGTTCTAAAGTTGCTTCCACATTTTCACATATCTTTATAGCAGCACTCCACTCTCTGTGGTATCAATTTACTATATTAGTCTGTTCTCACACTGCTATGAAAAAATACCTGAGACTGGGTAATTTTTAAAGGAAAGAGGTTTAATAGACTCACATTTCTGCATTGCTTGGGAGGCCTCAGGAAACTTTCAATAATGGCAGAAGGCAAAGGAGAAGCAGGCACCCTCTTCACAGGGCAGCAGGACAGAGTGAGTGCAAGCAGGGGAAATGCCAGATGCTTATGGGACCATCAGATCTTGTGAGACTCACTCATTAACAGCATGGGGGAAACAGCCACAATGATTCAATTGTGTCCACCTGGTCCCATGCTTGACATGTGGGGATTACAATTCAAGGTGAGATTTGTGTGGGGACACAGAGCCAAACCATGTCACCACCGGAACAGAATGGAGAGCTCAGATTTTTAACAAGGCTGCCAAGACCACGCTGTGGGGAAAGGACAATCTTTTCAGTAAATAGTTTTGGAAAAACTATATACCCACATGCAGAAGAATGAAACTAGACCCTTATCTTACACCATGTACAAAAACCAACTCAGAATGGATTAGAGACTCAAATGTAAGGCCTGTAACTATACAATTACTAAAAGAAATCATAGGTTAAAAGCTCTTTGACACTGGTCTGGGTAATGATTTTTTTTGGGTATGACCCCAAGAGTACAGGCAGCAAAAGCAGAAAGAGACAAACGGGATTATATCAATCCAAAAAGCACCTGCACCGCAAAGAAAGCAATCAACAGAGTGAAGAGATGACCTATGGAATGGGAAGAAATATTTGCAAGCTATGTATATAATAAGGGACTGATATCTAAAACATATGAAGAACTCAGATAACTTAAAGTCAAGAAAATAAATAATCCATTTAAAGAATGGGCAAAGATTCTGAACAGACATTTTCGAAAAGGTAAATGAAACAACAGGTATATAAATGGTCAACATGTATATGAAAAAAAATGTTGGCTGGGTGTGGTGGCTCATGCCTGTAATCCCAGCATTTTGAGAGGCTGAGGCAGGTGGATAGCTTGAGCTCAGGAGTTCCAGACCAGCCTGGCCAACATGGCAAAACCCTGTTTTTACTAAAAATACAAAAATTAGCTGAGTGTGGTGGCATGCTCCTGCAGTCCCTGCTACTTGGGAGGCTGAGGCATGAGAATTGCTTGTACCTGGGAGATGAAGGTTGCAGTGAGACAAGATCTCATCACTGCACTCCAGCCTAGGCCACAGAGTGAGACCCTGTCTCAAAAAATTAGAAAAAAAATTTTAAAAAGAAAAGACGAAAAAAGAAAAAAATGCTCAACATCACTAATCATCAGCCATAATGAGGTATCACCTTACCTATCAGAAATGGCTATTATTAAAAAGAGAAACAATAACAAATATTGGTGAGCATGCGGGGAAAAAACGAGGCACACTGTTGGTGGAAATGTAAGTTAGTACAGTACAGTCATTATGAAAACCACCGAGAGGTTCCTCAAAAACTTAAAAATAGAATTCTGTCATTTGCAACAATATGGATGAACCTGGAGAGCATTACCTTAAGTGAAATAAGCCAGGCACAGAAAGATAAATACCACATGATCTCACTTATAAGGGTCACAGTAGCAGAAAGTAGTGGTTACAAGGAGACTGAGGGCAGGGTATTGGGTAGATGTTGGTCAAAGAACACAAATTTCAGTAAGACAGGAAGAATAAGTTCAAGAGATCTGTTGTTCACCATGGTAAGTATATTTAACAGCAACCTAGTGTATATCTGAAAATTTGTAAAAGAGTAGATTTTAGTGTTCTCATCACAAAAAAGATAAGAATGGTAGGTGATTGTTAGGTTAATTAGCGTGATTTAGCCATTCCACAATATATACATACATTAAAACATTATGCTGTACCACATAAATATATATCATTTTTATTTGTCAGTTTAATAAAATTGAAAGCTCAGAGAAATTTCCTTAGGTGGGGGTGACAATTGGGGACATTTTACACGGAGGGAACATGTGCTAAGGCCCTGGGGCAAGAAGGAGAACATGCAGTCAATGTAACAGAAGATGTACTCATGTCACTGAAGTGTACACAGTGTCGGGGAGAAAAGTAGAAAAGGAGACTGAGCAGATAGGCAGGAACGTCAACTGTTCAGAACTTAAAGATCATGATAAAATGTGTTTTTTTAATTTTAAATTTTATTCTAAAATAAATACAATGTCATTATTAAAAAGGTCTTTTAGGACTTTTTAAATGGCACATCTTTCAGTGGAGTCAGGTACTAACATAAAACTTGTTTTTTCTCTCTATGACTGTGGTCAGCATACTCTGAACACGCTAAGTAACCAAAGACTTGAGAAGGCTAGGTGTGTATTCAGTATGACAAAGATGCGAAAAGAAACAAACTGGGTCTGTGATTCATTTCTTCTGGATCTCAGAATAGAATTCTTCATGTTAGGTCTTTATCTCAATTGCTACATGGCTTGATGATCTGTATATAAGGGATATTGAACATTGATTAGGCCAGTGAAAGAGAAGTCTTGTTAAAGGTTGCCAGGGTGAACAAAGTTAAAAAGCTAAAATTTTTAATCATGAAATTAGAAAGGTACTTTTTCTTACCCATCTTGGAAGCAGTGGAGCCAAGCAGTTATATTCCCTTTTACATTTGGCATTCTGGATGTAGTACCTTTCCAAAAGCTATTTATGGCATGACCAAAAAGAGCCAGCTTGTAATATTTTAGTTTTACCAAGAGAACTAATATATGTTTTAGTTTCAGCAAAGATAGAAATCATGGAGATTTTGGTCCAACTGATTTTCCATTTTTTTCCGGGAACAATTAGCCACAAACTGTTGTATAGCTTTTAGGGCACCACCCAAGGGCCAAGTGATTCTCTTCAAATTGAAAGCATATCATTCTTTTCCACATCACTGGTACCACAGCCAAGTTTCTGGGCTTATGTCACTTTGTCTAAAGTTCCAAGGGGGTTGATTTCACTTCAAACATATTCTTGATCTTTCTTCTGGGCAACCAGTGTGGTTTGATCAGATTGACTTTCTGTAAATACACTGGAGAATTTTTGTGGAACCTGTCTGTTATTGAAATGAAGCATTTGCTTATAATCATGTTCTCATATCTTTCAGTACACAACTGGCTCTTCCCTTAGTTGCTGTTGTTTTTAAATCCAGATTCCCAACTATCTCCTACCTGACATTCTGTGAGACAGTAATTTTCTGGAGTTTGCATACTTGCCATGTATTGAAAAGCAGTATTTATCCATTGACAAAAATGCTTGTAAATGCATTTGATCAACCTGCTGAAATTTCGATTTTTAGAGTCATTTTAATATGGCATTTTCCCTTAAAATTTTCAGGCCTCCTGGCACTTGTGCATTTATTTGTATTTGTTTATGTATTCCTAACACTTAAATACTTTGAGGTGTGTTCTTTCTGATCATACCTGCCTGTGGAATTCTGTATAGTTTTCTCACTCCGTCTGTAAAATAATTCAACCAGAAATGCAAAGGAAGGAGGAAATATGATTCTCTTTTTTGAGATTTAGCTGCGAAGGAGTTAAGGAAGAAGATCATGGAAAGTTGGACAGAGCACAGATGAGTACAGTAAAGGATGAAAACCCGTATTCACAAACCATATGGATCCAGGAGTAAAAATTGTGATTATTATTATTATTTTGGCTCTTGTAACCTGCTGTTATGGAACCTGAATACCTTTTTTTTTTGAGACAGGGTCTTGCTCTGTTGCTCAGGTTGGAGTTTAGCGGTGTGATCACAGCTCACTGCAGTCTCAGATTCCTGGGCTCAAGTGGTCCTCCTGACTCAGCCTCCTAAATAGCAAGGACTACAGGCATACATCACCATGCCATGTTAATTTTTTTAACTTTTATTTTGTAGAGACAGAGTCTCGCTATGTTGCCCAGGCTTGTCTTGAACTCCTGCCTTCAAGCAATCCTCCCACCTCAGCCTCTCAAAGTGCTGGCATTACAGGTATGAGCCACAGCACCCAGCCGTGAATACCTTTTATGAAGTGCACAAAAATGATAGTATTTGTAGAGCACACTGAGGCAAGCTATGGAAAAGATTTGAAGGCATTTATATAGTATTTGGTGACATATAATTATAAAAACTAAAATGTAAAATTTTAAATGTAGATTTTACCAAAATGTAGATTTTGATAAAACAGCACAAATTTTGAAGTACAAATTTTGAAGAGCTTGCTTCTGTTTCTATTTTAGAGAGTTACACAAAATTTCTATTTCAGTGATTATCTGTCCAAAATTCCAATAGATGCCATTATCAAGAAATTGTTTACCCAAATAGTTAATAAAGTTAAAGAATATTCTTACAATCATTTAAAGACTTTGACAATTGAAATTATATTTTGTATTTTGTTATAATTTTTCCCCTTTCATTGACAAATGTAATATTAAAGATTCTTGCAATAATATAAGTTGATTTTGGATTCCAATTTGCCTTTCTCACATCAAACATTTCAAGTTGATAAAATTTTTGAACAATAATCTGTAATTATTATGCATACATTATAAGAGCAGTCACCCTACAGCAATCTTGGATGCCTTTAAATGGTAAATTAGCCAAAATGCAAAGATGAATATTTGGGAACATCACTTATAACATTAATTACAGAAGCCCCAAAGAGGCTCCTTTCTTCCCCCACCCTCCACACTAGCACTCCCTGGACACCTGAAACAGGACCGTCTCCAGCAGCCCTCTCTACAATGCAGCACTGGACAACAGCTGTTGAAGTGGGTGCCCCGGGAGAACAGCACCTCCTTGGCTCACTCAGAGCAGAGCAGCAAGTGCTGGGTTCTCCTCCCTTTTTGCTGCCAGCAATTATCACTGGATACCTCTTTAGAGCCACTTCTCCTGGGGTGACCTCCTAGGATCTTCAAATCAGGCTGCTGGTCATAAAAAATATTTTGCCTCATTTCCTATACCCCTAGGTCCTGGCTTGGCCACTAAGGGCTGAGTTGATAACTTCCTTTCAGAAATTTGTAGTTTATTTCCATTAGTGTGCTAAAGTACAGGGATTGGGCCATTTCTTTCTTATAACTAGTAGTACCTTCTCTGTGGATGGAAGTAAGAGGGCTCCTAGGCAAGGTGCCTGCAAAGTTATGCCAGTTTCTTTGAGAATATAGAGAATATTCTCAGGATATAGAATGGAAAATTGAAGTCAGATCTAGGACAAAAATTCCAGGACGTAAGATTGAATTTCAGGGCTCTAAGCAACAAGATGCTTCATCTTCTATATGCCGTGAATACTACCATTCTCTACCAGTAATAGAAAAGACATTGTCAGCATCTGCACCCATCTCTTTCTGTATTTTTTGAGTTATCTGGCATTTCCATATTTTGCTGACAGGCCAAGGTGAAAGTCCCCATCGTTTCATACCTGGACATCCCTACATTGTAACTCTGCATGCTCCTCCATTCCCCAGTACGTTGTCTACACTGCAGCCAGACTGACCTTTTACAAATGCAGACCAGATTATAACACAGGCTGCTGAAAACCTTTCATATCTTACTATTTTTCTTAGGAAAAAGAACAGAAATCCTTAATATGGCTTTAAAGTTTTTATGTTTTATTTTCTGCTTAATTCTCCAGCCTTAAAATATTCTACTCTCCTCTGGCTGGGCAGCCATGGTGGCTTCTGTCATGTCCTTTAACATGGCCTGTACCCTTCTTGGCTCTCACCCTGCCCACAGTCTCCAACACATATTCACCTTTCAGAGCTCAGAACATAGGCCATCTAGAAAAATCCTCAGTTGAGTCAGGTTCTGCTGTTTTATATTTTCAAGACATTATATACCTTTCCTTCAGGACACATTACAGTTTATAATCATACATTCATAAGTACCATCATTTGTTTAATCTCTCCCACTCCCTACTGTAAGCTGCATGAGAGCAAGACATTTGCCTTTTTTTGTTATTTATTCTAGATTGAGAACTGACACTTAGTAAGCACATGACCAATGGCTGATGAGTGTTGCTGAATATCTGAAAATATGGGCTCATAAAAATTCTACCAAACCCAAATCATTATTTGAATAATTTGGATACTGTAGAAGCATTCTGAGAAGAAATAATGCCAGTAGCATGAAATATACTTAATGCCTATTTGAAAAATCTTCAGGCAACACTTTCCTATTTTTGGTTTAGATTTTTTAAGGGAAAATTAAAGCTATTACTTAAGTAATTCAGATCACGGATTTTTTTAAAAAGTGCCAAATTCCACTTTGATGTGAGATTGATAATGACAGGTAGGAGTAAAGTGAATTTGTTCTATATGACCCGAATAATTGTGTCAGTTATCCATTTAACATGTGGTTGTCCATGTAATGGTGTGTTGGTGTGTTGGTTGCTTTACACATGCCTGAATATTTAAGGAATCCTCCAGGGTGTCTGAATGTAATTAAAGTATGACATAAGCATTTTAAAAAAATGAAATGATTAAATCTCTACTTTCTCAATGACCTCTTCCATGTTAACAAGATTACAATTAGGGATGTGGAGGATCTAAAGGGCCTTTAAGTTGAAATCTATCAAGCTTAGTAGCCATGTAGCCTGGCTGACGGGCTGAGTTGATTGTTGGCTTAAGTTGAACATGGCATAAGGATTGTGCTCTCCTTTTCCATAGTGCTGGGGTTTTGGAGGACTTTGGTGCACTGATGCCTTCTGATTGCCTTGTTCTGCTTCCTGTCATTGTTAACATGGGCACGAGGAAGAGAGAGTAACTCATATTTGAATTAAAGACCAGTTCAAAATTAGAACAGATACCTATTACAAAAGATATGGCCTTGGGGATTGGTGAGAGATGCAGAGATGAGGGAAGCATAATACCAAAGGAAACGAAGCATCTGGAGAACCCAGGAACTCTTTGGACAAAAGTCTTTGTATGAAAGCAGAAACTAAACATTCGTTCAAGGGCTTGGATGGTCCAAAGAAATAAAACATAACTACCTCGAGAAATGAGAGGAAGAAAAAAATGTGATAATCTCTAAGTCCAGGTTAAAATATCAAACTATGTTCGTGTGGCTCAGATGAACGTTGGAGATGAAAAATATTTTGTCAGAAGCCGATAGATGTGGAAGGTTGTGGTGGTGGTGAGCTTCCTTTTTCAGCCTAGCTCCTTGTTCAGCTAATTCAGTAAAAACTGCTTGGGGCAAAGCCTAATTGGCAAACCGGAAAATTGGGCATTTTGAGGGCGACTTCTGATTAGTCTGGATCTCCACAATTCAGGCTCTAAAGTACTTAGAAGGTGTTTTTTAATTCTGAGTGATGATCAAAGGTTACCAACTGTATGAGAATTGAAGTTTACTTTCTAGGAGTTCAGTAGTAGGATAAAGAAGGTGCTTAATAGAGTTGCAGTTAGAGAAATATTAGAAGGTATAATTCAAGAGACAATGAAATTGTGTAAGTCTGACCTTTGGTGTTGATTCTTCTCTGAAAATGGTTGCAATCAAAAACAGCAAAGAAGACTGTGGTGGCCCAGGAAGCAGAAAATTGCTGGAAAAAGAAAAAAAAAATTGGTATCTTGTTTGATGGCATAGACAGGAGCTCCATGGTTTTCCAGTAGTCTGATGGGAGAGAGCATTTTACTTGAAAAAAATTGTGAAGGCTTTTTAAAGGAAAATCCCCCTCCAGTTCACTGTTTTATTGAACGAGGACTTTTTGAGTTCCTCTTATGTCAGCCAGTGTGTTGGTTGCTTTCACACAGATTTGCTCATGAAACTAATTTACTGCCTAGCATACTCTTTCATTAAAATATCACATAAACGTTTTTAACAAGTTTAAGTTTTTGGCAAGCAACTTATTTGATGACAGAGGCTCTATGCTGTTAGGCCACGGTAAACTGTTAAATATATTAAATGAGCACTTTCATAGCAGTTTACTCATTCCTTTATTCCCTGACTCAGCAAATATTTATTGAAGCCAAACGTTAAGAGCCAGGAAGTATTTTTGACATTAGAACTTTCAAAGTGATTGAAACAAGCAGAGAGGGGCACTTAGCCAGGTTGCAGATAATTACTTTCAGGATGGTTTTCTACAGTAGGTGATGCCTAGGGTGGGGGAGTGTTGGAAGTGGTCTAGGAGGATGGAAGAGTAAAAGGAAGGTATGAAAAGAGGAAACAGCAAGGGGCCAGCCTTTTGCATTCCAGTATAGTGTTAGTCATAGGCTTCAGGGCTCTCCTTGAGAGCATAGGTACTTAACTTTCAGAGAGCTTACTCCTGTCAGCTGAGGGCAATTCTTTGGAGAAGGGGAGCTACTGGAAGCCTTTTGCAGCCAACACTCACAGAAGCTGGGGGTGGTGCATTGGCCCAGTACAAGGTATCTGAGTGGTGCACCAAAACAGCGTTGGCCAACCACAAGAGTGACTGGGAGATGAATAATAAATATATCAATGGTCACTCCTCTTTGACAAAGCTTGAATAGGGATGTTTCCCCAGCAACATCCTTAGCCCTGTGCTCACAACTGTTATTTCTCTCTAAGCAAAGTCCACTCTCCTCTGCTGCAACTCAGCACCACCTTCTGATGTCCTCATGACTCCCTCACCCATGCATCCAGCCAGGCTTTCTCCAAATAAATGTTTGTTGAATGGATAAATATACTAGGAATTCTCTGACTGAAGAAGGAGAAAACATAATTACAGGCACAGAAAAGAGTTGTTCGAAGGCATGTTCAAAAGCTAGGACAATGAATTTATGTCATAGTGGAAGTTCAGGTCTGTTCAGAATGAAAAACAAGTGAAAATGTGCTGGTTGTATCTGATAATAATGCTAAACACATTTTTTTTCCTAAATCAAAACAGTTATTTTTGTTCAGCTCAAAATAGACTCCCAAGAATACTCCCCTCCTTACCCATTGTTTCCAAGAGAGAAAATCTGACATATTTAATCAATGGACTGAAAATGAAGTTTCCCTCTTCTCTCCCAGGCAGTGGGCTGCTGCTCTTTCTGGATATTGGGGCAAGAGACAAGTCAGGCTTGGAAGGGTGTCCTAATATTTGCAAATGTCCATTTTTCTGTCCAAGCACAGAGAAGGTAAAGAGCCAAGAGGAAATGGTTAAGAGGGCTATCTTGGCAAGCCTTTTACTCCAGAAAGAGGAAAGAATCTTCAGAAAAAGGACAAAAGTGCAAAAAGATTTCTCTGAAAAAAAAAAAAAAAAGAAAAAAGGGCAATCCAGCTTAAAAAACTTTGATGATAAGGAACTCTCTAGGGATAGATAGCTAGCAAAAAACATTCGACTGAGCTTCAGAAACAAGTTCTCTGGAAACTGAAGGACAAAACACTGGCTGGACATTCCTGGCAGTGAGCTACGGATGGCATAACATAGCAACTACATCTCCTTAGCCATTTGTTCTAGTTTGCTCTACATTAACAATTCACAACAAGAAGAGTGGAAAGTGTTAAGGAGCTACCATTTAGTGCCTCTGACACCTCAGCTACTATGCAAGTTGTTTCCTGTAGCCTACTTCATTTGATCCTCAGACTGACTTGCTATCTTCTTTGTAAAAATGAGGAAACGAGAGCTCAGAGATTCAATAATTTGCCCAGCTTCATATATTTATTGAGTGGCATGTGCTCTCATCTATGCTTAAATGTAATTATGTGTACTTAAAGGCAAATATCGTTCTCCATTTTCCACATATCCAAGATTTTAGGGATGATAGGGTTTCTCTGAGTTATGGTTGGTAATAAAAAAGAAACTTTTTCGTATTAGAGTAGTTTGAGGATAGAGCAATTATCATGTAAGGTATACTGCTCAGAGTCTATGCCCACCTCATTCAGGCCACTCTAACAATAAACACAGGCCTTTTGGCCTGGCGGGCTAGATAGTCCCTGTGACAGCCAGACTCCTCATTTGGTTATCTGTGGAGTAGGAGGGAAATTAAATATACATCTGCATCTTTTCCAACAACAAATCTTAAGAGATTATTGCTAGTTATAGCAGCAATGGTTTCTGGTATAGAAGAATAAATAGAAAACAATGTTTGGTGTATTTGAATAATTAGTTCTATCCTTTTTTCTGAAAGCTTTGAGAGTTACTTGATTTGTTTTTTATTCTTTTGACTTGAAATTGAGAGGCATATTTCTACTTTTTTGATTCTTAAACATTTAAGATTCTTCTACCTTTTATGACATAGAGGTTTAATATAATTACCTAATCATATATTTACCTGTTTAAGGTACTTCAACAGCTGTTGATGTGATGGTTTCTGTGAATTGGTAGAAAGATTTTGGACCAGTAGTAATAACTTCTCAAAAACCCTCTGTCTTAGTTTGGGCTGCTATAACAAAAATGCCTTAGACTGGGTAATTTATCAATGACAGAAATTTATTTCCTGTATTTTTGGAGGATGGGGAGTCCAAGGTCAAGGCACCAGCAGATTCAGTGTCTGGTGAGGACTTGCTGTGCTTCAGAGATGGTGCCTACTTGCTGCATCCTCACATGGCAGAAGGGGCAAATGCTGTGTCTTCACATGGTGAAAAGGACAAACATGCTCCCTTCACCTTCTTTTATATGGGCACAAATCTCATTCATGAGGCCCTCATGATTTAATAATTTCCCCAAAGATCCCACCTCTTAACACTATTGCATTAAGGGTTCAGTTTCAACATATAAATTTGGAGGGACACAAACATTTAGACCATAGCAGCCTCCTTATTTTACTTAGGAGTATATCAAGCATACTCAGCAAGAGAAGCTGAAGAGGATGAGAGCCCTCTAGCTTAGACATCACAACACCTCTATGAGGCCATTTTTCCACTCATTGCTCCTTTGCAGGCGATCCTTATGATCTGGGCATCCCTCCCCTTGAGCTGACTGTGGCTGTCGGAGGACGTATTGATAGTGGCTTCTCCTGGACCACAGCATGACTGCACAGGTTTCTCCAAGACTCTCGCCAGGGAGATCCAGAGGAGCAAGTTTGGTCTCAGGGTGCCACCAGCAGGATGTGTGGCCACCAGAGCCTGCGTTTGTGATTGGGGCTTATTATCCTATAGTGGCCCCGCAGTTTCTTTCAGGGGAGAGCCTGCTTGGCCCGTGTCTCTCCCTGAGTGCTATACTTACCTCTCATCAGCTCATTTATTTTCCAAATCTTCTCTGAGGTGCTGTTATCTTACCTAGGGATTGAAAAAAAAACTTACTTAGGGAGAAAAAAGTTATATTAATTCTGGAAATAAAAGCATTTTAAACTTCAGGCTTAAAAATTATAATTTGCTGCATATTTGAAAGTAAAACACATACAACATCTAAATGTAAATATATTTGGTATGACTTTAATGTTATCCTTCACCAATATTCTGTATGTAATTCTGAATATTTAGGTTGCCAGTGCTAGCCTTTCCCCATTTCCCTGGGTGAGATAATTATCATGGGAACTGGAAGAAATATTATACATGGCTCTTTTCTCTGAAGACAAACTTCTTATCTTGGCATAATCAGCTCGTGTTGATCGGACCCCTACCTCACTGTTTTTATAATAGTCTCTGTTTTATGATATAGCCAATGACTCCCAGGCTGTCTCTGTTTTCTGGCTCTCATCTCACCACTCCTCACTAGTCTGGTTCAACCTTCAGGACTCAACTTTGATAATTCCTCTCCCATGACTATATGATATATCCTACTCTTTTATTTGTTTGTTTGTTTGTTTGTTTTGAGACAGGGTCTTGCTTTGTTGCCCAGACTGTAGTACAGTGGCTTGATCATGGCTCACTGCAGCCTCAACCTCCCAAGCTCAAGCAGTCCTCCCACCTCAGTTTTCTGAGTAGCTGGGACCACAGGCATGTGCCACCACCCCTGGCTAATGGTTTTCTTTTTTGTTTTTTTGTAGAGACAGGGTCTCTTCATATTACCCAGGATGGTCTTGAACTCCTGGGTTCCAGCGATCTTCCTACCTCAGCCTCCCAAAGTGCTGGGATTATATGTGTGAACCCTTTCCAGCACACATCCCACTCTTAATTCCTCATTAGGTGCTTCTAGTGTACGTTACTCTCCATTGTGACACCCCTGGTGGTAGTTCTTAGGCATTATGACTTGTCAGGCACAAGTAAGAAAAAGTCAGCACTCTGGTACCAGGTACTCACAAGCTACTTTTGTTGTTGCTGTTGTTCTGGCTTATTCCCATTCCCTAATCACAAGGCTCCTCCTCAGAATGCCATCTTACCTTGCTAAATGACGGCAGAGATTGATTTCTAGCATTGTCATGTCACTTGCATGAGTTGTACTTGTTATGCGTTTCCTAGGCTCAATGTACTACTAGTTCTGTTACATCTGTTTAGGTATTTGTTTGCATGTGTACTGTTCATTGGGGCTGCACTCAGCATTGATGCTGAGTACGCTAAAGATAGTAACTTAGTTCTAGGCTTATATTGTTGATTGTCCTGATAGATGTATTGGTATGCAATTGGCTGGTTATAAAGACATTCAGAGATGTAACTATGAGCCTTTGACTACTACAAGGATGAAGAACATAATGGAGATATAATGCTCTGTAAACTTAAGAATGGTTTGTACATTTCTAAGTTGGTTAATGCAGTCTTTCATTGGCTTATTCAACAATCACTGGGCACATTAGATGTACCGAGCCTCTTTTAAGAGGGAGAATGAAAGTTAAATTAATAGTTTCTTTCCTCAAATATCTGGGAGCCTAATGGAGGAGGAGGAGGACATTAAGTTATTTCAGTAAGGTGGAGAGGCTTGATTCTCATTTTACTATCTATTCTAACACTTGTAGAAAGCATGCTTGCTCTTCAGATTTAGGCTTCCTGAAATGTAGGGAGGGCATGCTATTGGAGAATTCAGGAACTAGCAATACTTAGAACAGGCATTCAGGAAAGAGATTTCAGTTTAGGTTGGAGAAAGGGATTGAAAAGACTTGCCAGTTCCCAGAATTAGAAAGACCAGATTACCAGTGTATTAGTAAGCTATTAATTGAGGCAGAGACAACAAGGCAGAGGTTTACATAGACAACCTATGCCCAAATAGTCGGGCCAAAGGCAGGAGAAACTTGTTGCTGACATCATGTAGTATTTGACAGATTATAACCCGTCACCTGTATCTTTACTTATAAGCTGTCATAATTTAGAACTCTTGCAAAATAATTTCTTAATACATTCTTAATACATTTTCACCTTAAATTTTTTTTTGAGTTTTACTATCGTTTTCAAGTAGCAGCAGCAATTATTGTAATATTTACTCAGTGCTTAATCTTGGGATGAGTCCCCTTGGGGACTTATATGGCTTAATATAGTCAAAATTACACTTTTGTTACCATGAGTGAGTAAAGACATTATCTTTAAGGAAGCAACATCATGTAATCTGTTAATACACTGCTCTTATTCAATTTATAAGACCACTGTATACAATCAGGAGACATCTACCACTACTTCATAGGTATCGCAAGACAGAAACGGACAACGAAATCTGAGGGGTCCATAGCTTTATGCTAGTCATGCTAGATTCACTGAGATTTTGGCAGGGCAATTGATTGATTGATTAATTGATCCACTCTTTCCTCAATTATTTATTGAATGTCAGATATGGACATTATGTCAGGAATATGGCTTATTTTTATTCAAAAGAAGGAAAATGTATATTCATTAGTCTAATTTTTATCTAATAATTCCATGAAGAACAAGGTAAGTTACAGTGAAAATGACTTATTAGGATTTTAGAGAAATTTGGGGGGTTGGGGGTGAATGGAAATGTGAGAAAAAGGGAGAACAGCATACCAAAAGGGTATTATGGTCTCATTTGACTGAATACTTATAACAGTTCCACAATTGTAGAATTATGAAATATTTATGGGTACCTATTATGTGCAAATCACTATATTAGGTACAGAAAGCACAAAAACAGATTTTTTTTTTTTTTTACCGTCAGGAAGGTTTACCTCTAGTGAATTGCATTAAACATACATAAATAAATATAACATGAGATGAAGTTTGTCAGGTGTCTAGGAGATATTTGAAAGAGTACATTTTCAGCTCTTTGGGTATTTGGAGGCCCAATGGAGATGTCATTTGCACTGGTCCTTAATTACTGGATAAGTTTGGGATCCACAGATATAGAAAGAAAGAGAATTACAAGTGAAAGGAGCTGTAAGCAAAACCATAAAGACAATAAATTAAAGGACATGCACAGAACACAATTTGTTCCACTTGGCTAGAGTCGAGGGAAATAAAGTTCGAAATTCAAACTGGGGTCATCTTTAATGCCAGGCTGAAGAATTTGACCTTTATTTAATAGGCAATGAAAAATGTTGCTTATCAATGTCAACACGTAATTCGTGGCTGGATTACGCAGCAGGATTTTATCAATCTATGTCATCATGACCTCTGAAATCCAACCTTTGGTCAGGAGCATATATTGATGTCTAAGAACTTTAGGATTAACTTCCCCAGGGAAATTTATAGCACAGCTTTAGATTTGATTCTTTAGAGAATTTTTATTTGAGGCAATATAAAAGTCTGATGTGTGTTGACTACAAGTTTTAAAATAAATGGTGGAATGCTTTTGGTTTGCCAATTTCTGAAAAGTAAAATAATGACATATTAAGTAATGGAAATGTGGGAATTAAAACTTTCACAGAAAGAGCAAACAAACTCATCATTTCTTTCCTTATCTCTGTTTCTGTGTCAGGCCCCCTTCCTGGCTCATGTCTTGTCCTCCAAGATGTCCTCAGTTGCCTCTATTTCAGTTCTTTTTTCTTTCCATGAGGGGTGAGACACCATTTTAGAACTTAGTAAGCCACGCTTGGCCTCAGTGTCCGAAAATAATTGGAGTAATTTCATTTTGTTTCTTCTAGAGGGGGATCCAGAAGGTTCAGAAGTTGACCTGTTCTTTACTTACCTTTCTGTAGACTTTACCTTGTTCCAAGTCCTGCTGGGATGATAGCCTTTAATGTATTTATCACTGTGTGGTGCTCCAATAATCCACCAATTCTGCAAATTTTTGTCCTTGAATTTAGGATGCTTTTACATTTTTTCTCGGAAAACAGTTTTACCAGCTGGCAGTCTGAGTTAACTAAGTTCCATATATAAATTTATGCAGGAAGGAGAGGGAGAAGAAAATATGCAGGAATGAAAACAAATATTTGAATGCAGTGTAATAGCTCAAAGCGCGAATCCAAGATAGGTCAAGTTAGAGTGATTTTTAAAAAGATCTTCAAATTTCAGAATACTTTATGATATTCTCTGCCAAAAACTCTGGGTTTTCATCAGTGTCTTTCACCATTTTATGGCTCTTAGTGGTGTTTTGTGGTCCATAAATTTAATATATTGTCCATGCTACCTATCGTATACCCTGAGATAAATTCCCAGACCACATTGGCACACTGAGAGCAGCACATTAAATGCCTCTCCCTGATTTTTCATGCCCTTTCCATCCATCAAGCAAGCCTATACAAAATACCTTTTATGTGTTAACATGCTAGATACTCTATGGCACCACTTTTCAGAATTTATTGTGATAAAAATGAACTGGAGGTATATTATGATGCAGATTCTGAAGTCTGGGTTGGGACCTGAAGGTCTGCATTTCTAATATGCTCACAGCTATGTTGGTAGAGGGACCACACTTTGGGTGGCAGGGCTCTTTGGGATTATCTTTAATAAAGAACTCATAATATAATGGGGTCATTAGGCACATCAAAAGCAAATATAAGGCAATCTGAATACAGTGATACACATATTTCATTGAGAATAGAAAGGAAGAAAGGATTCATTTTGTGGAGAGTAGGAGAAATTCAGAAAGGTTTCATAGAAGAGGAAACTTATTAAACTGGGTCTAGGAAGATGTGAAGGATCTGAGCAGGCATGGAAGATTTTCCAGATGGAAGGACTACATGTCAGAATCCATGGGCTCCGTAGACCCAAGTGGCTGGGACTTAGGGTGTACATGGAAAAGAGGTTGGAGATAGGACTGAAAAGGGAGCCAGCTTAATTAGCTTATTTCTTCCAGGATACACATGCAAACACATTCAGGAATTTTGTGAGAGATGGGGGGTGAAAATTAAATAAAACAAACACTCAAACACACACATGTGCGTGCACACACACACACACACGATCCTGGTCAAAGTTGCCATATTGCTTGCTCACAAATCAGTTTTATCTTCAGAAAAACACAGCCAATTTTAACAGAGAATTTTTGTCCTTAAGCCATGTTTTAACTTTATAACGTGGAGTTTTTAAAGGAAATATAAATAGCACACTTTGGAGAACTTTCATGAGTATCACTCTGAAAAACATACATAAGCTTTCTAAGATTCTTCTAGCAAGCTTCTTCAAATCTCCCCTACTCTCCTCCCTCCTTAGAATGTAGTTGCTTTGTAAGTGGGACCTCATGTTTACAGATAAGGTCTACATTTTTGGGTATGGCATGAATAGTCCTTTATGATTTGGTTCCAACTTATCTTTCTAGCCTATCGCTTACTGTATTTCCCTTCAATGCTCTACTTTACCATCTAAGTGGAATATTTACCTTTTATTAATTGAAAAATAAATTCATGGAATGCCTTCTATGTGCCAGAATATGTGTTTGACTCTAGGGATATAGTTTTGAACCCAGCAGATGTGGAACCTGCTTTAAAGGAGCTCATATTCTCATGGCATTGATAGATATTTACAAGTAAATGCAATAAATTGTGATGAGTATTATAAAAGAACAAAAAATTATAGGGATATTACTTACAATGGGAATCAGTGTACACATTCCTGAAGAAGTGATGTTTGAGCTCCTGAAAAATAAAGGGAGTTATCAGAGGGATGGTTGATGGAAGTTGGGGAGAGATAGAGAGAGAACAGCACACACAAAATGAAGTATCCTAGGCTAATGAGAAAGTGTGGAGCCTTCAAATCTTCAAATAATTGTGACAAATTCAATATTATTTGATATAAAAGTATGAGAGAGAAATGAGAGCTAGAAGGGGCCAGTTGCAGAAGGCTTTGTACACTGTGTAATCAACATAAACATGCTGAGGGTAATGAAAACCAATGAAGGGTTTTAAGCAGGGAACTTACATAAACAACTTTACATTTTGACACTATCATACAGGCTGCAGGATGGAGGATGACTTGAAGGGGATGAAACTAGAGGTGAGAGATCAGCTCTTGCAATTGCTCAGGTGAAATATGCTGATGTTTTGTATGACAGTGGTGGCAGTAGAAATGGAGAGTAGATAATTTCACATAGGAGGATTTTGGGGAGTAGTGTGGATACAGGAGACAAAGAAGTCAGTGATGACACCAATATTTCAGGTTTGGGCAGGTATTATTTATTAAGCTGGGGAAGCAATGAGAAACACTGTCTCTGAGGGGAAGAAGATAACTTCACATTTGGACACGTGCTTGATGGTCTCTTGGAATACCTAAATAAAGATGTAGAGTGGGAGTGAGGGATATATGTTCAGAACTAAGTGGCGAACTAAGTGGGGAATTTATTAATCTGGGCATCATCAGGATACGGATGAAATCGAAAGCCATGGAAATATATGTGATTGTTTTGGGGGAGTATGTAGAGTGAGAAGGTTGAAAGGCTGAGGACTGAGTCCTGGAGAATATGAACATTAGGTCATGAGCAAAAACAAACAAACAAAGCCTATAAAGTGGCTTGGGAATGAGCTACCAATAGCAAGAGGAAAATTCGGAGAGACTGAGTCCTTAGAAAACAAAGGAAGAGAGTATTTCAAGAAGGAAAAGTATTTCTATGGGTAAATAGGTTTGAGTAGCCTTGAGATCCACATTTGAAAAGTGTCTGTTCTTTTGAGGGCTTGATTTGTCATGGGTGATCTTGGTCAATGTTAAAACTCTTTCTTTCTCCTGCCTTTCAGCCCATGTTTATATTATATTTTCAATTCCTCTGTAGAATTCCATCCACATTTTAAGATTTAGTTAAAGTTGAATCTGCTTTATAAAAATCTTTTTGATCCTCCATTCAGAGACACATTCTCACTTTTATGTTCATCTGTCATTTTATACACCTTATATGATCTTTGTAACAGGCTACCTTTCCTTTCATCATTTGGGCATACATATCCTAATAATCCAGAAAGTTTTTTAGGTACAGAAACTCTGCCTTGAATGGGAAGATAATAGCTCAAATTATGAGGATCGCACAACTGGTCACATAGAGTTATTATTTATCTTTGCAGAATTTTAAGACACCCAACCTAATAATGTAGTCCAGGGCTCTGGGAAGGCAGGAATTGTGTTTCATTTCTGTAAATTGTTTTATCCTCATTGCTTAGCCCATGATATATATGAAACTCCTGTTAAAAATGTTCTTGCATATTTTCTTTCACATTTTATTTTTTCTCTGTTGAAAAAGTGATTTCAATTATGTTCCTATTGGACATTTTAGTATTTTTGACAAATTCTAGGTTGTGTCATGGCATTATTATTTCATTATCTTCACAACTTTCATTAAACATACTTTTTTTTTTATCAAAGTCCCCAGTAAGCAATAATAGAGCTGATGTGGACATTTGTATCCATTGAACTAGTCTGCAAGTGGAATGACATCGTTACACACTGGTATTCCCTTTTTCCAGTAACACTTTGAATGAGAGCCACTTGAGCCATGGTGGTACTTACGTGGGTTTTGCTTGTCACAGTCCCATCATGGTTTCAGATGTCACCAACAGCTCCTTTAATGCCTTTATTAATGTTTGATCACTTAGGTTCTATCTTACTTTCACTTCTTTAATCCATAGTTTGAAAGCAAGAGCATTTAAATTAATTATTCCCTTCTCAACATGGAGCTTCTCTCAATGCGGAAATAAGGGTAGACACTGAGGCTGGACACAGTAGCTCACACTTGTAATCCTAGCACTTTGGGAGGCCAAGGCAGGTGGATCAGGTGGATCATGAGGTCAGGAGATTAAAACTATCCTGGCCAATATGGTGAAACCCCGTCTCTACTAAAAAAAAAATACAAAAATTAGCTGGGCGTGGTGGTGCTTGCCTGTAGTCCCAGCTACTCGGGAGGCTGAGGCAGAAGAATCACTTGAACCCAGGAAGCAGAGGTTGCAGTGAGTCGAAATTGCACCACTGCACTCCAGCCTGGACAGGGCAAGACTCCGTCTCAAAAAAAAAAAAAAAAAAAAAAGAGTGGGCGCTGATGCTCTCCCTGGCCTCCGTTTTAAGTTCTGAAAGCAATTCAAAGAGAAAGAGGCAGGTAGGTCATCAGCTTTCTGGAAGAGGTTATACTCTATCTCAAACATGCATCCACTTGCTCTTTATGTTCTTATAAGGACTCAGGTACAAATTAGGGAAAATAAATGCCAGCTGAGGTTTCCTTCCTTTGTACCCCATCCAGGGAAAGAGATCTAACAGTATCCCAGGAAAGCTTTCCATAAACATCGTCCTTTTTAATTCAGCCAGAGTTACATCCAGAAAAACAACCACTTGAAACCCTTTGCCCCTATTTTCAGATTGCTGCCAAAGCTTTTGCCTTAGCTTACTTCAACAAGAATAAACTGTACGAAAGCTCTGGAGTTCTCAGAGAATGTGACTGCCTGCCCTGCTTGTTTAAGGTCATTAAAATCCTGGCCTTTGCCAAAAGACTTAGAGCACAGCCATTGTGTTCTTGGAGTGAACTGTAATTTTGCTTAGGTCACAGACATTTTAGTGGCCAACAATATTAAGATGGGTACTTTTTAATGGTGTTAAGTATAAATGAAATGCAAAGGGTGAGTACGATAATTACAAAATTGTGTTTATCGTGAAGATAGTCTGTATAAGAAATTGCTAGGACATTTACATTCATTAATTATTGAAAATGAAACAGCCTTCCTATTATTCTGTCAGATAAAGAACTCTATATTCCAAATGCCAATTTCTTAGAGATTTTATTTTCTTTATTGGGTCCTAAAAGCTCTTCATATTTATCCTGGGTGCATTTGCGGCCATGTACATATAGCCAAAAATATGTGATGAGTTGTATAATTATCTGGTGAATCCAAGCCTAGCAGGACAACCTGTTAAAGAGATAAAAGCAAAACTACTTTCAAGTCATCATTGCTTGGTTATTTTGAACTGAAATGTCCAGTAGATCTTCCATTTGCTTTGGTTAAGAAAAAAAAGAAGCTCATTTTTTTCTTCTTATATGAGTTATTTTCTCTATAATGAACTACAAAAATTGCATTCATATATTTGCTTTTTGAATATTACCTGTATTATTAATGTGACTGATTAGAGAAAAATAGAATAGATTGTGGTCCATTTTTTTTTTAGTATTATGCTTAAGTACAAAAGTTGAGAAAACATTTCATGGGGTTTTTTTTGGTAAGCAAAAGACAAGCTGATGTAATACATTTGTGTTTGAATAATTCCGCATCAATATACATGAACCTGTTTATCCTCATCCCTTCCAAACAGATTGTAATAGAAAAATAAGATACTTGTAGGTTATATCCAACTATTTAAAGTATGCTTTTAAGTCAAATGTACATTAATAATATTTAGAGGGTGAACACAGGCATGTTTTGGGTATGCTCAATGGTGGGATATATTGTCTCAGCCCAGGGGAGGAAGATGGGGGCCTTGTGCAGATGCCTGGGCCCAGAAGGCATTGAGTGCTGCTGGTGAGGCAGTACAGGGGCAGAAAACGTAGCAGTGGTGGTGGTGTGGGTGACTGGTGGTGTACTATGTACTTAGAACCTTTCAGATGTTCTATTCATATTATATTATTTAATCCTCCCATTTATATGGGAGGTTTTATTACCTCCATTTTAAATATGAAGGCTCTGAAGGTCATTAAACTTGCTCAGGATTGCAAATTGGTAAGTTGCTGTTGGAATTTGCATGCTATTTTTTTTCTAATTCCACAGTTCAAATTTGTCATGCTAGTTTTAGATCACAGTGGTTAATGTGCGCGGTTTCCAAGGATTGGGATACTTCAAGAAGATGTCATTTTTAAGTTCTGAAGAACTTTAGGAAGATTATAGGAAGCTTGCTTTATATGTGTAATTAACCTATTGGGACATATACTAACTCTTGGGCATTTCATGGAACAAATTATTTGTTGAGTACTGAGTGCCAGGAATTGTTGTAGATGCTAAAGAAGAAACAGTGAACCAAACAGCTGCTTCCCAACAACTCTGATAAGGATAGTCTCAGCAGTACTGACTTAAGAAGTTGGTATATTTGAGATTACTGTTAATGATTTTAAGGTTGCAACAAAATTTAAAAACATATCAGTGACATTTTATATATTTGCTAACTGTTGGGAAATTGCAGTTGAATACAAGCAGCAGAGTCTTTAGAAGGCAGTACCACCAAGAATTAGTTATTGTGTCTTTCAAGCTTATTTGTGAATCCAGTTCATTTAACTAGATGACTATCGACTTATTAAAAATGCATACCCTTTGTGTGTTCCATAGTGTGTCTCTGAAATTGTACAGGTTAAACAACCTGATGCTCACATCAAATAGCATGGTTCCCATCATCTACTTGGGTTTCATTGCGTGTCCAGCATGGGTAGCATTTGTTCCTCAAATTCTAATTGTGCTTTTCATTTCCAGCTACCAGCACTGGATAGTTTTATCAGACAGGTAGAAATAGTTTTGAATACACCTAGCCAGATTCCCATGCATGGCAGGTCACATTCACCTTCCTTCTGCACTTCCATTCCCTCCAACAATTGGCAAAATTACATTCGTATGAGTTACCTTACACATTTTCAGATAGACACATATGTCTGCTGTCTCTCTGGGAGCATTCTAAATTTTGTCAGAGCAGTGCTTGGGCAAAAAGAATCCACAGGTAGGAATATCCAATAATCTGCTCACTCCCAACCTGGTTGCCTTCAAAAGGCGAATTATTCTTGTGCATTCAGTAATGGTTTTTACTACCAGCTCTGCCCTGAACAACTGATTCAGAATTCCGTAATTTCTTTCTTAAGCATGGTAGTAAATGTGGTTTCTTGGACTTCTTCACATGTACTTAGCAATTTGAACCTCAGTAGAATTAAAAAAAAAATTCTTTAAAGACCAGAAATTTGAAAGAATTAACAATTCCAGGAGGCAGAGTAAAAAAAGGATTGGTAAGGGAAAAGATGAATTTGTTTTTGCTGGTGTTTCCAGAAGTCCGGAGGTATATTTTCGTTCTCGTGGTTTTACCTTTCAGCCCTTTCTCTAAGTCTGTCAGCTAACAAAATGCCTGCAGTCCCAAAATGTTTTATTCTCTAGTAAAGAAAGAAGTATCAAATTATTCTAAGCATCACTGTTTATTTACTATAATCCCAGTAAATCTAAGTTGAGATAATGAGATAATGCCATCTAGAAGAAAAATTAAAAAATATTAGAAGCATTTTTTTTAAACTTTAGAGATAAGTAGCAAAGTTTCCCTTGTACGGACAGCTCTCTTAAATTCCTACCCTTCCCTAATGCTAATAAGCAATATATAATACAGTTGAGCAAACAGACATTCACCACTCTTTTTATCATTTAAATGGCCTCTTTTAGTTAACAACAAGAAAAAATAACAGAAAAGCCCTTTTAAATTCTTTCTATAAGGAAAACACTTTCATTAGAACAGACTTTTATCACAGAACTAGATCATTCTGGGGATTGCTTGGTGGTAAGCTTCTTTCTTACTTTTGTATCCTCAGTGCTTAACATCCCCTGAGATGTAATTCTCCTTTGTTGTTTTCCTGCATAAATATTTCTTATGATTACATATTGCCCAGTCAGTGAAGTCCGAACTCACTAGTATGAGATGTAAAAGGCCATGAGCTGGCACTTTATTCCTCCTCAGTGTCTTTTCTCTCTACTTTCCCCTCCATATGTCACATTGTGCATTTTTAGGAAGAACAAAATATAGTCATGAGCCACATAATGACGTTTCAGTCAATAATGTCAATAACATACGCGACAGTGGTCCTGTAAGATTATAATACCGTATTTTTGCTGTACTTTTTCAATATTTAGACATGTTTGGATACACAGATACTTACCACTGTGTTACAATTGCCTACAGTATTAGTATAGTAACATGCTGTACAGGTTTGTGGCCTGAGAGCAATAGGCTACACCATCTAGCCTCAGTGTGTAGCAGGTTACACCATCTAGGTTTGTGGAAGTACACTCTATGATGTTCGCACAATGACAAAATCACCTATCAATGCATTTCTCAGAAAATATCCGTTTCGTTAAGTGGTGCATGATTGTAGTGAGTTTTTTTTTCCTTTTGTGAAACATAGGTGCCCTGTAGAAAAACCACTTGTCACCGGGCACAGTGGCTCACGCCTACAATCCTAGCACTTTGGGGGGCTGAGGCAGGTGAATTACTTGAGCTCAGGAGTTCAAGACCAGCCTGGGAAACATGGCAAAACCCTGTCTCTACAATAAATAAATAAATTAGCCGGGCATGGTGGTGCATGCCTGTGGTCCCAGCTACTTGGGTGGCTGAGGTTGGAGTATCATTTGAGCCCAGGAGGTTGAGGCTGCAGTGAGCTATAATCATGCCACTCCACTCTAGCCTGGGCAAGAGAACAAGACCCTGGCTCAAAAATAAAATAAAATAAAATAAAAAATAAAAAACAAAAGCAAACTAACAAACCAAAAGAAACCAACCACTTGTCTTGGAGCCCTGTCCCTTCATTTTAGATGCTTTATTTATAGAAGTAACAAGTTGGAATTGATTCTCCTGAAGAGTTATTTATGAGAAGTTTTTTTTCCAGTAGCATCTAGACTTGCATTTTCAGCACATTTTTATATTGTTTAGCTAAGTAAGAAGAAATGTACTATGGGGTGGAAAATTTAGATGGATTACCACTCAAGATATCAAAGTATAGTCATAAACTTAGTTTCAAAGTTGGGGAAAAAGGTGACCTTGGTAAATAAAAAAGTGAATTCCAGTCAAGGAAGCACCATCGAGTTCATAGAAGATTAAATCTTTTCTTTCTTTTTTTTTTTTTTGAGACGGAGTTTTGCTCTTGTTGCCTAGGCTGGAGTGCAATGGCACGATCTTGGCTCACCACAACCTCCGCCTCCCAGGTTCAAGCAATTCTCCTGCCTCAGCCTCATGAGTAGCTGGGACTACAGGCATGTGCCACCACACCCAGCTAATTTTGTATTTTTAGTAGAGATGGGGTTTCTCTATGTTGGTCAGGCTGGTCACGAACTCCCAACCTCAGGTGATCTGCCTGCTTTGGCCTCCCAAAGTACTGGGATTACCGGCGCGAGCCACTGCGCCCGGCCTAGAAGATTAAATCTGAGATCTGATTACTAATGAGATCTGATCTCACCTGGAACATAGTGACTGCTAATGCTTATGAATTGACTTGAAACTTAAAGCCCAAACGGGTTTACTGGTAGCAGAATTATCTAGAAAGAGCAAAGCCATGGAGCTATTCCATTAATCAGACCCATGTCTACTGCTTGATGTCAGGGCAACATGTATCTCTCAAATTTATCTGTTACCAAACTGTGCCATCTAATGGTCAGCTTCCTCTATCTGATTTGCCTGAGAAAATCGTCCTTTTAATCTTGAATGATTTTTACAACCTAAGCCTATGTTTTTTGTGGAGTAGGTCCTGGTTTTTACTACCTCCTGATATTTTTTTCATCAATGACCCCTATTAGGAAACTATGTATTTATTTGTTTATAGTCAACAAATATTTAATGAGCACCTACTTATTTGCAAAGCTTTGTGCTAATCACTGGGGATACAAAAGCTATTAAGAGTGGCAGGGTCTTTGCCCCTCTGCAACTGAGTCTAGTGGGAATACAAACAGGTAAGTAGTGCCTAAAATACAGTGTGATTAATACCATGATAAGGGAAGTACAGAATGTCTCTTCTCCATTCACAGAAGAGGGCACCTCACCCAGGAATGGGGATCCAGGGAAGACTTCCTAGAGGAAGTAAGAGACTTTCATTCAAGTCTTTATAAGAGTTCTCTGGCTGCAGTGTGAAGAGTGGCTTGGTGAAGAAATGATGGCCACCTAAATATGAAAGTAGAGAAAACAGGAAAGTTTTAAGACACAGGAGTTATAATCCATACTGGTGTTTGATTTGATGTAAGCAGTGAAGGAGAAGGTATTCTTGGGAATGATGCTCAGCTTTATGGTTTGGGAAACTGACTGGATAGTAGTGACATTGACAGAGAGAGCAAATGCAGGGTGTGACAGTGAGGAGATGATGAGTTCAGTTTAGGACATGGTAATTCAAGTTAGCTGTGGGAGAAACAAAAAGATATGTTTTATAGACTGGTGGGCATTCACATATAACACTGGATATTTAAAAATTACTATGAGCCCCAGGCAAAGTGGCTAATGCCTGTAATCCCAATACTTAGGGGAGTCAAAGCAGATGGATAGATCACTTGAGCCTAGGAGTTCGATATCAGACCTGGCAACCCTGTAAGACCCTTTCTATATGAAAATTAAAAAAATTATCTGGGTGTGCTGGTACATTCCTGAATCCCCAGCTCCCCAGGAGGCTGAGGTGGGAGAATTGCTTGAGCCTGGGAGGTACAGGCTGTAGTGAGCTTTGGTCAAGCCACTGAACTTCAGTCTGGGTAACAGAGTGAAACCCTGTCTCAAATAAATAAATAAATAAATAAATATTATCAATAAATAGATCATAATCAAATCATATAAATCAATAGTGGTGGACCTCAGAATTCTACCAGCTATTTGGGCCAGTACCCAGGTGTCTTATCAGTCTGTGTGCAGGAGGCACAAAAGTTCACCTAACCTTATTCACAAATTTTCACCTTAAATGGAGTTTGAAGGAACCTGTTAGTCTTAGGCCTTTCTGCATATATGCATATATATGCAATATATGGCCTTTCTGTCTCTTACATATACACACATGGTATTTCAGCAAAGAGGTGATATGGCATTACAGAGAGGTTGCAGGACAAGAGGACAGAAACACCCAGGTTTTAGGCAAAAGCTATGTTGCTTTCCAATATTTGACTCTGGTTCAGTCTCCAGTTGCTTTAACTGTGAAATGGAGATGACGAAATGGCTCTTCTTACAAGGTGGTTTGAGGCTCAAATAAGTGATGTATTACAAACTATAATATGTTACACAAATGCAAAGCATTGCAATTAGCTCCTTCTTGGCAATAAACAAATAAAAAATGGAAAAACCAAGCTGTAAGTTTCTGGAAAACATTTCTCTCTTATAAGTTTTTTCATTCAGATTTATTGAAAAAATGTTTTAAGCATTTAGTCCTAAGAACACATTGTTTAGAACTGAAAAACTGAAATTGGAAATCATATAGCCTTTTAGAATTCTAAGTTAGCAACCTGAAGCATTTGGACTATTATTTGTTTCTTATTTGTTGCGGGAAGTCAGGGACCCAGAATGGAGGGACCGGCTGAAGCTGTGGCAGAAGAACATGAATTGTGAAGATTTCATGGACATTTATCAGTTCCCAAAATTAATACTTTTATAATTCCTTATGCCTGTCTTTACTGCAATCTCTGAACATAAATTGTGAATATTTCAGGGACATTTATCACTTCCCCAATCAATATTCTTATAATTTCTTATGCTTGTCTTTACTTTAATCTCTTAATCCTGTTATCTTTGCAAGCTGAGAATGTATGTCACCTCAAGACCACTATTGTACAAATTGATTGTAAAATATGTGTGTTTGAACAATATGAAATCAGTGCACCCTAAAAAAGAACAGAATAACAATGATTTTCAGGGAATAAGGAAAGATAACCATAATGTCTGACTGCCTTCAGGTTTGGGCAGAATAGAGCCATATTTTTCTTCTCCCAGAAAGCTATAGACAGATATGTGAGTAGGAGAAATATCACTGAATTCTTTTCCCAGCAAGGAATATTAATAATTGATACCCTGGGTAAGGAATGCATTCCTGGGGGGAGGTCTATGAATGGCTGCTCTGGGAGTGTCTGTCTTCTGTGGTTGAGATAAGGACTGAAATATGCCCTGGTCTCCTGCAGTACCCTCAGCTTACTAGGGTTGGGAAATTCCAGCCTGGTGAATTCTAGTCAGAATGGTTGTCTGCTCTCGAACTCTGTTTCCTGTTAAGATGTTTATCATGACAATGTGTGCACAGCAGGACATGGACCCTCATCAGTAATTCTAATTTTGCCTTTGTCTTGTGATCTTTTATTGCCCCTTGAAGCATGTGATCTTTGTGACTTACTCCCTGTTCGTACACCCACTCCCCAGCAAAAACTTGCTGGTTTTGCAGCTCAAGGTCGCCATCACGGTCCTACCAATATGTGATGACACCCCCGGAGGCCCAGCTGTAAAATTTCTCTCTTTGTACTCTTTCTCTTTATATCTCAGACTGGCCGACACTTAGGGAAAATAGAAAGAACCTACATTGAAATATTGGGGGCTGGTTCCCCCGATACGTATTATTTTCTTATATTTCATTGGGTAAGTGAACTAAGGAATACTGCAAGGAAGACAATACTTTTGAATCGTCTCTATGTGCCTGATAGATCATATCTAAGTGTTTAAAAAAGATAATATAAGGAAAACAATCACTGTGTCAACATGAAGATTTGATTATGCCTTTCTTTCTATGACCTGTTTTCATGAACATTCAATTTTCCTTGGCCTCTTAGGAAAGAAAGGACACACACTGGCACACTATAGTGGGGACATCTGGATCTCTGAAATTGTCTAGCAAAGAGAGGTCACTGAGCACCCATATGAATAGGAGACAGAAGTCAGAGACAGAGGCAAAAAAAAAAATTAGAATAGGAGACACAGGGTAGTAAACTGATGTTTGTGGCTTAGCTCGATTTTTGGTAATTTAAAAGATAATGTTGATAATATGATTGATACGGACTTTTAAGAAAGAGAAGAAATAAATAAATAAATCTCATGAGAGACACAGATGCAGGTGTCTTGAACCACTTTATAGAGTTGTGAGTATGTGGTCTGAAATATTTTATGAAAATGACGCCTTGGATACATTTTTTTCTTGTCAGTTCCTTCGGTTTTGCATTTTTGTGTGTGTGATTTAGTGCTATTAAAATAGTTTAAAAAATAATGCTCAGAGTTGATCATGCAATTTAAAAATTAAATAGAATAGAGAGGAAGACAGTTCTAAAAAGGAAATCTGAGGGGTATGAGATAAAAACGTGTTGATCATGGTCTTTCAAACATGAATGTGAATATGAATATATTTACATATATACCTACATATATATATATGCACATATAAAAGTTTATTGTTCTTAGGCACTCTGATTATATCACAAATACTTTAATTTTATGCATTTGGTTTTCAAAATATCTTTTACAATTCATTTTTAAATATTTTGTGTTTACAAAATGCCTATGTGTAAAAAATCTACACTTTTACCTATTTAGTGTCACTGTGAATTACTCACTATATGTTTCTCATGGGTAGTTTGAAGAGTTTAGAGAAGTGCATGTTTGAACATCATGGAAAAGTAATATTTAAGTTCAGGTGGTTGTTGGGTTCTGGCAATATTTATGTAATATTTTATATTTTTTTTCAAAGAACTCTACATCTATATAAATGTCCAGATAGTCACCAACATTTGGCTCTAACCTTCATTATGCTTGCTTTTATTATTCCTATAAAGTGTCCTTCTACTGAGTGTGTATATTTGAAATATGATTTGAAATTTTTAGTATGATTTAATGCTAAACCTTGCAATTAATTTCATTTATGATTTTAAAGCATTTCTTCAGTTAAATCTGTGGTTTTATATTTATTAGTGAAATTTCCTCCCAGATTTGTTAAGATATAACTTACACACAATAATATAAGCATACAGTCTGATGAACTTTTGCAATTGTATGCAACTGTATAACTACCACCACAATCAGGATATGTAAAGGCAGACAATTTCATCACCCCTTTCAGTCTGTCTCCTCCTCAATGTTGTTTGCCTTTTCTGGAATTTCGTATAAATAAAATTATACAGTATGTAGTCTTTTGTGTTTGACTTTTTTCACTTAACGTAAGGTTTTTTGAGGTTCACTCATGTTGTGTGTATCAATAGTTTGTTCATTTCATTTTTATAGGGAGATAGTATTCCAATAGTATAGATATACCACAATCATTTTATCCATTCATTAGTTGATGTAAATTTAATGTTTTTATTTTCAGTGTTTAGCTATCTTGAATAATGCTGCTATGGCCATTCTCATATGAATGTTTTTGTGGACATATTTTTTCATGTCTCTGGGGTGAAAACTTAGGAATGGAATTTCTGTGTGGTGCGATAGATGAGTATGGTGTGGTAGGCACACCACCAACCTGTCCTCCAAGTGGCTGGATGATTTTACACTCCACCAGAAATGCATGAAAGTTCCAGTAGTTCCATGCCCTCATCAATAGTACCTGTTGGTGAATTTTGGTCATTCCAGTGGGTTTTTAGTGAAGTTTTAAGTCACAGGTTAACATGTGACTGAAAATATTTCTCTACTAAAAGACAAAATGAAGGTGCATTTTATTTCAGGCTCTCAGTCTGGTCAGCCACCAGCATGGACTCGGAATGCATAAGCCCTGGTTTTATTGAACTGAAATATTTTTCTTTTCATAAAGTGAAATATTAAAGTGTGTTGGTTTCAGTTTGATAATTCAAATACTGCCATTTTAATGGCTTCCATCATAAATCTATTTTATTGCACTCTGTGTCATCTCTCATATCTTGGATAAAAATGCTTTTGTTTCCTTTCTGGTTAATAGACTTGGAAATCATCTGTGTATACGTTTGTTTCTTTCCTTTTTGTGATTGGAGTGAGTTAGTAATAAATTCTTTTTTTTTTCTCATTTTTTTTTCCTTAGCATGCTTTCAATTCTGTGTTACATAAGGCCACCATAGCCGTTGGGAACTGGTTGTTTTTAATGATGATTATTTTAATGATGTCTGTTATATTGTAAGTTGTCAAATTATTGACAATTTTTGAATATTGTCAAAAACCTCTATTCTCTTTAAGAATATTTATTTCTCTTTGGAGTTCCACTATATTGCAAGGTGAATGAATGTGTTTGACAGGTAATGGTTAGAAGTCTGTATGAAATTCTTCTGTGAGTAAAAGTAGCTATTATCACTGAGTATGAATATATGATTTTGGAGTGTTTTTGTTTGTAATAAAATAGTATAACATTTATAACATATTTTCTTGCTTTTTATTAAAGAATCTTAAAACTATGGAAAATGCAGTTCTACAAGGAGTCTACAATTTAGTGGAGAAGACAAAAAACAAAAAACAAAAATTTAGTAATTCAAGTTGGTGTATGGTATGGAGAAATTATTTCTCCCCAGTCCTGATTTTTTTCTTCCATGTGAAAGGAGCTTAGTATTCTTGGCCAGAGAACTTCCTTTTTATCCTCTGCAAGAACACAGAGTAAACTACTTTGCTGGTAGGCATTTGTTAGTGGCCCACATTTCTTAATTAGTTGAAGTGAAAATACACAGGGTCTGAGTCTGGTCACTCTGCTCTTTCTGAACCAGCGAGAAGCACAGACCTTGGTATGTGAAATCAAAGTGTGGACTCAAACTTTCTTTTAGGTGGCTATTTCAGGGTTTAATAAGAGGGAAGAAAGGTAGCAAGCCTATCTAGGCTTTTGTACTGAACTGTGTCTTCTCTCTGGCATTCACTGGCAATGATGGTGATATTTTGGTTTCAATTGCTGACTGTCTCGCCTTATTTCTCAGTCGACTTAGAACCCATTTGAGGAACAGGCTGGTATTTACTGGAACCCCTGAAAGGCTCCAGCAAGAGTTATATCAACATAGGCTATAGCCTCAGTGTCATCTCTGATTAGTTGCTAAAATATTTCACATTACAGACTGTCTCCTGCACTGGATTGTCAGTATTTAAGGCTGTCTTACTCAAAGTATTTGATAGTCCTGCCTGTGGGAGCACACTGCCTTTTGCACTGTTAGGTTTGAATGTGGCCATATGACTTACTCTGGCCAGTGAAATATAAGTGGACGTGACACATAATATTTCTGGTTGGAGCCAGTGATACTCTCTTTTTCTCACTTCTGCAGTGATGAAAACACATTTTTAAAAGGGAGCCTGTATCAGTCTAGGCTCTGGAGTGAAGACCATGTGGACCAAATCCCTTTGCAAATTGGCATTGAACATGTGGCACATATGAGAACTAATTTATTACCTCAAATTATTGAGATTTTGGGGTTGTTTTTAGCATAGTGTATATCTTATTCTGACTCAGACAGAGTTACTTATTCCTTGAAAAATGATTTAATGGTTAAATATATCATGACCTTTGATATAAATGTGATATCTCACAATTTTAAAAATAGGGTTCTCTGGGGTGGGTGGAGACGGGAAGGTATTCTGCATTAAATGTGCTTATCACATAACACATATCTATTTCTGAAAAGTCAAATAGGCTATTCATACTTGTGCATATCAGATTCCTATCAAATTACCCAGTAGAGATCAGAATTTTATGTGAACTGGCCACCAACAAGTATGCTTTGATGATGGAGTGAGCAGAAGAAACTAAAGCTGGGAGGAAGTGGGTAGCTGACTGCAGCAGAACTGTTAGCAGAATTTAAATTGGGCTCCTGAGTGATTGGCTGCTTCAAAACAATAAGGGAACTGCATACAATTTAGTTAGCATGCCATAACAAATTCCACTTGATTAGTAG
This sequence comes from Homo sapiens, assembly GCF_000001405.40. NCBI lineage: Eukaryota > Metazoa > Chordata > Mammalia > Primates > Hominidae > Homo > Homo sapiens. The sequence goes on from NC_000008.11 coordinate 74,652,992, forward strand.
AATTCACAATTCATAGTGATATTTATCCTTACCTTATTCTGTCTCTTTAGCTATACCTAAACTTTTTTTTCCCCCTTTTCCCTATTTTCTTCTGCTTCTTTTCACAAACACAAATGCTGGCCACATTAGAATTAGCAAGACATTTGTCCAAAGACAGAAAGTTTCACCAATATTTTATAAGTGGCAAAGTTTTCCAGTTTTCTTTTAATTCTATCCTCTTATCATCACCATGTCAAACCATAATGCAAAGTGGGCAGAAATTGAGCTTTCTGATGTTTATTTTGCCAAGAGATTTGCCTCATTATTTGGTGTTACAGGATTTATTACTTCACCAGCTAGTTTAATAGTTTCAAAATGAATCTGTAGATGTGCTCATTGAAGAGATGCTACTTTTTATCAGACATACATAATTTTTTTTAAGCTTTCTGTTTTCATTTTCATAATATTCTAATCCCTGGCCATGAGATTTCAGTGGGGGTGTTTGAGTTTATCCATTTATTAGTGTCATGCTAATCAAAGATTAAATGACATGCCCTGCAATGTAAATAAAAGTTCTAACTGTGCTTCTGTTGAAAGGTAAACTGATGTAAGAATTGAGTGTTTTATAGCACATAGTGGTACAGCCAGGTTGAACTCAGAGTAGCTGTGTTCAAACCAATGGGACCACACCTGAAGGACAGATCATTACATGAAATACATATGAAATTGGTCTCAGTCTGAAACAAATTGCAACATTTCAATAGAAGTAAATACAATGGCAAGTATAAAATAAAGTATTTTTTTGATTCCCCATTCAAGCAGTAATTAAATTACATGTACCCATAATGTACATTCCCATAATGTTACAGTATGAATATATACTTTGAATGCTTCAAATAAGCATGACAGATATAGAATTATGAAGAAATTGTTGATTTAAATAGATTTTTCAAGATGGTTTTCTCAGCAGGTTAGGAGTTATATTTGAGCTCTGCTTATCACTAACTACTAAAAAAAGCCAAATATTTAATAATATAGTCTTACATATGCAAATAGAGGCACCTCAGGACCAGTTTTTGTAAATTGTAGACACCCCTACCTCCACTAGGAAAGGCTATGGGTGGAGAGAGCATTTCTACTGAGAGAATCGTATTTGGGGTCTACAGAAGAGCAGTAGAGATATGCTTTTTTCTTCATTTTCAGTTAGAGGAGTTTCAAGGAAAAGGTTTGGAGAACTTGACATGTGCCCCTCAGTTTTGAGGTCTCAGTGGGCTGGCATTCTGTTCTTCTTCTCATGAGGAATCTACAAAGGAGACTATGACTGACTGGCTGCTTAGATTATGGAGGGAAGGAGGCAGGGTGTACTGTTTGCACTCAGACAAAAGATACATGGGTGTTTCCATTGATCAGATGGGGACTGATATGATTTGGCTGTATCCCCACCCAAATCTCACCTTGAATTATATCTCCCGGAACTCCCCCGTGTTGTGGGAGGGACCTAGGATGAGGTAATTGGATCATGGGGGTGCATCTTTCCCATGCTATTCTCATGGTAGTGAATAAGTCTTATGAGATTTGATGGGCTTATCAAGGGTTTCTGCTTTTGCTTCTTGCTCATTTTCTCTTGCCGCTGTTATGTAAGGAGTACATTTTGCGTCCTGCCATGATTCTGAGACCTCCCCAGCCATGTGGAAGTGTAAGTCCAATTAAACCATTTTTCTTCCCAGTCTTGAGTATGTCTTTATTAGCAGTGTGAAAATGGGCTAATATAGTAAATTGGTATCAGGAGTAGGGTGTTCCTGAGAAGATACCCGAAAATGTGGAAGCGACTTTGGAACTGGGTAACGGGCAGAGGTTGAACAGTTTGGAGGGCTCAGAAGAAGACAGGAAAATGTGGGAAAGTTTGGAACTTCCTAGAGACTTGTTGAATGGCTTTGACCAAAAGCCTGATAGTAATATGGAAAATAAGGCCCAGGCTGAGAAGGTCTCAGATGGAGATGAGGAACTTGTTGGCAACTGGAGCAAAGGTGGCTCTTGTTATGTTTTAGCAAAGAGACTGGTGGCATTTTGCCCCCACCCTAGAGATTTGTGGAACTTTGAGCTTGAGAGAGATGATTTAGGGTATCTGGTGAAAGAAATCTCTAAGCAGTAGAGCATTCAAGAGGTGACTTTGGTGCTGTTAAAAGCATTCCATTTTAAAAGAAAAACAGAGCATAGGAGTTTGGAAAATTTGCAGCCTGATGATGCAATAGAAAAGAAAAACCCATTTTTTGAGGAGAAAATCAAGCTGGCTGCAGCAATTTGCATAACTAACAAGGAGCCGAATGTTAATCCACAAGACAATGGGAAAAATGTCTCCAGGGCATGTCATAGGTCTTCATGGCAGTCCCTCCCATCATGGACCCAGAAGCCTAGGAGGTAAAAATGGTTTTGGGGACCTGGCCCAGGGTCCCCATGCTGTGTGCAGCCTAGGGACTTAGTGCCCTGTGTCCCACCTGCTCCAGCCATTGCTAAAAGGGGCCAAGGTACAGCTCGGCCATGGTTTCAGAGGATCCAAGCCCTAAACCTTGGCAGCTTCCACATGGTGTTGAGACTGTGCATGTGCTGAAGAATTGAGGTTTCATAATCTCCACCTAGATTTCAGAAGATGTATGGAAATGCTTGGATGCCCAGGCAAAAGTTTGCTGCAGGGGTGGGGCCCTTATGGAGACCCTCTGCTAGGGCAGTGCAGAAGGAAAATGTGGGGTTGGATCCCCCCCAAACACACATAGCATCCATACTAGGGCATCATCTAGTGAAGCTGTGAGAAGAGGGCCACCATCCTTCAGACCCCAGAATGGTAGATCCACTGACAGCTTGCACCGTGCACCTGGAAAAGCCACAGACACTCAACATCAGACTATGAAAGCAGCCAGGAGGGGGCCTATACCCTGCAAAGCAACAGGGGCAGAGCTGCCTAAGATTATAGGAACCTTCCTCTTGCATCAGCATGACCTGGATGTAAGACATGGGGTCAAAGGAGATCATTTTGGACCTTAAAATTTGACTACCCCACTGGATTTTGAACTTGCGTGGGCCCTGTAACCCCTTTGTTTTGGCCAATCTCTCCCATTTGGAATGGCTGTATTTACCTGATACCTGTATCTTCATTGTATCTAGGAAGTAACTAGCTTGCTTTTGATTTTACAGGCTCATAGGCAGAAGCGACCTGCCTTGTCTCAGATGAGACTTTGGACTGTGGACTTTTGGGTTAATGCTGAAATGAGTTAAGACTTTGGGGGACTGTTGGGAAGGCATGATTGGTTTTGAAATGTGAGGGCATGAGATTTGGAGGGGCCAGGGGTGTAATTACATAGTTTGGCTGTGTCCCCACCCAAATCTCTACTTGAATTGTAGCTCCCAGAATTCCCCTGTGTTGTGGGAGGGACACAGTATGAGGTAATTGAATCATGGGGGCCAGTCTTTCCTGTACTATTCTTGTGATAGTGAATAAGTCTCACGAGATCTGATGGGTTTATCATGGGTTTCCTCTAGCTTCTTGCTCATTTTCTTTTGCTGCTGCCATGTAAGAAGTACCTTTCACCTCCTGCCATGATTCTGAGGCCTCCCCAGACATGTGGAACTGTAAGTCCAATTAAACCATTTTTTCTTCCCAGTCTTGGGTATGTCTTTATCAGCAGTGTGAAAATGGACTAACACAGGGCCATGTGATAGAGTTGGACCAGGAGATTGTCTTTGAACCTGCTCAGGAGGGTATCCTGGAGAGGCAAGGTGACTGTACCAGAGAGGACTGCCCACTTCTGAGCTGAGGGAGAATATATAAGCAAATGGTGGAAAGATACATTTACCCAAGTCAAGGAAACTATTTGTAGCTTTTCAGGGACAAAAGAAGGAATGTTTAGGGACAGTCAAGAAGGGAGTCAGTACTAAACACCTGATAATCCTAGAGAAAAGTAGTGCCAGCTGAAGATAGAAACAATAAAGTAACATTTTCCTTCCTTCATACCTAGAGGCATAGAACAGAATAAGTAGAGGAGGAGGACATGAGTGCCTTGGTGCTCATCTATAGGGTACTGCAAAGATGCAAGTCTGCAAACTCGTACAAACACTGCAGCATACAGGGAGAGTACTCATTACCCAGGCAGTGGTTACCCTTTCTATGCTGCTGCCTTCTTCTCATCTTCTTTTCCCCTAGCCACAGCTGGAAGTGGTGGGCAGGAAGGAGCTATCAGAATAAAGATAACAGAATCCAAGCACCCTCTTTCCACAGTTGCCAGCTTCCCACTGCAGCAGCACCAGTCTGGGGAGTGAGGATGGGGAGGAGAAGAAAGTCATCTGTAAATGAAGTTTAGAGTTTTGTTTATTACAATAAACCACTTCATCATTCCCCTATAACTTTTCAGTGACTCCTCATTCCTCACACAGTAAAAGCCAGCATTCTTTTTTATGACCTGCAAGGCTGCTACTCAAAGAGTGGGCCATGGACTGGCAGCATCAGCACTGCCCAGGAGTCTATTAGAAATGCCAAATCTCCAGACCCATCCTAGACCCACTGTTTTAATCCGTTTTCACACTGCTGACAAAGACAAACCTGAGACTGGGCAATTTACAAACCAAAGAGGTTTGATGGACTTACAACTCCACATGGCTGGGGAGGCCTCACAATCATTGCGGAAGGTGAAAGGCATGTCTCACATGGCAGCAGACAAGAGAGGAGATCTTGCCCAGGGAAACTTCCCTTTATAAAACCATCAGATCTTGTGAGACTTTTCACTATCATGAGAACAGCAAGAGAAAGACTTGCCCCCATGATTCAATTACTTCCCACCGGGACTCTCCCACAACATGTAGGAATTGTGGGAGTTACAATTCAAAGTGAGATTTGGGTGGGGATACAGCCAAACCATATCACCCACTGAATCAGAATCTGCATTTTCACAAGATCCCTAGGTGATTCACATGTTCACTAAAATTTGAGAAACTCCATGACCTATGAACTTCTACCCCTGGTTCTCTTTTTGGCTCACATAGTAATTTTCTCAGTTTTCCTACTCCAATCATGTTATTTCCTGAACATACTAGGTGGATTCTTGCCTGAGGGCCTTAGCTCTGACTATTCCTTCTCTTTTGAACACCATTTTTCAAATACCTATATACTCACTCCCTTTCATCTTTGTCTTTAATCTTCTCAGTGAGACCAATACACAATTAAGCTTGCATTTAGAATTTCATCTCCATCTGCCAGCATTCCCTTCCTCTGCCCTGACTTTTTTCATTCACATATAGCACCTTTTAATGTACTGTAGAACTTGCTTTTTATTATGTTTATTGTCTGTCTTTCCTGAGAATGTATGCTCCACCAAAGCAGGGATTGTTGTCTTGTCTGCTTTGCCTGCTGATGTTTCTTTCTCTCGCTCTCTTTTTTTTTTTTTCTTTTTGAGATGCAGTCTCTGTCTGTCGCCCAGGCTGGAGTGCAATGGCGTGATCTTGGCTCACTGCAACCTCCACCTCCCAGCTTCAAGCAATTCTCCTGCCTCAGCCTCCAGAGTAGCTGGGATGTGCCCACCACCACACCCGGCTAATTTTTGTATTTTTAGTAGAAATGAGGTTTCACCATGTTGGCTAGGCTGGTCTCGAACTCCTGACCTCAAGTGATCTGCCCACGTCAGCTTCCCAAGTGTTGGGATTACAAGTGTGAACCACTGTGCCTGGCCCTGTTGATGTTCCTTGAGTTTGCAGAATAATGCCTGACACACAGTAGGTGCTCAATAACTATATCTTGATTTTTTTTCAAATTATCAATTTCTCTAAGCACTTAATGTGATTAAAGGCAAACAGAATCTCTGTAAAGCATCTTATTTTATTGGCATACATGTTTGCACCAAGAAGGCCACTGGACAAAGTAGGCAAGTTGTTTTAACTGGAGAATATGGGCTTTTACTCATCTTCACAATTTTGATGAAGGAAGCTTTATTTAAAACAATTTAATAAATTCTTTCATACTTACCCAAATGAGCTTCTCTCCTGAGAGACTGAGAAAACACAAAGAGATTTATCTAACAAAATTTTATCAGGACTAGTGTCTGAAAGTTATGCGCACTGTTTTCTTTTTCCCCAAAGAAACTAACCTGAACTTTTTTATGTTTCTATCCAAATTTGAATGTTTTGTTGTACAAGCTCACTTGTTCTTGGACAATGAACCTGTTTCTAAGAAAGGCTAAATATGCTCATAAAGAAGACTCAACGGGCTTCTTGGACAACAAATAATTTTTACAAAACAGCACTTTGATGAGTAAAGTGTAAGTAAATCAGAAACAGATGGAATACATAGTTACTGAGACTCACAAGTTTGAAAAACAAGTGAAAATTTCTCATGTTTTGTGTCCTCAAATATAAAAATAAAGTGTATAGTTGAAACAAAACTTTTCTAATTTCTACCATGTTTTGACTTTAAGATCGTGTTTCCTACATGCTTATTTTTTATTTTAGAGATGGAGTCTCATTTTTTTGCTGAAGCTGGAGGGCAATAATATAATCGCAGCTCACTGTAGCCTTGAACTCCTGGGCTCAAGTGATTCTCTCACCTCAGCCTGCCAAGCAGCTAGGAATACAGGCACATACCACTGCACCTGGCTAACTTTTAGAAAGAATGTCTCGTAGATATGGGATCTCACTATGTTGCCCAGGCTGGTCTCAAACTCCTGGCTTCAAGTGATGCTGCCATTTTGGCCTCCTAAAGTGGTGGGACTACAGGTGTGAGTGTCCATGCTGGCCAACCATGTGCTTTTCTGATAGGAAGTATTTTCTATTTATGAACTTCCTCTTTATAGCACTTACAGGTAATTGAATTGTTCTAATTTCTCAATTTTGAACCAAGCTAAATATATTATTAATGTACTTAGGACAGTCTAAAGTTATTCATATTTTCTTCTATTTTAATATGAGGAATGGCACAATTTTTGTTTTTTGTTTTGTTTCAGTTAGTGTTCTTTTGGTCATAAGAAACAGAGATATGCATAGATTAGTTTAAGAAATGATTATTCTGCAAATATACAAGGACATGAAGAAATCCATGCACCTGAGTATGGTTCTAACATGAGCATCTGCACAACAGAGCATCATGGCAAATGGAATTGGGAAGCCACTAGAAATGGCTAATGGCTGATCTTTTTCATGAAGTTTTGCTCATGGCTCTTCTCGGCTCACCTGAACCATTTTTCCTCACTTTGCTGATTACTGACCTTATAAATTCAGCTTCAAATGACCTACAGTGGACCTGGACTGAGCTTACTTTATTATTTATTAACTCAGCTGCCCTAGCAGTCTGACTTAGACTCTTCAGTTTCAAATTCCTGAAAGAAGACTCTGGCCCAGCTCATTTTTTGAACTAGGTCACTGACCACTCAAACCTATGACTAGACTATCTGGTGCAATCATCTGTGGTTGAGGCAGCCAGGTTTCTGCGCAAGAGAGAGGTGTGTAAACAGGTGGAAATTCGGGTGGTTCAGGCTTCAGTGTGCTAAACACATACTCCAGGATTCACCAGTTGAAAGAAAATTACCAGTAAAATATTTTTGCCAGGATATTCCTTGGAAAATAAAATATTACTTGTTTCTCTTTTCAAGAATTGAAATGCTTTAGATTTTAAATTTAGGATGCCAAGATTGGAAAGGGTGTAGAGGACTTTCAAAGTTCAAAATTTTGTCTAATCTGTCTGGATTTTGAGAAAACAACAACATCATCAATTACATGAGCGTTCAAGGGATGTGCCTTTGGAGATAGTTTATTGTATTATTTCAAATATAGTCACTCTCTTTATCTTCCTAAGAGCCCTGAAATATTCCATAAAAAAGTAATCTTGCTTTCATACACGCTGATCTTATAAAAGGCTTTATGTTTAAAAAAAATAACAGACTTGGGGAAATTGGAGGAGATCCGATGAAAACCTGATAACAGTTGGAATAAACTTTATTTTTCCTGGAGAAGGCAGAGGAGATAATAAATAATAATTTTAAATAATATATAATTCTGATGTAGGATTTAGACAAAAATCTGCTCTGTCAGCAACTGGAGTTTAGAAAACCCTCAAAAGGGAGATAATAACTACAACTGAAAGAACAGCAAGTGAAACAGGACCTGACTTCCAGCCTTGGCTTTGCCAGTTACCAGCTGGGCTACCTTGGTTACCTGGTGACATGAAAAAACTTGGACTGGATGCCAGCTTAGGTCCTTTTTTTTTTTTTTTTTTCGAGACAGAGTCTCACTCTGTTGCCCAGGCTGGTGTGCTTATGGTGCGGTCTTGACTCACTGCAACCTCCACCTCCCAGGTTCAAGCGATTCTCCTGCCTCAGCCTCCCGAGTAGCTGGGATTAGAGGCACATGCTACCAGACTCAGCTAATTTTTGTATTTTTAGTAGAGATGGGGTTTCAATATGTTGGCCAGGCTGGTCTTGAACTCCTGACCTCCTGATCCGCCCACCTCAGTCTCCCACAGTGCTGGGATTACAGGCGTGAGTCACTGTGCCTGGCCTGGTCCTTCTTAACATTAAAGATAAATCTAAAAAAGAGACTTCCAGGGCCACTGGGCATGGCTGTACAAGAGGTTCATTGCACATTTCTAAGGTGTGACATTCTGAGGATTCTTATTTTTATGTGGAATTTTATAAAGAGTAATGATTTCTTCCACATGTTGTATTATGTTTGGCTCAGAATTTAAAGCTCAATCACCCATGCAATGGCATTCATCTGAACCAAGAAAAAGCAAGGGGAAATCGGATGCAGGTGACAAGGTTTGAGCTTGTGACTGAGAAACAGAGCTAGGTATATTTTTATGTCCCCTTGAAAGAAAAATAGACTCAAAGCATCCCTATGTTGTATGGGAACTACTATCATTCAAAAAGAGATACAAATCACTATGTCTGATTCGTTGCTAATTATTGAAAAACGATATATCTAGACTTGAGACTAATTGTAAGAAAAAAATCGGCAAACATTACCAGTGACAAAAATATAGGTTTATCTATCATAGCACTAAATGGATATAACTCTAAAATACACAGGTTAAAAATTTTACCCTACCTTTAGGCATAGTTATTCCAATTCATTCAAAGAAAAACAGGCCACTTTCTCACAGCAAATCGAGCATTATGAGAGTATCACGGTTTTGAAACAAGAGTTCCCTGAAAGCAGGGCTCTTAGAATCTAGATTATAATATCAAAGGCTTTTTCAATGGTCAGAAGTTGACTTGAATAGACATTTTCTCTCCCACAATAATGTCAACCACAGGCATCGCTTCACTTTTGTAAATGTATTCATTGAATATTTGCCTATTTATATATTCCAAGGACATTGTAAAATTTCAGCCTCTAGAAGAAGAGTGGATCCAGCCTTCCGCATAAGAAGTAGGATTCTAATGAGAACACATGGACACAGGGAGGCGAACATCACATACTGGGGCCTGCTGAGGGGTGGGGGGCAAGGGGAGGGAGAGCATTAGGTCAAATACCTAGTGCATGCGGGGCTTAAAACCCAGATGACAGGTTGACATGGCACATGTATACATATGTAACAAACCTGCACATTCTGCATATGTATCCCAGAACTTAAAATAAAAGAAAAAAAAGAAGTTGCGTTCTGTAAGGTATAATTTGAGGGCCTAAGAAGCCAGACTATTTTCCATGTCCAAGGATAATTGCTATTTAAGTTAAGAATTTTTCTGTTTCCACTTATAGGGTGGAAAACACCTTAATATCTTGTAAGAATGAGCTTATTATAGCGGTTTTCTTTAATGATAGGAGGGGCTTATGTGGGCACTTTTGGTTCCTAAGCAGTTGGTGTAAAAATGAGAAGGCACTGAAAATACATTTTTCTCCTAGAAATGACTCATTTGTGTGTGTGTGTGTGTGTGTGTGTGTGTGTGTGTGGTATAATTTTATGATTTTATATATTATACAGTATTTTAAAAAACAGATACTTTTTAAAGATGCATGATAGTATCATACTTTTATTATGCTAATCCCCAATGTGATAACCAAGATGATATAATAACACAAAATTGCATCTTATTTTAATCTTGAATTAATAAATAAACTATAAAATAAGATAATCTATGTTTGTTGACCATAAAATCCCGAAGTCCATTAGCATTACTTATTCATAAAGAGTATTGGTAATATGAAGTACCAATATGATGAATACATTCTTTGAAAAAGTGAAAGTGAACAGAAGATGTAAATTACACTGACTTTTTTTGCCCAGGGGAAAAAAAGAGCATCATGCCACAGCTGGAGTAATGACAAAGTTTATTGGGTTACACTGGATAATAATTCTCTGACTTTGATTCTTTGATATACATGCCAGGGAGATTAAAAGGAGGCCTGTGACTTGTTTAAGAACACCGTGTTTTGAATTGTTTGCTGTAGTTTTTACCTATCCCAAATTTGTAAGTCTATGGATATTAAAACTAAAATAGAATTCATGGTTGCTCTTAGGGAATATTGGCTGAGCCAGGTTGCAAGTATGGATCAGCTTGAGATAGTTAGCTTTGCAAAGGAGAGAAAAGATAAGTCACTTGCAGTCTGTTTTCCCTGTCTTTCAAAACTATTTGTTCAAAACTAAATCCCAAACTGCTCCTTTGTAAACACAGCCAATGGGGCTTCCTAACTCTCATGAAGTAAATAGTTTCAGCTTTACAAAATTGCAGAATCTCAGGAGGCTAAGAATAATCTAGTGAACTTGATCTTATCTAATGTATTCAGTGTTCTTTGAAAATTTGGGGAAGCATATAGAAAATGTAAGTAGCATTTACCTCTGAGTGTTAATCTTGGAAACTGAGTGTTCACTAGTTTGGATGCACTCACTGCACTTACTTCTCTTAGAGCCAGGGCTCAAGTAATAGTGATTAAACCTCAGGGATCTCTTTAACACTCAAGAAAAAATTATTTCCTTTTCCATATTCCACCGTGAAAATTGGCTAACTTTATTGGTGATGAGAAAGAAACGATCCTCCAGTGGAGCTGGAGGCCATTATTCTAAGTGAAGTAATTCAGGAATGGAAAACCAAATACTGTATGTTCTCACTTGTAAGTGGGAGTTAAGCTATGAGTAGGCAAAGGCATGCAGAGTGGAATAATGGACTTTGGAGACTCAGAAGGGAGAGAGTGGGAAGGCGGTGTGTGATAAAAAAAAAAACTATGTATTGCGTACGATGCAAACTACTCAGATGACAAGTGCACTAAAATCTCAGAATTCACCACTATTGTCCATGTAACCAAAAACTGCATGTACCCCAAAAGGGATTGAAATTTAAAAAAAAGAAAAAAAAAGATTCTCCAGAACAAGGGCTTTAGTGACAGCCTAAGGCAAATCATTTGAGGATTTAGTAATAGATTTTCTCAGCATGGAAAGGCTCTGATTCCAAAAACTGACTCAAATATATAAAATAAAATGATATTCAGGAACCTTATTTATCTTACTTGAATCTTTCTTGTTCCTTCAGCTTGTCTTTTCCATCCTACACCTTATCAACTTTTCTTTTTCTTTTCCTTTTTTATTTTTATTTTTTGAGGCAGAATTTTGCTCTTGTTGCCCAGGCTGGAGTGCAACAGCACAATCTCGGCTCACTGCAACCTCCGCCCCCAGGGTTCAAGCGATTCTCCTGCCTCAGCCTCCTGAGTAGCTGGGATTACAGGTGCCCGCCACTATGCCCAGCTAATATTTTATATTTTTAGTAGAGATGGGATTTCACCATGTTGGCCAGCCGGTCTCGAACTCCTGACCTCAGGTGATTCGCCCACCTCAGCCTCTCAAAGTGCTGGGATTACAGGCGTGAGCCACTGCACCAGGCCTCAACTTTTCTTTTGTTCTTTGCTTCCACTCCAACAACTTCCTGGACTTTGCATCTGTAATTGATTTCAATCCACCACAAGTCTTTGCTGAAGATCTCTGGTAGATATCCTGTTACCAGCATCATAGTGAACCTTCTAAGTATCTCCTGGTTTTCTCAAGAAATCAAATTCACTTTTACCCTTTTTATTCTCAGTGTATTTCCTGGCCTTCTTTGAATTGCTTCTCTTCTGTTACAACTTTCTTTTTCTGACACTCAGGATTCTTCTCTGCTTTCCTCGTTTATTCTTCCTACTGTGCTTGCTTTCAATCTCTACACTTACCATCTTCTCCAGAACACCGCCATATTTTTAATCTCTGCCTTTTTTGATTTCGAATTTGCCAATATGCTACTCTCCCACATCTTTACACATGAAATGGCATTCTTGCAAAAGTAACAACAGCAAACAGCAACAATATGATATGATGTGATATGAACTCGCATCGATATGCTTGGCCCTCAAGTCAATGACACACAGTTTTCTTTGTGATCAACAGATAAACTTACGGGGAGAATAACCTTGCTGGCTCCATGTATTCACCTCCAGGTACTCTTTAGCCCTTTGCAAATCATAACTCTTTTCTCACATCTCTATTGAAGCTCTTTTTCCGAAGGTCACCAATGACCTCCCCAAAATGCTGCTTCTATCTCCTGCAATATACAGAACTTCTAGCCATTGCTTCCCTCCTTGCTATTTACTTGCTTGAAGGCTTTGCTGTCATTAATCACTCTCTCATCATCATTTCCTCCACATCTCTTTAGGATCATTTTATATTTACCTCTCCATTTTATTTTGACCACATTTATGATTTTTTTCTTCTCACTTCTATTATAATACTTCAGGCCATATTGCCTGTGTATACAGCTGATACGGTTTGGCTGTGTCCCCACTCAAATCTCATTTTGAATTGTAGCTCCCATAATTCTCATGTGTCCTTGGAGGTAATTGAATCATGGGAGAGGGTCTTTCCCTTGCTGTTCTTGTGATAGTGAATACGTCTCACAAAATCTGATGGTTTTAAAATGGGAGTTCCCCTGCACATGCTCTCTTGCCTGCTGCCATGTAAGACATGCCTTTGCTTCTCCTTTGCCTTCCACCATGAGTGTGAGGCCTCCCCAGCCATGTGGAACTGTGAGATCATTAAGCCTCTTTCCTTTATCAATTACCCAATCTTGGGTATGCTTTTGTCGGCAGTGTGAGAACAGACCAATACAACAGCTTAGTTACTTTCACAGTAACTTCTAAATTCATACAACTGTCCCTGCCTCCTCCACCATCATCCTAGTCCAAGCCACCAGCATTTCTCATGGGACTCCTGATTTAGCCTCCTGACCAGTATCCCTGGTTACCTCTTTTTTTTTCTCTTATAATCCGTTCCCCACAAAGCGTCCAGAGACATATTTTAAAAGAGATAAAATCACATAATTCTTTTACTTAAAACCTGCCAATGTCTTTTTACAGCACTTAAAAATAAAAGCCCTTTTCCTAACTTCAAAGCCCACCCATCTAAAGTAACCACCATCACTTGGTATCACATCTCTGTTTTCAGGAGAGCATTTATCCTAATTTGATTGATTGTTTTCTGATTTATATTTTTCACTATTGCCTTTGTTTATTTGTAGTCTGTGTCTTCTTGCTAGGACATATTGTCTCTGAGATCAGCCCCTCATCCCCTTCTTAAATTGCTGTGTCACAGGACCTGGAAAAGTGCCTAGCACATGATGACCTCAATGTATATTGGCTGAATGAATGTCTTGTAGACCTTTGGAGAATGCATCTTTAAGTAAATGCCCAGCATTCTGTCTGGCTCAAAGTTATATTTATTTAAAAATTCCAAAAGATGGTGTCGAATTACCATCCATGAAAACTGCTAAAGATTTACTCTCCCACCAACAGTGTAAGAAAGTGCCTCTTAATCCATATTCTTGGTCACAGTAGGTATAATGAAACTATAAAACCTTTGTATTGCCTCTCATGGTCCTGCGTGTCTGCTGGGCTCTGCAGACCAGTTCTGCTAGTCCTACTTGGGATTTCTCATGAGGCTGTAATCAGTTGGAGTTTGGCATCCTCTGGAGGACCTCCACCTGCATGCTGAGACAGCTGGGCATCTCTTTTTGGGCTCCAGTTCATCCTAGCGCCTTTCCTCTTCATGTGATCTCTCCAGCAGGGTAGCTGGACTGCTCACGTGACTGCTGAGGAGCCGCAAAAGCTCATGCAAGAGGGATAAATCACCAGGTGTTCTTAATATCTGCTCCTAGAATTCCTGAAGTGCTGCTAGGTTTGTTGTCTCCTGGTCAAAGGGGACAGGAGCTCAGTCCAGAGGCCAGAGAGGAGGGGTATGAATGTGGAGAAAAGGGTGGGCTTATCTGAGGCCATCTTTGGAGCCTGGCTGTCACTATAGGTACAAGTGAGGGAGCAGGGCTGTGGCAGTAAGGGCAAGAATTCCCAATTCTGTGGTAGAGCATCCTCATGAATTAGAAGGTCAGGAAAGGAACTCATATGACAAAAGATAATGAGACAAATTAGCATAAAAACACATCTCTTGAAATTTAGCTGGTCCTAAAATCTAGAAGTTCTCTTTATTATTTAAAGGGAATGTAAATGAATATGGCATTATTTTTACATTTATTTTAATAATCTAAATTCTATCACTTTTTTAGAGTTTTATTTTACCTATGCCTATTAAATTTCATTTTTAAAGTATCTTTTGCCTCACACATGCTACTGCAGAAACCCACAAGCATGGATGGAATCCTCCTTGTGGTCTGTTTCTGACATTGGTTTTTCTCAAGTACTCCTTTTAAAACTTGTGGAATAATACTGAAACCCCCAACAGACAATCTGCTCTCCTGTGTTTATTACTGAGTACCAAAGCCACAGCTTTAACCACCGCAGCACTCCATTAATTGTGGGCATGGGATGCTCAGGAGAACCACCCCTTGTGATTGTGGCCTGAAACCCTCCAGGAGGCCTATAATTGACTATCTGACCTCCAAAACGGGAGTGACTGTATTAAGGGTTCCACATAAAGCTGGGTTTGGTTTATTTTGTGATTGGTATGACACATTATCTGAGCAGGAAGTCCAGATGTTGTCAGGCATGTAGGCCCATAAATCTGGAGAATGATAAAAATGAGATTGTAGGCATGCAAAGAGAGATGACTGGAATGGAAAAAAAAAAAAACCCAGTGACCCTCCCTCTGCAGGAGTCGCTGCATGACCTGAGGTGGGGGCTATAGCTTCTTTCCTACTAGGTGGAAAGAAATGTAGAAGAAGTGGCTTTGCTGATGTAGAATTGAGTGTCAGAGGCTACTGACACATTGCTTTTGCCAGAGTGCATTTTTTTCCCTACAGTTTCTTTAGATGTGATACTTATTTCTATTACAAAAAAAAAACAATAAGCCTACTTTTGATATTTTAATTTTTTCAAATTACACATGCCAAGAAGAACAAGCAGATTATATATGTACACACACACACACATTTTATACTGTCTGCTCAGGGAAGCAAGCAGATGTTACAAAGACTTGTTTGTTTGCCATGAATTTAGAAAATTTGAAAACTTACCAGGAGCTGGTACTTTAATTTTGTCTTTAGTTACAGAAGGGAGGAACTAGAGCAGTTGTTTTGCTGTGTCACATAGTTGTAAGATATCATCTGTGACTTTTGTCCTCAGCTTTCTCTGCTTTTCTATCCCTACTTTCTAAAGATAATTTTGTTCCACTTCCATCTCTAAATATCACTCTCTTTGGGGCATGGTGGTGGAATGTTGTGATGTGCCACTCAGATCCTTCTTCAGGAACAAAGGAATTATCATGTCCATGGCTGGCAGAGCTGTCCCCAAAATAGCCATGAGTTATCAGCCACCTCTTGGAACTGCCCCACCAGAAGAGAGGCACCTCGCCAAGGTAAGAACCTTTTTGTGGCACCACTGGCAGTTAATGGCAAACTCAAGTGAGGGGCTTTGGAGGACATCCTATCCTTGAACTCAGAAGACTTGCGGAAGCTCATTTCATTTTCAGAGCTTCTCTGTTGGTCTTGAATTAAAGTTCAATCTCTCCTCCTGCTCAATCTTTCTTTCCCTTTCTTGTCACAGCTCTTGATCTGAGAGCACTCTGGGATAACCTTCTCACAATGAATTTCAGAATGTGACTCCTGATGAACCCAACTAGCTACAATCTTACATCCATGTCTCCAACTTTATTTCCTTGAACTTGAGTTTCAAAATTCAAACTTTTAAATCAACATTTCTGCTTGCATTTCTAAGTAATTTCAACTTTAATATGCTCAGAAATGAATCCTTGATTTTTACGCCAAAATCTACTTGTATCAGAACTACACTGCTCGATGAATATCACTGCCAGTCATCTAGATACTTAGACCCCAAACCTAAGCAACCTTGACTTTGATCTGTTCCTCAAAAATCCACATCCTATTGATCAACATTCTGTCAGCCCTGCCTCTTTAATGCATCCCAAACCCAATTGCCTCTCACCATTTCTACTGCTGTAATCCTATCCAAGCTTCAATCCGTTCTCACCTGGCATATGCCCATAAGTCTCCTAATTGTATCGCTGTCTCCTTTCTAGTATGCTTAGATATGTCTTCCACTGGCAGACAGAGAGATCTTATCTAAGACTTAAATGAGATCTTGTCATTTTCCTAACTCTTGCTAATGATTTTCCTTTCCAAGAATCAAATCCAAACTTTTCACCAGAACCCCATATGATGAACCTCTACTTACGTATCTCATGATCCATTGATAGGCTCACTACTTCTCAGGCATGTTGCCTTTCTCTCTGTCTTTTGTACACACCAGTTCTTTTTCATCCCAGGGCATCTGCAATTCCTGCTTCTTGGGAGGCTTCTCTCCCAAGTATTTGCTGGGTACTTTTTCTATCTTCTCCTCCCTTGGATCTCAAATGTCATCTCTTCAGAGAGGTCATCCTGACCACCTAGTTAGAGCAACTTCTAAGCATCTTCTTTACACCACTCGTTAGTCTTAAATTTGTTATTTCTGGCTAAATTATGTCCCCACAAAATTCATGTTGAAACTCTGACTCCAGTGTGTCTATATCTGGAGACAGGGCCTTTAGGAGGTAATTAAGGTCAAATGAGGTCTTAAATGTGAGGATCTAATCTAATAGGACTGTGACCTTGTAAGAGAGAGAGATGTCTTTCTCTACCACGTGAGCACACAGCAAGAAGGCTGCTGTCTGCAAGCCAGAAAGAGAGCCCTCACCAGACACTGACACTGTTGGCACCTTTATTTCAGACTTCCAGTCTTCAAAACTGTGAAAAAATAAATTTTGGTTATTTAAACCACCTAGTCTGTGCTACTTTTTATGGAAGATTGGGAAGATTGGGGTACCATCTGTCTTGCTCACTGCTATATCTCCAGTGCAAGGAACAGTGCACTTAACAAAAATATATTAACTGGCTTGGTGACTGTTGCCTCAAAAATTATTTAAGTTAGAGGTAAAAGACAGAGTATGAAAAATTTAAGTGCTATTCTTTCCGGTAATATGGC
The DNA here is from genome assembly GCF_000001405.40 of Homo sapiens. Lineage (NCBI taxonomy): Eukaryota > Metazoa > Chordata > Mammalia > Primates > Hominidae > Homo > Homo sapiens. The sequence goes on from NC_000008.11 coordinate 74,670,386, forward strand.
AGGCTATATATCTAAAGAAACTCCCCTGGGCTAGATTATTCAAGAATCAGGTTGAAGTATGAAATATCTCTTTAAATTTATAAAATAGTGAGAGAAATACTTGAGACCTAAAATAACGGAAGGACTATAAACGATGAAAGATAATCAAGCACTAAATTTTGGCAGTTGCTCCAAGAGATACGCTAATCACTAGAGTTCAGGAGAGAGATGTATTTGTGTATATTCTAGTGAAAAAGAAAAGTTAGATACTTAAACAAAACATGGAAGGACTTCTAGTATTCATATAAGCTAAAGAAAAATATTTCAGGAAGTTGGTATATGGTTATCAGACATTGATAAAACAAGCCAACTGGGAGAAATGTTGAAAAATTTCTAAGTCCAGAGTCAAGATTGGAAAGGTGAAGAAAGGAGAAATCCTTTCGTGGCTTTAGTGCAAGAGGAAGGGGTTTTAATATAATTTTTAAATAAACGATTTCTTTCTCTTTTTTTTTCTTCTTCTCCTTTTTCTTGCTCCAACTCCTAACCTCCTCTTCTGTTTCTCTCTCATTTTTTTCTCTCATTTATTTTGTCACTATTTCATTCATTTACTCAATTAGGAGATATTTCATGGACCCCAGATTTTATGAATCACTTTCTAGGAAAGATAAATGTAGACAAGTGATCTCTAACCTGTAAAGAGCTTGTCGTCAAGTCAGGTGTGTGTAATAGTTACATCAATGAGAGTGTACGTGTGTGTGTGTGTGTGTGTGTGTAGGTGGTGGGTAATGCAGGGAAAGGAAGTGGGAAAAGGAAGAAAAAAGAATATTTGTAAGTCTGGTATTAACTTTAAATTTTATCATTTCCTTTTGCCAACAGCTATCTTAGGATAGCTAGAAGAAACTCCTATGCATTTTGTGTATTATGATTTAGGTAGACTGAATTTTTGCTATCACTTAAAGGCATCCTGTCATTTTTGGTTGACCAGAGCTGATTCTGTTATTTGAGGTATTTTTATACATATTCTAAGGATAGCTTCGCTTGTTTTTTAGTTCTTGCAAGTCTAATTCTGGTCTTAATAGAGAGGTTTCTGTTTAATGAAATGGTAGAGTTGAGTTTATTAAAACAACTACTTAAGGTACTTTTACTCTCATTTTAAAAGCTGAGGATCCAAAAGTAGATTTTATGTTCTTTCTCATCTGGAGATATAAAAATGTTATTAACATTCAACTAGTCTCAAAACCCAAAGTTGGAACCCGGGGTTGTTTGAAGAGGAATTTACTGGTAACAATGTGTGGACTGAAAATGAGAGAGCTATTCAAGTAGTGTGCTTTGTGGTGGTTGAGGTTTAGTTAATCATGGTCCTTCACCATCAAAGATAACAAAGCTTTGGTACTGCTCTGCACAATATCAACCCTTTGTATTTTCAGATCTGCTCACTAAGGTTGAATTTTATCATTTTCTTGCTCAAAGATTCAATCTCCATTAACAGAAACCCACTAAGAGGAGTGCATTTTGTGGCTTCAGCGGCCTACCAAACCAAACATTTGCAGGTCAACTCAGGAGAAGAAAAATGATCTCTTTCAAGATGACTGTTACTGCACAAGCAGAAAAATATCACAAAGCAGGATACCTTTTTATAGATAAATTTTAAGTCATCAGCATTATCAGTTTTTCTCTATAATCCCTGCTAATTGTAAATATCAAATTGCATTGGCAGAATATGGCTACCCAGTAAAGATTAGTGCTTTATCCACATATTATTATAAAACAGTTATCAAATAATATATTATACTTCTATTTTTCTTATATTTCTTGGCCTTCTATGCATCACATTTTCACAAAATCTCACAGCTGTTACCTAACTTGAGAGTGTCCATATCTGGGTTTTGCAGGCCTAGCATCCGTTGAATCTAAATAATACACAGCACATTCACATTTGATTATATGAAGCACAGGAATTCAGTACATTGCTGTGTAGGTAGTTTGTTGCCCTGGTGAATCATAGCATAATATTAGGATGAAAGAGATGGGTAAAAGGATATCATAGTAATGGTGATCTGCAGGAATCTTGGGCTGTTCTGGAGATGAAGGGTAAATGTAGTGAAATGGACTACCAGTCATGATAGTTAAATTTGTCCAAGGGTCCTTTCCTGTGAACAGTTTCTGAGGTCTGTAACTGGCTTGTAGTCAGGGCAAATGGATATTCAGTGTATGTCCAGTGAAGGTTCAGGGAGAATGGGAAGAACACTGACAGGCAGCAATGTATACCTATTATTTAAATACTGTTCCCAAATTTGCAAGTTCATAAAAATGTCACTTTCCTATCACAGAAGGTCCTTTTAGACACAATGTTTTATTACTTTAATATCTGCTGAATTCTGTTGATATTATTTCTGCTGTTTTATTATTTTAATATCTGCTGAATTCTGCTGATATTATCTGCTGAATATCTGCTGATAAGTATTTCTTCAAAGTATAATTGTAGGCTAAGTGCATTAACAAAGGATTTCCTTTTCCAGAACTATTTAAATTGAATATTTCAGATTGCAGTGGAGTAAGTTCCATGCTCTGTTGACCTGCTTTTTTGAGCAACATACTTTTGGTCAACTACCATCATAAAGGACAGAGATCCATGTATGCAGCTGCAAGATGAATGAGACCTTCAATCTACTGGTGACACTGCTTAATAATAAAGCAGTTAGTAAAGAAAGAAGAGGCAAAAAGAAAAAAAACATAGCTTTTATTGACAGGAAGGAATTCCAGCTGTTTGGACAGTTACGTATTGTTTAATAGGGTAGATTCTTTTAAAACCTGAATGTGACAGATATTTACCCAGGCTTTCCAGCTGAAACTGAAAATAGGGTCACAATAATCATAAGGAACAGCAGAATCTATGGAACCCCAGTTCTCTTCTATATCCCTCCCTGCTAGTTTAATGAGTCCTTAGGGAGTCTCTCATGAGCACCTAGAGGGCCACAATTGTCCTTTTCTTTCTACATTTAGTGCCCATCTTCTCAGCTGATTCTGACACCCATCAGATAGATCACGATTTGCTCTACTGATATTCTCTCCCACTCCCAATGTTGGCTGCCTTGGTTGGCTATCAAAATTGTCTTACTAGCTTGCTGGTCATTTCCACAACATCTTATTATGCTACAGGGTAGATGAACTGAAATGGAGGTAAATATCCTTCTTTGCTTGTGTTACACTTTGTATCTAGGCTAAAAGCAGGACAAATTTTATATATATGTGGCCAGGACCACGTCCATCAATTCCTGGTCTTGGGCTAGAAAAGAAGTTAAGAAGATATATATTGTAGTTCATTCATATTTATTCTCCCTTTACAACTTTCATCTGTGTTCTTAGAACAAGTTTGAAAAACTTGATTCACTTTAGTCTCAGAGTGTCTAGTTCTTTATCTTCTACAGTGTCTGATAGGGAAAATGGATAACCATTAGCCTAACTTTTTGATGCCAATTTGGAGCTTGAAGTTAACTGTCACAATCAACACAGTATTTTTTTGTATATATATATATATATATATATACACACACAAAATATCTATCTATATATATTACTGCTCCTTGCAGAGCAGGGCTATCCTCTAAGCACTGTGCCCAGAGAAGCCTTTTTTTATGTTTTTTTTTAAACAAGCAATTAGTCTCCATGCAAATATAATTAATATCAGTATAATATGTTATCCTAATAGACATTGCTAACATAATGGAAGTTACAATGATACATGGTGTAGACCGGTTATACCAGAGGTTTTTGTGTGTGTGTGTGTGTGTGTGTGTGTGTGTATCATTTATCTAGACAGAGCAAGTAGGATTTGGTTTCTGTGCCTGGATCATCACATTGAGAAAGATTGCTCAGAATGAATGTGTGATTGATTAATTACACCTCTCATGGTGTCAGTGGTAGAACAACTATATAATTGCCACCCCCAAGCTAGAGTGATGGCTTCTTACACTAGTTTACCTCTCACTCCTCACACAGCCCCTCCCCAATCCTGGGATGTAATGAACTAGTTTGATGATTAACTATTTAAAGAGCTAGAGCACCATAATTATAATGCAAAAAAATAGGGAGAGGAATTTTACATAAAATTAAACATAATATTGAAAGACGTACATTTCTACTAACAAGTTGGATCCTAATCAGATGACTTCATTTTTCCTACCAAAAAATAAAGAATCATGAGAGAATTTGGCTAAGTTTGTCTTTACTCTTCCCTACTTTCTGTGGTCTTCTAGTTCATCAGTGGTATAACTTAGATCTCTCTCATATTCTGAATCTCTCTCCATCTTTTTCACCTTCTCGTTGCTAAAACGTATCTTAGACCATAACTAAGGGTTCATTTTAGAACCCATTAATCATATTGATAAACAAATGATTAACAGGTTCAATAAGAACCTGTTAATTACTATACATTACTATGATACTATACGTTACTATACTACTTACATACTATATGTTATATATACTATACGTTACTATACTACTTGGAAACTTGGAAACTTTTCTATTACAATTGGAACCTGTTAATCATTTGTTTACCAATAACAGGCTTTTATTGAACCTGTTAATCATATTGGTAAACAAATGATTAACAGGTTCTAATTGCAGTAGAAAATTTTCCACGTATTATATCTTTCAAGAGTATACACATTTAATATTTTTATTCAATAATTGAACAAATTTACTGAAAACCTCGTATGTACCAGATACTTATCTAAATTGTGGGGATGCAGTGGTGAATAAGAAAATCATTGCCCTCAAAGGACTTATGTTTTAGTTTGGAAAGACAGACTGTAAGCAAACAGAAGATAATGGATGGTGGTAAGTATTATTGGCCCTTCATACCCATGTTCCACATCAGCAGATTCAACCAATCACCAATCAGAAATGTAGTTAGGCTTGTGATGGTTGCATCTGTGCTGAACATGTACATACTTTCTGTTCCTTGTCATTATTTCCCAAACAAGGCAGTTATAACCATTATTTACATAGCATTTACATTATATTAGGTATTGTAAGTAATCTAGAGCTAATTTAAAGTATTCCAGAAGGTATGAATGGGTTATATGCCAATACTCTGCCATCTTATGTAAGATATTTGAGGATTTTAGTATCTATAGGGAGTGGGGGGTCCTGGAACCAATCCCTGAAGATACCACAGGCACTGTGCAGAGGATGATTACATTAGGATGATGTGAAGTTGAAAAATCAGTTAAACTAGGATGATTGATCAGTGTGTAATTACTCCAAGTGGGGTCATTAGAAAAGACCTTTCTGAAGAATGACAGTTAAGGTATCTGAATAAAAATAAGGATCCAGGCATATAAAATACCATAGAAAACACAATTTAAATCTAAGAGTAGAATTTTAGGCACAGTAAAATAGATAGGAAGACATTTAGAGAGGATGAAAACAATCTTCATGGCCCTGAAATCACACTATCTAATGCTCCTCCTACATGCGCAATCCGTCCTTATTAGTACATGCTTCCTAAATGTTATTAGTATCGGTCCGATAAATCTCTTAAATTTACAATGTATTAATTTGTTAATTAAAAGAGATCATCATATCCTTGACTAAAGAAGCTATGTTTAATAGCCAGAGAGAGGAAAAATTCACCTGCAAACACACTATTATTCTCAAGAGCAATAATAAAGTCAGAAGACTATGGAATAATGTCTTCAATATGCTAAGAGAAAAATCAATTACAAATTAGAATTGCAAACCTGGAAAAATGTGTTCCAACAATGTTTTTTCAAAAGAACTAAAGCAGAGGGTTAACTGCCAACAGATTTTACTAAAGGAACATCTAAAGCAAACATTTCAGAATGAAGGAAAATTATTTTAAACATATGTAGATGCATAAATAAATAGCAGATAAATTAATAATAAAATGTTGTATAATGTCTGATGTCTCAGATTGAGAATAAAAAGAACTGAAATACTGGACAGAATTAGCCTGTAGGTTGAGAGTAGTTTCATTGCAGTTAAAATGATTTATGGTTCTTATCTTGCTCAGGAGGAAAATTGCAATATTAATAAAACTTCTGTGCAGTAATATTGCAAAGATTACATTAAAAAATAGAAGTAGAGGATATAACTTCCAAACAGTAAAAGAAAAATTAAATGAAATGAGAAAACAAAACTAACCAATCCAAAAAATACAAGAGAGAAGAAAAAGAAGTATAGAAAAAAAATGTGGCAAGGTGTACAAAGTAAGAGGGTGAAAAAATTCAGATATGTCAGTAGTCACAATAAATAAAAACAGAGTTTATTAGATAGGTTTAAAAATAAAAAATATGAGAATAAAGATGAATAAGTACTAGAGATCTAATATATACCATGGTGACTACCGTTAATAATAATGCATTGTATGCTTGAAATTTGCTAAAAGAGTAGATTCCAAGTGTACTTACAACACACACATACGAAAGGCAACTATGAGAGGTGATGAATAATATGTTAATTAGCTGGATTGTGGTAATCATTTCACAATGTACAGGTATATCAAAATGTCATGTTGTATAGCCTAAATCTACATAATTTCTATGTACCATGCCTCAATAAAGCTGGAAAAATCCAGGAATAGTCTGATAAGAGAAACACTTAAAAGATAACTTGAGAAGGTAGAAAAGAAAGAAATGTAAAAAGAACTTGTGTAACTATTTTAATATCAACACAAAATATGCTTAAAGTTAAAAGCATCAGTAGAAATAGAAAAGATGATTAAATAATGTTGAAGAGCTCAGTTCACCAGGAAGATATTATAATTCTAAACCTACATGCACTAATAAAATCAGTTCAATATATATGCACAAAATTATAGAGGAATAAGTTCATAAACACATCACCATCATGAAGTGTGTTAATACACCTCTTT